>NC_000023.11:103712542-104337542 GCF_000001405.40 Homo sapiens | reverse complement strand
CTCCACCTCCTGGGCTCAAGCAGTCTTCCCAACTCAACATCTGGAGTAGCTGGGACTTACAGGAGTGCGCCGCCACACCCAGCTAATTTTTGATTTTGTGTAGAAACAGGATCTCACTATGCTACCCAGGCTGTTCTCAAACTCCTGGGCTCAAGTGTTTCTCCCACCTCAACCTCCCAAAGCGCTGTGATTACAGGCATGAGCCACCGCGCCCGACCTGTTCATGTCTCTTTAAATTGTTCTTACCAGGCTTTTGGAGGCACTACAGTGGAAATGAGGATAAGGAAATGCAGAAGGCTACATGGCAGCCTAGAGCATTCCCAGACTAGATATATTTAAATCTAGATTAAAAACTTCATGAATATGACACCAAAGGGTATCTAATATATTGGGTCCCAGGGAGTACTGACAGAACTATAATAAATAATAGTAGATAACACTTACTAAATGCTTGACACCTTGCTTACATTAATACAATTAATCCTTGCGACTGCTAAATGATGGTGGTGATAGTGTTATCCTCATCATTGACAGATGAGGAAATTACTCTTCACAGAGGTTAAAAAATAATTCAAGTCCCACAGTCAATAAATGGTAGAGACAGGCTTTAGACCTAGACTTAACTTCTGTGCTATGGTGTCTCCCCATGAAGGCTAATGTCAGAGAGCTCTCATTCTGAAATACCTAAGAATTAGGAACAATATTGAGGAATGTGGAGTTCCATAATACTGATTTCCTATTTTAAGCCTTGTATATTATTATCATGATTATGCCTCCCGCTGAGTCATATTATATATCCAGTTTGAAATTTTACAAAAATATCACTTGTCTAGGAGTTGATACGCTCCTGGCACGGTCCCATTTTCTAAGTATGAGCAGAGCCAGGGGGTGTCCATTCAGCTCACTCTCACTCTCACAGTTTAGTTTTAAAAAGTGATCCCTGTGTAATTGTAAAAACAGTCAACTGAGGAACCACTCAAGCTAACCCATGGAGTTCTCAGAAAACCAATCCAACCCCTGCATTTAGCTGTTATGAATAATTTCCAAGGCTGTACTAAGAAACTGTTGGGTGATTGCTTGTATTAAATACTCATTCTAGAATGATTTAGAATGTCTTAGAAAACTGTACTCAGATACCAGCCTGTTAGGTCACAAGGTCTGAAGAGTCAAGAAGGATGGATTCCAATCATTAACAGGAACATTCAACTTAAATAATTTCTCCTACAGTCCACTTTTAACGCTTGAAATGATCATACTGCAGTCTCCACAATCTTGAGGCAGCATAAGTATCAATTTAGAAAGTAGCTACTATATACTTGCATGAATATATAAAAGGTTTACTTATCAACTTTGCTGATGAACCAAAGCGAAAAAAGATTAACTAATTCACCGGAGGGCAGACTTCTAATTCAAAATATTTTCAATAGGCTAAAACCAACAAAAATTCAATTACACAAATACAAGATGGGGGAAGCCTGACTTGACGGCAGCAGTTCATGTGCAAAGAACTTGGGAAATTTAGCTGACCACAAGTGCACTTGAGTCAATAGTGTGCTGTGGGTTCTAAAATGACTAATTTTAGAGATTGTAATCTGCTTTCACAAACATAGGGTCTAGTCATTCTTTCTGTGAACTTGGCTGGTCAGTCCATGTCTGGAACACTACTGTCCAGTCCTGGGCATCACATTCTGAAAGGCAGTGGCAGCTTCAGAATTTCTCTATAGAGAGGAATTAGGATACTGAGGTATTTAGGAATGAGATGTCATAATGTCTGCAATTTCCCCGAAGATATTTCAGCAAAAGGAAAAAATAGATGAAGCAAGTATGGCAAGATGTTAACAACTGTTAAATCTAGGTGATGGGGTATATGGGAGCTCATTATGCAAAATCTATTTTTACATATGCTTAGAATTTTTCATAATAAATGATAAAAGAGAGGGGCCTCAGTGAAGCAATCTAGTTGAAAGGTGGTTGGGGCAACTAGAGGACTTGTCCTGAAATTATTTACATAGCAAGGACACATTTTTCACTTAGATCACATCTCGTATATATTTGAAGTAGCTTTGGTAGGGACTAATGCAGAGTTGGAGGGCATAAGTTAAAGCCCTATTGTTGTTGAAATGTCCTAATAAGTTCCTTACTCCAGGCTTGAAGAAGACCACAGAAAATTTTAGGGGAGGCCAGGAAGTTTTAGGTGTTCCTGGTGCAAGTTCCCCTCCCCTAGCTGATCCTCTCTGTCAGCTTCATCATAGTGACCAAGAGATCAACCCCAGAAGGAGGCTCTAATTAGCACTTTTCATCCACTTCACCCTAAGAGCCCAACAGGACTAATCCAGACATATCTTACATGCCTGTTTACCCCAGCCACCTCCACAAAATCCCAGCCTCCCAGCCTGCATCATTACCTGAATTCCTAACCTCTTAAGGCTTCATTTAGTCCCCAATCTGACACAATAGCCTATTTTCAATGAACCCCGAAGCCTGCCTAACATGCCCTCTGAAGCTCAAAGCCCATTATCAGCAAATATGTCTATATCCTCAACATTTTGTTCAGTTTCTTATCCTAAAGGAAGCCTGACTCTTCCCTGAGGTTCCTGCTTCCATGTAGCCCTTTCAGATGGTTGGTGTTTCTTTCCCACACCCTTCATGTTACTTAAAGGACAAGATGTAGAAGAGTGGCCTCTTCTTCCTCTTTGCCACTTGCAGACTGTTTCTCCTTCATCTAACACTCCAGCCCACGTAAAATGCACATCAGTCTATGCCAATTGCTGCCCCTCTTAATGGCTGCTCTCCACCAACCTCCCAGTTACTTCATCTCATTCATTCGTTCATTGGAAATAACAGCGCTTGGCTCAGTCTTTTTACCCAAACACTTCCCCGTGTGACTTCCATATCCACTTGAGGATATAGCCAAGCCCCTTGCCCTACTATTTCTTGAAGTCACTTCTAACCTTTTGTTCCCCAGCATCCTAGCTCAGACACACTCTATGGTCATATTCTGGATGTCATCAGCAATAAATGCATCACCTCTATAGTGTCAATGTCAGATCTCCCTGTCTCCCATATAATCTCAACCCACAATCCATGGAACCTACTACCCTCTTGGTTCGTCTGTCCTTTCATGTCTTCACATTCTTCACAACCCGGCTTAAATTCTATGGTCCAATATTATATCCACTGCCTCATATAAATCTGCAAACAGAAGAAGTGTCTTTGTACCTCCCTCCTTCAATCATACTGAACTTATCCCTAAATAAGAATAACTCTACCTACAAAGTAGAATGGTCCCACTTCAAATATTTGACCAGAAATCTCTTAAGTGGGCCTTCAACAATGACTGACAATACTAAATTTTCCTAGTCAAGTCACTGTCTTTCTCCCTCACACAACTCCCTCATGAAACCTCAAATAATATAAATCCCCTTTATAATTCTCAGCTGATGACCTCACTTCTTATTCCACTGGGGGAAAAAAAAAAGAAACAATCGAAAGAAACCCACCTCATCTTCAGACCAACAAGTCTACCAACTTACCTGCATCTCTGCTCACATACCCTGCCTTCTCCCCTGTTACTAAGGAAGAACCTTCCCTTTCCCATCTAAGACCACTCCTTCCACCTATGCACAGGATCCTTTCCACTCTCAGCTATTCAAGCATTTTGTTCTAGCAATTAACCCCTCTCTCTCTGGTGTCACCAATTTTTCTTTCTATCAGTGTGCTGATGGGTGATTCCCATCGCATATAAACATGCTACAAAACCTCCCTTCTTAAACAAACAAAAGAAACTTCCTTGACCACATATCCACCTCCAGTTTCCTCACAATTTCTTTTCTCCTCTTTATATCAAAACTCTTCAAAATAGGTGTCTGTAGTGCTCTCTCCATTGTTTGACTTCTCATTCTCTCCTCAACCCACTCAAAACAGGCTTGTTTTTGCCTCTGTGCTGACAGCACTCTTATCAAGGTTGCCAACAACCTCCATCATGCCAAATCCAAAGGCAAACTCTAACTTCGCATTTTATTAATCTTCTCAGCAATATTTGGCTTACTTAATTATGGCTTCATTTTGAAACATATCTTGGCTTCTCTGACCACATAGTTTCCTGTTTTTTCTGCTACCTCTCAGTCACTTTTTCTCAGTGTCTCTTGCTGGGTTGTCCTCATCTTCTCAACCTCTAACCAATGGAGTGCTCCAGGGCTCAATTGTTGAATGTTATCTACTAAGGACTCCCAAATGGCAACCTCCAGCCCTGACTGTCCCCTGAGCTCCAGATTTTATTTATTTATTTATTTATTTATTTTTATTTTATTTTATTATTTTTTTTTGAGGCAGAGTCTCTCTCTCTCGCCAAGGCTGGAGTGCAGTGGTGTGATCTTGGTTTACTGCAACCTCTGCCTCCCGAATTCAAGCAATTCTCGTGCTCAGCCTCCTGCGTAGCTGGGATTAGAGGCATGTGCCACCACACTCGGCTAAATTTTGTACATTTTTCAGTAGAGAGGAGGTTTCACCATGTTGGCCAGGCTGGTCTTGAACTCCTGACCTCAGGTGATCCACCCACCTCAGCCTCCCAAAGTGCTGGGATTACAGGCATGAGCCACCGCACCCAGCCTGAGCTCCAGATTGTTCACTCCCCATTTCTATATGGGTATCGAACCAGAACCTTAAATTTAACATATATCCTAAACAGAACTCTTCATCCTGTCCCTCCTGAACACTTCCCATGTTCAGTCCAAAACCCAGGGTATCATCCCTGCTTCCTCCTGATTCCTTACATAACACATTAATCCATCTGTAAATCCTGTTGGATCTGCCTTCTATCCCAATCTAGCTTCTCACCACCTCCAAGGCACCACCATCTCTTGTCTGGACTATTTCAAGAGCTGCTTAACTGTTCTCCCCACTTCTATTCTTGTCCCCTAGTCTATTCTCCACAAAATGGCAAGAGTGATCTTTTCAAAACACAATTTATAGCACATCATTATCCCACCTAAACCTTCTAAAGGATTGCAAGCACAATTAGAATAGAATTCAAATTTTGCACTCACTTTTCCCTTAGTATGGCTTGCTCCCTTAGTTTACAAAGGTCTCTACTCACACGTCACCTCCTCAGAGAGGCATTTATGTGATCATTCTGCCTCAAATAGCACCAACCTCCATCACTTTTTCTCTCATTGCCTTGCTTCATTTTCCACTGTAGGTTCTCTCACATCTGTTATTGTTTTATTTGAGTATTTGCTTTTGGTCTGTCTCCTACATTCAGAATGTAAGTTCCCAAAGGGCAAGGATATTGTCTATTTTTTTTCATACTGGTACATAGTATTTAGGTGCTCAGTAAATATTTGTTGAATGAGTGCCTGCAACCAAAGAAAGAAATGATCAGAATAATTTGGAAACCATTGCATAACTTATAAGAAAGAAGACGTAACAGACCCGCAGTTTTATCTAAAACTCAAAGGGTGTTACCTTCTTCTGAACAGAAGAATAAGCACTAAAGCTAAGGGGCAGAAGTTACGCAGAGGCAGGAGGAGAAAATTTCTAAAACTCAAAGCCCAAATAAGCTGCCTTGTGAGGCATGGAACTATTAGGTTATTTATTTCAGTGATGAGAGGACCAATGTTTACTGGCAGCCTGCTGAATGGTAGATTTTGTATAGGGCCCTTAATATGGGTTAGGCACATTACCTTATTTTATTTAATCATCACAACTATATGAGGTAAATCTTATTATTATCATCCTTATTTTATAGATGAGGAAATTAACCTCACAAGTCCGAGACAGAACTTTATCACTGCCTCCAAATGATTCCGAAGGGCAACTCCTTTCTGACAGGGAGACTCTACAGCAGCAATTTGCAAAGTGTGGTCCACAGACCCCTTGAAGTCCCCAAAACTCTTTCAGGTGTTTAATAAAGTCAGAACTACTTTTTTTCTTTTTACAATACTAAGACATTATTTGCTTTTTTCACTCTCATTTTCTGGTGAATATACAGTGGAGTTTTCCAGAAGCTATATGATGTATGACGACTCACTACTCTGATAGATAACAGAATGTATGCTCATATATTCTTTTGTTTTTAATTTTTCTCAGGATAACTTTTTCATATGGTAACTATTGACAGATATAAGCCAGAGAAACAAAAGCACTCTGGGCTCCCCAATACTTTTGAAGAGTGTTAAGTGGCCCTGAGATCAAAAAGTTTGAGAACTACTGCTGAAGAGGAATAGAGGGTCTAAATGTCGAAGGCCTCTGAAGTCCCTTCAAACTCAAAGATTGAGGATTTCAATGAATTCCATTGTTTAGAAAACAGAGTTAACCACAAATCCTGTATTGGTTAAACTCCTGGGTGTGGCAATTCTTTGCTGAATATCTGTGTCCTCTTCACTGCCTTGGTCACTATAATGGAATTTTTCTTTGGAGACCCAGCATCCTGTATAACCTCAGGGTCATTAGACTCTATGGAAAGATGAAGAAACTGCAATCATAAAGAATGCTGATTCTCAACATCCTGTTAGTTTTCATCTGGGGATTATTTTACTTGGTGTTTTGCAGTGGATGTTTGTTTAATGTATAAACTTTAAAAAAAAATCACAAATGTGGATTCATTTGCTTGTTTTCCTGTTTTTTGTTTTATTTTAGTTTTGTTTTTGTTTGCGATTTTCTGGCTTTTTAGCTTTTTGGTTTTTTTTTTTTTTTGAGTTACAGTTTTCTTCTAATAGTCAAGTAATGAGGAAAGGAGAGTAGGCGGAATGAATGGTTAGGGAAGAGAACTTTTCTTAACACTTACTGTATGTCAGGTACAATATAATATGCTTTAGCTGTCATTCGCCAAGGATCTACTATATGGGTTACTTCTCTCAGTGCTTAATGTGCACTATCTCCAATTCTCACAATGATCCTGGAAAAGAGTTATTATCAAGTGTGTGATAAACTAACTGGAAAAAGAAATGGCTGCAATAACTACCTTCCTGACATCCATGCCTTTTGGTAATCCCTTCCCACATCTACTCTGGGCTGGGCCATATGACTTGCTTTCGCCAATGGGATAACAGCAAATATGAGCAAGCAGAGAATTGAAAAGTGCTTGCACATTGGGCCTGACGCTCTCTGTAACCCTGCAACTACCACCAGGTGAATGAGCCCAGGCCAGGCCACTGGATTACAAATGACACATGGCCCAGTTACTTCCATGACCCCTGCCAATCACCAGTCAACCACCAGACACATGAGTGAGGCCAGGGACTACCAGTTGACATAAATTGATGAGTAAATGAGGCTGACATAAATGGAACAGACAGTTCCAGCCTAGTCCACCCCAACTACCCACTCACAGAATTATGAGCAAATAAATAGTTGCTATTTTAAACCACTAAGTTTTAAGGTGGCATGTTATGCAGCAAATGCTGAGAACAATGCCCATTTTACAAAGAAGAAGCCTAAGTCTCCAAGAAATTGAGATCTTTACTGAGATCATTCTATAACCAGTATGTGGCAGGATGAGAATTTTAAACCTAGGCCTACATAGTATTACTTCATGTAATCTTTTTATCTACTGTTAATCTTTTTATCTACTATTAATACTCTCATTCTAAAGATGAGGAAATGTGTACAGTCAGGTTAAGCAATCTGCCTAAGGTCATGCGGTTAATAAGTGGTAAAGCCAGGATTTAAATCCAACTATCGAAGCTCCCAGAACTTCCTGGCCAAGCAGTCTGGAACCCGCTTTTAGGGCTTTCCAGCACCTATTATCAACCTAACCTCCTGAATATAGACAGCCGACGTGGGCATCTCTGAACCCGCAGGGTAGCCCAGGCGTGACTATTTGAGTATGGCTGCTCAGGGGAGGTGTGGACAGGTCTGAACTTCCACTCTTGTGTGTACAAAAACCCTCCAAATGTGAGAATGGGCAGGGGATAGAAAGAGAAGGGGGTGGATTGTGGGTCAGAAACAGCTCTCCCCCGGGTTTTCATATTCCATGATGGAACTCTGAGGCGTCTGAGAATTCTGAATTTGAACCTGGCATTCTAGGCCCTCATGAAAGGCATACCTGTAGTGCTTCATTCAGTTTCTAGTTTTTAAATGTTCAGGTGGGCTATGTAGGCCTCCCTTTGTTGCTCCAGAGCTAGAAGTGAGCCTGTCTGATTTACTGGAAACAGGGAGCTGTTCAAGGATTTCTTTCAGGGTAGTGTTATGATCAAAACTATGCTTAAAGACTTAGGTGGTGAATTTACCAAAAAAAAAGATATATTTTTTATAGATTTTAAAATAAATTTCCACATTTATTTTAAAAAGTTATCAAAATGGAATTAAATGAGAAGACATATCGACAAGGTGATGAAAGTAGTTAAAATTTAAGGTGAAAAATAAGACTCCATAAAAAAGATACAAACCAACCCTTTTTATTGTTAATTAAATTAAAAATACAGATGAATTCTTTTTACTTTTATTTTATTTTGAGACAGGGTCTGGCTCTGGCACCCAGGCTGGAGTGCAGTGGTGCAACCTTGGCTCACTGCAGCCTCCACCTCCTGGACGCAAGTGATCCTCCCAACTCAGCCTCCCAAGTAGCTGGGGCTACAGGTGTGTGCCACCACACCTGGCTAATTTTTGTATGTTTGGTAGAGATGGGGTCTCACTATGTTGCCCAGGCTGGTCTTGAACTCCCAGACTCAAGCAATCTGTCCACCTCAGCCTCCCAAAGTGCTGTGGATTACAGGTATGAGCCACCATGCCCAGCCACTTTTATTTACTTTTAGTTAGAGGTAAAAAGAGAACTGAAGTGGTCGGGCACAGTGGCTCACACCTGCAATCCCAGCATTTTGGGAGCTTAAGGCGGGCAGATCACTTGAGCCCAGGAGTTTGAAACCAGCCTGGTCAACATAGTGAGACCGCTATCTCTATTTTTAAAAATAAATAAAAATTGGCGGGGTGCAGTGGCTCATGCTTGTAATCCCAACACTTTGGGA
Organism: Homo sapiens; assembly: GCF_000001405.40. NCBI lineage: Eukaryota > Metazoa > Chordata > Mammalia > Primates > Hominidae > Homo > Homo sapiens. The sequence continues at coordinate 104,328,579 of NC_000023.11, read as the reverse complement.
GGCCGAGGCGGTTGGATCACCTGAGACCAGCCTAGCCAACATGGCAAAACCCCATCTCTACTAAAAATACAAAAATTAGCTGGGCATGGTGGCATGCTCCAGTAATCCCAGCTACTTGGGAGGCTGAGGTGGGAGAATCGTTTGAACCCAGGAGGCGGAGGCTAAGTGAGTCGAGATCACACCACTACACTCCAGGCTGAGTGACAGAGAGATGCTCTGTCTAAATAAATAAAAAAGAGAAAGATAAGGAACTACCCCTATATAGTAAGAGGTTGTTATGGACTGAATGTCTGTGTCACCTCAAAATTCACATGCTGTAACTCTACCCTCCAATGTGATGGTATTTGGAGGTAGAGCCTTTGGGAGGTAATAAGGTTTAGATCAGTCCATGAGAGTGGAGGCCTCACAATGGATTAATGTCCTTATAAGAAGAGGAAAGGAGAGCTCTCTCTTCATGAACACACACTAAAGAAAGGCCATGTGAGCATACGGTGAGAAGTCAGCCATCTGCAAACCAAGAAAAGGACCCCCACCAGAACCTGACCATGTTGCACCTTGATTTCAGACTTTCAGCCTCCAGAACTGTGAGACAATTACTGTCTGTTGTTTAAGCCACCCAGTCTACGATATATTCTTATAACAGCCTAAGGTGGCTAAGACAGAGGTTTATTAGCAATGGGTATAGAACTTTTATTTAAATGTATTTCCAACATTAATAAAGGTGATTATACGTATTTTTTTGAAATCCAACTGTCTCTGATTTCAGAGCTTGTACTACTTGCACAACTTCAGCCATCGGTTGTGGTTAGTTGAGGGTTCCAGTTAGCTGATTCTTGCCTATAGAAGAACTGATTGCTCCAACACTGTATTAGCAACCAAGCTTGCATTTAAAAATGCACCACATAACTCTATACACACAAACACAAAAAGTATAAAAGAGAAAGAGCAATGGAAATGGAAGAAGACTTGGGAATGGAAGTTATTCAAAAGAAAACACAACAACAAAACATTGCAAAGTAGGTCTGGTTTTATAAATAGGAGATAAGAAAAACTCATTAAAATAACCAAAGCACTAAGAGGAATATAAAACAGCAGCTCATGAAAAGGGGTATTTTAAACTGGAACCAAAGAAGCTAGCAGGCACGTGGCTTGAACCAAGGATGAAAGTGTTCATTAACACTAAAAGCACTGCACTCGCTGCTCATCATATTCACGACGTGTCCTTCTACCGACTTTCTGCTGTCTACATGCTGCTTGGCACCAGAGTTATTTAGGTCGGAAAAGAGAATGTGGAAAGAGGGAGCATTAACACCTACCGAAGATGGCAAGGGAAGAGCACTGGACTGCAACTAACTAGCCAAGTGACCTTGGGCATGTTACTTCACCTCTATGGATCTTAATTTCCTAAGGCCCCTGTGCAGCTCTAAAATTGCATGATTCTATGATTATATTGAAGGGAAGGTGGTGACCAGCAGTGATCCATTGCTGCTGAGATGCAAAAAAAGAACAAATAAGCTCTCAGAGAAGTGTTCCTTCATTTACTCGAAAAGCATTTATTGAACACCTACTATTTGTTCTAGGCTTTGTTCTTGTCCTTGAAATAGTAATTCAGTGGGGGAAAGAAAAATGCCGACAAAAAAATTACAACTAAATGTGATAATCCCTACAGCAGATATACAAAGCACAAAAGGGGCCCGATTAATAATAACAATGCTGGCGCACGGGCCCTTTGGATTAGATGCACCTGGATTGTATCCCAATTTAGCTATTTACTAGCTGTATAACCTTAGGCGAATCACTGAATCTCTCTGAGCCTTGGTTTCCTTGTGTATTCTCACATAATAGACTCTGATGCTACAGTATGAGTTACCTACGGGCTTGATTCTCAAACCTCCACAGGGGAAAAATATAGTCAGTTAGGGACTAAAGCCAACTGGAGAAGATTCATGGGGTATATGATGTGAGGAAGAAGACTATGCAGACAATTTTTAACTGGCTGTGAAGGGGAAGAGGGAAATGGGATAGTAGCTAGGAAAAGAAGTAGAGTCAAGGAAGAATTTTTTTTAATAGAAGTCATACAGTTGGGCATGGCGGCTCACACCTGTAATCCCAGTACTTTGGGAGGCTGAGGCGGGCAGATCACTTGAGGCCAGGAGTTCAAGACCAGCCTGGCCAACACGGAGAAACCCAGTCTCTACTAAAAATACAAAAATTGGTTGGGCATGGTGGCTCACGCCTGTAATCCTAGCACTTTGGGAGGCCGAGGTAGGTGGATCTCTTGAGGTTAGGAGTTCAAGACCAGCCTGGCCAACATGGCAAAACCCCGTCTCTACTAAAAATACAAAAATTAGCCAGGTGTGGTGGCGGGCGCCTATAATCCCAGCTACTCGGGAGGCTGAGGCACAAGAATTGCTTGAACCCAGGGAATGGAGGTTGGAGTGAGCCGAGATCATGCCACTTCACTCCAGCCTGGGCGAAAGAGTGAAACTCCATCTCAAAAAAAAAAAAAAAATTAGCCAGACGTGGTGGTGCACACCTGTAATCCCCAGCTACTCGGGAGGCTGAAGCATGAGAACTGCTTGAGCCCGAGAGGTGGAAGTTGCAGTGAGCTGAGATTGTACCAATGCAGTTTATCTTGGGCGACAGAGTGAGACTCCCCTCACCCAAAAAAAAAAAAAAAAGAAAAAGAAAGAAAAGTCATATAACATGGTAATTTTTTAGGTAAAATCAAGAAAAGGAGGAGATACTGATAATGCTGGAGAGGAAGGAAGTAATCGAAGAACCTAAGGCCATGTGGAGGCAAGATTGGACAGAATCTAGAAAGGTCTGGCCTGTGAGGAGCACAGTCTCCTAGCAAGAGAATGCACACATTCTCCATTGTAAATAGGGGAAAGACAATGGTTGCAGGTGTAGTTAGGAGGGTACATTTAATGGTAGCAAGATCAGAACATTCCCATTTTCTGTATTCTGTTTACTCAGTGCCATGTGGGGTGAGGTCATCAGTGAGCATGAAAAGGAAGGGGTGGGAGAGGGAGATTTGAGCAGAGAGGACGAAGAGATCATCTCAGAGAACTGTCTTCAGAAAACCCTCACTAAGGATGACAGAAGTGATGGACAGTGTCAGATGTCCACCTGAAGTTAGTAATGAGTGAAGACAGCCAAGTTGTGAAAGTCTCAGCTGCAAGGAAAAGGAGGTGAGAGGGAAGGAGGATAGGATGGCTAAGCGTTAAGGTATGACTCAGTGGCTGTGAAAGAGGAAAAAGGAAAGTGACTACAATACTGTGGACTCTAAGCTGGGGAAAAAGTAAATCGATACAATGGTGAGCTAATGAAGAGAGAAAATATGATGAGAGTCAATGGATTGGAGGTCTAACCTGATAAAGTTTAGAGACTTCAGCAGTGGAGGTCAAGATTTCCAAAATAATGCAGTTTCTGGTGATAAAAAGGGCTAGTGTATGAGCAAATGAATGCGTAGTTGAGGTGGGTGGAGGAAAAGATCATTAAAATGAAGCGGTCAAGGAAGTGAAAAGTCATGATAAGGGATGGGTCAACCATGTGAATGTTGAAGTCACCAAGAATGATGACTAGAATCGGGGTGGAAAGGATAACAAAGTCTAGAGAGAAAGGCTCTCCCCTACAAAGTTCTACAAATCCCTCAGGCTGCTGGGGCGGGGGTTAGGGGAATCAAGACAGAGATCCCAGCCACTCCGGGACCCTGCCTCCCCTTCCTGTCTTGAGCCCAGGTTCAGGGGATCCAATATACCCCACAGCAGGTCCACTCTCCTCTCCTCCCACCCTCAAAATCTTCCACTTTCAGACAACTCCTCTCTAAATTTCCAGTAACTGAGAATTTTTTTTTAAAACAAAAGCCTCCTGGGGCAAGTAAAGTTTCTGACATTCTTGACACAAAGATGTTGAAGTCATCCAGAATGATAAGAGGAATGAACAGGAAGTGAGTAAGCCATGAACTAGGTCTTCAATAAATGAGGGGAAGTAACCAGGAGGTTGGTGGGTGACAGCAATGAGGAGAGTAGAGGGGTGGGCATTTGCGGGAAAAAGAAAAATAATCCTAAAGGGATTTGGGGGACCAATAATTCTCAAACTCTCCTCCAAGCAACATTTATCTAAGAAGCAGCCAACGTATCAGTTATGACAGGAGGTACAGGACATAAGGGTACAGGGACTTTGGCCATCACAGACAGGCATTTGTAGAGGGCACAGTAAGGATGTGGGAGGAAGTGGCTTTTGTCGGATTAGAAAATAAATAGAGTAGTATGGAGGGTGAGCAGGAGTCAGGAAGGCTTGGGAGGTGAGGCACAATGGGATTAGTTCTGACAGTGTCTTGGAGGAGGGCAGTCAGTTCCCTTTAGAACTGAGGTGCATTGGCAGGGTGTGGTGGCTCACGACTATAATCCCAGCACTTTGGGAGGTCAAGGCGGGCAAATCACAATGTCAAGAGTTTGAGATCACCCTAGCCAACACGGTGAAACTCTGTCTCTATTAAAAATACAAAAATTAGCCAGGTGTGGTGGCACACACCTGTAGTCCCAGCTACTAGGGAGGCTGAAGCAGGAGAATCGCTTGTACCTGGGAGGCGGAAGTTGCAGTGAGCCGAGATCATGCCACTGCACTCCAGCCTGAGCAACCAAGCGAGACTCCGTCCCAAAAAAAAAAAAAAAAATGAGGTGCAGAATATTTCATTCAATGATAGTCTTCATCTCTGCCTTGGCCACATTTTGGCCCAGATGAGGCAGCGTGAGGGCCACTCAATCAGGATTCCTATGATGAAAGGGCCACAGCACCTGAGGCAGCAGTCTCCTTGAGCCTGACACAGTGGGACGGTGTTGGTGACCTGTGGTGTGCAACTCCTCAGGCCTTACTCAATGTAATGTTTGACAGCTGCAGCAGCAGCTTATGCCTGTGCTTTCTCTTACAGTGTGATTTAAATCGGATTTTGTCTGTCTATAATACCTGACAGGAATACTGATATAAATCCTTTCTCAGTCTCAGCTCCCTCATTCTCCAGGCCAGTTTTGTGAGAACAGGGACAAGTGGGAAATATGTACAGTGCAAAAATAAGAAAATAATCCACCCCACATGATCTCCAGACTCATCTGCATAGGAAAGTGCTCACAGCAAAAGAAGCCCACCATTATGCTTCCCCCCCAGAGTCATTGTCGTTTTTCAATGTTGTCCATCCAGGCTGCACCAGCTTGGAACAGCTCTGTGGCCTGGCTGACAAATAGAGGAGTCCCAGGTCCCCAGAATCCTGCCTCAGCTTAGGGCTAGACTCCAAAAGCAGGGAAGAGTGGGGCTACATCTAGGCCAGTCTCCAATCACCAGCAGGTGATATTTATTCCGTCAGTGGGCAGAGTCACCACTACCTCTACCTGTGCAGGGTGCTTCCCATCCTCTGGGATGGTTTATTCCAAGGTCTCTAAGCATATAGATCTGTAAGTCAAGTCAGGCTATAAACCTTAGCAGTATTAGGACATCTAGTAAGTTCTCAAGTGATACTGATGCGACTGGTTTGGGATCACACTTTGAGGACCACTGATCTGCGTTAGAATTTTGCCTGCATGTGCACTCTTTGCAATCACCTCAGCTTCCCCGTCCAGACCTGATTTACTGAAATTAACTGAGCACTAAATTCTTCTAGGAGAGCTATAGCCCTCAAACCAACTCCTCCCACCCCATCCCCACCAATTTTTCAGCTCTGCCAATGGCACTACTGGCTTCTAATTACTGGGGCTTGTAATATCTATGTCTCTTATTCAGTTCCTGCCTATAAAGTCACTCATCAAGTCCTTCTCGAAATTTCCTTTAAAATGTCTCATGCTGTTAGGATACAGTGGCTCATGACTATAATCCCAACATTTTGGGAGGCTGAGGTAGGAGGATCGCTTGGGGGCAGGAGTTTCAGACCAACCTAGGCAAAATAGCAAGGTCCCCTCCGCAGAAAAAAAAAATTAATTAGAAAGGCGTGGTGGCACGTACCTATAGTCTTAGCTATTTGGGAGGCTGAGGCGGGAGGATCACTTGAGCCCAGGAGTTTGAGGCTGCAGTGAGCTATGATTGTGCCATTGCACTTCAGTCTGGGCAACAGAGCGAGACCCTGCCTCTTAAATATATAAATATATATTTTATATATATATATATGTATTTTTTTTTTGAGACAGAGTCTCGCTCTGTCACCCAGGCTGGAGTGCAGTGGCAAGATCTCGGCTCACTGCAACCTCCACCTTCCAGGTTCAAGCGATTCTCCTGCCTCAGCCTCCCGAGTAGCTGGGATTACAGGCACCCACCACCACGCCAACTTAACGTTTTTATTTTTAGTAGAGACAGGGTTTCACCATGTTGGCCAGTCTGGTAACTCCTGACCTCGTGATCCGCTCACCTCAACCTCCCTAAGTGCTGGGATTACAGGCGTGAGCCACTGTGTCTGGCCCACCACGCTAATCTTTCGATTGTCATAGCTTCTTCCAATTAAAAGTTCAGTACTACTTTCAACATGTTACCTAATTAATCCAAAATCCTTCTATAAACACTCCTCACTGGGTCTACATGCCTTAATAATCACTGGTCCTCCAACATGTTCTCTGCCTCTGCACCTCCTAAATGATGGTTCTTGAATTGTGATCACAATGAACACCTGCATCAGCAACATCTGAGTTCCATGATAAAAACGCATACTACTGAGCCCCATCTCAGACCTACTGAATCAAAACCTGAGGGTAAAGCCTAGGAATCTGCATTTTTCTCATGCTACCCAAGGAAATTCAGTGCATTCTAAAGCTGGGGAACCACTCTCTAGTTTCCTGCTCTAAACAGAATCCATCATCATCCCACAGTGTGTTATCTATTGCTGTACCAAATGACTCCCACATTTAGTGGCTTAAAACAGTACACACTGATTATTATCTCATCTTTTCTGTGGATCAGAAACCCAGTCATAGCTGCAGTGTGTCCTTTGGCTCAGAGTCTCTGAAAGACAAAAATCAAGGTGTTGGTCTGGCCTGCAGTCATCTCAAGGCTCAACTAGGAAAAGATCTGCTTCCAAGTTCACTCACATGGCCAATGGCAGGATTCAGTTCTTCAGAGGCTGTTGACCAATAGCTGCCCTCATTTCCTTGCCATGTGGAACTTTCCATTGGTCAGTTCACAATATAGCAACTTATTTCATGTTTTATCAGCGCAAACAAGCAAATACGGCCAGAGAGAACGAGTAGTAGCAAGGCAGAAGTCACAGTCTTCTGCAAACCTAATAATGGAAGTGACACCATCACTTTTGCTGTATTCTCTTTGTTAGAAGAAGTCACTAGGTCCAGCCCACACACAAGGGGAGAGAAGGGATTACACAAGGGTGTGAATATCAGGAGGAGGGGATCATTGGGAGCCATTTCAGAAGCTCCTGCCACAGCCTCCTCAACATCATATACACACGTGTCAGCCCATGTTTTGTCTATTTATCCAGCCAGTATGGAAGGATTAAAAACAACAGCAGTCCGGGCACGGTGACTCACATCTATAATCCCAGCACTTTGGGAGGCCAAGGCGGGTGGATCACCTGAGGTCAGGAGTTCAAAACCAGCCTGGCCAACATGGTGAAATCCTGTATCTACCAAAAATATAAAAATTAGCTGGGTGTGGTGTTGTGAGCTTGTAGTCTCAGCTACTCAGGAGGCTGAGACAGGAGAATCGCTTGAACCCGGGAGGCAAAGGTTGCAGTGAGCTGAGATCATACCACTGCACTCCAGCCTGGGAAACAGAGCGAGACTCCATCTCAAAAAAAATAAATAAAATTTAAAATAAATAAATAAATAAAAACAACAGTGGTGTGGTTCGCAAGAGCACAATACATAAAGCTGTGATTAGCCTAGTCTGATTTCTTGCCTTACAAAAGTCTCTGATTTTAGCGAAGAAGAAGGCAATTGATCACGGCCCAAAGTGGGTATTTGGCTTTCCAATAAACACATATTCATCAGTTAAGCCAGTTTTCAACCCTGCTGGAGATTAGAATACCTGGGGAGCTTTTATTTAAAAATACTGATGCCCAGGGTCCCACCAAAGGTATTTAAATCAGAATTTCTGAGACTGGAGCTATAGAACTAGCATTGTTTTAAGGATTTTGTTCTGTTTACTTTTAATTTTTTTATAGAATCAGCTTTTTTAAAAGATCTCTAGGTGATTCTAATACACAGTTAGGATTCAAAACCCTTGGGCTGGCCCATTCTTCCACCTTCATTTCCTTTTTTTGACAACTGTTGTATGGAAACAGCTACTGCTTAGGATAGGTTGGAAGCCTCTTCCACCTGATTTGGGAATACCCTGTGAAGGAGAAAGAATTGGATGCCAGGTTTGAAAAACAGCAGGAAAGTCTCTTAGTGGAAGCTGACAGAGGTGGCCTGAGAGAGGGTATCAGGTTTGAGACATATCTAGGCCAGAACAAGAGCACACAAAGTCAATATGTTTTCGGTCACTGCCTGCTAGCAACCTGGTAATGGGTTAGGAACGACAGGCAGAAGAAAGGAATGGAAGATATGTCCCCTGAAACAGATGTTGCAAACTGACAGCCCATGGGTCAGATGTGGCTCACAAAAGTGTTGCCTGCACATGTGTGTGCACATGTGTAGGTATGTGTAGTATGTGTGTTTTGTTCACTGCGGTCAAGGTTTACATAAATAAATATTTCTACCTACAAATTATTCACATCTGGAAAAAAGGTAAGAGAATTTAACACACATCCCTGGTATATTAAATTCTGAAAGTTTACATTTTTCTTCCAACAGTCTTACAGCTTCACTGAGAAATTCAACTCTAAAATATGCATAAAAATAAATAAAAGAAAATATATACATAAACCATCAATTAAACTTATTTGCTACCGATGAAATCAGGGAGAGAACCCGTTTCTTTCTTTCTTTCTTTCTTTCTTTCTTTCTTTTTTCCTTTTTTTGAGACAGGGAGACAGGGTGTCACTCTGACATCCAAGCTGGAGTGCAGTGGCGCAATCACAGTTCACTGCAGTCTTGATTTCCCAGGCTCAAGTGAACTTCCTACCTCAGCCTCCTGAGTAGCTTGGGCCACAGGCACCTGCCACCATGCCCAGCTAATTTCTTCATTTTTTTTTTGTAGAGATGGGGTTTTGCTATGTTGCCCAGGCTGGTCTCTAACTCCTGAGATCAAGCAATCTGCCTGCCTCGGCCTCCCAAACTGCTGGGATTACAGGCGTGGGCCACCACAGCTGCCCGTTTCTTTTTAACAACGCTGAGAATTAATACATAAAATGGGGAGTCTATAGGCTTACACTGAATAATAATACCTAGAATTAGCACGGTATTCATAAGTAGTACTTAATAAATATCCTTAACTATAAGTTACTGCTTCCTATCGACAGATTGTTTTTAATTGGGCATACTGCTTTTTAAAAATTGGAATGTGTTCCCAATATTTAAAATAAGGAAATTTTATATAAAGATCCAGATCTGGGGCCTCTCTTAAAAACTGGTAGCTTTGATTCTCACAAGGTAACAATTGGCAGGAAGTGAATTGCAGTTGTTACCTCTCCCTCCCCACTGTCTCCCAAAAGGAACACACCCAAAGGAACACACCACACATCCTCTGCCTTGCCCCAGCAGACAGCTGGAAGGCAGTATAAGAGAGTGACTAACAGTGTAGACTCTGGAGCCAGAGTGCTCTGTGTCCAAAGGTTACTTCCGTCTGGCACTGTTGAATGGTGTGACTCAGGTAAGTTATTTAACATCTCTGTGCCCCAGTCTCTTTTTCTGAAAATCACGGCTCATAATAAAACCTACTTTACAGGATCATTAAGAGGATTAAGCAAGTGAGCTAATACATACAAAGAGCTTAGCCCAGTGCTTAGCCAAAAGGTAGGCACTCAGTAAATGTTAGGCATTGTTATTTGAATGCAGTAGAACAGTAGTTACGAGCAAATGCACTGGCAGAAAGACAAAAACCACATGCTCTCACTTACATGTGGAATCTACAACAATGGAACTCACAGAAGCAGAGAGGAGTTATCAGAGACTGGGGCATTGGGGGAATGAAGAGATGTCAATCAAAGGTTACAAAGCTGCAGTAAGACGGGAGGAATACCTGATAAGTATTTAAGGTGATAGGTATGTAATTTAGATTGATTCTATCATTCCACACTGTATGTGATATGGTTTGATGTTTGTCCCCTAAAATCTCATGGTGAAATGTAATCCCCAGTGTCAGAGGTGAGGCCTGGTGGGGGTATTTCTTTCTTAGAGGCAGATCCCTCATGAATGGCTTAGAGCCATCCCTTGGTGATGAGTGAGTTCTAGCTCACCCTCAGTTAGTTCACACAAGATCTGTTGTTTAAAAGTCTTGGACTTCCCCCTTCTCTCTCTTGCTTGTTCTCACCAAGTGATATGGCAGGTTCCTCCTTTTAAGTTTTCTGAGGTCTGCCAGTGTCATGTTGCTTGTACAGCCTACAGAACCATGAGCCAAAATAAAACTCTTTCTTTATAAATTACCCAGCATCAGGTATTCCTTTACAGCAATGCAAATGGACTAATGCAGCATACATATATCATAACATCATTGTGTATCCCATCATTGTATACAATTATAATTTGTAAAAAAAAAAATTAAAAAATCAAAAGAAACCCATCAAAAACAAACAAAAAAGAGCATGTGCACTGGAGTCAGCACCAAAATCCCAGCTCTAGAAAGTACTAGCTGTGTAGCCTTAGAGCAAGTTACTTACTATTCTTCAGTTTCCTCCTCTGTTAAATGGGAACAGCAATGATATCCACCTTGTAGGGTTGCTGTGAGAGGACTAAGTAAGATAAGGTTTGTAAGGTGCTTGGCACAGAGTAAATACCCAATACAGGTTACCTATTATTGTGGTTCCTACCCATCGGGAAGATGAGATTAGCACACAGGGCACAGGCCAGGAAGATCAAATCGAGAGGCAGGTTGAGTGATGGGTAAACTAAAAAGCCTATGAGGAGTAGGAGATGATGAGAAAGTTTTAAAGCACATTTGGGCTGGGCGCAGTGGCTCACACCTGTAATCCCAGCACTTTGGGAGGCCGAGGCAGGCAGATCACCTGAGGTCAGGAGTTCAAAACCAGCCTGGCCAACATGGTGAAACCCTGTCTCTACTAAAAATACAAAAATTAGCTGGGCATGGTGGTATGCACCTGTAATCCCAGCTACTGGGGAGGCTGAGGCACGAGAATCACTTGAACGCAGCAGGCAGAAGCTGCAGTGAGCCAACATCACGCCATTGCACTCCAGCCTGGATGACAGACCTAGACTGTGTCTCAAAGAAATAAAAATAAAAGTAAAAAAATAAAGCACATTTTAAGGCCAGAGCAAACATTAGGGACTTGCTTCAGAGGCTGACTCTTAAGAGACAAAGAAATGTACCCATTTAATCTGCCACACGCCCAAGTGTGTTGGGAACGTGTTCCATAAACCTACACCCCTTGAAAGGCTACCTACCTTTTTTACAACCCATGATGTGACCAACATGATACACTGTGTTTTTAGACATCCAAGATAATTACAGCACTAAAAATAATGGCTCCATAGATATGAATGTTCCTGAAACTGACAGATGGGACAAGTAATGGAAGCAGAAATAACAGTGCAGGAGCAGCACTGCTGTTCAACCTCTCTCTGCCTGGCCTCTGACAAGGTAATCAAAACACATACAGAAGAGCTGCATTTTCAGCGGGGTGATGACACTTATGCATTAATGGATATCAAACTTTAACGACCACAAGACTTGGAAAGAGAAAAGCAGAAGTCTTCCTCCTGCTTCCCCACTTGTGGCATCCTCAGAGTCCTGGGCAGGATTCACTGATAATTTATGATGAGAGGGTTGATATCCAATTCACCAAGTATATCTGGGAGACAAGTATGATCATAAACAGCCCAAGGCAGATAAAACTCACATCTTAATTATCTATACATTCTCGCCTCATGACGCTTGTTGCACATCAACCCACAAATTATCTAAAGGAAAATTTTAATCTCAGTGAGGCTTCCCCCAATGCCTTTGAATACCCTATGTCCTCAGATGTGTGTTCTTGGAATACAAATTCATTTTAATATTACCCTAGGAAAAACAATAAGAAAAAGCCTACAGGCCAGGCATGGTAGCTCACGCCTGTAATTCCAGCACTTTGGAAGACCAAGGTGGGTCAATCACTTGAGCCCAGGAGTTTGAGACCAGCCTGGCCAACATGGTGAAACCCCGTCTCTACTAAAAATACAAAAATTAGCTGGACGTGGTGGTGGGTGCCTGTAATCCCAGCTACTCGGGAGGCTGAGGCAGGAGAATCTCTTGAACTCGGGAGGCAGAGGTTGCAGTGAGCCGGGATCATGCCACTGCACTCCACACTCCAGCCGGGGAGACAGAGTGAGACTCTGTCTCAAAACAAAAAAAAAGAAAAGAAAAGAAAAGAAAAGAAAAAGAAAAAGACTACAAAACAAAAACTAATATGGTATCTAAAGGTATGTGAAATTCTAAAAAACATTTTTCTAGTTTTGCTGAAATTTTCCATAGTTGTGGTCCATGCATTGTATTACTAAATTTGCATATGCTGTGGGAATTAGCTACAGCAAAATTTTAAGTCCAGGTTGTTTTGACCTTGTTTCCAAGAATGCCCCAAAGCCTCCTCTCTTCCATAATACTTAGCTGGTGCTCAACTCAGCAAGTGGAAAAGAAGTAAACTAGAACTAGAAAAGTAGATCTGCCAAAAACATTTAATGATTCATTCTGAGGTCAAGTGCAAATGATATGTGGATTAGCATGACTAAGCTGGCGATAACCCACATTTATGAAGTGCTGTGCCATTCAGGAAAGGGCAACAGCCAAAATCAGGCTGGATGGTCAGTGTTGAGATAGCAACGGATTGTATTCAGAAAAATATCTGATAACTGGTGTTAGCATCTTCTCCGCCCTCCCCAGTGTCCAGAAAAGAAAAGCCAGCACTAGACTTCTAAATCAGTACTTCTCAAACTTTAATGTGTATACAGATCACCTGGGGATCTTATTAAAATTCAGATTCACATTGAGTAGGTCTGCAGTGAGACCTGAGCTTCTGCATTTCTAACAAGCTCCCAAATGCTGCTGACACCTCTGGTTCATGCATCCATGCTTTCAGTAGAAAGAGTCTAAAGCAGGGGTCAGCAACCTATGGCTCAGAGGCCTGTCTTTGTACAACCTGTGAGCTAAGAATGGTTTTTAGATTTTTTTTAATGGTTGGGAAAATAAATCAAAATAATATTTCATGACACACAAAATTGTATTAAATTCAAATTTCTATGTCCACAAATGAAGTTTTTTTCCTGGTACACAGACATACCTGTTCATTTACTTATAGTCTATGGCTCCTTTCTAGCTGAGGTGAATATTTGCAACAGAGGCCATATAGTCTACAAACCTAAAATAGCTGGAGGCCTTTCCAGAAAAAAAGCTATCAACCCCTGGTCTGAAGTATTAATGAAGGGGATTATACTGTATTCACACAGAGAGAAGGGCTTTGAGTATCATTACACAGAGAGAAGGGCTCGAGACAGCTTGCCCTTCCTTCTGCTGAGACTGGGAGGGGTCAGAGAACTGAGTAGTAAAACCGGTGCACCCCATGCAGGTACAGCACCCCCGACAGGTAAGCAATCAAAAGGAAGACCTGAGTGAGAGGTATCTCTGGACCCACTTGGAGCAGCAGTGCCAAAGGCAATTGATAAGGACCTGCACATGATGGCCGCCTCTGGGAGACCAAGGAGCAAGAGAAAAGATGAAACCACTAAGAACTAAGGATCTGGCCCTCTCCTGATTTTCTGGCACAAAAAAAGCCCAGGACTCTTTAGTGATCTCCCGGGAGATTGTAGGAAACCCTCAAAATAACAGAGATGTAATTCCCTGTCCATATACCATGTTGGGGGCTCTGAAAAGACTCTATTTAATTTATAGAAATAAAGAAACAGGGCCAGGCGCAGTGGCTCACGCCTGTAATCCCAGCACTTTGGGAGGCCGAGGCAGGCGGATCACCTGAGGTCAGGAGTTCAAAACCAGCCTGGCCAACTTGGAGAAACCCCGTCTCTACTGAAAATACAAAAATTATCCAGGCATGGTGGCGAGCGCCTGTAATCCCAGCTACTTGGGAGGTTGAGGCAGGAGAGTAGCTTGAACCCAGGAGGCGGAGGTTGCAGTGAGCTGAGATCGCACCACTGCACTCCAGCCCGGGTGACACAGCAAGACTCTGTCTCAAAAAAAAAAAGAAAAAGAAAAGAAAGAAAAAAATAAAGAAAGAAACAGGCAGGGCAAGGTGGGTCACGCCTGTAATCCCAACGCTTTGGGAGGCCAAGGCAGGCAGGCCATTTGGGTCCAGGAGTTTGAGACCAGCCTCGGTAACACAGCAAAACCCAGACTCTACAAAAAAAAAAAAAAAAAATTAGCCAGGCTCAGTGGCTCAAGCCTGTAATCCTAGCACTTTGGGAGGCCAAGGCGGGTGGATCACCTAAGGTCAGGAGTTCAAGACCAGCCTGGCCAACATGGTGAAACCCTGTCTCTACTAATTAGCCGGGCGTGGTGGCGGGTGCCTGTAATTCCAGCTACTCAAGAGGCTGAGGCAGGAGAATCACTTGAACCTGGGAGGCAGAGATTGCAGTGAGCCAAGATCAAGACAGAGCAAGACTCTGTCTCAAAAAGAAAAAAAAATAGCTGGGGCGTGGTGGCTGGTGTGCACCTGTAGTCTCAGCTACTCAGGAGGCTGAGGTGGGAAAATCACCTGGCCTCAGGAGGCGGCCGTTGCAGTGAGCCGTGATTGCATCACTGGGTGACAGAGTGAGACAGAGACCGGGCACAGTGGCTCACGCCTGTAATCCAGCACTTTGGGAGGCCGAGGCCGGAGGATCGCTTGAGTCTAGGAGTCCAAGATCAGCACAGACAACATAGAGAGGCCCTGTCTCTGCAAAGAATTTTAAGAATTAGCCAGGTGTGGTGGTGCACGCCTGTAGTCCCAGCTACTTGGGAGGCTGAGGTGGGAGGATCATTTGAGCAACTTCAATTTATTTCTCACAGTTCTAGAGGCTGAGAAGTCCAACCAAGATCAAGGTGCTGGCAAGGTAGGTTTCATTCTGAGGCTTCTTCTCTTGGCTTGCGGGCAGCCACCATCTTGCTATGTGCTCACATGACCTCTTCTTTGTGCACAGACACAGAGAGAAAGAGGGGGAGAGAGGGAGAAAGAAGAGGGAGGGGAAGAAAAGGGGGACAAAGAGGGAGGAAGGTGAAGGGAGGAAAAGGAGGGGAAAGTGGGGCTGGGGAGGAAAGGAAGGAGGGAGGCACAGAGAGGGAGGAAGGAAGACAAAGAGAAAGGTGCTCCCATGCTCTCTGGTGCTTCTTCTTATAAGGACATTAATTCTATTGGATCAGGGGTCCAAACATTACTTCATTTAACTGTAATTCTGTTCTAAATATTTTATCTCCAAATATAGTCACATTGGAGGTTAGGGCTTCAACATATGAATGGGGGTGGGGGGTGGGAAGGGACACATTTCAGTCCATAGCATTGCGCTTGGTGATGTGGACTAAAAACTCATACCTGCTATGCCCATTTATATTCCTGATCTAATGAATAAACAGAGAAGGTGACTAACCTCTGGTCTGATTTGACCTGAGGACACAAAAAAGAACCCTAATTTCAAGTTAGCTACTCCACTAACCTGTCGCTGGCCCCCAAACCCAATACCAGAATTATTCCTTTGAGAGAAAGTTACTGAAATCAAAGGTCCAGGTCAAAGTATAAATTCATTAAAGAGAAGAGCTACCCTTCTCCGAATAGCAGAGGAAATTCCCTAGGAGGTCTGGGGACCCAGCCCAATGTGTCCTGGACAGGAAATTGAGCGTTGTAGCTAAGAGTGTGGACTGCCATGTACTCAGCTCTTTGCCCTTGGGCAAGTCATTTAACCTCACTGTGCCTTAGTTTTCCATCCACAAAATGTGGATAAAACCTCTTAGGGTTGTTGCAAAGATTAAATCATTTACTATGTAGTAAGCTCTTTGAATAGAACCTGATACATAGTAAGCATTTGATGGATGTTAGCTATTATTTTATCTTAGAGATTTGAGGACATTTTGCATTCTACTCCAGGGTATGTTCAAGTTAGTTGCCACCAAGAAAAAGTGACAGTCCAGGAAGAGGCAATACATACGCCCTGCTACACTGCCACATACATTCAGAATTGTACATTCAGAAATGAAGCCAGGGCCAGGCATGGTGGCTCACACCTGCAGTCCCAGCACTTTGGGAGGCCAAGGTGGGCAGAATACCTGAGATCAGGAGTTTGAGACCAGCCTGGCCAACATGGTGAAACCCCGTCTCCACTAAAAATACAAAAATTAGCTGGACGTGGTGGCGCATGACTGTAACCCCAGCTACTCTGGAGGCTGAGACACGAGAATCGCTTGAACCCAGTTGATATGGTGAAACCCCATCTCTACTAAAAATACAAAAATTAGTTGGGCATGGTGTGGTGGCCCACGCCTGTAATCCCAGCTACTCGGGAGGCTGAGGCAGAAGAATAGCTTAAACCCGGGAAGTGGAGGTTGCAGTGAGCTGAGATCGCGCCATTACACTCCAGCCTGGGCATCGCATCGAGTCTATCTCAGAAAAAACAAAAACAAACAGGAATGAAGCCAGGCCGGGTGTGGTGGCTCACGCCTGTAATCTCAGCATTTTGGGAGGCCAAGGGGGTTGAATCACCTGAGGTCAGGAGTTCAAGACCAGCCCGGCCAACATGGTGAAAACCCGTCTCCACTAGAAATACAAAAGTTAGCTGGGCGTGGTGGCACATGACTGTAACTCCAGCTACTCTGGAGGCTGAGGCACGAGAATCGCTTGAACCCAGGAAGCAGAGGCTGCAGTGAGCCGAGATCATACCACTGCACTCCAGCCTGGGTAACAGAGCAAGACTCTGTCTCAAAAAAAAAAAAAAAAAACAAAGAAAGAAAGAGAGAAAGAAAGAGAGAGAGACAGAAAGACGAAGGAAAGGAAAGGAAGCCAAGGACAACCTTTGGAAAGAGAGAAGAGACACTGAGGAACAGAAATCAGGCAAAGGAAGGTGATCTGAGAAAAATCTAGATCTTGGAGTGTTGTCCAGAAAGGTCTAATGTAGATAAAAACAACTGGGGCAGTGTGGAGGCGGTGTAAGGGCAATGGGCCCCTGGGAAGAGAGGAGTGCTTTGAGGCTGCTGAAGACCTTTCTTGTGAGTTCCAATTTCTGAGTTTCTCTGGGGCAGAAAGATCTTTCAGCAGTCCCAACCCAGACCTGCTCTGCCCCAAACAGAGGCAAGAGCTTTGCCTAAAATATCCAGAATACCAGGGAGTTTGCAAAAAAAAAAAAAAAAAAAAAGGCCGTTTTCTCTTCCTCTTCCCTGAACAAAGCAATGCAATGCAGCAATAGCAGCTGAGACACTCTCATCCTTCATTCAGAAACAACAAAGGAAATTATCTTTAGGAGACACAAACCCTTGTACAATAGACTAATGGGCAAAATAGTTGCCAGGCTGTAGGCCCTTTACTCAGTATGCAAATGAGCTGAGTGGAAGGGAAGAAAGAATCAAAAACAGCTGTTCTGTTTTCTTTCTCCCTGTGTTGACAAGGAGAAAACAATTTTTCAAGTGGCTACAATAAATAAATAAATAAATAAATAAACAAACAAACAAATAAATAAATAAATAACTCTATAGCTATATTGCTCCTGCTGCAAAGGCAGCCTCCACACTTAGATTTCTTATTGTTCCATCGTCCTGAATACACATAATTATTCTAGGTCTGGTATTATCTGTTCTGCACAAACAGCTGAGTATCTTTCTGAACTTTTGTCCTATACCACAAGGACCTATCAAAAATAAAACCCACAAAATAGCAGGAAGTGAAAGGATGCTTTCATGTCTAGTGCAAAATTTTCAGGGGGGAGGCTCTGCCCCCACTATGCACATGAGCACAAAGACCCCTGCGCACACACTCTCTCAAACACACACGCACATGCTCACACACACACACTCCTCAAGAGCTATATACTTCCCTCCGGACTTGGGAAAGGAACATAATTACAGATCCTCAAACTCCTTCCACTGCATCATGCTTTGGCTGTACTGTAGGGATGTAGTCGCCGCCCACACGCAGCCTGGAAAGCAACCGGCTCGCCTTAGAACTGCCTCGAGAGCCATATGTGCATCGGCTGCAAAGCCAACTATGATTTCCTCCTGGGCACATGGTTCAATATATGTTTTTGCACAGGCAGGCGTGGACGTGAAAGTCATTTTTCAAGAACTCAGATCCTCGGATATACGTATTTATACACATAGCAGTGCTATGGAACTTGCTATTGAAAGGGGGACATCTTGTGGATTATCTGAGAATTCAGCATTTCTGGAAGGTAGGCCAGTAATAGGAATTTTTCAAGCAATGCCTATATGCCAGGCACAACACTAACCACTTTACATTGATTATCTCCCTGATCCTCAGAGTGAACCTGGGAAGTAGGGGCTGTTTTTGGCGGTTACACAGATAAGGAAACTGAAGCTTTGGGAGATTAAATAATTCATCCAAAGCTTCACATCTAATAAGTGGAACAGCCAGGATTCAAACACAGGTTTTATTGGCTTGAAAGTTAACCTGCTCTCTTTATGTTATACTACTATCAATATGCTTAGCAGGAGTGTAAGAATTGGCACTGCCAGGTCATTGGTTAAGAGTGTGCGCTCTGGCGCCACACTGCTTGAGCTTGATTCCAGCTCTGCTGGCTATCCTTGACAGGAGACATATCCAGATGACCCTGTTGGCTCATTTCCTCCTCCTTTTTGGTAGTTTCGCAGAGAGCTGGCTCAGCAGCACTGAGCCTGTCTTCAAGATATAAAAAGGCCTTTGGCTAACGCCACCGTTCCTGGTAGGCAAGGCTGTTCCTAGGGCCTTAAGTTATGCAGATCCTGGCCCTCCATAGGCCTGTTCCCTAATGGTCCCTGGGATGGAGAATCCCTTGATACAGCTCCTGTCCCTTAAAAAAAAACTAGATGTCCCCTAGTCCCTCTTAGGCTAAACTAAATATATAATACAAGTTGGGGACAGGATTCAATCTCGCTCATGGAGTGCTTTCTCCCAAATCTAGTGTGCTGGCCCGGGAAGACACTGCCCCTGCTGGAACCTTGGTCACAGGGCATACAGAACATCTCTATCTGACGTGTACTGTGGAGTAGTGTTCCAAGGACTGCATGCACTCTGCTGCTTCTTTGTTTGTAAATACCACCCACATAGAAACCCCCTGCTATACCTGCACTTTGTGCTACTAGTGGTTTGCGTCTGTGGCCCCCTTGCATGACGAATCTTGGACACATTACAGCTGAACAACACAGGGGTTAGGGGTGCCCGCCCCCAACAGTCAAAAATCCATGTATAAGTTTTGACTCTCGCAAACCTTAACAAATAGCCTACTGTTGACCAAAAGTCTTACTGATAACATAAAGTTGATTAACATATATTTTGTATATTACATTATATACTGTATTCTTTTTTTTTTTTTTTTTGAGACACAGTCTCACTCTGTCGCCCGGACTGGAGTGCAGTGGTGCCATCTCAGCTCACTGCAACCTCCACCTCCCGGGTTCAAGCGATTCTCGTGCCTCAACCTCCGAAGTAGCTTGGATTACAGGCATCCGCCACCATGCCTAGCTAATTTTTGTATTTTTAGTAGAGACAGGGTTTCACCATGTTGCTCAGGCTGGTCTCGAACTCCTGATCTCAAGTGATCTGCCTCCCTCAGAGTCCCAAAGTGCTAGAATTACAGGCATGAGCCACTGCACCCCGCCTATACTGTATTCTTATAATAAAGTAAGCTAGAGAAAAGACAGTGTTATCAAGAAAATCATGGCTGGGCATGGTGGCTCATGCCTGTAATCCCAGAACTTTGGGAGACCAAGGTGGGAGGATTTCGTGAGCTCAGGAGTCCAAAACCAGCCTGGGCAACATAGAAAGACTTCGTCTCTACTAAAAATTAAAAAAAAAAAAATCAGCCAGGTGTGGTGGCAGGTGCCTGTAGTCCAAACTACTCAGGAGACTGAGGTGGGAGGATCACTTGAGCCCAGGAGATGGAAGCTGCAGTGAGCCATGATGGCACTGCACTCTAGCCTGGGTGACAGAGTGAAATCCTGCCAAAAAAAAAAAAAAAAAAAAGGAAGGAAGGAAGGAAAGAAAGAAAAAGAAAGAAAGAAAGAAAGAAAGAAAGAAAGAAAGAAAGAAAGAAAGAAAGAAAGAAAAGAAAAGAAAGAAGAAAGAAAATTATAAGGAAGAAAAAATATATTTACTATTCATTAAGTGGAAGGGGATCATCATAAAGGTTTTTATCCGTCCTGTCTTCATGATGAGTAGGCTGAGAAGGAGGAAGGCAAGGGTTTATCTTGCAGTCTCAGGGGTGAAAGAGGTGAAAGAAAATCCATGTCAACCAGTGCAGTTCAAACCCATGTCGTTCAAGGGTCAACTACATACAGAGCTTATAGTGCCTGGCCCAAAGTAAGCACTCAGTAAACATTAGCTATTAGTATAACTCTACTCAGAGTAGAAAAGGATCTTAGAGGTCACTGAGTTCAGGCCTCTAACTTTATAGATGAGGAAACAGAGGCCTAGAAAATAGAAGAAAATTTGAATGAGGGGACACAACCACTTAGTGGTAGGATGAAACAAACGCCCAGATCTTTCTCTCCCAGTCCAGTGTGATTTAAAATGTTGGCACATAAACAGAGCTGTATAAAGTGAATCTGATATTAAGCACCCTAGGAGTGCCAACTATTTTTTTAAAAATCCTTAATGAGTCATTTTAGAATGTGATAAGCACCTGTCACTTACCCTTTCCTCTAACCTGCCAGATCTTCCCCATCCTCAAAAGCCCAGCTCAAAACATCACCTCTAAGAAGTCTATCCTCTCTTCAGTCTCACTCCCCCGCTTCTTCTCTGAATTCTTGCAGCACTTGTCATCCCTGCCACACCGTTTAGCACTTAATACTCTCTTGTATTCTTTTGTAATGTTTCATGCTGTTAATCTCATCTGTCCAGCTAGAATGTAGGTTCCCCAAGGGTAGGGAGCATTTCCTCTTCGTCTGTAGTACTACAGGCTCTAGCATTAAACTGAATGTCTATCGGTAGACGTTCATTATTTCTTTACTGGTTTTTATCAAAGTTTTACTATGTTTTATCAAAGCAAATTATCCTGAACCATGCTAAACAGAGAGCTGGACATACACAATGCCAAAACATACACGATTCATTCAGGCGCTCATTCAGGATGTTCCTTAGATACTGGGGCTGGATTTTAGGCACTGTTTATAGAAGTTCCCCCCAACTCCCACAAAATTCTCTTCTTGTGGAAATTCTGCCCATGCAATGCTTTTCAACAGTTTCAAAATCAAATGTGTCAGGCACTATTTCAAGCTTTTTACATATATTAATTCATTAAATCTTTGTATTAAGGTAGGTATTACTATTATCTCCATTTTCCAAATGGGAAAACAGGCTCAGAGTGGTAACCTATGCAGGATCACACAGCTAGTAAGTGTGTGATCCTGATTTTGAATCCGAAATGAGGGTTCAATCTCATGCATTCTGGGCCCAATGTGGTGGCTCACACATGTAATCCCAGCACTTTGGGAGGCTGAGGCAGGCGAATCACTTGAGGGCAGGAGTTTGAGAACAGCCTGGCCAACGTGGTGAAACCCCCTCTCTACTAAAAATACAAAAATTAGCTTGGCGTGGTGGTGCACACCTGTAATCCCAGCTACTCAGGAGGCTGAGGAGGGAGAATCGCTTGAACACGGGAGGCGGAGGTTGCAGTGAGCAGAGATTGTGCCACTGCACTCCAGCCTGGGCAACAGAGCAAGACTCCATCCCAAAAAAAAAGATGTTATCTCATGCAATCTGGCCCCAGAGCCCGGGCATTTAACCAATCTTCTACAACGCCTCTCCACCTTCACAGTGATCCTCAGTGGTGTGTGTGCCACTTCTCTTCTCCAAAGGGGAAAAGAAAATATTTTTCATGGTAAAACAAATGAGGAAAAGCAACCCCCTAAAGTTACAGTACAACTACACAGTGCCATGAGAACTGAAAAGGGAAAATAAGCCGTCCAATCCGACTGCCATTAGGGAGCACTTGTTGAATGCCAGATACTCTGCACTTCACGTACACTGTCTCTTTTAGTCCTTACAACAATGCTGCGAGGTTGATGTTATCTCCACTTTTCCGATGAAGAAATGGAGGTTTACAGCATCCACGAGAGAGATCTAGTTAAGAGGTAGAGCCTGAATATGAACCCAGATATGCGTGCCCCCAAAACTAGCGCTCTTCAGCACTATGCCATCCTCATGATTTGAGTCTGTATACACATAGGAGATTTGAGGTCATGTTTTAACTCTAAACCGATTGTACTAGCATCAGGCAAGAGAGTCTGAGTATGATTTTTGTCACTCTGGACAGCCGCAGAGGCAGGGTCAGCAGACAGGGGACCAGAATAAACAAGAGCTATACAGTCACTAAAAATCAAAAGCTTGTGGCACATAAGAATTTTGGTTCAGATAAAATGACGGCAGTGTGAAGGCATGCCCTGGCCATCAGGGCATCATAGAGCAGTGGTTCTCAAAATCGAGTGGGCCTCAGCATCCCCTGGAGGCCACGGCATGGCACAGGTTGCTGTGTCCCTATCCCGGGGTTTCTGATTCACTACATCTCAGGTAGCACCAGATAATTTGCATTTCTAACCAGTTCCCAGGTGATGCTGATGCCAAAGGTCCTGGGACCACCCTTAGAGATTCACTTTAAGAATCACAGAGGAGATTCTGGGCAGAAGACAAAGCCAGCTCGGAGTTTATCCAACATCATGTACTGGGCCCTATGTGCTTCTCAGTCTCTCTACTTTACACTTGCAGGCTCGGTCCTACTTCTATTTAAAGGATCTATCCTGACTAAAAGCAAGGACTTAAAGAGCTTCCCTCATAAATAGCCTGGGTATTTGCAAAGCAAGCTGCACTGAGAAATCAGTTTCCATCTTAGTCTCAACTCCTGTTTCTTAGAATCTAACATCCTGATCATCTATAAAAGAAGTCCTGCTTGACTGATTGCAGACCCATCCAAGGATGGGGCTTTTGCCTGATTTGCAACTCAGTAACTGATGCATTGCTACCTATTGTATGGCACGCCCGGTGCTGACTGTGGGTCAAACATTCTAACTTCTAGGGACACTCGAGGCTACTTTTTCCCATACCAAGGAGAACTCTGCATATTGATCAAGGTGTCCTGAGCACCACAAAATGGGACTATGTTAGTAGTATCCCCTTATGGTTGATATAGAAGATCAGGCTTAGACAATCCTCCTGCTGGAGGCCTTTGGAAGGCCAAGAGGAAGAGGGTAGAGTTCAAGGAGGCAAAGCATGAGTGACTTACATTTGCTCTTCTCTAAATCTTTAGGACAATATCTCTGTCTCTCTCTCTCTCTCTCTCTCTCTCTCTCTCATTGTCTCTCTTCCCTTCTGCCATTTTGGAATAGTAGGAACAAAAGGTTAAACAAATGGGACCAGGAGAACACTGGAGGGAAAAAGAGGCCTAGAGTAGCCTGTCTCCAGTAGGGGCTCCATGCTAAAGAAAGAGAAGAGTTCTCAAGGCAAATCAATGGTTGAGGGCAGCTCTCCCAGAGTCATATAGTACAGGAGTTTGGAAACCAAAACAATTAGTGAAGACCCTGCCTTTGCTAGTGGTGAACTCTCTGTGTTTTTGATAACTTAGGGTCCTGGCAGAACAAAAGCAGTAGGAGACTAGAAATGACTTGAAAACCAGATGGTAACCAGGTGTGGTGGCACGTGCCTGTAGTACCAGCTGCTCAGAAAGCTGAGGTGGGAGAATTCCTTGAGCCCAGGGAGGATGAGGGTGCAGTGAACCATGATTGCATCACTGCACTCCAGCTTGGGCAACAGAGTGAGACCCTGTCTAAAAAAAAAAAAAAAAAAAAAAAAAAAGGCCAGGCACAGTGGCTCAAGCTTGTAATCCTAGCACTTTGGGAGGCCGAGGTGCGTCAATCACTTGAGGTCAGGAATTCAAGACCAGCCTGGCCAACATGGTGAAACCCCATCTCTACTAAAAATACAAAAATTAGCTGGGTGTGGTGGTGCATGCCTGTAGTCCCAGCTACTTGGGAGGCTGAGGCAGGAGAATCGCTTGGACCCAGGATGCAGAGGTTGCAGTGAGCCAAGATTGCACCACTGCAGTCCAGCCTGGGTGACAGAGCAAGATTCCATCTGAAAAAAAAAAAAAAAAAAGGAAAAAGAAAAGAAAAAAAAAAAAGAAAACCAGACGGATTCTAGATATGTTGTGAAAGTAGCACTGACTACCTAAGTGACATCTCTAAGCTTCAGTTTCCTCACCTTTGAAGTAGACATAGCAACCTATGTGACAGTGTCTCGCACATTGTAAGGGCTTTGCAAGTGGTATCTACTAATACTATTATTGTTATGTATTATTATTTCTCCATGCTTTTGGACTATAGATGGGCCCTGACTTGCTACATGACATTCATCTTACTACTCTGGGTTTCAGTTGCTCTGTCAGCAAGAAATATAAATATCTGCACTACACACCTTACCCAGATGTAGTGAGAACAACACTATGCATATGTTTTGGAAAAAAAAAAAGATAAAAGCCCAATCTAAATGTCAAGTAGTACGTAGTATTGTTACATGGGTTCTAGAAATCCTTATTCTCATGACAAACAATTTAATAAAACAGTCAACCCAGCATTAGTCAGTACCATCCCCCGGTATCTCCATCTATCATCTTAAGACGACAGGTTTCTGAATTAGCTTGCAAGTCATCGTATGCTGCATTTCATAGAATTCTTAATTAACAACCTAATTAAACTAGAACTGCAGTTTCATTTACTGAAAACTGGGCAGCCCAAGTGGTGGGCAAAGTGCTATGAAATGAGGCTAAAGATGTAGGCAGGGTGGCTAGGTGCAGTGGTTCACTCCTGTAATCCCAGCACTTTGGGAGGTCAAGGCGGGCGGATCACCTGAGGTCAGGAGTTCATGACCAGCCTGGCCAACATGGCGAAACCCTGTCTCTACTAAAAATACAAAAATTAGCTGGGCATGGTGGCACACGCCTGTAATCCCAGCTACTCAGGAGGCTGAGGCAAGAGAATTGCTTGAACCCAGGAGGCAGAGGTTACAGTGAGCCAAGATCGCGCCATTGCACTCCAGCCTGGGTGACAAGAGTGGGACTCTGTCTCACATAAATAAATAAATAAATAAATAAATAAATAAATAAATAAAATTTTTTAAAAATGTAGGCAGGGAACAAAGCCAACCATTCAGGCCCTTGCAGACCGTAGGAAGGACCGACTCTATCCTAAGGGCAATGGAAGCTTCTGCAGGATTTTAATCTGAAGGGGAGACGGAGATGGTGAAGACATTATTTGATTGACTTGGGCTGCTATAAGGAAAGTGGACTGAAGGGAGGCAAGAGTGGAGGTAAAGGAACTACTTAGGTGGCTACTGCAGTCATCCAGGTGACGCTGTTGGTGTCTGGGTCTAAACTGACAACAGTGAGGATGGAGAAAAAAAAGGAAAAATTTGAGAGGTCATATAGAAGGCAAAATTGAAAAGACTTGGGGAGGTGGATGGAGCTCAGAAAAGAGGCCTGAACTGAAGGTATGTTTGGAATATATTCATTCTCACCACCAACTGTTTGCCTGGACCATTACCTGGACCTGCTAACTGTACTTGCTTCCCCCTCTCAACCACACCCTTCTAGTGTAGCCACTAGTGTTTAGATCTAGTTCCAGGTCTTGGCCCTTGCCAGGCTGGCACTGCAGCAAATTAACTGAGCTAAGGCCAGTGGTGTCCCAAGTTGTAATATTGTGCCCATTAAGTGTGTCCAGATCATAGATGGCTACAAGACAGAGCAAAATGAGGTAGGGTAGTAGGTGATGGTGTTTAACGGGCCATACATACAGGAAAGAGATTCCAAACAGAAGTCAACTGGCAGCCCAGAGTGGGAAATGTATGCCTACATATCTTGAATTCTGAAGCTAAAACTGATCTCCAGGGACTCAAAGCCAGGAGGAAGGCACAAGAAGACTCTGAATGAGCACGTACACTGCTGGTAGCATTTGGGCTTCAACAGGGACACTTAGGAAATGGCGTGAAAGCAGAGACGAGTTAGGGAATGTCTCAGGTATCAGTGCATGCTAGTTTCAAACACTCTTTGCTAGTAATTTATTTTAACTATCAAAACTGTTTTATGTTGCATTGTCATGCATACACTTACATGAATAATCTTAAGACCCTGAATGGGATGGCACAGCAACTCCATAATTTCTATAATAAAAGAATATGAGTAAAAAAAGGGGACTCAAAGATGTGTCCTAAGGTTACATTTACCTGAGTGACGAGTGATGTCATCAACTGACGAAGACTTGTTGCTAGAAATCAAATGAAAACAAGGACATAATTAGCATCACACACACACATGCACACACACAAACACGTACAGTACTTAAATGGATTTTATCAAAGTGGATTGTTTTTCTTCCTAAAAGCCAGTCCAATGGTAGATTATAGCAGAGCTTCCCAATGCTGTGAGCTGTGGAGACTTGGTATCCCAGCATTTTGGGAGGCCAAGGCGGGTGGATGACGAGGTCAGGAGTTCAAGACCAGCCCGGCCAAGACAGTGAAACCCCATCTCTACTAAAAATACAAAAATTAGCTGGGCGTGGTGGCAGGCCCCTGTAATCCCAGCTACTCGGGAGGCTGAGGCAGAGAATTGCTTGAACCTGGGAGGCAGAGGTTGCAGTGAGCGGAGATCACGCCACTGCACTCCAGCCTGGGCGATAGAGTGAGACTCCGTCTCAAAAAAAAAAAATTGTGGTTGATTTGTGGAAGGCTAATAGAATGCACCTACCTGCCTTCCCTTTTCCCTTCCACTTCCACTAATGGTAAACTGCAGCATTTCCAAAGAATGACATGTGTTCCATTAGTAGTACATGAGTTGATCTGAAACGACACCCAGATGAATAATGTACACACACACCCCAAACCCGATTTTCAAGACATCTTTGCTTAAGGAAAGGCTAAAGTTTTTAATTTAACAGATGATTAAAAGAAAAAAATCACATAGGATATTAGAGGTAGTACCTAAATTACAAATGACTGAATTTTGGCCTTACTAATCTAATGTAAAGTGCACAAAGGCTCTGAAACCAATAGACCAGGATTTTAACACCTCATTTACTACTTATGAGCTGTGTGCCCTTGCATGTTTCTTCATTTCTCTGATCTTCAGTTTTGTCATCTGTAAGTTAGGGATAACAAAATTGTTGACAGGGCCCTAAAGAAAATAACACATATACAGCCCAAAATACAGGACTTAGCTCATAAGAGTTCAAAAAAAGTTATTTCCCTTTTTTTTCAGCCTAGTGGTGCTCTTTCACCTAAATCACTCATTGGATCTCAAAGTTGAGTCCAAACAGAAACCACTCAGAACTCTGAGTAGGTGCTTTAAAGCTGACAGCATCAATGCTTAAAAGTGCTGGGTACAGCAAATTTATATCAGTCCAGATAATTATGCTCAGATATATTAGGTCTGAAGCGCATTTAGCTGAAGGTGCAGCCAGATAGAGAAAATTTCAAATTTGAGCTTGGCTCTGAAAAGGAAGTCACTGAATTCCTTTTCTCTTTGAAGCTTTCTCTGTTGATTTTCATCAGAAGTTTTCATTTTTTTATGTGAGTTCACTAACACAAGATAGAAGAGATTTGCTTTTCAAGAAAACTTATTCACAGATGACACAAAGACATAAAGACTTGAAAGGAGAGAATTGTGCCCACTTTGGACCTTATAAGTCCCTTTGCAGCAAATCAGAATAATAGTATACACATCGGTAGTGCTTCCCCATACATCAGCTCCATTCAACTCCAGTTGCCTTGTAAGAGTCCAGGGAAACCTTTGCTGGTAGACCCTCTTACCCAAAACATCAAGAGATGCCACACTCCAGTGAGAAAGCAGCGCTGAGAATTAGGTTGGAAGCTGGGTCTAATAAGCCAAGAAAAGAATCCAGAAGAGATCATGAAAACCTGTGAGGACGAGTGTAGATATTTATACAAACAGAAACAATGCCAGGAATTAGATGGCCAGTCATAATGAGAGCAAGGTGTCAGGGATAACAGTGGAAAGGAGGGACTGGACCTGGACAAATGAATAGGAGAAGTGCCATTTTCCTGGCTGAGCTTAAAGGTCCCAGGAAAAATATTTTTTTTAAATATTCCCCCACTGTTTCCATTGTTTTCAGCATCCCAAAATGTTGTGTGTAGAGAGACAGAATAGCGGTGCACCACCCAGTACTTTCTTGAGATCAGCCTTAGGCAGCATCACTCAACTGTGAGCTTCTTGAGAGAAAGGACTGCATCTGATTTCATACCTTACCAGGATCAATTCTGTTGGTCTCCTTTCCTCCCAACAGTCTCACTCTCTACTCCCATCATACACAACCAAATATACATCTCTACCTGGATAGTGCATGAGCACTTCAAAGTCATTACATCCAAAGCTCAACTTATTATTCCACCTCAACAGAAATCTGCTCTTCTTCCTGTGTTGCCTATCTCAAGCACATACCACCACCTCCAAATCAGTGGTTCAAGCCAGAAATTCATATTCGAACACCAAATATTCCTTCTCCTTTGCCTATCAGTCATTAAAGTCCTCTCAACTCTACCTTCTAAATCTCAACCAATGCTTGGTTGCTTGGATTCCACCCCAATCCTCTTGACTCAGATTTTGTAGGGACAGAATCTGAAACCTCCTATTTTTTATAAGCTTTCCAGGTGATCAGATGGCTGATAGTCCAATGACCAGGTTAGAGAATCACTATTCTACTCCATCCCCTCCCTCTCTAGTCCCCCGCCTGAACTCGGGAACTCATCATCTCTCTCCTATAGATTTTAAGGTTCATGAGAACAGGAATCAAGTCTGTTTTGCTCACTATTGTATCTCCAGTGCATACTTAGCATAGTACCTGGCATATTGTATGCCTCCAATACATTTTTGTGGAATGCATAAATGAACTAGGGAAAGGAGGGAGCAGTAAAATATTCAGGATAAATTTTATATACCTTATTGCCATTCAGTTCAAAACTTCAGTTTAGCCAAGTGTATAGCTTACCCAATCATAGCCCTTTCAAATCCCGTTTTACTCAAGAATATCAAAATTCCATGTATGTTGGTTAGGGTAATGCTAGCCGCTGTAACAAAGAAACCGAGTGACTTAACACAATAGAAATGCACTTCCTGTTCACCTAACAGTCTAGTTTGGGCACTCCTGGTCAGCAAATAACTTTTCAGATGGAAATATAAGAACCCAGGTTCCTTACCTCTTGTAGCTCTTCCATCTTCAACACACTGAATTCCAAGGTTACTATGGTTGTCTGCATCAAGAAATCAAATGGGAGGGTATAAAATGAACACCTGCTTTTAAAAGTGACACAAATTGCTTCTGCTCATGTTCCATCAGCAAGTATTAGTCACATGGCACCACCTAGATGTAAGGGGAGATCAGAAATGTAATCCCAGTGACAACTCCACAGAGATGGGAAATATTAATTTCTTGGTGATTAATTAGCCATCTTTTTTGCCACACCATATCAGCTGGTAAGCTGACTGTGCAAATCCACTTAGGCAGTATAGTTAACTGAACTTTAACCTTACAGACAACTTACAAAATAATTTTCATTTCAGAGATTGGCTGCACTGTTCAACTGTACCAGAAGGGATAGGGGATTGTTTTCTAAGCAGAGAATGTCTCTGGGGAGCTTAGCACAGAATGGAACCAAGAGACAGATGAGCTAAAGGTGCCAATTGGCTCACCTCTCCTAGTTTGCACTGCATCTCCTTACTGGCAAACTTGACTAAAACACAAAGTACAGTTATTTTCAAATGTGGGCTTTTGATCTCAGAGCTCTAAATCCTTCCTCTGGGGGATAAAATGGCCAAATGGCAGCTTAGCTAAGACAAAGAGTTTGCATCTGAAAGATATCCCCAGAAAGTTGCAATGGCACAAATTCATCTCCATCAAGATTTTGCTGCCTGAACACACACGCAAAAAAAAAAAAAAAAAAAAAAAAAAAAAAGTTTGGTTATATTCATGCCAATCTTCTAAACTATCATAGAAAACTTCTGGGAGCACAGACATTTAATCATGCTGGAATGGAATGGCTTTTGGGGACAGCATGTCTTTGGGTCTATTTCTATTCAAAGTCTTAAAGTGCTTCAAGTGCCTGGCTAGCCTGATGGATTAGGTACTGAACCCTGAGGCTCTTAAGGTCAATGATTTATGTCAGCTGAAAGCTGTGAAATGTCATTCTGCTGAGAGGGCTATGCAACATTCAGTCGATAGAAAATTAGCAGACCCTTGAACATGTATTTTAGCACCAGCTGCTAGGCCCTCTAGAGATGTTCACCATATCCAGATGAAAGCTTCCCAGGAAGGACCATCAGACCCTCAACAGCAACCAGAGCCAAGACTGGCCTAGAGACATGTGATCTATTTTAAGATTGCAGAAAATGATGCAACCAATGGAGACCTCATTATAGATCCTCACCCCTTCTAAGGCCAGTGAATGAACAATGTTTGAAGGGGAGGGAAGAAATGAAAATGGATTATCAATGCAGACTCAATAACCAATCTTAAGCCTCTTCAAGTCATTGAAAGAAAAGCCAGGTTCCATTCCCCAACGTGTCCTAGCTGGAGTGGATCCAGTGTCCACAGAAGCTTGAGTCAGAAATTGTAAGAGCCTTTCTCCTGGTATGTGACACTGACATCTGCTCCCTCCTGGTATGTGACACTTACATCTGCTCCCACATCTGTGGAAGGAATCCAGGTCTTCCTGGATTATTCCCTCTTTCTGGGCTACTATGACCCTCACACTAGCATCGCTGGTCCTTTAGCTCAGCTTTGCCTCCAGATTCAACTTCCTTAGACTCCCCTCAATTCACAACCTGTTCTGGACTTGCTATTCTGGCTCAGTGTTCCCTCCAGCCTAAACTACAATTCTTCCCTTGGCTTTGAAAATCATGCACCACGCTTTGGGGTTACTAGCCCTGGGCCCTGGTACTGTGGAACCAACTATTTGGGATGTTGGCTGCACCATTTCCCCACACAGAAAGGAACTGGACATCTCTCATTAGTATACACAGAACAACATCTCACTGAGCACTTACCATCTATGATTGTCAGTGGCTGCCCCATCTCCAGCTGCCCCATCTCCACCCCATCTCAGCTGTCTGAAATAAGCATTCAGCCATTTTTATGCTGCCCCATCCCACCTTGGCTGTTCCCCAGCACTAGGTCAAAGTGCCAGACATTTTCACAATATAATCAGGCACCAGGCCACCACTGTATTAATAATAATCTGTATAACAAATAATAATAACTGCATAACAAATAATCCAAACACTTAGCAGCTTACACAACAAACATATCACAGTTTCTGAGGGTCAAGAATCTGCAAGAAACGTAGCTAGATGGTTCTGGCTGAGGGTCTCTCAAGTTACAGTGGTTGTAGGTTAAGGCTGCATTTATCTGAGGGTCCTAGAGAAGCTCACATTTGTGGCTGCTAGAAGGAAAGTTCAGTTCCTCACCACATGGGCCACTTCATAGGGCAGCTCACATGGCATGGCAGTCGGATTCCCCCAGAGTGAGTGCTCTGAGAGAAAGTCTCCAAAGTGGAAGCCACAGTCTTTTCATAACCTAATTTTGAGGCTGACATTCCATCACTTCTATTCATTAGAAACAATTCACTGACTGGACACAGTGGCTCACATCTGTAATCCCAGCATTTTGGGAGGAGGAGGCAGGCAGATCACCCAAGGTCAGGAGCTCGAGACCAGCCTGGTCAACATAGTGAAACCCTGTCTCTATGAAAAATACAAAAATTAGCTGAGTGTGGTGGCAGGTGCCTGTAGTCCCAGCTACTTGGGAGGCTGGGGCAGGAGAATCTCTTGAACCCGGGAAGCAGAGGTTGCAGTGAGCCAATATTATGCCACTGCACTCCAGCCTGGGTGACAGAGCAAGATTCTGTCTCAAAAAAAGAAAAATAAAAAAGAAACAAGTCACTAAGACCAGGCCACATTCAAGGGGAAGGGAATGAGGCTTCATCTCCTAAAGGGAGGAGTAGCAAAGACTGGACACATGTCATTAAAACTACCACAAACACCAAACACTTCCAGAAGGGAAGACAAGCGTTTCTTGGCCCCCTTCTGCCTGCGTCTGTCAGACACTCAAGGCATCTCCATTCTCCTCCAAGCTCGGGTGCCCAGTTGTGGGGAAAGTCTTTAATCATATTCCAGCCAATTTGTGGGTTCCAGCGACCTGCTTTACTTGCTGTCAGCACCCCTTCCTATAGGCCAGGCCCTGGCTCTGCCTCTCCCTCCTTAGTCTGAGAGTCCCCTGGATTTACCTGATCCACATCTGAGGTGTTGCTCTACCTGCACTTCTATAGTAGGGACAGTATGATGCTCCCAGAGCAGATTCTGTGCACCTGGCAGAACTAAATGAGATTGGCCCACCTCAGTTTGACTTCATTTCAGCTGCACAGCTCCCCTAGGAGCCACTTCTGCTGTCCCTGCCTTTCCCCAGCATTCTTGCCAAGATTCCCATTAACTTGGCCTCTTCATCCCCAGCTGGTGATGACAAGAATGCTGAACTAGATCCTCTCCTAATGAAAGCCCAATCTGCACTTCCTGAACACAGAGAAAAATTGCAAGCCCCCCGGGAAAAGGCCAGAGTGTAGATCCCCTTCCTGTGCACCCAGAAATAGCTTTAAGATCCCCTCTTAGGCCTGAAAGAATAACAGGGACTATCGGGGAGCAACTCCTTTATGTCTGAAAAAAAAAAAGTCTTAAATTTATTAGTTTTAATTATCATGCTAAATTCTCTATACCAAAAGCCATAACACTCAATTTAGCTACTGATATCAATCCTAAATGTATTCCCATTAGTGACATATGTATTCATATTTTGTCCCTTTTTTTTTTTTTTTAAATGGAGTCTCACTCTGTCGCCCAGGCTAGACTACGGTAGCACCATCTTGGCTCACTGTAACCTCCGCCTCCCAGGTTCAAGCGATTCTCCTGCCTCAGCCTCCCGAGTAGCTGGAATTACAGGCATGCGCCACGATGCCTGGCTAATTTTTGTATTTTTAGTAGAGACAGGGTTTTGCCATGTTGGCCAGGCTGGTCTCAAGCTCGTGACCTCAGGTGATCCGCCCGCCTCAGCCTCCCAAACTGCTAGGATTACAGGTGTGAGTCACCGGGCCTGGCCATATTTTGTCACATATTTGTAAGTGTGTACCTATTATTTTTATTCTACCTTTTTCATTTACTATCAATTCAAATACTAATTTCCTTAACAGTATAGTCTCCATATTTGTGATTTTTAATGGTCATGGGCCAGCCTGGCCAACATAGTGAAACCCTGTCTCTACTAAAAATACAAAAATTAGCTAGGTGTGGTGGCACGTGCCTGTAGTCCCAGCTACTCGGGAGGCTGAGGCAGAAGAATTGCTTGAACCCGGGAGGTGGAGGTTGCAGTGAGCCAAGATCGTGCCACTGCACACTCCAGCCTGGGCGACAAAGCAAGACTCCGAAAAAAAAAAAAAAAGGAAAAGGAAAAAGAAAAAAATGGCCGTGGGACATTCTACCTCACTGATGTGGTAGTTTTGTTTAGACACTCACCTCTTGCTGAATATTTCGTTGCTTCCAGCTTTCAATGGTTATGATGGAACTTTCATTAACATTTGTACAAATTACTTTCCTTTAAGGTTAAAAACAATTTCTTTTGTCTTAAGATTATTTCCACTTAGATGTTTTGAGCACACTTCAGGCTTTTTAGCATAATTTATACCTGCCTATATCTAAAGAGATTCTAGATGGCTTACAATAAGAGTATATATACAAGGCAATATTGGGCATGAACACTGATAGGACAATTAAAGTAGAAATAAAAACAGAACTAAAAAAGCTTATGTGAGGGCAGTAGCCTCTAGACCACATGATTCATGTTTTGAGAAGGAATAATTCTGTGAGCCTATGAGTTCAGACTTCAGTTTCTTCCTGTGGTGCTATTTGTTTCTGCCCACAGAGGGAACTTTCCATACCTCCCCACGCCCCCCGCCCAAAAAAAAAATTCTTTCTCTACTTTGTCGTTTAAGGAAACAGAATATGGTCATGACCTGCTACGTGTGTGATCTCAAATAGGTCATTGAACTTTGGTGTTCTTCAGTTTCCTTAGCTGTAAAATGAGGATGATAGCTTTACCTATAACACAGGGCTGTTATGAAAAAAAAAAAAAAAAGAATAAAAGCACTAAGAACAGTTCCTGGCCACTCACGCCTGTAATCCTAGCACTTCGGGAGGCCGAGGCAGATGGATCACTTGAGGTCAGGAGTTCAAAACCAGCCTGGCCAACATGGTGAAACCCTGTCTCTACCAAAAATACAAAAATTAGCTGGGCATGGTGGCACATGCCTGTAATCCCAGCTACTTGGGAGGCTGAGGCGGGAGAATCACTTGAACCCCGGGGAAAGAGCTTGCAGTGAGCCAAGGTCACGCCACTTCAGTCCAGCCTAGGCGAAAGAGCGAAACTCTGTCTCAAAAAAATAAATTTAATTTAATTTAAAAACAACCGTTCCTAGTACATAGTAAACACTATACACGTGTTCGTGAAATAAATAAAACAATAAGTCCTCCACATAGACAACACAAAGAATAAAGAGAAATGAAGGAAACACATTTAAAGTCACAAATACAGTTATATTTGGAAATGTTTGCCTCATATGGACACAAGACACCAAAGTAATTTTAAAGCATCCTTCTGGGTGGAATAATGAGGCTTGAGGCTTTGGAGTGGTGGCTGTTTGGAGGTAGAAGTGTTTTGGGGATATCAACTTTGGGGTGAAGGACTGATGAAAAAAATACATATATTAAGTTCGTTCTAAATAAGTAAACATTTGGTTTTGAAATGTCTCGAATGTCTCAAACGCTTGTGCCTCACCTGAGGGAAAATAAACACAAACTGTTTTTCCTCTGCTCTTTCTGGTAACCCGCCCACATCCTGATGTTGTCTAGAGGCTGGCAGCCATCAGTCAATCGTTAGCATTCAAAAAGACACAGCTTTGGAGATTCCAAGGATTTTTGGAGTTGTATGCCAGGAAACTGGGTCAAAGATCAAATATATACTTCACAATATAACAGTTCACCTAGTTTTTGAACCCGGTCACTTATGCCAAAAGGATACATGACTCAAAAGATACTGCCACATTACTAGAATCCAATCCAATCATTAATAATGAGTCCAGCCCATCATATTGTAGGAATGTCTCCCAGGGTGAGGTCACTCAGATTGACAGGCTTCCATTCGCAGGAGTGGTCTCAGTGAACATACGTCACCCTTTCAGGTATCTGGCATAATTCAGCTAAGACAATGTCATCTCTTATCAGATTTTCCTTAATTTATAATCAATTTCTTCATTCCTTTATCCTCTGCTACTATTTTTCCTACTCTCCATTAATATCCAAACTTGTTTTTACCTTTGGAAGGGATGTTAGAATCACCACTGTGCTGGTCTAGATTGCAGACAGCAATACTAGTCTTTAACAAGTACTTTCCCTCGGTCCATTCCCATTTAGATAGGTTGAGGTGACATAAGTGCAGTACTAGTGGGCTATTTTTATCACCAGGGAATATAGTGACATTCACTGTTAGTCCCAATTTTGCACACCCCACCTCCACCAGACCCTTAGGAATTCTGGCAGAAGCTTTCCTAGAAATCATTCCTACTTTCAGCAGCTGTAGTCCTGTGACCCCTGCATCAGGTAAAGAAAAAAACAATTAAGGTGATGTGAAGAAGAAAGGGAAAAAGTATAGTTATTATATCAGCATATTCCTCCCTTGGCAGAAATTGCATAATCATACCAACATCCTTCCCCATCCTCTCTTCCCCAAATCAACCAGCAAAATGGAGGAAAATATAGTGGGGATACTCATTTGGGCTCGCTCATCTTGAGTATGAGCACACACTCATAAAGGCGTGTAAACCAGCCCTTCATGCTTTTATGTCCCCCTGCTTTAGACAACCAATGTTTTAATTGCCCATTCAATTTCTCTATGAAACTGTCACTCTGAGGACATCTCTTTACCCATTCCTGGGCATTATGGGGCTATACAGTGGGTACCTTGGTCCGAAGAAATGGTGGTTGGATGGCCAAATCCATGTAATATCTTTGGGTTGTTTTGGTTTTTTTTAATGGCATTCTGAGCTTTTTTTTTTTTTTTTTTTTTTTTTAAGACGGAGTTTCGCTCTTGTTGCCCAGGCTGGAGTGCAACGGTACAATCTCTGCTCATGGCAACCTCCACCTCCCGGGTTCAAGCAATTCTCCTGCCTCAGCCTCCCAAGTAGCTGGAATTACAGGCATGCACCACCACGCCTGGCTAATTTTGTTTTTGTTTTCTTTGGTTTGGTTTTGTTTTGTTTTGTTTTTTTACTACAGATGGGTTTTCACCATGTTGCTCAGGCTGGTCTTGAACTCCTGACCTCAAGTGATCCACCCGCCTGGGCCTTCCACAGTGCTGGAATTACAGGTGTGAGCCACCGCGCCCGGCCATTCTGAGCATCTTCATCTTCCATTTGGTAAACAAAGCCCAGTCCAAAATCAGTGTCTATTCCTGTCACGACCCATTTGTGGCCCTCCAGGGCTACCAGCATCAGCCTCACTTGCCAGCTGTGTTCAGGGCCTGCCCACCAGGGAATCTGCCCCATAGCCATCGGCAGTGTCTGTCTCTCTTGCTGACAGACAGAAACAGTTTTTGCTGGCATAATGTTCCTGAGAGGGTGCAAAAGGAACATGTCTAGATTCAACCCATGTCTATACTGCTGCAGCTTCCCCATATCCACTCATTTCATGAACCCAGGTGGCCACCTCAAAGGAGCACACGGGGTTACTTGTTTGTCAATTCCAGTCCCCTTCCAAATCTGGAAGGGGGCTCTTCTGATGGGCATCGACATGCACCCTTTAATGTACCCCTCCAGTTTCCAAAGGGCGTGTCCCACATAAGCATCCCTTTAAAAAGGCCAGGTTTCTACTGCCCTCTGTCTGACCATATGGCCAGGCTATTGGCCATTGCCCACAAGTCAGTAAAAATCCAAACACAAGGACTTTCACCACTGTTCAATTCTTCCATCACTGCTAGGGAAAAAACATGTAATTCAGCCACTGGGCTGATTTGTTTTTACCTTCTTTGATCAGAGTGGCATCCTTCCAAATAGGATGTTGTCCATTCACCATGGAACCGTCATCCACAAACCAAGCAGCACTTTGACAGTCTGTTGGGAGTTGCTTATAGGGTACTGTAGAATCCAGCAGCTCCTCAAACACAGACAGTTCCAGAGCCAGTCCTAGAAAAAAACAGAATTCCTGCTCATGAGCATCTCTTTCTTGCAATCCCCAGGGAGCATGATCCCGTATAAACCATTTCCACTTTATTATAGAACTCTTATGAGCACTGAGCATTTCCATCTTTTTTTTTTTTTTTTTTTGAGACAGCGTCTCACTGCAGCCTCAACTTCCCCGGGCTCAGGCGACCTTCCCACCTCAGTCTCCCGAGTAGCTGGGACCACAGGCTCGCACCATCATGCCCGGCTAATTTTTGTATTATTTTTAGAGATGGGTTTCTCTATGTTGCCTGGGCTGATCTCAAACTCCTGGGCTCAAGGGATCTTCCCACCTCAGCCTCCCAAAGTGCTGGGATTACAGGCATGAGCCACCATGCCCAGCCCCCAATTTCTTAATAACCGTCCGAAGATTTCCACCCTGCTGGGACAAGTCCCATGACTCTCCCTTCTCTTTTTCTCCTCAGTTTCACCTTTATCATTGTTTTCTTTATTCACCTCATTTCTTAATAACCGTTTAAAAATTTCCACCTTCCAGGCCGGCGTGGTGGCTCAGGTCTGCAATCCCAGCACTTTGGGAGGCCCAGGCGGGCGGATCACTTGAGGTCAGGAGTTCGAGACCAGCTTGGCCAACATGGTGAAACCCCATCTCTGCTAAAAATACAAAAATTAGCCTGGCGTGGGTGGGCGCCTGTAGTCCCAGCTACTCAGGAGACTGAGGCAGGAGAATCTCTTGAACCCGGGAGGCAGAGGTTGCAGTGAGCCGAGATCACGCCATTGCACTCCAGCCTGGGCGACAGAGTGAGACTCCATCTCAAAAAAAAAAAAAAAATTCCACCTTCCTGGGATTAGGCTTTTTACTCTCCCCTCTGTCTTTCCTCATTCTCTTGTTAATTAACTTAATGTTTTTATTAGCATCCATAAGACCCATGAAAGGAATCTGAGAGCAAATTCAATAAGGCTTCTCCAATTTTGTAACAGTAAAGTTACATGAGGTGACCATGCAAAAAGGGCCCCCTTAACCACAGCATTTACAATGACCTGGTGAATATCCCGGTCATCATAAAGTCACATGGCTTGCATAGGGGGCCTATCTGCTGCTTCCTCTGGGGTTGGAAGCAGCAAACAGTCAGGGGTAGCTGGACAGTCTCCCTTCTCAGGGCAACATTTTACAGTGGCTTTTATCCAGTCCACCAAGCTTGTTGTTCCCTCAAGAACAATCTGTGTCTCAGGATTATGTATAGACATCTGTGACCATAACAAGCAGTGGGTCATGCATCAACCAGAACATGCCCTTCCCCTCTGCAACATTCATAACAAAAGCTACTGCCCCTAAATTGACCCATTACTCTTAGAATGCATTTTAATAAAAGCTCCCCAGGAGACTGATGATACTGATCTACAAAATGAAACAATTCCTTCACACTAGACCCATGGTTTCAATAGTTTCAATTGTTATTTTGTGTGGCCCTTCCCCCACACTGGCTACTTTCTTGGTATTAGAGGTACTTTTCTGTTGTCTCTGCTGCAGTTTTTCCCTTTGAGGCTAGAGGCCGAAGCTCAGACTCACTAAAATCTGAGCTTGGTCTAACATCATGGTCCAACCCAGCACTGTCTTTTAATTTCATATTACTGATAACAATAATCAAATAATAGGATATTAATGTTTCACTTTTTTCTTAGTTTGCATTGTCTTATGCATCCAGTGAACCAACTCCCCAAGAGGTAGATCCATCTCTAGATTCCACTGGTAACTTTCACCTTTAATAACTGAGCACAGCACAGTTGCAGCTCCGTATCATGGGTGACCACATGGCCACCCAGGAATCAAAAGCTCCTCATCCCTCATCTATTTTTATCCTTTCTTTCCCCAAACCACATGCTTCCCTGAGCCTGGGCTGGTCTAGCAAATTTTATTCCTCTGACACAAAGTCCGTGTAGAAAAAGCAAACTCAAAGTTCTTTTTCTGTTCTCTCATTCAACAACAATCAACACAGAAGAGACTTCTGTGACCAAATGTGTGGGGGGAGGGGGTTCCCCATACACGAAGCAAGCAAGCAATTCTGCATCGGATGCCAGCTGGGAGTCCTCCAATTCAATTCTGACACTCTCTACCTGGAGATAGTGTCAGATCCCACAGGTTGAGGGGCTCGGTCCCACAAGACTGTCCTCCCTTCAGACACCAGTCACAAATCCAAGCCTGCAGAACTTCTAACCGATCGGCTTCCAGCTGGGGTTACCACGACCTTTTCTTTGGGTTCTATTAATTTGCTAGTTCGGCTCACAGAGGTCAAAGAAACACTTAACAGTTTATGATAAAGGGCACTACAAAGGGTCCAGATGAAGAGATGCATAAGGCAAGGGCACACAAGAAGGGGTACGGGGCTTCCGTGTTCTCCGTGGGGGCGCACTACCCCCAGGAACCTCCAAGCTTCTGAACTCTGGCCTTTTGGGTTTTTATGGAGGCTTCATTACATAGGCATGATTGATTGAACCACAAGCCACTGGCGATTAACTTAAACTTCAGCCATTTGAAAGTCCCAACCCTCTAATCCTGCCTTGGCCTTTCCAGTGACCATCCCCCATCCTGAAGCTGCCTAGAGGCTGCCAGCCATCAAGCCAATCATTAGCATACAAAAAAGACTTCACATTGGATATTCTAAGTATTTTAAGAGTTCTATGCCAGGAAACTGGGTCAAAGACCAAATATATGTTTCACAATATCACATCACCCAAAGAGCCATTTTTCTTCCAGACACAGTGTTTGGGGTTTCTGATCAAAGAGTTCCCACTTTTTCCAAGAGATATTTCTTCCTCTCCCCTAAAAAGAGTTTTCCCCCTTGAAAAAAAATCTGTTAGATCTCTATCTCGTGCCACTACCAAAATAAACACCAGATGGATTAAAGATTAAAATATAAAGAAAAACTGGTTTAAAACTAGTAGAAAATATATGTGCATGTTACATAATCTCTGTGTGGTGAGAGTTTTCCCAAGCGTAACCCCAAGGGCAGAAAATCCAAAGGAAAAAATGATTTATTTATTAAATAAGTATTTATAAATTATGTCAAAAATCCCATAAATAAAATGTAAAGCTAAAAATCAAACTTGGAAAAAATATTCACAATTTGGATGTCAAAGAGTTAATATCCTCAATATATAATAAGCTCATAAAAAATTAACAATGAAAGATAAGTAGCCCAAAAATAAGCAAAGAATATGAGCAAGAATTTCACAAAAGAAGAAATGCATATGGGAAAGTAATATTACCCACTTCAATAATCACAGAAGTGCAAATTAAACCAACAAGAAAACATAGTTTCCTTGCATAAAATTGGCAAACATATTTAAATTTTTCCTAAGAGTGTGGGAGTCAGATGCACTCATCCCTTGACGGTGGTAGTAAACATCACTTCTGGAAGACTGGAAACACAAGAGATGCAAAAGCCTTTAAAATGCATATACCTGTTGACCCAACGATTCCACTTCTAAGAAATTATAAGGGAATTAACAACAATATGCACAAAGATGTTCACTGCTGAGTACATCTAATTTCAAAAGATGGGCAACTTTCTGAATTACAATACAACCCTATGATGAAAGAGTAGACACACAATTAAAGATTATATGGTTGAAGAATAGGACTAGTTACAAAAAAACTGCCAAATTAAAAACAAAAGATTAAAAACCAGTATGTATTATACTAGAAGGATAGCCCTTTTGACGCCCCTGCTTAAAACCATTCAGTTTTTTTTTCATCCTCTTAGAATGAAGTTTAAAATCCTTCACCTGCATGGTCTGTCTAGTCCCTGTCTCAGCTTCACCCTCATCATTCCCTGCATTGCTTTTTTCCTGTCATCTTAGCTTTCTTTTACATCCCACCGCAGAGGTCGGCAAATTTTCTTCTTTCTCTTTTTTTTTTTTTTTTTTTGGCGAC
Organism: Homo sapiens; assembly: GCF_000001405.40. Classification (NCBI taxonomy): domain Eukaryota; kingdom Metazoa; phylum Chordata; class Mammalia; order Primates; family Hominidae; genus Homo; species Homo sapiens. The sequence goes on along the minus strand of NC_000023.11, from coordinate 104,287,111 downwards.
AGAGTCTCGCTCTGTTGCCCAGGCTGGAGTACAGTGGCGCAATCTTGGCTCATTGCAACTTCCGCCTCCCAGGTTCAAGTGATTCTCCTGCCTCAGCCTCCCTAGTAGCTGGGAATACAGGCACCCACCACCGCGCCTAGCTAATTTTTTTATGCAAATTTTCTTCTGTAAAGGGATAGATAGCAAATACCTTAGGCTTTGCAAAGGAGCCACATGGTCTTCAGAAACTATTCAACTCTGCAAAGATTCAACTGTGCCACGATTCAACTCTGCCTCTGTAGCACATATGCAACCACAGACAATAGGTAAATGAATGGGCATGGCTGTCTTCAGATAAAACTTAATTTACAAAACTGGAACTGCTACAGCAGGTCACACTGGTAGTGTGCCCACTTCTGTCCTAGAACATCCCATATTACTTCCAGGCACTGGCATTTTGCTTTCCCACATGTTATCACCTCTGCTTGAAGGGATCTTCTCTCTTTCACATTTCAACTCAAATTCCACATCCCCCAGAAAACCTTCCTTAAGGTCTAAATCAGGATGGGTCCCCAACTCATGCACTCTCATGGCACAATGTGCCCTTTTTTGCCCTATTTTTTGAGACAGGGTCCTGCTCTGTCACCCAGGCCAGAGTGCAGTGATGAAATCACAGCTCACTTACAGCCTCAACCTCTGGGGCTCAAGCAATCCTCCCACCTCAGCCTCCTTTTGGCTGTAGTGGGACTACAGGTGCATGCTACCATGCCCGGCTAATTTTTATTATTATTGTTTGTAGGATGAGATCTCCCTATGTTGCCCAGCGTAGTCTTGAACTCCTGAACTCAAGTGATCCACCCACCTCAGCCTCGTATACTGCTGGGATTACAGGCATGAGCTTGTACCACACCTGACCAGCAAATCTTTAAAATAGGATAAAAGCAATGTATTGATAAATATGAAATGATGACAAAGGAATAAGAAAACTTTGAGTAAACGCATGATAGGAATGCATGGAGTTACTCTGCAAGGTCTCCTTGGAAGTGGTTTTCAGACCAGGTCTTCAAACTGATGGTTGTGTGTAAACTGGTAAAGGGGAAAAGAAGAACATAGCAGGTGAGGTGCACTAGGTGCACCTTTGCACTAGAATGTGCAAAGACATGAAGGTAGAAAGTAACATGTGCTCTTGTGCTGTTACATGAAAATGTAAGTGGAAAATCACAAAACCAAAAAAATTCAGGGAAGACCACAAACAGCATAGGAGAGGATTATATAATAGGTTTCCATTGAACTTTTCCCCTCTCTCTTCCCTTCTTCATCTTGCTTTTTAAAGTGTGCAAAATGGCAAAGCCCCAAGAGTGCCCCTGATGGGCTTTCTAAAGAATCCGAGATAGTTCACATTTCAAATTGAAACCTGAATGTTCCGACTTAGCTGGAGCTCTGTGGAGAAATGTGGTCCCATCTGTGTGACACATCAAATGAAGTCCCTCACTAGAGAGCACCAGTGATAATTAAGCTACTTTTATAAAGTGAACTGGAATGACTGAGATGCTTTTTCTCAGAGATTGTCTGCAGGTTCCTCTCAGCCCCTTGAATTTTAGTTCTTACTCCCTATCTATCAAAAAGACTCAGCTAGGAATGCGCCAAACATTTTGACCAAGTACTTATCTGCACAACCACAAACCCAATATCATCACTTAGGGGAAAACAATTTCCCCTGGCAAGTAGAGACAGCCTAATTGCTTAATCTGACAGGTTATTAATGGTTCAAGCCAACCAAAAGCATAATGGATATTGATAACCACTGTTAGGTTGGACGTTTGATGCATACAGTATTGCTGGAAATTACTTACATCAAGGGTTGCAACTGACCGTTAGACTAAATTGTCCAATCTCCGTGGGTTTCATTAAACAGTTCTATCAACTTGATAAAGTGCAAGCCAGAAAGTTACCCCATTAACTAGAGCTCTGAAAAAAAAAAAGCCAGTGGGGTGGAGGATATTTACAGTATTTATGTTCCAAGTCAATGTAAAAATAAATCTCCTCCGTAAAATTGCGCTCTGCGTGTTGAGGATGGTTTTCCCCCTCTCTATTTGGATGGTTTGGGGAACCAGGCCTAGGCTGAGCCATTACTTGGAAATGACTGTGATTGGGAGGGAGCTGACAGTGGCATTGGGTGTAGTGTTCCAGGATGTTCAGGGTCTGATTCATTATTCACTGGGTTCTTCTGGAGAAAAAGTTGAGCTTCATCCAAAGCAGGCATCGTTTCCTAATGCCCCATCTCCCCTTTGCAGAGCAGCTGGAACCGGCTAACATGCAGACAGGAACTGCAACTGTCCTGGCCCCCACCTGTGGGTGCTTGAATGCAGGCCTGAGCCTTATGTGGGAGGAGAGGCCAGGAATCACTGCTGAGTAACCACAGGGAAAATAATTCATGGCACACTGGGAGTTCCAACCTAAATTCTTCCCTCCTAGACAGTAGTAATAAAACTTTCCATCTGATCAGTAACAACAGAGAGCCAAGTCTTAAAGATTAAACTGGACAAGAGTTGTTTTTTTTTAAATGATTCATGGCTCTATTAAGTGCAATAGAATAACAGAGAGACTAAGAACCAAAACAGCAAGAATAACAACAAAAAGAATTATTTATTTTTATTGCCTTGGGAATGTGAAGAGGTGAGAGTAGTACCAGCAAAGCCTAGGATGGCTGCTGCTAGAATCCTCCAGGTGGGAGATGATGTGAATCTAACCAAAGCAGTAGTGAGGGCAGTGCAGAGGGAGAGCAGGGGATGAATAGAAAAGACATTTAGGGGCCAGGCACGGTGGCTCACGCCTGTAATCCCACCACTTTGGGAGGCCGAAGCAGGCAGATCACCTGAGGTCAGGAGTTTGAGACCAGCCTGGCCAACATGGTGAACCCCGTCTCTACTAAAAATACAAAAATCAGCCAAGCATGTTGGCGGGTGCCTGTAATCCCAGCTATTTGGGAAGCTGAGGCAGGAGAATCACTTGAACCTGGGAGGGGGAGGTTGCAGTGAGCTGAGACCACGCCATTGCACTCCAGCCTGGGCAACAAGAGTGAAACTCTGTCTCAAAAAAAAAAAAAAAGAAAGAAAGAAAAAGAAAAGACATTCAGGAAGTAGAATCAACAGGACTTAGTTACTGATGGGGAAGGGGGCACTGAGGAGGGGAATCTAGGAGTGCAATACTGACACACAATCCTTCAACACCTGTAGTCCAAGCCACTCGAGAAGCTGAGGCAGGATTGCTTGAGCCTAGGAGATTGAGACTACAGTGAGCACTTACAGCACCACTGCACTCCAGCATGATCAACAGAGTGAGCCCTCATCTCTAAAAAAATTAAAATGTAAAAAATAAATAACAAAATTAAATAAGTTAATATTTGTAAACCACTTAGAACAGTGTCTGCTACATAATCAGAGCTATATATGTGCTTGCTATTATTGTTATTACCTTCCCAGCCAAACTGGAAGTATGCAATGCTAGGTTAGCCAGAATGTGACAGACAAAATTCCACATTCTTCATGAGACTCTATAAATGTGATTTTAACAGTTTTCACCATGCCACCCTCCTACACCTGCCCTTCCAGCCATGCAGGTGACTGGCTCAGGATTGGGCTGTTGCTGGTATAACACCAATAGAAATAGCAAGCACCCATCTAGCACTGCACTTTGAACCAAGTGCTTTTTTTTTTTTTTTTTTTTGAGACAGAGTCTTGCTCTGTCACCAAGGCTGGAGTGCAGTGGCGCAGTCTCAGCTCACTGCAACCTCCACCTCCTGGGTTCAAGTGATTTTCCTGCCTCAGCCTCCCAAGTAGCTGGAATTACAGGCATGTGCCACCATACCCAGCTAATTTTTGTATTTTTGGTAGAGACAGGGTTTCACCATGTTGCCCAGGCTGGTCTCAAACACCTGGCCTCAAGTGATCCGCCCGCCTCAGCCTCCCAAAATGCTGGGATTACAGGTGTGAGCCACCACGCCTGACCTGAAACAAGTGCTTTTAAATGTCATTTCATTTGGCCCTCACGAGGAACCCTTAAGTGTGGCAGAAGTGAGGTGCTAGCTCTTCCTGTCACTGTGCTTAGTGCTTTCTCCAACTCCTGCTCAAGCTCTGTGGGGGCAAGAACTATGTCTTTTTTGCCCTTTTAACAGTTTCAGGAGGCGAATCCAGTACAGCAGCAGGGTTAAAATTCTGGACCTGGTTCAAGTGAGATTGAAGCCACACTCCACCACTGTGTGACCTTTAGAAGTCAGTTCACCTCCCTAAGCCTCAAATACACAATCTGCAAAATGGAAACAATAACAGGACTTTCCTCAGAAAGTTGTTGGGAGGAACAAAAGAGGAGAAGCACATAAAGCCCTTAGCACGGTGTCTGGCTTCATGCCAAAGAAATGAGTTACATTTAGTAGTTTTGTTTGGATGTATTATTGCTGAATGTATGAAGCACAATTAATAGCAAGGAGTTTTAAGTAGCGAAGGCAAGGGTTAAGGAATAAAATAATGGGGCTTTTTTTTTTCCTTCAAAAGAATAGTTAGAACACTGTGTGCACAGAAAGAGACTTGCACAGTCATAGGTCTAGTTCCAGGAAAGGAGCAAAGGGCTCTGAGGGTGAAGAGGAAAAGGTATGAGGAAAGAACAGCCCAAAATAGATTCAGGAACCCGTTGCTTGGCCTGGAAACCTGAAAACTCAGGAGTCGGCTCCTCTGAATATTATTTTCCGATTCAAAAATGTGAGCTCAATTACATTAGGATCAAAAAACTCTGGCATGAGCTGCAAACAGCTGGGCTCTTGCTATAAATTCCCTGCTGTGACCGAAGCATAATGAAGTTGGGGCTTTTTCGTGTGCATTTTTTTTTAACCCACGAGAGAAAAATATAGCTCTAGAAAGTGAAGAAATGCAACTGCCCCGGTTAGACTCTATTTAAATCTAGTTAAATCGAGAAATAGCAAGCCCTTGCCAGTCAAAGCTAAATGACTTCTCAAGCATCCCAGCCATGCCGAAAGGAGGCATGCAGGCCTGGCAAAAGCAAGACCAAAGCTGTGAGAGGCCAGAAATGCTTGCTTTTCTCCTCCAAACCCTGGGCTGCTTACTACCACCTTTCTGTAGTGCTCAGAAGAGCCCCTCAAATAGACCACCAGGGTGGCAGCTGGGCTTGGCACACAAAGAAAGACTGCAAGGTAAATGTGTCTTCCTCCTAGCTCAGTGGCAACTCTTGGCAGCTGCCAAGATGGAGTTCTTGAGCACTTTCTTACTTCACCTGGTATCTTCCTGGGTCACAAAAGAACTATCAAGAAACCATAAAGTGCTGAGGCATGTCCTGGCACAGGGAGGAGAGAAAAAGGTGAGAAACGCTATCGGAAATAGCAGTGACTCAGTATTGCCTTGGGCTTGGGGAAGGTTCAAGCATATGGGCCATTTAAAACCAACTGCCTGAAGTGAAGGACTGCTTTATCCATTCATAAAATACTCCACCCAACAAGATACTGGCCATGTTTTTCCATTGTCTCGCAGTGATTTCTGAAAATCGGGGGCTGTCTCCCCCAAACGTTTTATAATGACAAAACAATTTTCAAATGGGCGTAGTGGCTCACGCCTATAATGTCAGCACTTTGGGAGGCCGAGGCGGGTGGATCGCTTGAGCCCAGAAGTTCAACACCTGTCTGGGCAACATGGGGAAACCCCATCTCTACAAAAAATATAAAAATTAGCAGGGTGTGGTGGCACTTGCCTGTGGTCCCAGCTACTTGGGAGGCTGAGGTGGGAGGATCACTTGAGCCCGGGAGGTCGAGGCTGCAGTGAACTATGATAGCCACTGGATTCCTGGGTGCCAAAATGAGATCCTGTCTCAAAAAATAAAAGTAAAATAAAAATAAAAATAAAAAAACAATTTTATTGGCTGGGCATGGTGGTTCATACCTGTAATACCATTGCTTCCAGAAGCCAAGGAGGGAGGATTGTTTGAGTCCAGGAGTTTGAGACCAGCCTGGAAAACATAGCAAGACCTGTCTCTACAAAATAAAAAAATTAAAACATTAGTCAAGTGTGATGGCATGTGCCTGTAGTCCCAGCTACTTGGGAGGCTGAGGTGGGAGAATCGCTTGAGCCCGTGGTTCGATGTTACAGTGAGTTATGATCACCACTGCACTCCAGCCTGGATGACAGAGCAAGACCCTGTCTCCAAAACAAAAACAAAAACAAACAAACAAACGAAAACCAATTTTCTGTTTTCTATAGAAACCCCCAGAACCTGCATGACTGTGATGTATTGGAAACAATCCTTGGGAGAGTTGAGCTAAAATCCTGACTCAGCGTGTAGTAGGTTTATGACACTGACTCAGTTTTGGGACATCCCTGAACTCCAGGTGGCTCACGTGTATAAGAGAGATGCTTTTAAGAGGGTTGGAAAGTGCTTGTAGAACTGGAGGAATTGAACTTGGGATGCAAAAAGCCACAAGATGCATATGGATCTCCCTGGAGCATCCATTTGACTCAAGGAGGGAAAAGAGAGGGAACAAAATTATTTGTGTATCAAAATAAATCCAGAAATATTATAGAGTAGAATGCAAAATTCTCATGATTTTCTTAAAAATCGAGCAAGAGACTTCAAAATAAATGTGTGCTGATTTAAGGTAGTATATTAGGAAAGCACTGGTTCCTACCAGGTACACAATAAATATTCATTAAACTGCACTTTTTTGTTTGCTTGCTTGTTTTGTAGACAGGGTCTCACTCTGTCTCCCATGCTGGAATGCAGTGTCACCATCACAGCTCACTGCAGCCTCCAACTCCTAGACTCAAGGGATCCTCCCACCTCAGCTTCCTGAGGAGCTGAGACTACAGGCATCTGCCACCATGCCCAACAAACTTTTCTATTTTTTTAGAGATGAGTTATCAGTATGTTGCCCAGGTGGATCTCAAACTCCTGGCCTCAAGTGATTCTAACACCTTGACCTCCCAAAATGCTAGGATTATGGGAGTGAGCCACTGTGCTTGGCCTAAACTACACTATTGATTTTCACATACCTTTTGGTCAAATAAAAGCAGAAAACAGTAATGTATTAATCCAGATTAGTCTTGTCCAGGTGCGGTGGCTCACACTTGTCATCCCAGCACTTTGGGAGGCCGAGATGGGCAGATCACCTGAAGTCAGGAGTTTGCGACCAGCCTGGCCAACATGGTGAAATCCCGTCTCTCCTAAAAATAGAAAAATTAGTGGGGCGTGGTGGCAGGCGCCTGTAATCCCAGCTACTCGGGAGGCTGAGGCAGGAGAATCGCTTGAACCTGGGAGGCGGAGATTGCAGTGAGCTGAGATAGCGCCACTGCACTCCAGGCTGTGTGACACGAGCAAGACTCTGTCAAAAATAAAAATAAAAATAAAAAATTAGTTTTAGCCTTACCACTGAAAACTTCCCAGCAGACAAATTTCAGATAAACTGCCAGAAGGCAGATACCATATCTGCCTAACTTTGCATATGACCCATACACTTTTGATAAGAAAGGTAAACATCTTTTATAGGTGCCTACCTGATCTGGACCCTGTCCACCTCTCCAACCTCATCTCTGCCACTTTACATTTGTCAAACTCTAGGCCCTGGTAATTACAGAATTTTGTACAGAGCTTAGTTAGCTGAGTTGCCCCAGAGCTCTGGACAAGAAATTCTTTCTTGCTGGCCTCTATTTTCTCTTTGGTTATGAGATCAACTGCTAAGAAGGATGAGAGGGGTCGTGGCATAGACAATTGATGAAATCGCTCATGTTTTGAAATAGCCTCTGTAGAGAAACAACAAGGAAGCCAAGTGGCACTAGCACCTTCAGAGGCCTGCAAAGGAGAACTTCCTCAGCTTCCAGCTCCAACAGGTAGTTAACAGTCTGCTAAGGCGCCACAGAAAAAGTGAGGATCCATGTGAGAAGGCAATGTACCCAGAGAGGATCGCTCCCGTATGTACATGGGGCTGAGACCTTGAAGTCACCTGGTCTGGGAGACTTCAGAGAGACCCTTCAACACTGCTTACAAAACTCCAGGATCTGATTGTCCCATACCCCATTCCCCAGGAAATCTTATTTTCCAGCCATGTTCTCTATCACGCCTTAGCCTTGGCCCATTCAGCCTGGAAAGACACTTCCCTGTTCCCCATCTTTCTTTATGTGACTAACTCCACTCACCCTTCAGATCTAAATTTTTCATCTCTTCATTCCACACATATTTACTGAGAGTCTGGTATGTGTCAGGCACTGTGCTGGGCACTGGAGATATAACAGTGAACAAGACACAGGAGGTCTCTGCCTTCACAGAGCTTATAGTCTAGGGAAGAAAGACAATAAGTAAGAAAAATAAATAGACAAGGTACTTTCAGATAATAAATCAAGTACAGTGATGTGCTAGAAAGTGACTGGATGGTTAACTTAGATTGAAAGGTAAATGTAGTCAATTGAGTGGTGGTCTCCAGAAAGATATGTCCACCTAGAACCTCAGAATGTGACCTTATTTAGAATAAAAGACTTTGCAGATGTAATTTAGGAAAGACCTCAAGATGAAATTATCCTGGACAAGATGGGCTCTAAATCCAACGACAGGCATCCTTCTGAGTCAGAAAGGGAGAAGGCATAGAGACACACAGACAGAGAGGAAGACTTTGTGAAGATGGAGCCAAGAGACTAGAGCTGTGCTACCACAAACCAAGGAACACCTGGAGCCACCAGAAACTGGAAGAGGCAAGGAAGGATTCTTCCTAGAGTTTTTCAGAGGGAGTGTGGGCCTGCTGATACCTAGACTTTGGACTTCAGGCCTCTAGAACTGTAAGAATAATTTTTTGTTGTTTCAAGTCACTCAGTTGTGACAATTTGTATGGCAGCCTTAGGAAACGAATATAGCCAGGGAGATAATTGTTTTTTGATACAGAGTCTTGCTCTGTTGCCCAGGCTGCAGTGCAATGGTGTGATCATAGATCACTACAGCCTTAACCTCCTGGACTCAAGCAATCCTCCCACCTCAGCCTCCCCAGGTGAGGTGGGACTACAGGCACGCCACCATGCCCAGCTAATTTTTGTATTTTTTGTAGAGACAGGGTCTTGCCATGCTGCCCAGGGCGGTTTGCAACTCCTGAGCTCAAGCAATCCACCTGTCTCGGCCTCCTAAAGGGCTGGGATTACAGGCAGGAGCCACCACGCCCAGCTCCAGGGAGATACTTTTTAAGCTGAGACAGGAATGACAAGAAATAGTCAGCATGGGAAGATCTAGGGAAAATGCACTCCAGATCAGGAACAGCAAGTGCAAAGGTCCTGAGGCAGGGACAAGTTTGAGGTATTCCAAGAAGAGAAATAAGACCAGTATGGCTGGCCAAGAAGGGAGAGGGGAAGAAAAGTTGATAAGAAGGAAGATCACTCAGTGCTGGGGTACCATAGTAAAGAATTTGAGATTTGTTCTGCAGGTGATGGGATGGTTTCAGGCTTTCCATCACATTTAGAATAAAATCCAAACTTTTTGCTATGAACTAAAACACCCTCACCCTATCCTTCTTGCTTACTTTGTTCCATCCTCACATGCTACTTTCAATAAGCAAAGCTGCTCCTCCTGCAGTGTCTTTGCATTTTGTTTCCTCCCTCCTGAAGAGTCCTGAAAGTTCTTCCAGTTTGCTCGCCTGGCTCCTTCAAACCATTTAGGTGTCAGCTCACAGGTCCCCTCTTCAGAGAGGTCTGCTGTAGCTACTGTATAGCCAATTCTTCTTTCACTTAACCTTGCTTTATTTTTTGTACGTCACTCATCACTTTTGAAATTGTTTTGTTAATCTATTTACTTGTTTGATGCCTATCATCCTCACATGATTGTAAGCTCCATGAGGGCAAGAATATTTGATCTGAACTGTTAGAATTAAAAGCAGTTTGCCTAATGGATTCATGAGAAATGAGAATGTTCCAAGAACTGAAAAACTACTTCGGAACTGCTGGACTATATAGTAAGAGGGTGAGGTGAGGGAGATGGGGGTGGTAGAAGATGATGCAATTGCATTTTTAAAAATACCTCTTTGGCTACTAAATTGCAGTGGGCCAGTAGTGTAAGACAAAAGACTATTTATTTATTCAAGAATATGTATGGAGGCTAGGCACTGTGGTTCACGCTTATAATCCCAGCACTTTGGGAGGCCGAAGCAGGCTAATGGTTTGAGCCCAGGAGTTCGAGACCAGTCTGGGCAACATGGCAGAACACCATCTTTATTGAAAAACAGTAATAATAATTATAATAACAAAAATTAGCTGGGTGCAGTAGCATGCACCTGCAGTCCCTGCTACTCAGGAGGTTGAAGTGGGAGGATCGCTTGAGCCCAGGAGGAGAAGGTTACAGTGAGCCAAGATTGTGCTACTGCACTCCAGCCTGGGTAACAGAATGAGACTCTGTCTCAAAAAAAAAACAACAGCAGCAACAACAACAACAACAAAAGAATATTTATGGGGCTGGGCGCGGTGACTCAAGCCTATAATTCCAATACCTTGGGAGGCCGAGGTAGCTGGATCTCTTGAGCCCAGGAGTCCAAAGCCAGCCTGGGCAACATGGTGAAACCCCATCTCTACAAAAAAATTAAAAAAAAAAATAGCCAGGAGTGGTGGTGTGTGCCTGTAGTCCCAGCTACTCGGGAGGCTGAGGCTGGAGGATGGCTTGAGCCTGAGAGGTCGAGGCTGCAGTGATCCGTGATCACACCACTCCACTCCAGACTGGGCAACAGAGCAAGACCCTATCTCAAAAAAATAATAATATTAATAATATGTATTGACCACCCACTACATGTTAGACAGTCTTTGGGATCTCTCAGCGAAGAAAACAGACAAAAATATTTGTCCTTTGGAGCTTGCAGTCTAGTGGGGACCAGTTATGTAGCTATTATGGAAGATGATGGAGGCTTGTGTTTGGGCTAAGGCAGTGAAAGTGGAGAGAACTGGTAGGATTTGGGATGCGTTTTTGGGGGAGGTGCAGTAGGTAGGACTTGGTGATGGATAGGATGGATTAGACATCATTGTGTCCACAAAGTTCTCCCTGGATCTCCCCAATATTAGATTAGGTATCAGAGCACCTCATGTTTACCCCCATTGCTACATGCCCCATATTGTAAACATTCATTCATTTGTGTCTTACCTGTATTTATATAACATCATATCAAAACCCATAGTACAATGCTTGGCACAGAATAGTGACTCAATACATTTATTAAGTAAATAAACATATTTAATATTCATAATATTTATTATTAAATAAATTTACTAACTATATAAACCAGGTCATTTATCAGGGTAGTATTCATCACCCATCCAGTGAAAATATATTTCTTTTAATCTGCTGTGGTTTTATTCTGATCTTTGGTTGATGCAAAAAGTTCCTTTGTAGACTAATATTATAAGCACCTCTATTTAAACTATGAAAACATCTGTGCAAAGACTGGAAAATTACATTGCCTTGTTATGACAGTCACACCTGATTAAAGATTCACAGTGTCAGAATATTAAAAGTTCAAGATTATAAGTGCAGTGCCAGAGAGAGGTTTATAAGCAATCAAATATTCAATCAGGCTGTTATGGCATTTAAAAGGTCAGTGGCCAGAAGCACTCCACATCTTTAGGTAATGGTCAGTGCAGTTCTATAGCACCAGTCACAGCTCAGGAAATACTTTAGAAATAAATTTTAGGCAGATCAAAACTTATGGGATCCCAAAACAGCCAACAAAATTCAAAAACAAAGAAAGAAAAAAAATGGCACATGCAGCTAAGCACTGGAGCCTAAAAAGTTATGACTGTTGCTGTTATTTAAAAACAAACAAACAAACAAACATCTTTCTGATGCAATGACAGAAGCAGAGATTAGAGCAATGCACTTTGAAGGTGGAGTAAGGGGCCACAGGCCAAGCAATATAGACAGTCACTAGAAGTTGAAAAAGACAAGGAAACAGATATTTGGTATTTCCCCCACAGCTTCCAGAAGAAATCAGCCCTACTCACACCTTGACGTTAGCCCAGTGAAACTGACTTCGGAATTACAGCCTCCAGAATTCTAAGAGGATATATTTGTGTTGTTTTAAGCCACTAAATTGTGGTAATCTGTTGTGACAACAATGGAAAACTAATACAGCCTGATAATATCATGTTGTTGGCAAAGATCTAGATCTTTATACTAAGGAAGGCAAAGTGAATTGATATTACTACTGTATAAATATCTTGTAAATTCAACCCGGATTTACAACATAATCCCCAGGGATTCTAATCTTAAGTGTTGACCCAGAAAAACCCTTAAATATGTGACCCAGTAGACATGTATGAAAAGCTTCAAAGAGTTATTGATTGAATAACAAATAATTCTAAACAAATAAAATAACCATAAATCGGATAATAGATAAAGGAATGGTGGTGCATTCAAATAATGTAATAATACATAGCAGTAAAAATGAATAACATCAGCTACTCACACCAAAATGTATACATGTTAGAAATCTGTTAGGTGAAAACAGCATACCTCAGATAAATATAGTGTCATCATTTTTTAAATAAATTGCTTTTTTTTTTTTTTGAGACGGATTTTCGCTCTGTCACCCAGGCTGGAGTGCAATGGCACGATCTTGGCTCACTGCAACCTCCTCCTCCAGGGTTCAAGTGATTCTCCTGCCTCAGCCTCCCAAGTAGCTGGGATTACAGGTGCCCGCCACCACACCCATATAATTTTTGTAGTTTTAGTAGGCACGGGGTTTCACCATGTTGGCCAGGCTGGTCTCGAACTCCTGACCTCAGGTGATCTGCCTGCCTCAGCCTCCCAAAGTGCTAAGATTACAGGTGTGAGCCACTGTGCTCGGCCACGCCTGGCTAATTTTTTAAAACATTTTCTTTTTAGAGACAGGGTCTTGCTATGTTGCCCAGCCTGGTCTCACTCTTGGCCTTAAGCAGTTCTTCCTCCTTGGCCTCCTAAAGTGCTGGGATTACATGCATGAGCCTCTGTGCGTGGTCATGATATAGTTCTGAACTTTAAACCAGGAACTAGAAATTTGGGGCGATGTTTTTTATTTAGTTACTTATTATTTTTTAGGATGGATATATGTATTATTCATTACAAGGGATTGGCTTATGCGATATGGGCATTGGCTAAGCAAGTCCAAAACCATAGGGCAGCAGTCAGGAAGGGGAAATAATGAGCAGTAGGGACCCCTACAGGAATAGGCAGATTCTTTTCTCTCTTCCAGGGAAACTTCAAACCTGCTTTTAAGGCCTTCCAACAAATTCAGTTAGGTTTGCCCAGATTACCCAAGGGGAATTTTCCTTACTTAAAGTCAACTGATTATGGGTTTTAAATATATCTGCAAAATGCCTCCCCAGAAACACCTAGATTAGTTTGATTGAATAACTGGGAACTATAGCCTAGCAGAGTTCCCACATCAATAAAGCCATCACATCTATGAATTTCCCAGCCTCCTGAAGAACTAACACATGGTCAGATTTGAAGCTTTCTCTAAGTTCCTCCCTGTTCATATCCTCCTGCTTCTCTTAAAGAATCACAATATTGAACCACCACATTGAATTAAAATATATATCCTCGGCTGGGGGCAGTGGCTCACACCTGTAATACCAGCACTTTTGGAGGTCTAGGCGGGTAGATGGCTTGAGCCCAAGAGTTCGAGATCAGCCTGGGCAACATAGCGAAACCGCATCCCTAGAAAAAAAATAGCTGGGCATGGTGGCACAAACCTGTAGTCCCAGCTACTTGGGAGGCTGAGGCAAAAGGATCACCTGAGCCCAGGAGGTCAAAGCTGCAGTGAGCTGTGATTGTGCCACTGCACTCTGCTTTGAGCGATAGAGTGAGACCTTGTCTCAAAAACTATCAAAAAAACCCCACCAACCAAGCAAACAAACAAACAAAAATCCTCTTGCTTTTTTCTTTTATCTTGTTTTTGAAATTTATTGAAAAGGCTAGATGTGGTGGCTCATGCCTATAATCCCAGCACTTTGGGGCCAACATGGTGAAACCCCGTTTCTACTAAAAATACAAAAAAATACAAAAAAAAATACAAAATTTAGCCAGGCACAGTGGCATGTGTCTGTAATCCCAGCTACTGGGGAGGCTGAGGTGGGAGAATCGCTTGAACGAGGGAGAATCGCTTGAACCCGGGAGGCAGAGGTTGCAGTAAGCCAAGATGATGCCATTGCACTCCAGCCTGGGCGACACAGCAAGACTCTGTCTCAAAAAAATAAAAAATAAAAAAAAAGCCAGGCATGGTGGTAATCATGCATCTGTAGTCCTAGCTACTTGGGAGGCTGAGGCAGGAGGAGGGCTTGAGCCCAGCAGTTAAAGGCCGCAGTGAGCTATGATGGCACCACTGCACTCCAGCGTGGGCAACAGAGCATGACCTGGTCTCAAAATAAAATAAAATAAAATAAAAAACTATAGAGAAACACATTAAATTTGATTGTAGTAGAGAACAAGAGCCCAGAGGAGCAAGTTCAGTTAGGTGCCACAGCGAATCTGGCTTACGAACATTCATGTCCTCAATCCCTTTCTCCAGACAAACCTTTCAAAGGGCTCCCCACCTATGTGAGTAATCGTCATTTCCCAGGTTAGGGAATCAGGAAAAGAACCACCTGGCTGTTCCCCAGTGTCATGCAGCAATTAAACTAAAACACAGGAGCCTTGGCTTCTGATTCTCAAGGGAAGATTAGGAAAAAAAAAACCCTGAGAACTCAAGAACTAAGATCTTCACATATCAAAATATTCCACTAAAAAATTACCACTTGTCTCAGCTCGAAATTCCTGAAATCCCACCTCCTCCAAAAAGCTTTCCCAGATTGATTAAAGGAAAGTGGATGATTTCTCCAGGTTCCTTGCTTTTGTCCCACCCCATAACAAATTCCCATGAGTCTACAGGAAACCTTATTTGAATGTGCGGTTTTCAAGATTAACTATTCTGACATCTGCATGTCAAAACCTGTGGTCAAAACAAAGAGACATCATATACAATGAGAAGCAAATAACATAATTTTTGTGATATTCCCACCCAAAATGCATAACCTGAAGCTAATCATAAGGAAACATCAGACAAATTCCAATTCAGGGATATTCTGCAAAATAACTGGCATATACTCTTTAAAAACATCAAGGTCATGAAAGACAAAGAAAGACTGAGGAAATATTTCAGATGAAAGGACACTTAAAGGGACACAACAACTAAATGCAATGCAATGAGCGATACTGGATTGGATCCTGTATTTATATTTTCTATGTAGGACCTTGGTGGGATAATTTGCCAATTTGAATAAAGTCTGAAGATTAGAAAATAGTATTGTATCAGTGTCAATATCCTGGTTTTAATAGTTGCATTGTGGTTCTATAAGCATATGTCTTTGTGTCTAGAAAATACACACACAAGTATTAGAGGATAAAAGAGCATCATGAATATAATTTATATTCGAATTAGAAAAATATATACATATTTATAATTACAGAGAGAATGATAAAACTAACGTGGTAAAATTTTAACTTGAAGGAATCTGAGTGAAGAGTATAATGGCAATTATTTGTGCTATCTTTGCAACTTTTCTGTAAATCTGAAATATCCCAAAATTCAAAAGTTTAAAATCCATCTTTGTCCCTCTAGTCTGTTTTAGATGGGAAATCCATACACAAATTATCTTTGGTGCTACTAGAGGTCGCTGCAGTTAGTTTAAAAACATATAATAATTTTAAATTTAAAAAAGTTCACTTTAATTTCAAAAACAGACCTATATCACATAGCATTGTGAGGAGAAAGAGGAAGAGGAAGAGATGCAGAATTCAAAATAAACCTGGTAAGATTATTTCAGGGCTGCTATACCAATCAGCTTGGGAAGCGGTGCCCTAAAGGGAAGAGTGCCATCTACACACAAGTTGCCCTGCCGGGTGCCTAGCAGCTTGCCAAGAACCAGCGTCTATTCTGAGATGTTCCTCCAGAGTGCCAACTTCCATCAAAAGCCATTGCCACAGTATTCCATTTGGCCACCTGAGGGCGTGCTAAAATTACTTTTTGTAATTCAGGGATTTTTCAGCAACTGAGGAAGGTATCTACGTGAGCGCTGAGTCCTGGGAATCTTCAGGTCACTTTGCAGATTCCTCCTGATGGGATAGAAAAGGGATGCAGTGATAGTTCCAACCTTAGCAAAACTGTGATGTCTTCAAAGTTCAGCTTCAGTGTCGGCCTGCATTGCCGGCCCCCTTTTGCCTTATTGCTGGAGTGCTTTCGATTCCCCATACACCCCTTTTTCTTCTTGGCCTCTTTCCCCTTCCTCAAATACTTTTGCCCAAAGCACTCATTTCCACTCATGTGTAAGACTGATAATGATGATAATCACCACAACAGATGTGGGAGTGTAAGAAATTGATAATGATGATAAGCATGATGGCAGAACGTGCCCCTCTCAAGGGAGATTTGAATGTTGAAAAGACTCCATGCCTTAAAGCCTCAAAGCTGATGAAGGAGACTGGGGGGATCATAGGAGCCTTTATTACTCTCCTGAAATGGCACCTTGAGTGCCTAACTCAAGTCTGGTTATCACTCAGGTGGGCAATAAAACAGGGTGGCCGGGACTGGTGAGGAATTAGCGGAGGCAGGAGGCGGGAAGCGGGAGGTGGGGGCTTTAAGTTTCAGGGCTGAAAACTGAGCTCTAGAAGGGCACTGGCTGTGAGATAGAAAGGCAGATGGAGTGAAGAACGGTCACCACTAGGGGATTTAGCAAGTCCCCAGGGTTATCACAACCTAAGAAAAAGTTGAGTAGCACAAGTAGAAAGCATAGATTGCTTACCCTGTTTTAGTCGCCATTCTTCCACCTCCTAAAAGGAGAACCTCCTTTATTTTATTTGTATTGATATATATCAGTTGTATATATTTGGGGGATGCATATGATATTTTGATACTTGTCTACAATGCGTAATCATTAAATCAAGGTAATTGGGATATCCATCACCTCAAACATATATATTTTCTTTGTGTTGGGAACATTACAATTCTTCTCTTCCAGCTGTTTTGAAGTATGCAATATATTTTGCACACCATAATTTCCCTACTGGACTATCAAATACTAGAACTTATTCATTCTATCTAATTGTATTTTTGTACCCATTAACCAACTTATCTTCTTCCCTCCTTCTTCCCTTCCCAGTCTCTGATAACCACCATTCTCTGTAGGAATCTCCTGTATTATAAAGCAGACAGCTCCCTTGGTAGAGCAATCTTGGGGGTTATGACTCCTGGAGAAATGGGGATGTCATGAGATTAAAGTCTATCAAAGGGAACATTCATCCCCTAGAAGAACGTTCTTTTAAAACATCTGGTATCACCATATATTTTAAGAGAAATGGACTATCGATACAGATCCAAAGTCACCAATTTAAAAAATTTTAGATGTAAACTATTTATCCATTCACTAAGTGTAGACCTGGATTTTAGACACCTTTTGTTTTGTTTTGTTTTGTTTTGAGATGAAGTCTCGCGCTGTGGCCCAGGCTGGAGTGCAGTGGCATGATCTTGGCTCACTGCAACCTCCGCCTCCCGGGTTCAAACAATTCTCCTGCCTTAGCCTCCTGAGTAGCTGGGAATACAGGTGTGCACTACTGCACCTGGCTAATTTTTGTATTTTTAGTAGAGACGACGTTTCACTATGTTGGCCTGGCTGGTCTCAAACTCCAGACCATGGGTGATCTGCCCCCCTCAGCCTCCCAAAGTGTTAGGATTACAGGCTTGAGCCACCGTGCCCGGTCTAGACACCTTTTAAGAAGTTCAAGTTAGGTCAATCCGTTTTACTCCAATTGTCTCTGTGAATGAACTTCAGGAATTATCCATCAAATCCTAAGCCCCAGGCTGGTCTTACCTTTCCCCCAGCTCCCACCATCCAACCTCGACTGAGATGCCACTCAGCCTGGAACTGCTGAGATCCCCCTCCAGTGAGGCAAACCAATGTATTTGTTCATGCAAAATAGCGAGGCTGTCTGGTGAAATGTCTTAGACTACAAACACTTGGAGGACAGGAAGTGTGCCTCTTTCATTAAGAAGCCTGTACCTTGTTGTCATTGGATTTCCTGCACTTTGCACATTTCTGGTACTGTGTATTTTGAATTAGTACATGATTATTTAACTCCTAGTTCAAATCACTTTTCTTAAAATACAGGAAGACAAATAGCTAAAACATTGCCCAAGTCAACCACTGGGATTGTACCTGCTTCTGTACTAAAATTTTCCATATTATACACGTTATACCTTAGCTAATTTTTATATACTTATTAGAGATAGGGTTTCACCATGTTGTCCAAGCTGGTCTCGAACTCCTGACCTCGGGTGATCCACCTGCCTTGGCTTCCCAAAGTGCTGGGATTAGAGGCACGAGCCATGGCGCCCAGCTGCCCAGAGAACACATTTTAGAAGCCCCAAGGGCCAGGTGTGGTGGCTTATGCCTATAATCCCAGCACTTAGGGAAGCTGAGGCTGGAGGATCACTTGAGGCCAGGAGTTTGAGACCAGCCTGAGCAACAGAGTGAGATCCCGTGTCTACAAAAAGTAATTTAAAAATTAGGCAGATGTTGTAGTGCACACCTGTAGTCCTAGCTACTTAAGAGGCTGAGGATCGCTTGAGGCCAGGAAGCTAAGGCTGCAATGAGCTGTATTCATGCAACTGCACTCCAGCCCCAAGTCTGTAATTCACCCTCCCTATGACAAACAATCCACAGGCCTCATCTCAT
Organism: Homo sapiens; assembly: GCF_000001405.40. Taxonomy (NCBI): domain Eukaryota; kingdom Metazoa; phylum Chordata; class Mammalia; order Primates; family Hominidae; genus Homo; species Homo sapiens. The sequence continues at coordinate 104,268,380 of NC_000023.11, read as the reverse complement.
GTCTCCTCCTAAGCAGGACCTTGTACCCAACTCATTGGAATACAGTAGTAGTTCCCAAATCTTGCCTCTTTGAGTAAATAAGAGCACAGACAAAATGAGTTACAGTTTTTATTTCCACCCTGCCTCCCCTCAAACCACCACCACCCTCAAAAGTATAAATAGAACTCTGATTCAGGCATTTCCAGTTGTTCTTGCCAGAAATGAAAACTAGCTCTACCTGTCCACATAGCATATGCCAGGTAAATACCTCAGCAGTAGATTTTAAAAGCAGCACATAGACATTTTGAGTTCATTGTCTGTATGACTTCTTCACGTTCATTTGCATCAGCTATTGTATAATTACTGCCCATGCCTCAAGAAACCAGGTTACAAATCCCTTTCTACTCACACCTCCACCTATGAGCTAAGTAATGCAAACAGTAGTCCTTTTAAAATTATTGAGGGCCTGGAAGTCCTTTCCATTTATTTTTATTTTTATTTATTTTTTTTTTTTAGGCAGGGTCGCCTCTGTTGCCTGGCTGGAGTACAGTGGCACAATCACAGCTCATTGCAGCCTCAACCTCACAGACTCAAGGAATCTTCCCACCTCATCCTCCCCAGTAGCTAGGGTCACAGGTGGGTGACCCTACACCCGGCTAATTTTTGTAGTTTTTTGGTAGAGATGGGGTTTTGCCATGTTGCCCTGGCTGGTCTTTAACTCCTGATCTCAAGCAATTCTCCAGGCTAGGCCTTCCAAAGTGCTGGGACTTCCAAAGTGCATGAGCCAACACAACCAGCCAATTTCCACCTTTGAGTACCAAAGTTATCCAGTTTTCATTGAAATGATACAAAGGGCACAGGTGTGTGAGTATAGATATCAATATGTAGAACACTGATTTTCCTCTTTGCTTCTGACTGTATCTCCAACCATCTATTAGATATAACAGACATCTGGAAGGCCCATCAGCCCCCAAACTAAAAACATCCACAATTGAATTCACCCTCTTTCCCTAAAACTTGGTCCTTCCCATATTCCTCTCAGTAAATGGTGTCATGTTCTGGCTCAAGCCAAATACTAAGGAATCATCTTTGACACTTTCCTCTTCCTCAATTCTCACATTCAGTCCATCAGCAAGCCCTATTATTTCCACCTCAAAAATAAACACCCAAAAATAAACCTCAAAGCCAGTTTCTTCTCTCCACCTCTGTCATCTGGTCCAAGCCATCATCACCTCTCACCTAGCTGACTGCAACAGCCTTCTAATTCATCTCCTTGCCTCTACAGGTTCCTTCTTCAAGAATTCTTTCTCGGGCCAGGTACGGTGGCTCATGCCTCTAATTCCAGAACTTTGGGAGGCCAAGGCAGGCAGATTACTTGAGGTCAGAAGTTTGAGACCAGCCTGGCCAACATGATGAAACCCAGTCTCTACTAAAAAAAAAAAAATACAAAAAACGTTAGCAGGGCATGGCGGCAGGCACCTATAATCCCAGCTACTCAGGATGCTGATGCAGGAGAAATTGCTTGAACCCTGGAGATGAAGGCTACAGTGAGCAGAGATCGAGCCACTGCACTCCAGCCTGGGTGACAGAGCGAGACTCTGTCTCAAAAAAAAAAAAAGATATGCAGATTGCAAATAAACAGATGAAAAGATATGCAACATCATCAGCCATTAGGAAAATCCAAATTTTCTTAGATATCCACAAGGTATCACTACACACCTATCAGAATGGCTTAAAATAAAAAACAGTGAAACATCAAATGTTGGCGATGATGCAAAGAAACTCTATCAGTCATCTTGAAAGGAGCATAAAATGGTACAGACACCCCAGGAAACTGTTTGGCAGTTTATTAAAAGAACTAACCAAGCTATTACCATACAACCCAGAAATCACACACTTGGGAATTTATACCAAAGAAATGAAACTAATGTGCACACAAAAACCTGTACACAAATGCTGATAACAACTTTATTCACAATAACCAAAAACTAGAAACAACCTAAATTCCATAACAGGTGAATGGGTTAATAAAACCACTCAGGAATAAAAAGGAAAGAACTGTTGATACAAGCAACAACTTGAAATGAATCTCAAGGAAATTATGCTGAGTGAGGGGGAAAAAAGCCAGTCTCAAATGTTATCTGCATGATCCCATTCATATAACATTCTTGAAGTGATAAAATGATAGAGATGGACACTAGATCAGTTGAACCAGGAATTAGAGCACCATGGAGGGGTAGTTTCAAAGAAACCAGGGGTTTCTTTAGAGTGATGGAACAGTTCTGTATGCTGATTGTCATGATGGTAACAGGGGTCTATACATGTGATAAAATTTCACAGAATTACACACACACACACACACACACACGCACATACACACACAGAAATCCAATTAAGTTCTGTATTTTACAAAAACTAGCTGTGCGTGGTGGCGGGCACCTGTAATCCTAGCTACTCCGGAGGCTGAGGCACGAGAATCTCTTGAACCCAGGAGGCAGAGGTTGCAGTGAGCCCAGATCATCGTGCCACTGCACTCCAGCTTGGGCGACAGAGTGAGAATCCGTTTTTTGCTTGTTTGTTTTTTGTTTTTAAAGCCAAAGGGATTACAGCATTGAGGACTGGCAGTCTTGAGGGCTAATATATATATATATATTTTATATATCTAATATATATTATATATCTAATATATATATAAAAATATATATGTATATGTATATATATTTTTACATATATAAATTTATATATATTTTACATATATAAATATATATATTACATATATAAATTTATATATATTATATATTTTTTACATATATAAATTTATATATATATAAATTGAGACAGAGTCTCACTCTGTCACCCAGGATGGAGTGCAGTGGCGCAATCTGGGCTCACTGCAACCTCTGCCTCCTAGGATCAAGTGATTCTCATGCATCAGCCTCCAGAGTAGCTGGGACTACAGGCATGAGCCTCCACGCCCAGCTAATTTTTGTATTTTTCAGTAGAGATGAGGTTTCACCATGCTGGCCAGGCTGGTCTCGAACTACTGACCTCAAGTGATCTGCCTGCCTCAGCCTCTCAACTTGCTGGGATTACAGGTATGAGCCACCAGGCCCAGAGACAATGGGGCCTTGAAACATATGTTTAGGGATTTGGACTTTATCTTGAAAGAAATGAGGAGTCATTACTAGTAGTAGTAGTAGTAGTAGTGTTTAGTATTATTTAGTGTAACTTTTTATTCTAAAATAGTTCAACTCACCAGAAGTTATAAAAATTATAGTATAGACAGCTCCTTTGTACATTTTACTCAGCTTTTTCCAATGATAATAACTTACATAACCACTGTACGTTTTCAAAAACAAAAAAAAAAACTGATCTTGGTACAATACTATATTAACTTGGGGCTTCTCAACCTCAGCACTATTGTCATTTTGGAGCCAATAATTCTTTGTTCTGGGGGATGTCCTGTGCATTGTGGGATATTTAGCAGCACCCCTGGCCTCTACTCACTTGCCAGTAGCAAGCCCCCATCAGCTGTAACACCCAAAAATATCTCCAGATATTGCCAAATGTTCCCTCAAGCTCTCTGATTCTCAGTTTTCTTATGTATGTATGTATGTATGTATGCATGTATGTATGTATGCATTTATTTATTTATTTATTTGAGACTTGTCTTACTCTGTCCCCCAGGCTGGAGTGCAGTGGCACAATCTCGGGTCACTACAATCTCCGCCTCCTGGGTTCAAGCGATTCTCCTGCCTCAGCCTCCCGAGTAGCTGAGACTACAGGCATGTGCCACCACGCCTACCTAGTTTTTGTATTTTTAGTAGAGACGGGGTTTTCCTATGTTTGCCGGGCTGGTCTTGAACTCCTGACCTCAAGTGATCCACTCACCTCCACCTCCCAAAGTGCTAGGATTACAGGCGTGAGCCACTGTGCCCGGCTTCCTCATTTATATAGTGGAAATAATAATGTTGTAAGAATTATGTAAAATCATGTCGTGAAGGCACTTTTTAGTTAGGAGCTGTAATACAAATGGGAAGACCTATTAGCACTTGCCAGCCCTGACTCCCGTGTGTCCCCTAGCTCATCTCCAGCCAAACTGAACTATTTACTGGCCTGTAAGTATGTTCTTTATATTGAGCTATCTCCCTAGACTCCCTTTCCCATCCCTAAATTCTACTCATTGAAATTCTTCCCATAAATTTTTCATGCCCAAAACGCACTGGTTATAAAAAATAGGGGAGGAAAGGAAAAATCCTAAACGTTCAACGTTGGAGAAAATGGCTAATAAATGTATGTCACAGATTTAGCATAGTGCTTGGCACCTATTTATTCATTCAAAAAATATATACTGAAGCCTTGTCAACATAGTAAGACCCATCTCTTAAAAAAAATTAATTAGCCAGGAGGCTGACGATGGAGAATCGCTTCAGCCCAGGAATTTATTCTATATTTTCCATTAGTAGTTTTTTTTTTTTGAGACGGAGCCTTACTCTGTCACCCAGGCTGGAATGCAATGGCGCAATCTCAGCTCACTGCAACCTCCATCTCCCGGGTTCAAGCGATTCTCCTGCCTCAGCCTCCCAAGTAGCTGGGATTACAGGCACCCACCACTACGCCTGGCTAATTTTTGTATTTTTAGTAGAGACAGGGTTTCACCATGTTGGCCAGGCTGGTCTCAAACTCCTAACCTCAGGTGATCTGCCCACCTCAGCCTCCCAAAGTGCTGGGATTACAGGCATGAGCCACTGAGCCTGGCCAATAATTTTTAATGTGTAGAAAATGCTTATGATATAACGTAAGATCACAAAGACAGAATATCAGATAGTTATATTGAATATAGTACATATAAAAATTATAGAAAAAAGAAATTTTTCATTATCATCTATAGATAATCAACAGGTTATGAGTGAGTTTATATTATGTTATTTTTGGCTTCTTTATAGTTTCCAAATTCATCACAACAATCATTCATTACTTTTATGATTAAGAGCAAACAAGTAGTTATTTTTTAAAAATAAAAAAAAAAAGCTGGGCATGGTGGCTCAGGCCTGTAACACCAAGTACTTTTTGAAATAGAAGCAGGAGGATCACTTGAGGCCAGGAGTTCAACACCAGCTTGGGCAACATAAGTGAGACACCATCTCTACAAAAAAAGAGTTTCTTTAAAAATTAACCAGGCATCATGGCACCTGCCTCCTGCCTGTAGTCCCAGCTATTTAGGAGGCTGAGGTGGGAGGATCACTTGAGCCCAGGGGTTCAAGGCTGCAATGAGCTATGATTGCACCACTGCACTCCAGCCTGCATGACAGAGTGAGACTCTGTCTCAAAAAAAAAAGGTGAAAACATATTCTCAACTATACTTTAACATTAATATTGAATTTCACTTCCTCCATATATTTCCAATATATACTGACCTTTTCTTCCTTTGAACTCCCATAGGATTATTTTGCTCCTCTCTTGCATGTGCCTTGTTCCACCTTATATTAAAATATGTTATGCGCTGCTCTGCCTATGGAGTAGCCATTCTTTCATTTCTTTACTTCTCTAATAAACTTGCTTTCACTTAAAATAAATCTCTTATGTGTTTTCTTTCTCTCCATGTCTTGCTCATGTCTGTGGCCCTTGTACAAAATATGTGGACACTGAATTGGAATACACACACACATACACACACCAAGATCACGAAGTAAATCCCAGACTCTTCCTTGGAAGAATTTTGCCACCCCAGAGTTTGCCCTTTGAACTGCCAGAAGAGCTGGAAGGAAAGTGAGAGGGCAGGGGCAACAGTGAACACGCTGAGCTAGTTAAGTTCTGCAGGAGTCTTTGCCTTGGCTAATGCCAACCACACCTACCCATAGTCCCCATATTTGCCAGCCAATCAACAAATCCCTACTGAATGTCTATTATGTACTCAGTACTGCTTTGAAAATACTAAGAAATGTATGAAGTGGAAGGAGTTTGCAATCTAATTAAGGAATGGATACACACATCCGTATACATACATACCGACACATCCATGCATTCATGTCTGCATGTATTTAAAGATAACTCACATACAAAAAAAGCACTGGTTATAAAAATAAAAGGAAAAGAGAAAATTCTAAACATTAAACATTGGAGAAAATGGTTAATAAAATTATATGACAGATCTCACATAGTGCCTGAGGTGATGCGTGATAAGAATAAAATGAATATAGTTCAAACTGCAAATGCTATAATGGCTCAGAAAACGGCAAGAGTGCTGTGGGCTGGGAAGACTTCCTACAAGAGGTGGGCATTAAGCTAGAACTTGAAATATCTGAAAGCCAGTGGTAATTAGCACATGGCATTTTTCTTTCACCATGAAGTAGACTAAAAGCAAATTATTTACCTAGATCATCGCAAGGATCAAGAAGGTCATGAAAGGTATCCCCTCTACAGGATCTGTGCAGAGAATATAGCTGGAGGAAGCAGGCCTTTTGAGGCTTGAGTCCAGGGTACCCTAGTTAGATCAAAGAAATCCTAGGGATGGCGTCCAATTCATGCAATAATGATGGTAGCCATTAATAGTAGTCATTCTACAAGCTTTCTGGTCACAATAGCAAAGAGATCAGGCAAAACAGAAAGAAAAATCATGGAATTTTACCCTTAACCCCTGGTTACAGCAAAGAAGCCCAATGTCCTAGCCTCTGGAGTAGGATTTAGTGTACAAATGATTCGGTTTCATGGAAAAAAACTGAGACGACTGTGGTGTTCCAGGACAGGATAGGGAATGCAAAAATCAATCACTTAGTGCTACTTAAAATTATCAGCAGTAACAGATATCTTCAGGCTGTCTTTCCTTCCCTCTTTTCTTCTCTAAGGCTAGGAATAAATATGTAAATAGCCTCGGCGACTTTTCCTCTTCTTCCATCAGTGCAGACACTATCTCTAGTCTGAAGGGGCCGGGCACGGTGGCTCACGCCTATAATCCCAGCTTTTTGGGAGGCCAAGGCAGGTGGATTGCTTAGAGCTCAGGAGTTCAAAACCAGCCTGGGCAACATGAAGAGACTCCGTCTCTAAAAAAAAAAAAAAAAAAAAAAATTAGCCGGCAATGGTGACGCGCACCTGTAGTCCCAGCAACTCGGGAGGCTAAAGTGGGAGGATCGCTTGAGCCCAGGAGGTGGAGGTTGCAGTGAGTCATGATAGTATTACTGCACTCCAGCCTGGGTGACGGAGCAAGACCTTGTTTGGAAAAAAAAAAAAAAAGTCTGAAGGAAACAGAGAACTGTGGTTCTCCCAATGGTGGGTATAAGAAGCCTCCATGTGCCCCTTACATCTTTAAGAAGTAATACCAGTTTTTTTAAAAGCCATAGTGTTGGCTTCTGACACGAATAATTTATTCATGGCATTTAATAAAAAGATATAACATGGCCGGGTGTGGTGGCTCACACCTGTAATCCCAGCACTTTGGGAGGCCAAGGAGGGTGGATCCCCTGAGGTCAGTAGTTCGAGACAAGCCTGACAAACATGGCGAAACCCATCTCTATTAAAACTGCAAAAAGTTAGCTGGGCATGGTCACAGGCACCTATAATCCCAGCTACTTGGGAAGCTGAGGCAGGAGAATCGCTTGAACCTGAGAGGCAGAAGTTGCAGTGAGCTAAGATTGTGCCATTGCACTCCATCCTGGGCAACAAGAGCATAACCTTGCCTCAAAAAAAAAAAAAAAAAGATATCACCTCACTGATGTTTCATCAGAAGTCACCCCACTCTTGCTGTCAGTTGTGGTGAATAATCAGAGGTGGGCTGTAGGGTCTTTTGGCAAAGGACTGAAAAAATTTCCCTCACTACAGAGTGCCCTTGTAGGAAGAAGAAAGAATCAGAAAGCACATAGGGCTGTGAATAAGCTGCCACTCACCTTAAGGAACAGAAAGCTCCTCTACCCTACCCATACCACTGACCATACCTGGGACAGGGGACCCTCACCCGCAGCAGAAACGTAATCTATGAACACAAAACTTCCATAATATTACAGTTCTCTTGACTGTAAGGTTCTCTAGAAACCATCTAGAGATTGCCTCAGTTTACAGGCCAGAATAAAGACCTCTGGTCTGGGGCCAGGCTCAGTGGCTCACACCTGTAATCCTGGCACTTTTGGAGGCCTAAGCGGGCAGATCACGAGGTCAGGAGTTCGAGAACAGCCTGGCCAATATGGTGAAACCTCATCTCTACTAAAAATACAAAAATTAGCCGGGTGTGGTGGTGCGCGCCTGTAGTCCCAGCTACTCGGGAGACTGAGGCAGAAGAATCGCTTGAACCCGGGAGGTGGAGGTTACAGTGAGCCGAGATCGCACCACTTGCACTCCAGCCTGGGCAACAGAGCAAGATTCCGTCTTTAAAAAAAAAAAAAAAAAAAGATCTCTGGTCTGTCATTAGTTCCTTTACAAAGAGGATATTGCCTGGCAGAAGGAATTCTCATAAGTGGAGTAGTTTAACATTAAATTTCATTTTCAAGATCACGTCCCTACTGTAAAGCATCAGAGCCTGCATGAGCCAGCTAGCCCTCAGCCAGGGGAAAGCAGGCAGGTGTGCCATCTCGGTGTGGTAGTGCCAAAGCCACACTTAGGGCACCCTGAGCCTCTGTATGGGACAGCAACTTCAGATATAAAAATAGCCAATAGGCTGGGCGCAGTGGTTCACACCTGTAATCTCAACACTTTGGGAAGCCAAGGCGGGCAGATCACCTGAGGTCAGGAGTTCAAGACCAGCCTGGCCAACATGGTGAAACCTCGTCTCTACTAAAAATACAAAAATGAGCTGGGCGTGATGGTGGACGCCTGTAGTCCCATCTACTTGGGAGGCTGAGGCAGGAGAATTGCTTGAACCCGGGAGGCGGAAGTTGCAGTGAGCTGAGATCGCGCCACTGCTCTCCAGCCTGGACGACAAGAGTGTCTCAAAAAAAAAAAAAAAAAAAGCTCAATAGCTCAATATCATTAGTCATTAGAATAATGCAAATCAAAACAATAATGAGACACCACTTCGTACCTACTAGGATGGATTTAATAAAAACAAAACCTGGAAAATAAGTGTTGGCAAGGATGTGAAGAAATTGTAAATCTCCTGTACTGCTGGTGGGAACATAAAATGGTACAGCTGCTGTGGAAAACAATGTGGTATTTCCTCAGAAATTTCAACATAGAATTTCGGTATGATTCGGCCCTTCTGCTCCTAGGTATATGCCCCAAAGATTGAAAAACAGATATTCAAACAAAACTTGTATGTAAATGCTCAGAGCAGCACTACTCACAATCACCAAAAGGTGAAAACAACACAAATGCCCATCAGTTGATGGATCTATAACCAAAATGTGGTACAGCTTATACAATGGATTTTTATTCAGCCATAAAAAGGAGTGAAGTGCTGACACATGCTACAATATGAATGAACCTCAAAAACACTATGCTAAGTGAAAGAAGCCAGACATAATTGGACACATACTGTATGATTCCATTTACATGAAATATCCAGAATAGGAAAATCCATAGAACTAGTACATTACTGGTTACCAGGGCCTACAGAGAGGGAGAGAATGAGGAATGACTGCTATTGGTTTTACAGGCTTCCTTCATAAGGTGTTGAAAATGTTCGGAAATTAGATAATTGTGATGGTTGTACAGCATTGTGACTATACTAGAAATCACTGAATAGCACACTTAATTTTTAAAAATCATAATAGTTACCATTCCACAGCATGTTCTCTCTACAAAGCATCATTCTAAGAAGCTAGGCTCAAATCCAAGGTCCAATACATACAAGCTGCATGCCTTTAGGTAAATTAACCTCTCTGTGACTCAGTAACATCATCTGTAAAATGCGGATTAGAGTATTTACCTCCATAGGGTTATGAGGGTTAAATGTGTTAATATTTAATCTTACTTTGAACAGCCCTTTGTATATATTAACAGTATATATTGAATAGTAAGAATTAGCTAAGTGTTAGCTATTATCATTTCAATTAATCCTCACAACAATTCCATGAAGTAGGTGTTTTTCATTATTTCCATTTTACAGATGAGAAAACCAAGGCACAAGGAGATTATGCAACTCACCAAGTTAGTTATTTAACAAGTGGCAAGCAAAGCCAGCAGTCTGGCTTCAGGGTCCCTATTTCTCAACTATTGCTGTGCTTGACATAAATCTGGTATACATAAATCTGGCATTCATAAATCTTGAATTCGTAGCTATTTTTGCCTAGGATGAGATTTAATTAGGTATTTAAGGTTTTCAAAAAGTAAATCAATTTAAGTAAGGGTGTTAAGTAAATACCGTCCTCTCTGGTACCCAGATATGGCAAAACTTGCAAAGGGACACATGAACGACTGAGGTTTAGAAAACATTGGTAAACCGTGGAAATCTAAGATGTGACAGAACACACCCATACTGTTGCCAATATACTAGGTAGGCTACTTCACACCTTGATTAAACCCTGTATGGATTTCTTGTGTGATATAACATCCCAGGGAAAAATTGTTCGCCGGGTATGGAGCCCAAAGAGAAGAAGGCCTGCAGACTCAGCAGGAGCCAGCCTTAGGAGGAAATGTCTTGCTTAAAATCAGAAAGGCTGTGGGGTTGTAACCCTTGAAATCTTTTTGCAAGTGAATACGAGGCAGGAGGACTTATTCATTAGGCACTGTAGTCGAAGTGCCCTAGGCCCACCGCACTTTTAGGGGCCTGTGAAAATGTCTTAACTGACTGGGCACGGTGGCTCACGCCTGTAATCCCAGCACTTTGGGAGGCTGAGGAGGCAGGACCGCTTGAGCCCAGGCGTTAGAGACCAGCTGGAACTACATAGAGAGACCTCGTCTCTACTAAAAACAACAACAAAAAAATTTGCAGAGAGCAGTGTCCCGCGAGCCTGTAGTACCAGCTATTTGGGAGGATCACTTGAGCGTGGGAGATAAAAGCTGCCGTAAGCCCTGAGGGCATCACTGCACTCCAGCCTGGGCGACAGACGGAGACTCCATCTCAGGAAAAGAAAGAAAAGAAAAGGTCTTAATTTCTTTTCAAATCATAAGAAAAAATTAATATAATCCATCCCAAATTATATTCATCCTTATACCAACACAGCTGTAAAATATATATTTTTTTTCTTAATGGAGGAAGGGGCCCAGGAAGGCAAAAATGCCTAGGGCCCACGAAAGTCATAATGTGGCCCTGACATGAGGGTGAGAGTGAGGGTGAGCCTCATGACCTCTGCCTCCTGAGCAGGTCTTCCAGACACCAGCTCAGCAACTAGTGCATGCAGCATCCTGCCCGTTAATATCCTCTCCGTATTGAGCAAACGTGAAGTGGTGGGCTGCGGGAACCCAGCAGTGCTGGATCCCAACCCTGTGGTTTAAGGACATCCAGCTGAGGCCCTGAAGCAAGGGGAAGAGGCCTGAATTAGTGTGCAAGAGAAGGAGGAGACCCCTCACACCCAGGAATTGTAAAGACTATGCCTCCCCCAAATGCCACCTCCTTCTACTCTTACCTGAAATCCCACTATTATTTACTCCTTTGAATTAAGACAGCCGTAATATAGTGAAAAATGCACACATTTTGTAGTTAAAACTGGCTTGTATTGCCATTGGCAAGTTGCCTGGCTCTTTGGGCCCCAGTCTTCTGTATTTTTTTTAAAAAATGGGGGATGATAGGCCGGGCGCGGTGGCTCACGCCTGTAATCCCAGCACTTTGGGAGGCCAAGGCGGGCAGATCACGAGGTCAGGAGATCGAGACCACGGTGAAACCCCGTCTCTACTAAAAATACAAAAAATTAGCCGGGCGCGGTGGCGGACGCCTGTCGTCCCAGCTACTCGGGAGGCTGAGGCAGGAGAATGGCGTGAACCCGGGAGGCAGAGCTTGCAGTGAGCCGAGATCGCGCCACTGCACTCCAGCCTGGGCGACAGAGCGAGACTCCGTCTCAAAAAAAAAAAAAGGGGGGGGGATGATAATGGTGGTTATCAAGGCGAAAGTAAGATAAATCGTGTACAGTGGCAAGCATAGGGCCAATTATTAGCAGGCTTTTAAAAATTTTTTTAATTTTTTTATTTTTTGAGACAGGGTCTACTGTCGTCCAGGCTGGAGTGCAGTATCCTGATCATGGCTCACTGCAGCCTTGACCTCCCGGACTCAAGCGATCCTCCCACCTCAGCCTCCCTAGTAACTAAGTCTACAGAGTTATTTTTATAATATTACGGATATTAACACGTCCTGGAGAACCTGCAAACACTTATTGGAGGGAGAACCATACAGCCTTCAATCATAGCCCAGGACTTTTAATGTGATACATCACTATGGAGCAAGAATTCAGGAAGATAGTTCTAGAAAAAGGGAGGGGGAGGAGGAAGAAGGGGTAGTGGGGAAGGCGGGAACTCTCCCAGGTCCACAGCACAAACCCGGGGAATACGCGCGCTTTAGGAGCCTGCAGAACGGGCTTCTGCAAAGCGCGCTGCAATAAGAAGCGCAGGAACCTAGTACAGCAGACGTTTCAAGTGCCGCGCATCAAAAGACGGGGCCCCCGTAGTGTAAGCATTCTTGGATGCACTATGCACTTAGCAGATTTCTATACTTGCACTCTGACATAAGTTCATTACTAAAAAGCTTAAGTCCTTGGAGCTTTCTCAAAAAGCACGTTGGGTTTCTTGCAGCGTGCACCTGAGCAGCGGACTGCTCTTCAAATTCAGCCCCAAATTCCCGCTCCCGGAATGCACGGTGGGTTCTGAATTCAAAAATCCAGAGCAAGCAGCCTTCTAGCCAATCATTGCACCTTATCACTATCCTGACTTTGGCGCGAACTGTACAGAACTAGATAGTCCTATCCATTTGTCACTAATTTCTAGCAGGGGAGAGTCGTGCTCAGAACCCAATTGCATGGTAGACTAACAAGTTCACTTTCGCATGTTTGGGCTGCTGAACTTTCCGCGCTTTCCTCAACGCCATCTCTCGGTCTTTTCCGTGGGGGAAGCAAAGGGCATCGCTCCACCCAAGTGCTGCGGGGTAAAGACGGTTGGGCGGAGGAACACTGCCAAAATACCTCTCCACGGGCTGGTGCGAGGTCTCACCCCGCCCCCTCGCCCCCTCGCCCCCTCGCCCCCTCGTCTCCTCGCCCCCAAATCGGCTTTCACAACCCAGCCGCTTTTTCCAATCTGGGTCTCTGCTCAAGTTGGGAGTAGTTAGTTAAGCAGCAATTTGGGGCCACTGTTCCCCGCAAAGCATGTTCACTACCTGCACCATGCTTGCGCACGCTCGCCCTATTTTTCGTACGCCCTGGACACGAATGCGTCCCCCGGGGGTCGCACTCACAACTAGATGTACTGTGAATGCTAATAGGGGGCGTTTAACCGACGCGTGTGCATACGCTTTGAACCTGCGGAAGGCACCGTACCGCTATATAGGGCGCGCAAGTGCCAGACGGCGCCAGAAAGAGGTCCCGGCGCCAGAAAAGCGCTCGCCCGAGCCATTGGTCCCAGAGCCAGTTCCAACCCCGGGATCGCCGCGGAACCACGCACAGAGTCTGCAGAAGTGCACAGCTTTATCGACAGCGCTTGAAGCATGGAGTCTCTTCGCGGGTACACCCACAGTGATATTGGCTACCGCAGCCTGGCAGTCGGCGAGGACATCGAGGAAGTGAATGGTTAGTGCTTGGACAGGGACGGGAGCTTTCGCGAACTCCAAAAGAGGAATTTTTCCCTGGGAGAGGCAAGCGGAGGAGACGCTGCGCGGCTGTCGCAGTTGCTCTTCCATAGCGGGTCCCCTGCCTCCTCCAGCCCACGCGCCGTGGGCTCCAACGCCCTGGTGTCTCTTTTGCTTTCCTCCCTTCCCAGATGAGAAACTTACCGTGACCTCGCTGATGGCAAGGGGAGGAGAGGACGAGGAGAATACACGGTCCAAACCTGAGTACGGAACAGAAGCGGAAAACAACGTTGGCACGGAAGGGTCCGTCCCCTCGGACGACCAAGACCGTGAGGGTGGCGGCGGCCACGAGCCGGAGCAACAGCAGGAGGAGCCGCCCCTGACCAAGCCGGAGCAACAGCAGGAGGAGCCGCCCCTGCTCGAGCTGAAGCAAGAGCAGGAGGAGCCGCCCCAGACGACCGTGGAGGGGCCACAGCCGGCGGAGGGGCCACAAACCGCTGAGGGACCACAGCCCCCAGAGAGGAAACGCCGCCGCCGCACCGCGTTCACGCAGTTTCAGCTGCAGGAGCTAGAGAACTTTTTCGATGAATCTCAATATCCCGACGTTGTGGCGCGGTAAGTGGCTTGCCCCGGAGGCGCCCAGTTCATCCCGGGACCCTTTCACCGGAGCTAAAAGCCACGTAGGGGGCTCACGGGCGCTGCCTCCGCCCTTGGTTTTTGGGGGACGTGGTGGGCGGGGCGCGGAGGATGTAAAAGACTGGGGCGGGACTAGGGTAAAGCGAGTGAGGCAGGGTGGGATCCCGCCTTTATTTAAAATTTTGGCAATTTGCTCACCATGGGTTGTTTTTGCATTAATTTTGATACGTTTTAATATTGCATTAAAATATTATTTGTCTTGATTATCGAGTTTTTTAGCGCCATTTACATTGTGCGCGCGTGGCGAGCGCCTCACTCTTTTCGCCCTAGTAACCGCCCTGCCACGTGGAGCGCACTTTTACAACCAGGGGGCGGACTTTTGAGCTTTCGGTAGCCAGCGACCCCTTTCCTTCGCTAGCCTCATCGGAGCCCTCCTCATACCGACCCGTAGTGTACGAAGGGGCAGGCCTTTTCTGGCCAGGCTGGAATGGGGGGCGGGGGGCACCTGGACAGGTCAGAGTAGGGTTAAGGGGACCTTTCTGGCTTCGTTGTACTTAGCCTTCGCCCGGCAAAGAGCAAAAAAGAATTTCCCTAGGGCGCGCTTGGCCGATGTGGTTTGGAGTTCCCTCCCTGAGAGTTCACCTCTCCTTTTTACGATAAACAGAAATACTGTGGTTCAATACAGCGCTTTAAAGGTGTTTTGGCATTTAATTTTTTTTTGTTTTTTTTTTCACGGACGGACTTCCCAAGGAAAGATTTCCAGGGTTGTTCTCTGCTGTTTCACAAACAGAAGAATTGAGTCATATTCAGCTAACAAACCATCGGGCGCTTTTACATATGTTTCCTTTTTCTATCTTATTTAACAGCGAAGTTGTTAATGGGAAAAACCTCCCTAAAGCGAGTCCCAACCGTATTACAGAAAACTGCACTGGGAGGTGGGGGAGAGAAATAATGTACATTCATATATATATATATATATGTTTTTTTTTTGAGACTCACTCTGTCGCCCAGGCTGGAGAGCGGTGGCGCGATCTCTTCTCGCTGCAGCCTCCACCTCCCGGGTTCAAACGATTTTCCTGCCTCAGCCTCCCGAGTAGCTGGGATTACAGGCATGTGCCACCATGCCCGGCTAATTTTTGTATTTTTAGTAGAGACAGGGTTTCACCATGCTGGCCAGGCTTGTCTCCAACTCCTGACCTCAGCAACCTCTTCGGCCTCCCAAAGTGCTGAGCCGAGCCACGTTCATATTATTGCATTTTATCCACAACTCCAAATACTGAATATTTGTAATTTTCTCCCCTAAGAGAGAGACTTGCAGCACGCCTGAATTTGACTGAAGACAGAGTGCAGGTCAGTAAATCTTGAAAAAGCAATTTGGCAGGACAGCCATTCTAAAGCATGCTTTAGGTTTTGTCCTGGACATTCTCAAGCTGGTGTTTTCTGTTGTCTTTTCCATGGTTGACAAATAAGTTTTGAACAGTAGGGGCTTTAGTGGTAGAAAATAGGATGTGTAAACTTCAGATTATGGAAATTGCTCATAAACAGAGGAAATATGATTTCCTAAAGGAAAAAAAGATGTGTTTTCATCTTCCTTCTATATCTGTATCTGTCTTTCTCTCCATATAGTGTATGCACATGTATATGTACATATACACATTTACGTACACATATATGCACATGTATACACATACATACATACATATATCCCAATAAATAAGATTAACCTTCTTCTAACACTGGTATCCTCTAGGGAGAATGTTAGTTTTCCCTAAAGGATTACTTCTATATGGAGTCATGTTCGGGGCTCAGTCTCACCTCGGAAGTATTCAAATTAATGCACAGAATAGCTCAGTTTTATAAGAAGGTTCACTGTACTAAATTATTTAAAATATTTAAAACCTAGCACAAGCACTTAGCTAAATGAGTGAATTTATATTTAGGCATTGGAGTGAAGGAGTAATTCACACACAGAACACAGTACTAAAGTAGGGAGTGGCAGCCCTAAATTTTAATTTTTTGGGAAGATTTTGATGTCAGCCTGAAAACATTGCTAACATATTTCAATTAAGTGGTAATGGGGAAAACATTTGTAAGCTTTGGAAAACTGTCTTTAAAAAATGAAACAAAAAAAGAAAGAAGAATTTGAATAAAATTCCCTTACCTAAGAAGGGTGGAAAGATTAGAGAAGAATTGTATACAGTCAAACACATGCATTGCAGATGTCACACAAATTCAACTTTATGAAACTACCAAATGCATAAGAGAATGTTCGCTTTTTTGTAAACACCTTAGAAAAAACATCTTAGATGTTTTATTCTTTTTGGTGATATTATTTTGAAAAGGTGGGTTTTCTGGAATTTGATTGATTAGGGGGTTCTCTCAGTTCAGGCAAGATTCTTACCTGTGTTGATTTAAAATACCTTTTCATTTACTCAGGCAGTTATGACTAATTTTGCAGGTCATGGGATCAAAAGGTGACTGTTTGAAATTACAGAAGACCATAGCTGCATCAAGGAAGTATTTGCAAAAAAATAAATAAATAAAAGTTAGAATGGGCTTATTAGCTTTGCCTCAGGGTGTGTGTGTGAGTGTAGTGATGGAACTGCACTGCACGCCTGTGGGTGTGATGTCTGGAAAAGCAGCCCAACAAAGTAGACCACTGAATGCTGGAGTCCTGATGCCAGGGGCCCATAGCCTCAGGTTGGGATGACGTATCCTCTGCCTTCTCAGGGAAGCAAGGTAAACTCAGAGGAAAAGAAGAAAGGTTTGCTGAGCTGCTTTTTTCCCTCCCAGGGTTTGCATAGGCCTCTCAATGGATTTATGAAGGAAGGAAGAAAGAGCCAGAAAATACAAAGAAGGAAAAATGACAGTGTTCTCATCTATTTCCAAATTCTATAGCATGAATATCCCCCAAAGACACTTTTAATAGACACTCCCCTCCTTTTCTTTGCAAATATAGTAGACTTATTTTATGAAATCAGTATTGAGAATGCAGACCCAATATGGGCCCATACCAAAATTTGCCATCTGTTGGCTTTGGTTATGTTTAGGCAGGGGTGACCACTAGCACATCTGAGCCCCTCCCTCACTCCTCTAAGATATTTCAGCAATAAGAAAATAGCTTCACCTGTTGCAGTTTAAAGTCTCAGTGGCATATAGAATTCCATGTTATGTTTTTTTCTATTATGACGTTAACTGTTCAAAATACTAAACCAATTCATTTTTCCCCTCTGAAGGTTTGGTTTCAGAACAGAAGAGCCAAGTGGAAACGAAATCAGAGGGTGCTAATGTTGAGAAACACTGCTACTGCTGACCTGGCCCACCCTTTGGACATGTTCTTGGGTGGGGCCTATTATGCTGCTCCTGCTCTGGATCCTGCTTTGTGTGTTCATCTGGTGCCACAACTACCTAGACCACCTGTGCTGCCTGTGCCACCTATGCCACCCAGGCCACCCATGGTCCCTATGCCACCCAGGCCACCCATAGCACCTATGCCACCCATGGCGCCTGTGCCACCCGGCTCACGCATGGCGCCTGTGCCACCCGGGCCACGC
Organism: Homo sapiens; assembly: GCF_000001405.40. Taxonomy (NCBI): domain Eukaryota; kingdom Metazoa; phylum Chordata; class Mammalia; order Primates; family Hominidae; genus Homo; species Homo sapiens. The sequence goes on along the minus strand of NC_000023.11, from coordinate 104,250,578 downwards.
ATGGCGCCTGTGCCACCCTGGCCGCCCATGGCGCCTGTGCCACCCTGGCCGCCCATGGCGCCTGTGCCAACCGGGCCGCCCATGGCGCCTGTGCCACCCGGGCCGCCCATGGCGCGTGTGCCACCCGGGCCGCCCATGGCGCGTGTGCCACCCGGGCCGCCCATGGCGCCTCTGCCACCCGGGCCGCCCATGGCGCCTCTGCCACCCGGGCCGCCCATGGCGCCTCTGCCACCCGGGCCGCCCATGGCGCCTCTGCCACCCAGGTCACATGTGCCTCACACTGGCCTGGCTCCTGTACACATCACATGGGCCCCTGTCATCAACAGTTATTATGCATGTCCCTTTTTCTAAAGTAAGGTATTCATAACAGTTTTTCCAAAGTTCTTTCCTGCCAGATAGAAATTGTGCACAGCACAGCATCAAGTAATTCGTTAGATGCTTGTTAAATGAAGTGGGTAGGTGAACAAAGTTAACGAATGCCCTGTTATTTTTGTAGGCCACATAATTGTAGTATTTTCAATAAAGATGTGACTTAATAGTACGTTGGTTTTGTATGCCAAATGGGGTCAGTAGAATATGGATGGGAATTGCTAAGGGAATGCAATTTGAATAGAATGGTGAAGAGACCTCTTCTCATCAGGTAATATCCCTGAGTCACCATCAATATGTCCTGCACATCACAGTTTGCCAAGTGCCCATGATGGGTTTACATTGACCCACCCATTTTCCCTCCACACCTCCCCCCACCCCATCCTCACCCCTCTACCCTGCCCCATTGGGAGCATATAAATGTGCAGGATGGGAGTCTAGTAAGAGAACAGTGCGTTTCCAGGGAGGGCCACGTTCCATTCATGCTAAGGAGCTCAGGCTAAATCATGGACTCTAAGAGAAACTTACTAAGACGCTACTCACAGAGCCCTGAGGGAACGGGGCAGCCAAATGTGCATCTAGTACTCTCCAAATTCTGCTCCCTGCCCCCTTTTTTTTTTCTTTTGAGACAGGTCTCTGTCGCCCAGCCTGGAGTGCAATTACATGATCATAGCTCATTGCACCCTCGAACTCCTAGGCTCAAGCGATCCTCCTGCCTCAGCCTCCTGAGTAGCTGGGACTACAGGTGCACCACCAAGCCTAGCTAGTTTCTGTTGTATATTTTGTAGAGATAGGGGTCTCATTGCAGTGCCCAGGCTGGTCTCAAACTCCTGTTCTTGAGCGATCCTCCTGCCTCCAGCCTCCCAAAGTGCTGGGATTACAGGTGTGAGCCACTACACCCAGCCTGCCCTCTGCTTTGTGGAGGAGACAGAGGAATAGGAACTATTCTGGCCCAGAGGTTCTGCAACTTCAAAGGAGACACAAGAAGGGGCTCCATCAAGACCAGAAAGAGGTGCTCTGTCTTTTCTCCACCATTAGGCCAGGAGAACCTATTACTGTAGCTTCCCCAGCTAAGAAGTGGGCAGTCACACCTTCCAGTGTGTTTTTCACCTTCAACATCTTTGAGAGAATCTTGGTTCCTGCCAATTAAATTGAAAGGGAACCTTTTGGTTTAGTTCAAAGCAAGAGATGGTCCCTGAGCAGTGTTCCAGAATAATCACTCACTGAAAAGAAGTGGTCAGACCTTTGCTATGTCTGCAGTCTTTATGCAAATCTGCCTCGGTAGGAAGCAACAAAAACCAAAATGGGGGAGTGGGAGGAGGCCAAGCCCACTATTTTTTAAACATTTAACTTTTTCGTAGAGCCTTTACTTTTGAGCAATTTCTAGCCATTTGCAGTAATTTTATGAACACATTTTATGCTATGAAATGATAACAATGGCTTCAGATAAGGGTGTCATAGTTATACCAGAATTTCTTCTCACAGGAGGCGGGCTTGAGGGGGTTATCAAAGACAAGTTTCACAGCAGTTACATGCTCCCAGTTTGAAGGGCAGCTCTGTTTTCTCAGAAAAGCATACTTTTTTTTGCAGTGTTGCCTGATACTTTTTTTTTTTAAGACAGAGTTTCGCTGTTGTTGCCCAGGCTGGAGTGCCGTGGAGAGACCTCGGCTCACTGCAACTTTCGCCTCCCGGGCTCAAGTGATTCTCCTGCCTCATCCTCCCGAATAGCTGGGACTACAGGCGCCTGCCACCATGCCTGGCTAATTTTTTGTATTTTTAGTATAGACGGGCTTTGACCACTTTGGCCAGGCTGGTCTCGAACTCCTGACCTCAGGTGATCCACTCCCCCTCGGCCTCCCAAAGTGCTGGGATTACAGGCGTGAGCCACCACACCGGGTCCGCCTGATACTTTTTATTCCTTTCTTCTCTCCCTTCACACATAAGGATGTCAAGCATTAGCAAAGCAGTTAGAGTCTTAGATTAGATTATATCTAAGATTTCTGCAGCAAGGAGGTCATTACCTCCCCAAGAGTCCCAGTCTCTGATGGGAGTGAGAAACATCCAGGAATGCATCTGTGATGCCCATTGCCAACCTCACCGGGTGATTTTGAAACTCAGCCTTTCTTGTTTCCCATTGTTTCCCTTTTGTTAACATCTAGTTTCTCAATGCTTTAAGTCCTCTTGGAGCTACAGGGTCTGTACAAATAAAGGTGCCAATACCCCATCCAGCCTTGCCACCCTGAGACTCAAAGCCAAACAGCATCCAGCACACGAATCCCACAGTTAATTCATAACCAATTGGACACACACAAACATAGAGCATTTTTTTTCATCTCAGGCAGCCTGGAAGAAGCAAAAATACAAATATTCTTTTGCATACATGAATAGAGTCTTCAAGAGACATTTATATTATTTTCAAGTCATATCTACTTCTTCCAGGTTCCAGATGATTTAAGGAGGGATAGTGGGATGGGGACAGGAAATATGCAAAACATTCCTGCAGATAAATACTTCCTCTTGGCCAGGCGCGGTGGCTCACACCTGCAATCCTAGCACTTTGGGAAGACAAGGTGAGAGGATCACTTGAGCCCAGCAGTTAGAGACCAGCCTCTATAACATAGTGAGATCCCATCTTTACAAAAAATTTTAAAAATGTAATTGGGTATGTTGGCACATGCCTATAGTCCCACCTACTCAGGAGGTTGATGTGGGAGGATCACTTGAGCCTGTGAGGTTGAGGCTGCAGTGAGCTATGATCGAACCACTTTACTCCAGCTTGGGCGACAGAGCCAGACCCTGGCTCAAAAAACAACAACAGAAAAATAAACACCAAAACAAAACAAAACAAAAACAAAAAACAACCTTCCTCTCAGTCTAGGCTTTAAAAGGAGGAGGTCTTCTACAATAATCTCAGAAAAAGCATGTCTCTCTCTCTCTCTTTTTAGGGACAGGGTCTCGCTCTGTAGCTAGGACTACAAACGCGTGTCACCACACCAGGCTAATTTGTTTTTTGTTTTGTTTTGTTTTGTTTGTTTGTTTTTGTCAAGACAAGGTTGCACTCTGTTGCCCAGGCTGGTCTCAAACTCCTGGCATCAAGCAATCTTTCCACTTTAGCCTCCCAATGTTTGGGGATTAGAGGTGCGAGCCACTGCGCCTGGCTTCTAAACAGCATTTCTCTTAAAGCGTGTTTCCAATTCCCTAAGACATGGATAAGAATTATTGTAATATAAGGAAATTAATTTATAAAAAGCCTTTAGAAATTAGCTCTCAGCAAATAACATTTACCTTTCATAGATGGTCTTTGCAGAAGTTAGTTTTAGCTGAAAAGTTATGAATGTGATCTCAGGAGGGGTGCAGGAGCTTCAGCATTGTGCAGTACTCTAATAATTCTGGATATGCTATTGCTTTCTAAAATTGTTTCACATTGAAGAACATATGCCAAGGAGCTTTCACAACAGTAATTTTTATGGTCAAATTAAGCAGGGAGAAGGTGAGCTATTTAGGGGGACAAGAAGCCTCTTTGAATAAAACTAGATTTATATAACTTGGATCTTGTTTCAAATAGATGTCATCAGAACTTAGAGGTATAACTTGGAAGTGCCTGAGAATCAAAATTCTAAGCCATTACTTGGACTACAAGTACTTAGAAAAAAGGGGCAAAGAAAGAAGGGACTAGAAATAATTCTTTAGCTGAGAATACAAGGGTCTCCCTTGAGATAGGTGTGAAAGGTGACTTCTTAAACAAAGAGAGAAATTACTGTAAATATATACAAAATAGAAGAACAGAGTGGTTTGACTTTTTTTCAAAAGAACAGACATTTGCCCGAATTTTGATCATGGGGTGTTATATTTAAAATTGGGCATGTGCTGAGCATGTATGGATGTACTGTTTTTCTACCCAATCATTTGGAGCTGGTAGCTCTAGGAATTGTTGAAAACCTGAAGGTAAAATATGGTGCTTGAATAGAGTCCTGGCCAGATGCAGCAACTCACGTCTATAATTTCAACACTTTGGGAAGCTGAGGCCGGAGGATCGCTTGAGGCCAAGTGCTTGAGACCCTCCTGGGCAACATAGCAAGACTCTGTTTCTACAATTTTTTTAAAAAATTTATCCAGTAGTCCCAGCTACTTGGAAGGTTGGGGCAGGGGGATGGGTTGAGCTCAAGAGTTTGAGGCTGCAACGAGCTATGATTACACCATTGCACTCCAGCCTGGGCAACACAGCAAGACCTTGTCTCTAAAAATAAATGATTAAATAAAAATTGAGTCCTTTACTGAATTTCCTAATTGGTAAATCCAACTTTGTCTAATTCAAATTTCTGTACCCCAGGGACTCCTACTGATGGAAGTAGGGGAGTTAGTACAAAGTGGTGCATAGATCCTGGAGCAGGGCTCTCAAACCTTGAGTGGAGGCTCTCTGGAGGCAGTACATATCATAGCATAACCCTCATCACACACTCGTCTTTCTGAGAATGCTGCATGAAATTGGGGGAATTCATCTGGGACTTTCCTAATGCTCCCTTCCAATTAGTCAAGGCAGTAGGGTGACCCAAAGAGAATGAACCCTTTGCCCCAGACACCTCCTTTTTCCTAGCAGGCACTTTCTCATGTTCCTTTGCAAATGAAACAAACATTCCTGAGTCCTGCAGTAAAAGTATGGCGACCACAAGGAACCAATACCATCATTTCATGCCACTCTTCCAAGCAATGGGCCTTTCTCTTTCTAGGGGACGTGCAATTTAAAGGAAGAGACCATGGCATTCTTTTCGAGCGGAAGGGGGTTTTCACAGCCATCCAGTGCACTCTCTTCATTTTACAGATGAGGAGACACAGGCCCAGAGCAGCGGAATGGTCTGCCCAAGATAGCATGCAGAGTTCATCCCAGAGAAGGCCAGCTTCTGTATCGCCATGGCCTCCCTTGGTGCCCAGGACTGCCCAGCTAGGGGCAGCACATACCATTGCAGGTGTAGCTCCTCAGTGCGTATCACCTCCAGCTGCCCAGACCTTTTTCCTTCAAGGGGCTATAAACTCAGGGCTCCTCCCCAAGCCTCGGCACTGGGCCATTTTACCTCTAGGAAAAGTAAGCAACTTCCCCTGAAGGCATGCAGTATCCTGGTGTCCACTCTTGAACGGCTGAACAGCAGGGGCTTGAGAGAGTGATGCAATTTGTACCCTCCTCACAAAAGGCCGAGTGTGCTTCCACTACAATAATCCTCATTTCCCCCAATCCCCTTGCAAAGCTGTGCCTGCCAACTGGCAGCACAGCACATAAGCAACAGCCAGTTCTGGGCTTGTGTTGAATTAACTTTTTTTGTAAAGTAGGCTAATAGTTTGGAAACTGTCATTATGCAATTTGTATTCATTTTGAAATGTGGTTATTTATGCTTTGCCTTGATCAATGTCACACTCTCTCCTTCTCAGATGTTAGCACAGCACTATGGGGCAGGGACCCAAGGTGCAATTTGTGTAAATTTAATTTTCAAATGCACCCCAATGGTCTGTGTGCCTCCCCATGAGAAGCACAGATCTTAAGGAGACTGTCTGGATTCCCAACATTTACATGCAAATATTTTTAGACTCTAGGAATACAAAAGACTCTTTCTGAAAGCACACTCTGTTGTGCTTCACAAACAAGGGGACACAAGTGATTGAAGAGATGGCATACAGGCATGGGCAGCATAATTGATACACCTGGACCCTTCTGAAACACAGCCCCCAGACAAAACTAGGGTCTCTATGAAAACTGTGGAGTTGGAACACAATTTTCTATTCCAGGCTCAAGAATCTTGGTTCAGGAAATAAATAAGAGGCAGAGTAGAGACCAAGGAAGAGTCTCTGACCAATTCCCTTTGAACAAGAGAGACAAAGAGATGAAGCAGATGTTTGAAGTCAGGAGTAGGAAATCAGCCTGTGGTGACCTAGGGGAGAAAGAAAGCCATGTCCATGGCTGGGGACCAAGCTGTTGCTGTGGTGTGGGGAGATAGGTGGTAAGTTGGCACTGCCAACTGTATAGTGTCTCTGGGAGGTAGCCAGTGGGGCTCAAGGAGGTGGCTCTAGCCAGCAGGGCTTTACAGAAGAGAAGACAGGAAAAACAGAACACAGGTTCATATGCAAATCAGTCCCTAGTATCTCTTTCCCCAGTCCCCATCACAAGGCAAAGCAATGCGGCTACCCTTTCTCTTTTCCTCTCATTCCTACCTTTCATTAACTCAACTGATCATCCCAAGGGGCCTCTCCAGGACTGAAATATTCATGAGGAAAGAGGGAAAACCAGGATAGAGAGGGGGTCCTATGATATGATTGTCCCTGGCCAAGGTGCCCAGCCCCAGTACCTCAAGAAATACCCAGGATGGTTCTATTTCTTCACTTTAACCAGAAGGAATTTCCAAGCATGTCCAATGAATTTCATGGGCCCACCTACCATATCAAAACCTCAATTCCAACAGGGAGTCACAGTCACACAGAAATATTGCAAGGTACTGAATTGGTTCTTCTGGTGTTTATTTAACATAGAGCCTTAGACTTTAGGGCATCTCCATGGCCCAACCTGTTCTTCCATTAAATGAACATCTATAGTCTTAAAACTCTGCTTGAGGGCTCAATCCATTCATTCTAAATAGGAAGCAAGAAGGCTGATCATCAATTGTGATGGTCAACAGGCAGGACATGAAAAGATAAGAAGGTCATCTTCACAAGTATGAAGTCCCTGTACAAGGGTAACAAGCAAAGCCTAGGCCAGAAATCAAGGTCTGTTCACCTCACACTACTCCTTATCATTTCCTCCCTGGGGAACCCTGAGAAGGTCTCAACCCACAGGCAAAGTTCAAATGGCATTTTGAATTTCTCTATTCATAGCCCCACTCCCTGACATTTCAGGGATCTTTGCACAAGTGTGGCTTGTTCTCTCCCATAGCTGATAAGCCTTGTAAAATTATATATCAATGTCTCAATTAAATAGGATCATATTTGCAGAGAACATTGGTTCATCAGGATTGTGTATTTATTGCAGGGTAAGGTAAATCACCAGGAAAGTCTTTTTTCTTTTAATCCCTTTTTCCTTTTTAAGTCTTTTAAAATTATTTTGCTGTGGTTTTCATTGTGTTGTGCTTTGTATACCATTTAGAGAAGTCCCAGGGGTCAGCATCCATTCGATCCAATTGTCCGCTTCTTTTTCAGTTACAGTCCTAGCAAGGACGTTTGATCTCCAAAATGATGACCCTGAGGCACTGCAACCACACAGCAGACCTCCAGAATATGCCATGCTCATTTCTGACCCACACCTTTCTTAGCTGGTATTGTTCCATCCTCCTTCCTCGTCTAGCTGAATCATTCTGGGCTTGCTTCTGTCATGCCTTTTCCTCCTCCTTTCAACTCTCCTCCTTCCTCTTCCTTCCCTTTCTCAACCTTACCTTCCCAGCTCTTTTCTCCCCTCCCTGAACCCCTGTGGGCCTGAAGTGTGCATCACTCATTTGACAGGAACCTTCATAACTTACAGCATCCCGCTAAAACCAAACTGTTTTGTGGATGTAATTCTTGTATACCTTACCTGCGCAGTAAGCACCTGGAATTTCCATCTGGTTCTCCTACTTTTCTTATTCCCCCATTGCACCTACGATGGTGCTGTACATTTAACAATAATAAATAGTGATAATGGTAAGAGCTAAAATTTGCTAAGGGCTTACAATATGCCAAATACCATGCTATGCATTATGCATGAATTAATAACTATCGCTATTTTGCAGATGAGGAAATTAAGACAAAAGAGATTAAATAACCTACCTGAAATCACACAGCTGATAAGTGCCTATGATAGAATTCAAGCCAAAGACTTTGAATCAAAGGTTTAATTTTGTTTGCTAGACTCTTCAAATTTGAGAGGAAAATGGACTAATGCATATTTTCACAATTTTTTCAACGTAAAGGATAGAAATAGACAAAACATGGGTTTCTTGTTAATTTTCAGTTCATCAGAAAGTGCCATTAAAAAGAATAATCCCCATTTCTTGAGCATTCTGTTCTATTAAGGATTTATTTTAATATATCATCATGCAATATTTCTGGATAAAAACTCAGCATTTAAAATCATTGAGTATCAAATTGGGAATTTTGATCTCATTTGTTCCTCTACCTGAACCTTTTCTCTGTTTTAAGCTTTCCTTTTTAAAAGAGAAAGCAATCTCCCCTTTTCTAGGTGAATGGAGGACAGACTGTGAACAAACCATATCATTGGAATCTGGAAGCTTCATATTTTCAAAAGAAAGGTAAAACGAGTCATGAATATGGCCAACTCTGCTTGTTTGAATCAAAGGGTGTCTCTTTTGGTGATTTTTGTTTGTTTGTTTTTTCAGACAGAGTGTCTCCTTGTCACCCAGGCTGGAGTGCAGTGACGCGATCTCAGCTCGCTGCAGCCTCAACCTCCCGGGATCAAGCAATTCTCTTACCTCAGCCTCCCCAGTAGCTGGGACTATAGGCATGCACCACCATACCCTGCTAAGTTTTGTATTTTTTGTAGAGATGGGGTTTTGCCATGCTGCCCAGGCTTGTCTCAAACTCCTGGGCTCAAGCGATCTGCCCACCTCCTCCTCTCAAAGTGCTGGAATTACAAGCATGAGCCACCGCGCCTGGCGGTGTTTTTTGTTTTTTGTTTTTTTTTAAGTTTATCAGACAATAGCTATGAAAGTAGTTAATGGACCACAGGCACTGGAACTGCAGGCAAGCACCATCACACCCAGCTAATTTAAGATGGAAACGTTCATGTTATGTATATTTCACCATAATTTTTTAAATGAAAAAGTAGTTTGTGGAGCGTTTCTTGCAATTCTACACTCCTGTATTCAAAGGAAGTCCTGTTCTTTTATTTTTGAAGAAAACTGTCTTGAGTGTATCAAATGCCATAGTCCTACTTTTTTCCCACCTCCCCAAGGTCACTGTACCTGAAAAGCCCTTATATATGGAACCAAGTACAGGGAAGGCATTTTCACACACTCTCTCCTATTTTAATCCTTTTTTTTTTTTTTTTTTTTTTGAGACAGGGTCTCACTCTGTCACCCAGGCTGGAGTGCAATGGTGCGATGATGGCTCACTGCAGCCTTGACCTCCCAAGTGATCCTCCCACCTCAGCCTCCTGAGTAGCTGGGACTACAGGTGCATGCCACCACACCTGGCTAATTTTTGTATTTTTTGTAGAGAAGGGGTTTCGCCATGTTCCCCAGGCTGGTCTTGAACTCCTGAGCTCAAGCAATCCACCCACCTTGGCCTCTCAAAGTGCTAGGATTATAGGGGTGAGCCTTTGCACCGGGCCTTTTCTTTTTTTCTTTTGAGATACCTACCGTGTCTGGCTATGTTGCCTAGGCTGAACTCAAATTCCTGGGCTCAAGCGAGCCTCTTGCCCTCAGTTTCCTGAGTAGCTGGGACTACAAGCACATGCCACCATGTCCAGCTTTCCACATTTAATATGTCTGCATTGTTCTCAAATAGCAAATGCCAGCCTGAGCAACATAGTGAGACCCTGTCTCTACAAAAAATTTTAAAATTCTCTGGGTGTGGTGACACACTCATGTAGTCCCAGCTACTTGGGAGGCTGAGGTGGGAGGATCACTTGAGCCTGGGAGGCGAAGGCTTCACTGAGCCATGATGACCTCACTGCACTCCAGTCTGTGCAACAGAGCAAGACTCTGTCTCAAAAAGAAAAAAATAAAATAAACAAATTGTAAAAAAGAAATAGCAAATAAGCAGCACATTTATCTCTGAATATATCCACAACAAAAGTTTTGTACCTTAAATGCTGCAAATTATAAACATCACAAACTGGAATTAAGCAATGCAGGACCAGAGGGCTGTATCTTACTTATGTCTGAATTCACTTTTTTCCATTTTCTCCCCTTTCACCCAGTAGATGTGAATCTATAGTTGTTAAATTTTATTTGGAATCTGTGACACCACTGTCCATTTGGCTGTGTTTTCAAATCCAGTTTGTTGGCCAAATTTTGGAACTACGTCAATTTCCACCCCTTTTTGGATAGTGAAGATGAGCTTCCCCACACTAAGCATTGACCTCTAGGATGGTCAACCCACAACCTCTTCCTCTGGGGACCCAGTATGCAGCAGAGCACTCAGTTGCTCCTCCCAAGTCTCATGGCGAGCTCTGCATTTGGGGCTGTTCCCACTCCCTCTTCCTTTTCCACACATACACATGCATATGTGCACACACACATATGCACACACCAGATCTTTTTTAAATTTTATTTTATTTTATTTTAAGTTCCAAGATAAATGTGTAGGAAGTGCAGGTTTGTTACATAGGTAAAAGTGTGCCATGCACACAACAGATCTTTAACTTGAAAATATCCTGGAATGATCACATCAGTTCATTTCCTTCTGCCCTTCTTTTGGTCATTAGAATGCCCTCAACAAGCTCCAGCCACATCATTTCCACCTGTTGGCAGATATAGCTGTCAAGCTGCCCCCAGATGAGGTCATATGAGAAAAAATTGTCTGTTGATGGCAGAGTTTTTCCAATGAGAAATTCCAATTGGCTAACACAGGACTTCTGGAAATATTTCCTAAATCTAGTGGCCTAATATCATCAAACTCCTTCCTACAAAAAGCAAGAAGAATTCATTATCAGAGAAGAAAGCCTGCTGAGCCAGGTGTTAGCCAGCACCCCAGCAGGGTATCTTGGCCTGCAAGTCTGTATTGACTAAGAAGTATTCAGGAAGAAAATTAACTTTTAAAAGACCTTTCAATAACAGATTAGTGATTTAAAACTTTTTTTTAGTCTTGCAATCCTTTTAAACAATTAGTGGCATAATTGGAAAGGGTCTACAAATTCAAATGGACTACCTATGAAAGGGCTCTCCCCACCACTCCCCCTGCTCAATACCATCCTCAGAACCCTTCCAAGGTGCACTGAATGACAGCCATCACCTGCTCTTTGGAGGGTCTCAGATTGTCAAGAGGGGCAGTTAATGGAAGTCGAATGCCCTGGTAGCTCATAACACAAATTAATTCCAGAGAAGGGATCAGTGTAGTCACTGTAAATGAAAATAATTCCTTCCTCTGGGCTGGGCTGAAATTCCATAGGAGGTGCCCTCCGAAAGCCCGACTCCACTGGTCACCTGAGCCTGTCGGCCAGTGGACTCTGGCCTCCCCTTACTTCCCATTCAAAAAACAGGCTGCTCTAGGGAAACCCGGCAAGAGGAGCATCTTACTGCTCGTGGGACGGGGAGAGAGGGTATTCTCTGACGAACTAAAGGACTTACCCACCAAATGCAGGTCGCATAGATCACCCATTGTTGCAAAGTTTGTTTTTATAGGCAATTGAGGTGAAAGTGTATACCCTGGCATCAAAAATGTCAAGTGGTAGGGGTCACCCCTCAAAATGTTATTAGACAGTTCCCCCAACCCCCATCCCAAGTCTCATAACCTCTCTGCCTAAATTTAGCTCTTGGATCTCTCACCCTGTGACTAATTGTTTTTACATATAGGATGTCCATTTTTGCCATTTATTTATTTACTTGGGTCAGGGTCTTGCTCTGTTGCCCAGGCTGGAGTGCAGTGGTGAGAAGAGACCTCACTGCAACTTCTGCCTCCCAGAATCCAGCGATCCTTCTGCCTCAGCTTCCTGAATAGCTAGAACCACAGGTGCGCATCACCATGCTCAGCTAGTATTCTTTATTTTTCTTTTGTAGAGACAGTGTCTCGCTATGGTTTCAAACACCTGGCCTCAAGCAATCCTCCTACCTCAGCCTCCCAAAGTGCTGGGATTACAGGTGTGAGCCACTGCACCTGGCCTATTTTTGCATATTTTATAGTATTCTTCACACTGATTATTTTAATGTCTGCATTCATATATTATAATTTGTTTATATTATTTCATGGTAGATAATGAGCAAACAGATATTTGTTAAATTAATAAACATCTTTGTGTATATATGTAAATATATATACATACATCTATACATATCTAAGAACAAAGAGATTTATGCTTTGAAATTATTTTCTTAGGATAAATTTCTGGGGCTAGAATAGTCAAAATGTATGAATCTCTTCATTGTTCTTGTTACATATTGCCATAGAGAGCTGTATAGAGCTTTGGTTAAGAACACAGGGTTGGCTGGGCACGGTGGCTCACGCCTGTAATCCCAGCACTTTGTGAGGCCAAGGCAGGCGGGTCATTTGAGGTCAGGAGTTCGAGACCAGCCTGGCCAACCTGGTGAAACCCCGTCTCTACTAAAAATACAAAAATTATACGGGCGTGGTGGTGGGCTGAAGAATCTCTTGAATCTGGGAGGCAGAGGTTACAGTGAACCAAGATCGTGCCATTGCACTCCAGCCCGGGCGACAGAGTGAGACTCTCTCAAAAAACAAAAAACAGGGTTTGGACTTCAACAAAGTTTTTTTAGACTGGTTCTGCTCATACTAGCCACGTGATGGTGGACTAGTTACATCACCTGTCTGAGTCGCAGTTACCTCATTTATAAAATGGGAGAAATAATAGTTCCCTTGCACAGAAATGTTATGAAGAAGGTGGACACAGTGTTGGTTACTGTTGTTATGATTTTCACTTCCAACATACATATTTCCCCACAGCCTCATGAACATTGGATTTTATCAATTTTTTTTTTTTGAGATGGAGTCTCACTGTGTCACCCAAGATGGAGTGCAGTGGCAGCGATCTCGGCTCACTGCAACATCTGCCTCCCGGGTTCAAGCGATTCTCCTGCCTTAGGCTCCTGAGTAGCTGAGATTACAGGCTGTGCCACCATGCCCCGCTAATTTTTGTATTTTTAGTAGAAATAGGGTTTTGCCATGTTGGCCAGACTGGTCTTAAACTCCTGACCTCAGGTGATCTGCCTGCCTCTGCCTCCCAAAGTGGTGGGATTACAGGCATGAGCCACCGTGCCTGGCCTCAGGTGGACGGCTTGAGTACAGGAGTTCAAGATCAGCCTATGCAACATGGCAAAATCTCATCTCTACCAAAAAATACAAAAAATTAGCCAGGCTAATTTTTTAAATTAGACAGACTCTGTCTCAAAAATAAAAAGAAATGTTTTTTGTTGATTAAATAGGTATAAAAACAGTACTTTTTTGTGTTTGTATTTCCTTGTCGCATAATAAGGTTTACATATTTTTCAAGTATTTAATTTTTGTACCTTTTTTTCTGCAAATTGTCATTCTTTTACTTTTAAAACATTTTACCTTCAAGGATTTTGTGGTATCCTTTCAGAGTTCAGTACATTTTTTGTTTTTGTTTGTTTGTTTGTTTGGGTTTTTTTTTTTTTTTTTAGATGGAGTCTCACTCTGTCGCTCAGGTTGGAGTGTGGTGGAGCGATCTTGGTTCAGTGCAACCTCTGCCTCCCAGGCTCAAGCGATTCTCCTGCCTCAGCCTCCTGAGTAGCTGAGATTACAGGCACCCACCACCACGCCCAGCTAATTTTTAAAATCTTTTTGGTAGAGATGGGGTTTCACCATGTTGGCCAGGCTGGTCTCTAACTCCTGTCCTCAAGTGATCCACCCGCCTGGGCCTCTCAAAGTGCTGGGATTACAGGCATGAGCCACCGGGCCAGGCCAAGTTTTTAAACATGTTTAAAATAACTAATACTTATCTGTCACTTATCACACTATTCCCCACATTCTATTGTGGGATAGAATTTTTTTCTTCGCTTTGTGGTCCACATTTTCCTTTCTGAGTTTTGTTTTGTTTCGTTTTCTTTGTTTGTTTGTGTTTGTTTTTACAGGCGTGCCACCATGCTTGGCTAATTTTTTGTATTTTTAGTAGAGGCAGGTTTCACTATGTTGGCCAGACTGGTCTCGAACTCCTGACCTCAAGTGATCTGCCTGACTCGGCCTCCCAAAATGCTGGGATTACAGCCGTGAGCCACGGCACCCAGCCGCTTTCTGGGTTTTTTTTATTGCTTTAATCCTTTAAAAATTATCCTTCTCTCACAGCTGGATTTATACTTCCTCAAATAATTGAGTTTATGAAGAGCTATCTATTCTATTCTTTAGATTTAATTTTACTTGATTTTTAACTCAGTTAAAATCCCAACTGAGATCTATTGTGCCCTATAGTAGGAAATAGGTAGTTCTAAATTTATTTTTCCACATTACTATTCAGTTGTTCTCAAGTGCTCACTTAATATTAAATACTTCACTCATTGTGTTATGGTGCATGTTTGACATCTGTTAATGTCATATGTGCTTAAAGTTATTTCCAACCTCTTGCCTTCATTCTATTGATAAATACTTCACTTTCGAGGCAGTATCACAGTTTTAAGCATTACTGCTTTGTATCTTGTTCTAATATGTGGTGAGATGAATCTGTACTTATTACTCTTTAAATTATTATTTTGTTTTCTTGCTTATTTTTCCATTTTAATTAAAGTTGTATTAAAATTAGAAAATTGTTTGGCACAAATTGCCGTATTTACAAATATGCTATCTTCCCATTCAAGAGTAGATAAATAACAAGCTATTTTACAAATAATACCTAAAACCTAAATATTCTGTCAGTATTGCTGGAGTCTCACAATTGCCCACAATCTTTTCTCCCTTTGGTAACAAGGGCCAATTCTCTGCAACATTCAGCAGCTGTGGTAAGTGGAATAATAACCCCAGTCTCCCAAGGACGTCTGTGTCCTAATCCCTGGAACCTGTGAATGTGTTATGTTACGTAGCAAAGGAGAATTAAGGTAGAATATAGAATTAAGATTGTTAATCTGATGTCCTCAAAATAGGGAGAGCCAGACGCAATGGTGTGTACCTGTAATCCCAGCTACTTGGGAGATTGAGGCGGGAGCATCAGGAGGATGGCTTATGCCCAGGAGTTCAAGGCTGCAGTGAGCTTTGGTCACGCCACTGCACTCTAGCCTGGGTGACACAATGAGACTTTATCTGTAAAAAACAAACAAAGCAAAACAAACAAACAAAAACGAGAGAGAGAGAGAATGGAGAGTGAGAGATGAGACCTCATCTGTCAAAAAGAGAGAGAAAGAGAGATTCTCTAGGTGGGCCTAATGTAAGCACAAGGGTCCTTAAAAGTAAAAGAGAAAGGAAGAAGAATAGGTGGCTAGGTCAGAATGATGAGATGTGAAAAATCTAGACTCACAATTACTAGCTTTGAAGATGGAGGAGGGGGCCAGGAGCCAAGGAATGTGGGCTGGGCTGGAAACAATTTCTCCCCAAGAGCCTCCAGAAGTGAATGCGGTGCCACTGATACCTTTCCCCCCGCACTTAGTAATAGTGTCCCACTCTAACCCAGGCTGGAGTACAATCATTCCATCATGGCTCACTGCAGCCTCAAATTCTTGGATTTCAAACCATCCTCCCGCCTCAGCCTCCCAAGAGGCTGGGACTACAGGCATGTCCACCACACCCAGCAAATTTTATATCTTTTGTAGAGGCAGGATCTCTTTTTGTTGCCCATGCTGGTCTCAAACTCCTGGCCTCAAGGGATCCTCCCACTGCAGCCTCCCAAAGCGTTGGGATTACAGGCATGAGCCAGCATACCCAGGCTCATATGCTAAATAAGTTTATGTTTTAAGCCATGAAATCTATGATAATATGTTATAGCAGCTACAGGAAACTAATACGTTTGCTCAGTAAAAGCTGTGCAAAGGATTATTCTTTCACTGACCTTGTTCCTCTCTGCCCTCAACCTATCTCTGAGGCCAATAAAAGTTAGCAGGAGGCCAGGTACAGTGGCTCATTCCTCTAATCCCAGCACTTTGGGAGGCCAAGGTGGGAGGATCGCTTGAGCCCAGTAGTTCGAGACCAGCCTGGGCAACAGAGAGAGAACCCATCTCTACAAAAAATGTAAAATTAGTTGGGCATGGTGGCAGCGCCTGTGGTCCCAGCTACTCAGGAAGCTAGGGTAGGAAGATTGCTTGAGCCCAGAGGGTTGAGGCTATAGTGAGCCGTGATCATGCCACTGCACTCCAGCCTTGGTGACAGAGTAAGACTCTGTCAAAAAAAAAAAAAAGTTAACAGACCTGGCCATGGCCCCTGCCTCTTCTGGCTCTTGGCTCTTGGAACATAGGAATCATCTTTCTGGAAATTAATTGCTTCTGCTTGGTACATGCTGCACCACTTTTGTTCAGTCCTGCCTAACCACTTTTGTACTCCTACTTTCCTGCCTAAAATACTTGGGAATCTGTAGGTGCTCAGAGATAGGGGGCAATAGGGGAAGCTGGAAATCACACTTCTTTTACTCCCTCACCCCCACCACATTTATGAAATTTGTACAATTTTCACACCATCCAAGGACTTTCTCAGTTATACATCTTTTCCTTCAACTACAGAAAAGTTTTCCCAGAATCACTTGGTACTAGTTTTCAAATGTTTCATAAGATGAAAGGACAAGAGCCCATGCAGCTTATAGCAGACTGGATTTGGAATTTCCACAGCAAACCTATTGTGCCTTTGAGAATAGAAATCCTTAGAATTAAAACGCTCTTTAATTTCAAAGTATAAAATATACTGTCATTTTATTCCAAGTATAAAAATGTAGAGAAACGCTGATTATGAATCACATATTGCTGGGATAATATGAGATGGGACTAGTTTAAGGGGCTGATCAGAAAGGAGATAAATTTCCTTTGGCTGGGACACATTGGTGGAGATAGTGCTTTTATAATCTCCCTCCTCCCTTTTTCGGTAGCTTACATTTATTGAGCCTTTACTCTGTGCCAGGTGATGTACTAAATAATTTACATGGGTGATTCTTTCTTTCTTTCTTTCTTTCTTTCTTTCTTTCTTTCTTTCTTTCTTTCTTTCTTTCTTTCTTTCTTTCTTTTTCTTCTTTCTTTCTTTCTTTCTTTTTCTTCTTTCTTTCTTTCTTTCTTTGTTAGATGGAATCTTGCTCTGTCACCCAGTCTGGAGTACAGTGGTACGAACTCAGCTCACTGCAACCTCCGCCTGCTGGGTTCAAGCGATTCTTATGCCTCAGCCTCCCGAGTAACTGGAACTACAGGTGTGTGCTACCATGCCTGGCTAATTTTTGTATTTTTAGAGAGATGTTGGCCAGGCTGGTCTTGAACTCCTGACCTCAAGCAACCAGCCCATCTCTGAGGCCAATAAAAGTTAGCTGGGGGCCAGGCACAGTGGCTCATTCCAGCACTTTGGGAGGCCAAGGTGGGAGGATTGCTGTTGGCCAGGCTGGTCTCGAACTCCTGACCTCAAGTGATCTGCCCGCCTCTGCCTCCCAAAGTGCTGGGATTACAGGCGTGAGCCACTGCACCTGGCCCACAGATGATCTTATTTGATCCTCACATTAAGAGTTAGGTACTCTGAATCCCATTTAAAGATGAGGAAGCTGTTACCCACAGTCACAAAGTGACTAAAAGCCAGGATTCAAAGTCAAGTCCGTCTGACTCCAGAACTTGTGCTTTGTCAAGTGTAACATAGTGGTCATGCACTGTGATGCTAGTATTACAATGATCTGGCTGCCAATTCCAGCTCTGCCATCTCCCAGCTGTTTGTTCCCGGGAACATTTTAACCTCCATATCTTCAGTGCCCTTCTCTATAAGAGTGGAATCATAGACAGTGGATGAGAAGAATAAATGATATAACATACGTAATGTAGATAGTATAACCCCCAGCCACAGAGTAAGTGCTCCAGAAATGTTCACTACTATCTCTCCATACTGTCTCCTATCATCACATCATAACCTCTCCTGCCATCTTTCATATGTGGCAAGATGGAAAGAGGCCTAATTAGGAGTCAGGTGGTCTAGGTTCTTGTTACAGTTCTATTACTATCTCTGTAAGTTAAACCACTTAACCCACTGTATCTATTTTGTCTGACAAAATTTTAAGCACAATACTCTTCGCTGTGTATACAAAGTTGTTCTAGGGATCAAGTGAAATCAGACATATTTCAAAAAATCAGAAAAGTGTAAAGAGTTAAACGTATTGTACAGACATAAGGAATCATTTCATCCATGGCCTTCTGGAGATCAAAGTGTCATATTCATATTTCTATTCCCACTTCCCTTTCCCAGACCTACCTTTCCCACTTCTTTTTCCTCAAAGAAATGAAATCAAATGTGGTGAATAACATAGAGAAGAATTAAATAGTGATCAGACTGGATATTTGGTAATAGTAAAGAATTGGCCATGTTTTAACTGTGATAATGATACTGTGATTCTGTTCATTAAAAGGGTCTATCTTTTAGAGAAACATATTAAAATATTTGCTAATAAAATAATATGATGTCTGGATTTGCTTCAAAATAACAGGGTGGGGGAAGACGGGGAGTTGGAGAATGGGTGAGGGTATTAATGAAATAAGATTGGCTATGAATGAGTATTGTTGAAAGAGGGTGATGCATGCATGGGAGCTAATCTTACCATTCTTTCAACCTTAATGTATGATTGATATTTCCCATAATAAAACTCTTAAAGTTGGGTGTGGTGGCTTACGCCTGTAATCCGAGCACTTTGGAAGGCTACGGCGGGCATATTGCTTGAGCCCAGAAGTTTGAGACCAGCCTGCGCAACATGGTGAAACCCTGTCTCTACAAAAAATACAAAAATTAGCCAGGCATGTGGTGTGCACCTGTCATCCCAGCTACTTAAGAGGCTGAGGTAGGAGGGATCGCCTGAGCCCGGGAGGTCGAGACTTGAATGAGCCTAGATTGCACCACTGCCCTCCAGACTGGGTGACAGAGCAAGACTTTGTCAAAACAAAAACAAACAAACAAACAAACAAAAAAACTACCACCACCACCACCACCACAACAAATCCCTTCCAAAAAAAAAAATCAAGGGTTTTGACGGACATGGTGGCTCACACCTGTAATCCCAGCACTTTGGGAGGCAGAGGTGGGCTGATTACCTGATGTCAGGAGTTCGAGACCAGCTTGGCCAACATAGTGAAACTCCATCTCTACTAAAAATACAAAATTAGCCGGGCTTGGTGGTGCACACCTATAATCCCAGCTACACGGGAGGCTAGGGCAGGAGAATCACTTGGACCCATGTGGCAGAGGTTGCAGTGAGTCGAGATTGGCCACTGCACTCCAGCCTGGGCAACAAGAGTGAAACTCCATCTCAAAAAAAATAAATAAATAAATAAAGGGTTTCAAACCCAAATGTCTACAGAGCCAGTCAGGTAACATAAAAGGGAAGCAGACTGGGTGCAGTGGCTCACACTTGTAATCCCAGCACTTTAGGAGGCCAAGGCGGGTGGATCACCTGAGGTCAGGAGTTCGAGACCAGCCTGGCCAACATAGTGAAACTCTGTCTCTACTAAAAATACAAAAATTAGCTGGGCGTGGTGGCATACGCCTGTAGTTCCAGCTCCTCAGAAGGCTGAGGCAGGAGAGTTGTTTGAAACCAGGAGGTGGAGGTTGCAGTGAGCCGAGATCTGCCACGGCACTCCAGCCTGGGTGACAGAGTGAGACTCCATCTCAAAAAAAAAAAAAAAAAAAAAAAAAAAAGGGTGATGAACAGCCCCTACTCAACTCCAGCTGAATGTTGTCCTGGATGGGAATGTGGAGCTGGGTGCCAGAGTTTTTGGTTTTTCAAGAGAAGCCAGAAGTAAAACATTTTATATGAAATCTTCCAATCTTTAATGTTGGTGACTAATTAAAATATGTTTTATTAACACTGTGCCAGCCAATTAAAACAAATCTGAAGTCCGGGCGCAGTGGCTCAGGCCTATAATCCCAGTACTTTGGAAGGCCCAGGAGGGTGGCAGATGACTTGAGGTCAGGAGTTCGAGACCAGCCTGGCCAACATGATGAAACCCCATCTCTACTAAAAATACAAAAATAGCTGGGCGTGGTGGAGTGAGCCTGTAATCCCAGCTACTCGGGAGCTTGAGGCACGAGAATCGCTTGAACCCGGGAGGCGGAGGTTGCTGTGAGCTGAGATTGTGCCACTGCACTCCAGCCTGGGCAACAGAGTGAGACTCTATCTCAATAAAATAAATAAATAAATAAATAAATAAATAAATAAATAAATATAAAAAATAAAACAAGTCTGAGGACCAGATTCTGCCTGCAATTGCCAATTTGTAACCTCTGCATAAGAGGCTAATTTTAGGCAATGTTCACAACTCTGAAGCAGTCGAATGTCATGGGATGCCCTTCCAAAACCAACAAAACTAGAACGCCGTCGTTCTGCCCTAATATTCCTTAGTACAGGTCCTGCTCCTGTATGTGCTTTTTCTCTACTCTCCACCCTTACCTTTGAGTTCCAATAACTTTATTCTTCACTTGCATTACTTCGTTCCAATCTCAAATTCCTGATCGCCAAGGACCAAAAGTTCACAAGGTTTCAAGATGTGAGGCCTCTCCACAGCAAATCAAGATTTAGGACCCACATGATCTGATCCTTCTTTCTGACACATTTTGCTGCTCTTCTGAATGAGAGAAGCTTGGGAGAGTCTTAAAAATCATTATGCCCCAAGGAGCAAAGGAATAGGCTGGGAGGCATAGGGCATCCTAGAAAAGGAGCAGGTCTTGTGTTAACCTCCTGACTGACAGCCCACAGGGCAGGCATTTAGTGTGCGTCTCCTAGTCATGGTGGTGGAGAGAGTGGGTGAGTCTGTTTGGAGTCCTCCACTTTCCCTCATTCACCCCTTCTCCCATGACTACAAGCTTATGAGATTGTGGCTGGGTGATAACTATGCAGGTTTTTTTCTGAGAGGTCAGGGCAGGCTTTCTTGAGAAGTGATGTTTTAAGCAGAGAGAGAAGGATGAGTTAGAGTTAACAAGATGAAGAATGGATGAGAAAGCATTTCAGGCAGAGAGGACAGTGTGGGCAACAGCCCCAAGGGAGGAAAGTACTTGGCACATTTGAGGAACTGACAAAAGGCCAGTGTAGCTGCAGAAAGGAGGAGGGTGGCTAGAAATCAGGCTAAGGCAGCAGGCAAAAGCCAGATCATACAAGCCTTGCCAGACCCAAATTGGAGAGCCCAGTGGGTTCGTGACACTGTTCTGGAGACTCTAGAAGCTACAGACATGGCTCAGACCTAGTCCCTGCCCTCCAGCAGCAGACAGCAACCAGTGGGATATTAGGCAAGTGCCAGCGGTTGCTAACGAATGTTATTGGAAGGGATTGAGGAGAAAAGTGGTTCGTTTTTGAATGGAGGGATTAGGGGACGCTTCAGGGAAGAGGTGACAGTTACTTAAACCTTGAAGGATAAATGACATTTCAACTAACAGAGAAGGTGGGCAGAAAATTTCCGGTAGCAGGAGCAGCCTACTCAAAGGAACAGAGGTGAGGCCATTTGGAGTATGTTTGGGAGAAAAGAAGAGCAAAGTTGAGGGTGGGAACAGAATTTGGGAAGCAACAGTGTCGTATAATACAACTTTGGGGTGGCCTGAATCCCTAGCTAAGAAGTATGTGTACCATCTAACCTGTTGTAAGTACTATAAGCTAGAAACAAGATTTCCTAAATGCAACCTTTTTCATTGTACATCATACTTTAAAATAATACTGGGTTCAACCATACAGATTCCAAAACTCTTTTCTTTTTTCCTTTGAGACAGAGTCTCACTCTGTTGCCTAGGCTGGAGTGCAATGTTGCCATCATGGCTCACTGTACTCTCAACCTCATGGGCTCAAGTGATCCTCTTGCCTCCTGAGCTGCTAGGACTACAGGCCTGCACCACTAGGCCTGGCGAATTTTAAAACTTTTTTGTAGAGATGGGGCCAAAATTCTTTCTGTCTCTTCCTATCACAGATGATCATGACTTATTATTTTCTCATGGAATTGATTTTTATATAATAAAATTATACTCTATTGTCAAAAATTAGAAAATACAGGCCAGGCACGGTGGCTCACATGTATAATCCCAGCAATTTGGGAGACTGAAGCAGGTGGATCACTTGAGCCCAGGAGTTTGAGATCAGCCTGGGAAACATGGTGAAACTCTGTCTCTACAAAAAATATATAAAAATTTAGCTGAGCATGGTGGCATATGCCTGTAGTCCTAGCTACTCAGGAGGCCGAGGTGGGAGGATTGCTTCAGCCCGGTAGGCAGAGGTTGCAGTGAACTGAGATTGCACCACTGCTCTCCAGCCTGGGTGTCAGAATGAGACCCTGTCTCAAAACAAAACAAAACAAAAAACAAAAACAAAAAAAACAGAAATCCTAATGTAGACTGTAAAAATGACAGGCAATCTGTATTTGTCCATTTTCACACTGCTGATAAAGACATACTCGAGACTGGGCAATTTACAAAAGAAAGAGGTTTAATTGGACTTATAGTTCCATGTGGCTGGGGAAGCCTCACAATCATGGCAGATGGCAAGGAGGAGCAAGTCACGTCTTACATGGATGGCAGCAGGCAAAGAGAGAGAGAGGAAGATGCAAAAGTGGAAACCCCTGATAAAACCATTAGATCTCATGAGACTTATTAACTACCAAGAGGACAGTATGGAGAAAACTGCCCCCATGATTCAATTATCTCCCACCAGGTCCCTCCCACAACATGTGGGAATTATGGGGGTACCATTCAAGATGAGATTTGGGTGCGGACACAGAGTCAAACCATATCACAATCTTACAACTAAGAGATAATTACCATGAACATTTTGGTGTATATTATTCTAATTTTTTAATCTAAATATATGTTTATATAATTTTAAATAAAAATTAGATCTTATTATACATTCTGTTTTATGATATCATTTTCTCCTAATACATCAGGAACCTCCTCATTCTGTGACAATAAAAATACATTTCAATCATTACAATTTTTAGTGGCTTCATAGAATTCTAGTATATCGGTTGCCATAATTTATTAAACCAATACTTTATTGTTGGACATTTCACTCATCCCTAGCTATCCACATCATAATTAACACTGTGATTAACATCTTTGCATTAGATTAAACCATATATAATTGTCATTGTTGAAGGTGAAAAATGGTCAAATATCAGCAATTTCATATTATTCAACTTAATATATACATCTCTATGCCAAACTCTGATTACTGCATTAGAATAAATTTCTAGAAGTAGAATTGGCCAGGTGTGGTGGCTCATGTCTGTAATCTTAGCACTTTGGGAGGCTGAGACAGAAGGATCATTTGAGCCCAGGAGTCCAAGACCTAACTGGGCAACATAGTGAGACCTGTCTCTACAAAAAATTTTAAAAAATAGAAGTAGAACTACTGGATAGGAAGGTATGAACATTTCAAAAGCTTGAAACGTTTTACAAAATTCAGAATTGATCTCTATTACCTTTTATTTATTTATTTATTTATTTATTTTTGAGACAGAGTCTTGCTCTATTGCCCAGGCTGGAGTGCAGTGGTGCAACCTCAGCTCACTGCAAACTCTGTCTCCCAGGATCAAGTGATCCTCCAGCCTCAGCCTCTCAAGTAGCTGGGACTACAAGCATGTGCCACCATGCCAGGCTAATTTTTGTATTTTTAGTAGAGATGGGGTTTCACCATATTGGCCAGGCTAGTCTGGAACTTCTGACCTCAGGTGATCCACCCACCTTGGCTTCCCAAAGTGCTGGGATTACAGGTGTAAGCCACCATACCCGGCCTATTAACTTTTATTTTTAAAGCACTTCTTCTGTATCACTGAGGTTCCTCATGATACTGTAGAGAGAAATATAGATTAGCAAGTATCAGAAGTATTCATCTAATGTTTGGGCAATTGTGTTTACCTGTTTAAAAAAGCAATGCAGGAATACACCATAAAATCTGTATGTGTACCACCTAATCCACTGTAAGTACTACAAGCTAGAAATAAGTTATTACTTTTTTCTACATGCTATCTTCACTGTGTTGTCAAGGCTGGTCTCAAACTCCTGGGCTCAAATGATCCTCCTGCCTCAGCCTCCCAAAGTGCTGGGATTACAGACGTGAGCCATCATGCCTGGCCAATTCCACTTCTAGAAATTTATCCCAGTGCAATAATCAGAGTTTGGCACAGAGATGTATGTATTAAGTTGAATAATATGAATAATAAAATTTTTTTATGTTTTATATAGAAAAATAAATGCCCACAAAGAGTTTAAGTCTCATATACTTATTGAAAGAAAAATAAAATCTCACTGCAGTCAAAGAGTTTGGGTTTCCCTGGGATCTACTCTTACTGTCCAGCAAGGGTATTTACATTTTTTTTATTTGAAGTGTCAGATGAAAGTCCCAGTTGAACTACTACAATGAACAGCACTGGAGTTAACCAAGTTGTTTTAAATATTTTGTAGCAGGGCTGGGTGTGGTGACTCATGTCTGTAATCCCAGCTCTTTGGGAGGCTGAGGCAGGCGGATCACTTGAACCCAGGAGTTCAGGGCTGCAGTGAGCTACGATCATGTCACTGCACTCCAGCATGTGTAACAGAGAAAGACCTTCACTCACTCACTCACTCACTCTATCTATCTATCAATATAGATTTTATATATATGAATTACCTCCTACACTCTATGTGTATATATACATATATATATATATAGAGAGAAAGTAGCAGGTAATTAGGTAACTATTTTATATATATATATATGTATGTGTGTGTGTATATATATAGTGTCTCTATGTGTCTATATATATATAGTGTCTCTATGTGTCTATATATATAGAGTGTCTCTATGTGTCTATATATATATACATATATATATATATATATATATAGAGAGAGAGAGAGAGAGAGAGAGAGACAGAAGCAGGTAATTAGGTAATTTCCACTTGTTTTTATTTCACGAAAGCTTGTATTGCCCTGGAGGATGTATCTTAAGAACATAATCCTAGCTGGGCACAGGGTACATAATCCTAGCTGGGCACAGAGTACACCTGTAATCCCAGCACTTTGGGAGGCCAAGGTGGGGGGATGGCTTGAGCTCAGGAGTTTGAGATCATCCGGGACAACATGGTGAAACCCCGTCTTTGTCAAAAATGCAAAAAATTAGTCGGGCATGGTGGCACGCACTTGTACTCCCAGCTACTCAGGAGGCTGAGGTGGGAGGACTGCAAGAGCCCAGGAGGTGGAGGTTGCAGTGAGCCGAGATCACGCCACTGCACTCTAGCCTGGGTGACAGAGTGAGACCCCCATCTCAAAAAAAAAAAAAAAAAAAAAAGGGCATGATCCTTTTTGAATATGAAAATTTTAGCCCATTTTAACCAGATGTTGCAGAGAAAATCCAAGTATGGGGAAAAATTGTCCAAATAAAACATTTTAAAGAAGCACAATTCTTGATGCAATCTTTATAAGGAAAGAAAAACAATTATAGTTATTTAAGTGTTGTTTTCAGGTATCCATATTGAATATTTCAATACAGTAGCAGTAATGGCCAGCTGTTGTGTGGTCTTTGAATGAGGCCTAGAACATGAATAGGAAGAAAAAGGGAAAATATTAGTGTGGTGTGGTAGATTAAATTATTGGCATCAATTCTTCACCTCACCTTGTGTCCATGTATTTTGCCATGTAACTTTGCTGTTCCTCCTAGTAAAGGCCAAATGCACTTCCCCACTTCTTGACTTTGGGCTCTGCCATGTGACTTACTTTGCTCATTAGAATACAAGTAGAAGTGACAGTGTGCTAATTTCAAGACCAGACTTTAAGAGTCAGTGCATGTTTCTCTATGTACATATGTATGTATGTATGTATATAAATTTTATTGAGATATTCACATAACATATAATTCACCCATGTAAAGTACATAATTCAGTGGCTTTTAGTAAAGTAGAGTCATATAATGATCACCACAATCAATTTTATTCTCAACATCCCAAACAGAACCCCCTCATGCTTATTAGAAGCCACTTCCCATTCTCTCCAACTCCCCTCTCTGGCCTCTGGTAACCAGGAGTTTACTTTCTGTCTCTATGGATTTGCCTATTCTGGACATTTCATATAAAAAGAATCACACAATACATAATCCTTACGACTGGCCTCTTAATACCTGGCACAGTGTACTCAAGTTTCATCCATGTTGTAGCATGAATCAGAACTTAATTCCTTTTGTGGCTAAATAATATTCCATTATAATATGGATACTTCCCATTTTATTTATCCATTTGTCAGTTGATGAACATTTGGGTTGTTTCTATATCTCCATGGCTATCATGAATAATGCTACTTAAACATTTGTGTACAAGTTTTTGTGTGGATGTATGTTTTCAGATCTCTTGAGTATATATCTAGGAGTGGAGTTCTTGGGTTATATGGTAACTCTATGTTTAACCATTTGAAGAACTTATCAAACAGTTTTCTAAAGTGGTTGTATTATTTTACATTCCCGCAGCAGTATATGATTTCTTCACATGCTCACCAACAATTGGTACTATCTAACTTTTTTATTATAGCCATCCTAGTGTGTGTGCAGTGGTATCTCATTGTGGTTTTGATTTGCATTTATGTAATAACTAGTGATGTTGAACAATTTTTCATGTCCTTATTGATCATTTGTATATTGTCTTTTGACAAATGTCTAAAGAGATCCTTTGTTCACTTACTTCTGTGTCTCTGCCATGGCCAGAAGGGCTTTCCGTGGGTAGCCAGAGCACCTTCATCCTGAGCCCCAGAATGAACACACCTGGAGCAGATCAGAACTAACCAGCAGTGGTGAACCAACCCCAGTCAGATCCATAGCTTGAAGCATGGCTGCCCGGCCAAGCTGCCTTGATCAGCCAACGCTTAATTAATATATAATAAATTAGGCCTGGCATGGTGGCTCACTTTTGTAATCCCAGCAATTTGCGTGGCTGAGGCAGTAGGATGGCTTGGACCTAAGAGTTTAAGACAAGCCTGGGCAACATAGTGAGATCCTCATCTATAAAAACAATTATAAAAAATAGCCAGGGATGGTGGTGTACTCCCAGTTACTCAGAAGGCTGAGGTGGGAGGATCGCTTGAGCCCTGGGAGGTCAAGGCTGTAGTAAGCCATGATTGCACCACTGTACTCCAGCCTGGGTGACAGAGTGAGACCCTGTCTTCCCCCCTCCCTCCCAAAAAAAAAGAGAAAGAAATAAGCATATCACTGTGTCTCACTGAGATTTTGTGCTTGGTTGTTACTCAGTAATATTTGACTGATAGTGAAGAAAAGAAAAATAGGTGACATACTAATTACACATGACAACATCTGTCTAGAAATCCTGATAGCAATTCTTTGCCTCCTAACTCCCCTCCAACTCTCTCCACCAAAATAAAACAGGTTCACATCCTCCACCTTTAGGACATCGCTGACAGTTCCTTGGGTACCTTTTGAATCATCTCATCCACATTATTACTACCTTGCTAGAATTTCCTGAAGAATAAAATTAATTCTATAACAGAGAATTTTAAGTCACCTGAATATACAATACCAGTGTTCTTTTTATTATCCTTTCACTATTAATACTTTATTATATTTTATTTCTGCCCATCTACCCCACCAAAAAGAAAAGAAAAATCTTAAATGGATAAATGGAAAAATGGAACTTCCTTCTTCCCTCTTTACTACTAAGTGTTCTGGGATGTTTCTACCAACCAAGAAAGATGCAAACAATTAAATAATTTGAAAGTGATTTTTTATAGTCAGATAATTCTGGGTATTTATAGCAATTCCTTGTCAAATATGCATTGAGTAAACAGGAGACCCAAGAAAAGAGATGGAAAAGAATACGTCAAGCAAGCCAAGAAATTAAAATATAAGTTCACCAACAGATTCTCTTTCAGTGGAAAGAGCTACTCTAAAATCCTCTCCACTGTTAGCTTTACTAACTAGACTAAAATTAAGGCCCAAACAACGATGAAAAAGAAGAGACATTAAATAGAGTGAGTGAACAGACATCAACTACTGTACAGCAGGACACTTACTACATAATCAAAATAAACTTTCCGAGAGCATCTAGTTTGGTGTGTCTATCACTTAATCCCCTTTGGCTAAATAGAACTGGATGTCACCTATGAACCCAGGTTAACGTAAGAAATAAATTGCAATGTTATCTCCATAGATACTCAGATGGTAAATGGAAATGGTACTTAGAATTAAGTAAGGGAGTTAAAAGTAATTTACTGAAAAATAATAAAACTAACAGAAAATGGGTATGATTTGTTAACTCTTTAGAGTTAATGAAATGGAAATACAATACACCCATATTATAAGATACAAGTATATAGTGAACAATTGCTTAAAGCTTTTATGTTTTTATATTGCCCCCAAAACATATTAGCTTTTCAGTCTCTATTAATACAAGGAATGTTACTTTTTAAAAAGAAATCAACGACAAAACGAGCAAAAAAATCTAACTTTTGAGATGATCTCAACAAATAATGTAGAATCAAAGCTAGACCATTATCTCTGGCTGAGAATAACTGGTGCAAACTTTTGGAATCTTCCATGAGTTGCTAAAGCACAAAGTTTAAGCACTCAAAAATCAATTTAATTACCAAATTAACAGAATGAAAAAAGAAAAAACATTTGATCATCTGAAGAGACGCAGAAAAATATTTGACAAAATCCAACCTCCATTCCTGATTAAAATAAAAAACAACTCTTAGCAACTGATTAATTGATGGGACTTTCCTTAATCTATTAAAGGATAACTCTGAAAAATCTGCAGTTAACATTATGATGGTAGCAGGCTGAACATTCTCCCTGTAAGAACAGCCTCAGGCAAGGAAGAAGTTGAGGTAGTTGAAGCTAGAGTCTCAATTTTCTCTTTGAAGGCAGTAACATTCTCTGCCTATGCCCAGTCTTCAGTCTATCACTCTGATATTGTTCATAGATATTGCAGATCTAAGAAGGAGAAGAAAGCTAAGCACTTCACTTTGAGCAAGTAATGTACAAACCAATCATTTATCAGAATTGTTTGAATTCACTAAGCAACACTGCCAAGTACTACACATGACATGATGTACACCTCAAAGTCTTATATTGTGAAGCAGTAGTTCTCAAACTCTGATAATGCGTTCAATCACCTGGGAGCTTATTAAAATGCATGTGCCTAGGCCCCACTCCCAAAGAATATAATTCAATGTATCTGAAGCCCAACATAGGAATCAGAGAATCAATATTTCAAAAAAGCTTCATTCAATCCCTGATACTGATGCAGGTGGTTCCTAGACCGTTTAGAGAAATACTGGAGTAAGGGCTCCATCACAACTATGACAATGACAACTATGGCAACCTAATTTTGGTGGAAGGGTATTGGATGACAAGCTGTTTCCTAGTGCTCAAGCTGTCAAATTATCTGTTGAAATCGTTACAGGCCACAGAGACACACTCTTCTTCACACTTTCTCTACCCTGCCTCCATGATACAATTTGATTCAAGGCTTCTACCCTTTTCTCTAACTGCCCATTGGGCAATTTTGACAAGGACTGGCTCTATATTGAGATATATGGAATTGCCAGAGGAAGGGGCATTTTATGGTCCACTCTGCTGAAATCATATTTGTTTAATCTTCTCCACCTTCGTGGCCTGCTCCTTCTCTGCTCAGCCTCTGAGGGAGTCTGACAGAGCTGTGCCTACAGTGGGGATCAATTCCCTTTTTCAGCAGAGCTGTATATGTAGAAAACCATGTGTCATGTGAACCTGAAAAACCCAATTCTTCAAGATGGATCCCAAGTGGCTAATTAGGCCTAAATTTAAAATAGAGCCAAGTGGCCATTTGCTGACTAGAGGTCACACATTTACTCTGAGTTCCTCCAAAAACTCACCTCTGTTTAACTTTGGGACTTCCAGAGTTTACATGAACCAACCAATGAGAGCTCACCTGAACCAATCAATCAGAGCTCACCTGCCTCGACTAATCAGGGATCAGCCAATTGGAACTAAGAGAGTTTGAATCCTTTATTTGCATAAATGGGCATGATTAGGAACCTGGGTGGGAGCTTATGCTATAAAACTTGAACCCTGCTTTTGTTCTCTGGAATGCGTCTTCATTTTATACCAAAGGCTGCATCTCCCTGGCTTGCAAACTGTTCACCTCAAGAAAGTCTTTCCTCCAAATTCTTTTTCTTAGAACTTTTGTTCACACACAAATATATGTGTATTTAGAACCATTTACATCAAAACTGATTGTATGCAGTGAAAAGATACACTTGTAAACTGGCCAAAATTACAACTGTTTCTATCCATATTGATTTGCTTTGTACACTCAAAGTGCAGTTGAAAGAGCACCATGATGTCTGACAGGCTCTGAAAAGCAGCACTTGCTGTAAGTAATTTAAATGGAGCACTATTATGGTTTATGGATTTTTTCTGTTTAGAATCAGTAAGAAGCAAAGGCCTGAAAGTTTTAAGCTGATGCTTATCACTTTTGGTTCCATAACTCCTTGTGGTTATGTTTTTTTCTCCTTTGTATCGTAGTCATTGAAGTTTCTTGGGCAGCAAAGTATCTTTAGTGATCTTTAAATATTTTACATGTTCTCCCAACCCACTCCCACTTCACCAAATTTTCACCTATAAATTTGTTGCAATAGAAAATTTTCTTTGGAGACTATTTATCACAGGCACAAGAAGGGAAATGTAGCTAATAAAGACACATCTTGAGAACAAAATAGGGTTGGTATGTAATTTCAGATGGTAAGTTTATTATGCCTTACTGACATCTACTCCTATCAACACAGGTTTTAGAATAGTGGCCTCATGGTGTGGTTGGGGAGACACTTATGGATCATCTACTGCTATCTCCCCTTTTCAAGATGGGCAAATTTAGGCCAGAGGGAAGTGATGTCCCCAGCTCCCAGAGAGTCAAGCTTTGCCTTCCTTCTTTCCTCCCTTCCTCCCTCCCTCTATCCTTCACATGCCTTGGGGCCAGCCTGGAGTCTAAGGTCAACCATGTTATGTCTAGAACCCAGAAGACTGGGCCGGGCGCGGTGGCTCATGCCTGTAATCCTAGCACTTCGGGAGGCTGAGGCGTGTGGATCACCTGAGGTCAGGAGTTCGAGACCAGCCTTCCCAACATGGTGAAACCCCCATTTCGACTAAAAATACAAAAAATTAGCCAGGCGTGGTGCCGGACATTTGGAATCCCAGCTACTCGGGAGCCTGAGGCAGGAGAATCATTTGAACCCAGGAGGCAGAGGTTACAGTGAGCCAGGATTGCGCCACTGCCCTCCAGCTTGGGCAACAAGAGAGAAACTCCGTCCCCCCCCAAAAAAAAAAAAGAACTCAGGAGACCCTGACCCTCTTGAACTGCTTTGTCAGTCTCCAAATCTGTGGAAACACCACTGTTTGCATTCACTGAATCGTACCTGAGTTCCTCTCTGGGGCCTGCCCCAATCTACTGCCAAATCTAGTGATTCTCCTTTGGCAGAACTTTCCAAATCACTCCATGCCTTCCTAATTTCTACAGCCAACAATCAAATTCAGGCACTCATTTCCTCTCTTCTGAGTTATTGGTACAGCTTTCTAACTGTTCCCTACCACCAGTTTCTTTGTCTCCAGTCCCATCTCCACTACCACCCGCCATAGAGCTGGAAGACTAACATCCCTAAAGCCAAGTCATCTTATGACTCTCTTGCTTGAAACCTGTCAATGGCTCCCTATAATGGAAAACAAAAGTCCAAACTCCTTGATCTGGTATTCAAGGCCTGCTAGGAATTGGTCCTCACTTATTTATGCAGCCTCATCTTCTACTGTTCTTGATGTATCATATGCCCCAAACTAGACTTCTAGCATATTTCCAAATGTACCCCATATATCCCCTTATCCTTACCTTCACGATTAATCTAATAATCCGCTTAAAGATTCCCCTGCCACATAACACACTAGAAATTCTCTCTCCTTCCTCCTTCCTAGCACTTAATTATAATATAATTTTGGAGATAAATACTTGATTCTTACATTCTTCCTACTCAAACCGTAAGCTTCTTGCCAGCATGAATAATCTGCTTAATCTCTGATTCAAGCAAAAGTCGTGGTTACCATGCTGCCACTGGAGCAGTTGTGCAATGGAAAAATAATGTGGGTCGGATATGTAATTTTAAGTTTTCTAATAGCCTCATTTTAAAAATAAGAAGATTCATGGAAAATTAAGTATAGTCCTGTATTTTGACTTATATTAAACTATCATCTCAACATGTGATAATATTAAAATATTATTGAGATATTTTATATTCTTTTTTAATATTCTATTTAATATTTTTTTATATAGAATATTTT
This sequence comes from Homo sapiens, assembly GCF_000001405.40. Classification (NCBI taxonomy): domain Eukaryota; kingdom Metazoa; phylum Chordata; class Mammalia; order Primates; family Hominidae; genus Homo; species Homo sapiens. The sequence continues at coordinate 104,218,147 of NC_000023.11, read as the reverse complement.
ATATTCTATTTTATATTCTTTGAAACCAGGTGTATTTTTTTAAGTTGACAGCACATATTAACTTGGACTAGCCAAATTTGAAGTGCTCAATAACCCCATGTGGCTGGTGGCTACCACATTAGACAGTGAAGGTCGGGAATCTTTCTGCCAGGGCTCAAATCCTAGCTCTGTAACTTACAGCTGTGTAATCTGGACTAATTGCTTAACCCTTCTGTGCCTTAGAGTGAATATTTTTAAAATGGCAACAATAATAGTACCCACTCATAGGGTTACAGTGAAGATTAAATGAGAAAATGTGGCCATGTGCAGTGGCTCACACTTGTAATCCCAACATTTTGGGAGGCCCGGACAAGAAGATCGCTTGAGCCCAGGAGTTTGAGACCAGCCTGGGCAACATAGGGACAACCTGTCTCTACAAAAGTTTTAAAAATTAGCTGAGTGTGATGGCACACACCTGTTGTCCCAGCTATTTGGGTGGCTGAGGTGGGAGGATCGCTTGAGCCTGGAGTTCAAGGCTGCAGTGAGCCGTGATGCACTCCATCACGACATGATACCTGCCCCCCCCCAAAAAAGGATGGAGGGGGAGAGGGGAGAGAGAGAAAATGGGAGCAGAGAGCTTTGCATGTGGTTAGCACACAAGAAATTGTAGCCACTATTTTTAATATCATTATTTTTGAAGGTACCAAAAGGTCTAGAGAACATCTACGGTTGGCAACAACTGCATGTTTATTGCATTGAAATGAATTCTGGTGAGTTCCTCAAATTGCAGAGGGATTAAAGTGCTATTTATGAAAAATTAGCCTAAAAGTGTGAGGCTTATTCCAGTACAAAATCACAATGAAATATACTTGTCTTTTCAATGTACTGAATTTCCTTTGCAGCCTCCCAGGTTCTCGCCATGTCTCTGTGGTCCCAGGGGAAAGGATTTGCTACCACTCAGATCACTGGTTCTCAACCTTGACTGCATATTGGAACCATCTGGGAAGTTTTTAAAGCTACTGCTGTCCAGATCTACTCCCTCACCATTTTGATTTAATTGGTCTCGATGAGGCTGGGACATTGTTAGCTGTTTTGTTTTGTTTTGTTTTTTGAGACAAAGTCTCACTCACTCTGTCGCCCAGGCTAGGGTCCAGTGGCACAATCTTGGCTGACTGCCTCCATCTCCCGGGTTTAAGCGATTCTCCTGCTTCAGCCTCCTGAGTAGCTGGGACTACAGGCATGCACCACCACACCTGGCTAATTTTTGTATTTTTTGGTAGAGATGGGGTTTCACAGTGTTTGCCAGGGTGGTCTCAAACTCCTGACCTCAAGTGATCCACCCACCTCGGCCTCCCAAAGTGCTGGGATTACAGGTGTGAGCCACAACACCCAGCCGGACATTGTTAGTTTTAAAAGCTCCCCAGAGAATTTCTCTCTCTCTCTATCTCTCTGTCTCTCTCCTGTGTCTCTCTGTCTTTCTGTCTCTCTCTCTCTCTCTCTTTCTCCTCCCCCATTGGTATTTTTAATTGACGTATAATACTTGTACATATTTATAGGGTGCAGTATATTTTCATATATGTATATAATGTATAATGATCAAATCAGGCTAATTAGTATATCCATCACCTCAAACATTTATTATTTCTTTGTGTTGGGAGCATTCAAAGTCCACTCTGTAGCTATTTGAAAATATATGAAAATATATAAAATAAAATATGAGTTGTTTTAAATTATAGTTGAGCTACAGTGCTACAGGACACTAGAATGTATTCCTCTTATCTAGCTGTAATTTTGTATCTGCCAACCAACCTCTCATCACCCTTTCCCCACTACCCTTCCCATCATTCAGTGACCACTATTCTACTCTCTGCTTCTATGACATCAACTTCTTAAACTTCCACATGAGTGACTACATGTGGTATTTATTTTTCAGTGCTTAGCTTATTTCACTTAACATAATGGCCTCCAGTTCCATCCATGTTGCTGCAAATGACATGATTTTATTCTATTTTATGGATGATTAGTATTCTATTGTGTATTTATACCATATTTTCTTCATCCATTCATCTGTTGATGGACACTTAGTCAAGATTACATTTCTTGGCTATTGTGAATAATGCTGCAGTAAACATGGGGATGCAGATATCTCTTTGACATACTGATTTCTTCTCCTTTGGACACATACCCAGTAGTGGGATTGCTGGATCATACGATATTTCTATTTTTAGTTTTCTGAGGAATATTCATAATGTTTTCTACAATGGTTGCACTAATTTCCATTCCCACCAACAGTGTATAAGAATTTCCCTTTCTCAGGCTGGGCATGGTGGCTCACGCCTATAATCCTGGCACTTTGGGAGGCCGAGACTGGGGGATCACTTGAGGCCAGGAGTTTGAGACCAGCCTGGCCAACATGGTGAAACTCCGTCTCTACTGAAAATACAAAAATTTGCCAGGCGTGGTGGTGCACACCTGTAGTGCCAGCTACTCAGGAGGCTGAGGCAGGAGAATCACTTGAACCAGGAGGTGGAGACTGCAGTGAGCCGAGATCTCACCATTGCACTCCAGCCTGGGCAACAGAGTGAGACTCCGTCTCTAAAAAAAAAAAAAAAAAAGGAATTTCCCTTTCTCTGTGTACATGCCAGCATTTGTTATTTTTGTCTTTTTAAAAATAATTTTATTTTAGATTCGGGGGTACATGTGCAAGTTTGGTACCTGGGTATATTACATGATGCTGGGATTTGGGGTGTGAATACGTGAGGACATTCGGTATTTGGTTTTCTATTCTTGCATTAATTCACTTAGGTCATTCTAACTGGAATGAAATATCTCATTATGGTTTTGATTTACATTTCCCTGATGAATACGGATGTCGAGCATTTTTTCATGTATCTGTTGGCCATTTGTATGTCTTCTTTTGAGAGATGTCTGTTCAGCTCACTTACCCATTTTAATTGAATTATTTGGTCTTTGCTATTGAGTTCATTGTATATTCTGAATATCAATCCCCTGTCAGCCACATAGCTTGCAAATATTTCCTCCTATTCTGCAGATTGTCGCTGTCGCTTCACTCTGTTGATTGTTTCCTTTGCTGTGCAGAGCTTTTTAGTTTGGTATAGCTCCATTTGTCTCTGCTTTTGTTGCCTGTGCTTTTATTTATGTGTTTATTTTTAGATGGGGTTTTGCTTTTGTTGCCCAGGCTGGAGTGCAATGGTGCGATATTGGCTCACTGCAACCTCCGCCTCCCAGGCTCAAGTGATTCTCCTGCCTCAGCCTCCCGAGTAACTGAGATTACAGGCACATGCCACCACGCCTAGCTAATTTTTGTATTTTTAGTAGAGACGGGGTTTCACCATGTTGGCCAGGCTGGTCTCGAACTCCAGATCTCAAGTGATCTGCCCGCCTCAGCCCCCTAAAGTGCTGGGATTACAGGTGTGAGCTACCGTGCCTGGCCTAGGACCATCTTGTTTTTGGGAAGTGGGTGCCCCTGTAAAGTGCTCTGTGGATATGACTGTGCTTCCATGAATCCAGCTGGACCTTGGCAAGGCCACAAGGTTTAGTTAGCCAATCCAATGGAAGTGGCTGGTGGCTGGCCAGATCTATTTGGTGGCCTTAGAGTTTCTCCCTTCTCTTGTCTCTGTGGATATTAAGTAAATTTAGTGTGATCAATGACAGTGTTTGGATGAGAAATATATATATTTTCAAATCATGAATGGTTTTGCCTACAGAGAGAATAATTACATTGTAACCTGAAAAGCAAGGTAATAGGCAGCCATCCTTATGCGTTCAACAAGAATCTACAAAGTGCCTGTTTTGTATGCAGTGCTGTGCTCTGTGCTGTCTCTTTGACTTAGCAGGTCCCTTTGCCAGGAATGGATGGCTGCTCCTAATCTTGTCTTTCAAGTCAAAACTTAAATTTCCCCTCCTCAGTATTCCCCAGTCTTAACTGACACATTCTCCATCACATTATCTGATTTTATCTTCTTCATAGTGCTTTTGAGTATCTGAAATTGTTGTATTTGTTTTCTTTTTGTCTCACTCTTTTCCTCCCTCCCTCATCCTCTCTTCCCCTCTCCCTAGAATGGAAGCGCCAGGAAAGAAAGCTGGTCTTATCTGCCTTGCTCATTTCTATATCCCCAATGAGTAGCCACTCAATAAATATTCATTGAATAAATGAATGAGACACTTGGAAGATAGGAATCTCCAGCCAGGTCTTAAACGACACAGCCATGGGTCAGAAGAGAAATCAGCTTTCCGGATAAGGAGAGTAGGGTAGAAGACTTAATGACCTCAGTTTTCTGAGGGCCTGAGGGGAGCAGCCAGCGCATAGCCCAGGGGCTAGGTTAGGGAGCAATAAGTGCTGTCATCCGAGGCACAGGGAACTGTGCCCCTCCTTGGAGGGGACTGTAAAGCATGGAAAGTCACAGATGCTAAGATGAGGATGTACATGATCCAAAAAGCAGTTAAAAACAATGGGGCCTGGTGTGGTGGCTCACGCCTGTAATCCCAGTACTTTGGGAGGCCGAGGTGGTTAGGTCACTTGAGGTCAGGAGTTCAAGACCAGCCTGGCCAACATGATGAAACCCCATCTCTACTAAAAATACAAAAAAATAGGTGGGTGTGGTGGTGGGTGCCTGTGGTCCCAGCTACTAGGGAGGCTGAGGCAGGAGAATCGCTTGAACCTGGGAGGCGGAGGTTGCAGTGAGTCGAGATTGTGCCACTGCACTCCAGCCTGGGAGACAGAGCCAGACTTTGTCTCAAAAACAAAAACAAAAACAAACAAATGAAAAAAAAGAGAGAGAAACAATGGGTTATTGAGTAAGAAAATAATAAGAAAAACTGTATTTAGAGTTTATCCTAAAAGAACAACAAGAGTAAAATCCATTCATGTTCCTGAAGCACACTTGTTCCTCAAGTAAACCCTTGGAGAACACAACATAAAACAGATAAGTGCCTTACCCCTCTCATTCTTCTCTTTCCCCTTCTATAAAGCAGGAACAGAAGCATCATTAACAATAATGATGTGCTAACAGTTCTATTGCGAGGCACTAATTCATACAACATCATTATGAGGTAGGTGGTGTTATTAGCTCTATTTTGCAGATCAAGCAACAGAGCCTCAGGGAGGAGGTTACATAAATCAAACTCAAACCTAGTCCAGAGTTTTATTAACCATCATCTATAACATGGAAGTTTCAAAGATAAAATCCCACTTGTAAATTTATTGGGAGAAGATGCCACCTTAAAAGAGGCAAAGTACATAATGTTAGAATAGGAGATTTCTGGACACTAAAACCTGAGATGAAAACACTGTAGTTGCACTCTGCTCTGACAGAAGGCAATCTAAGTGTATATGCAACCTTGTGATGTGGTGTTAAGAGCAAAGGCTTTGAAAATGAGATCAACCTGAATTTGAGTCACGGCTCAACTAGTTTCTCGGGGTGTGATCTCGAATTTCTCTGAGCCTCAGCTGCTTCATCTATAAGATGGAGATGATACTAATACTGAGGTCATGAAGATATAGTGAAGATTAAATAAGCTAACATATGTAACCTGCCACTGTAGAGAACAGAATCAACAGCTTTAGAATCAGACAAATCTAGATAAAATCCTAGCTCAACAGTTCAGTAGCTGTGTGACCTTGGGCAGGATACTTTACCTTTCTGAGTACTGATTTCCTTATATGTAAAATGAGAAAAATAATACTTACAACTCATTCTTCCAACAAACATATATATATATATATATATAATATATGTAAAAAGTATGTAAAGCACATGTAAAATATATATATATATATATATAAAATTTAGAGACAGGGTCTCTCTCTGTCACTCAGGCTGGGATGCAGCTTGATCATAGGTTACTGCAGCCTTGAACTCTTGGACTCAAGCGATCCTGCCACCTCAGCCACCCAAAGTGCTGGGATTATAGGCATCAGCCACTGCACTTGGCCCAACAAATATTTTTTAAATGCCTGTGATCCTAGGCACAAATACCTTCTGAATGCCTCTGTTGCTTTTCTAGGTTTTTCTTCACAACATTTTGTTTCCTCTTGTACATGGTTAATTTTGAGTGAGTGATGAACACTATCTATGAACAATGCAAAAGATCATTTGAGGCCTAGAATGAAGTTGCCCTGCTCAGAGTCCCTAGCAATCTGGAATTATCTTGATCCATTTCAATGACTGAGATTATCAGAAACTGGTCTTTAAATCCTGCAATGGTCAGTCTATTTCTGGTTTCCCATTATTCCTAGAGTTACAGCATTTTGAAGTCCCAACCAAGAGTTGGTGGGGGGTGGGGGGGTGGAGTTGCCAGGCCCTACTGTCCTTGCTGAGCTCTGGACTGCAGATTTTGTACCCCCTTTCCACTTGAAGCTATCATAGCACTGCTTGGATTCTCAGTCATTTAGATGTTTCTTCTGGAATCAAGAGAGGCCTTAGAGGAAAAGTTGTCCAAATGCCAGATTCACTTCTACGAGTTTCTGCCTTTTCTTAGACTTTTGAATCTCGATCCCCACAGTTCTTCATTGCTTTGATACACGTACACACACACACACACACACACACACACACACACACACACACACACATATACTTTTCATAATTGTCTTCAATGAGAGGGTTGCCCAAATTCCCAGTCCACCAATACCAGAGTGGAAAAGTTGCTAGAAACGTTTTTAAAATATTACCTCCCGTAATACTCACAAATGTGCTCAGCATCACACAGGAGAAAAGTGAAAGAGACAGCTATGGTAGCCTATTCTCTCTGATTCCAAAGTCTAAGTAACAAAACAAACAAGGGCGATGTAGCAGCCTGCATGGTGTGTGGCTAGAGCTGGCGAATTAGTTTTTATTAGTTTCATTCCATCTCTAACATTTAATGCTAATTTAAGTATTAGAGGAAAAGGAAAAAAACTCTATAAGTGAGTTGTGTGTTTGAGAAAGAAACACCTCGGAGAAGGGTGACTAACATACATAAATCTCAGCAAAAATAAGTTGGGGTAACTGGCTTCTATACAGTGAAGAATGCATCTGTTCCCCCCTTGCCATCCTCATGGCCATTGCCATAGTTGAGACCCTAATTCTCTCTCTTCTGGATCTGTCTTTGTAAGTTCTCTTCTGCAAAAGAAGGTAAGGATGCTCAGTCTTCTTCAAATTATAATGGGGTCACCACTCTACTTAAAAGCCTTCGAAAAGACTCTAGGATTCCCCTTGACTTCACAGCCTCCTCCAGCTACCACCTTATTTCTTTGCTCCCTGTCACAGTAAGGTTTCTCAACAGAGTTGTCTCTATACTGGCTATCTTCACTTCCTTGCTTCTCATTCTCTCTTAAACTCACCACATTCTGGCCTCTGTCCATCAGCATTCCACAAAAACTTCTTTTTTTTTTTTTTAATTTTGAGGTCACCACAATCTTCATATTGTCAAATGCAGTGGACCCTTTTCTTCCTCATCTTACTCTCAGCAGCATTTCACACTCCCTCTCTCTAGAAACACTAGCCTGGACTTTTTCTGACTTCTCCTCCTCTCTCCAACATCTGAAATTTGCTGTCACAAGTCTTGGTTGTGAGAAACACTTCTCCATCTGCATTCTCTCCTTATATGATCCCATCCAGTCCTACCTTGAAATACTACCTATATGCTGTTTCCCAAATTTACATCTTCAACCAGATCATTTCTCAGCTTCAGTCTCCTATATCTAATGATCTGTTTGATATTTCCACTTGCATATCTCAAATTCAACATGTCAAAAATGAATCTTTGATTCCCACAATACCCAATTTCTCTTAACTTTTCCTCATCTCATAAGATGTCATCTTTCCATTTCTACCGTCATCCTAATCCAAACTATCATCATTTCTTGCTTAGACTATACCAATGGCTTCCTAGCGGGTCTCCCTGCTTTTATCTTTGCCTTCCTATGATACTTTCTCCATAGAGCAGTCACAATAAACCTGAAAGCCTAAATCGGAACATAGAACTACCCTTCTTAAATACTTCCTTCTATACACACAAAGGGCTTACATGTAGTAGAAAGAATAAAAATTATAAGATAGCGCTGGCATTGTTAAGGATTTGTGCATATGTCTTACTCTTCCTAACAAATGTATAGCTTCATAGATTCGATAGTGCCTTACACATTAGGAATCTGCAAGCTTTTCTGTAAAGGGTGATATTTTAGGCTTGGGGGCCATATGGTCTCTGTCACAACTACTTAACTTTGTCATTGTAGCACAAAAACAGCCATGGACAATAAATGAAGAGGCATGGATGTGTTCCCACAAAACTTTATTTACAAAAAACATGCAGCAGGCTGGATTTGGCTCACAGATCATAATTTGTCAAGCCCTGTTCTAAGTGTCCCGAGTCTTCTGTGATTATATCAAAGAAAAATGCCTACTATGGCAGACATGAAGGTGTACCATTCAGATCTCCCTTCAAGAGAGAAACTAGTCAAGGGGTGCAATTATCTGACAGCCTCAAGTTGCAGGTTGCTTTAGGGTCTGTTCAGTTTTAGAGTCAAGGCCATGTGCTTCCCAGGTAGTTCTCAGCCTATGACTGAACATAATGGTGGTACAATGGCTCACCATTTATGGCCAGCACAGGACAATCTTTACACATGGGTGAGCTTTGCACCAGAGCTCCCTACTTGGCTGGCTGGGATTTTTTTCAGAGCTATGCTGCAATGTGAGGCTGTTCCTCCCCAATTCTCCTTTCTTCCCACTTTCCTTTGTCACGGGTCAAACCTGCATCACAGTCTAAAGGCAAGTAATGTGTTGGTGGCCTGGACTTCAGTGGTAACAACAGTAGTGGTAAGAAATAGTCAGATTCTGGAAAACTCTATAGGTAGAGCCAACAGGATTTGCTGACAGAGTGGGTTTTGGGTGTGAGTTAAAGAAAGGAGTTAGGGGCCAGGCATGGTGGCGCGTGCCTGTATTCCCAGCTGAGGCAGGAGGATGACTTGAGCCTTGGAGGCAGAGGTTGCAGTGAGCTGATGAGCTGAGATCGCGCCACTGCACTCTAGCCTGGGCAACAGAACAAGACTCTCTCTCTCAAAAAAAAAAAAAAAAAAAGGAGTTGCCAAAAATGACTCTATTTAGTGTTTTCTGGTTCACTCATTTCTGCTCCTATTTTTCTTGTTACCTGCCTTATATTTTCTTTAGTTTTATTCTGTTGTTCTGTCTCTGAATTCTTCATTTATACAGTTAATAATCAATTTTGAAGCCTTTTCTCGTTTTATAAGCATCTAAGACTATACATTTCCCATGAGATAATTTAGCTGCGCACCACTTTGTTGGATAGTACTTTCATTTTTATTCAGCTGTATTTTTAAATTTGTTACTTCTTCATTGACCCATGAGTTATTTAGAAGTACATTTTCAAACTTTCAAAGATGTGTTTTTCTCTAATTATTATTTTCTATTGGTTCCAGTTTATCTGCATTGTGGTCAGAAAATGTGCCCTGATGATATTTAAAAAAAAATGTTCAGACATGTTTTAAGGCCTGGTCTGCAGTCGAATTTTGTAAAAATGCTGTGTGGGCTTTTTGAGACTTCTGTAATAATTGGGATTGTGTTCTATACATTCCATTAAATTAGGCTTAGTAATTGTGTTGTTTAAATCTATATCCTTATTGAATTTTTATCTGTTCAATCTAAAAATAGAGAAAAGTGCTTAAAACTCCCACCATAATGTAGATTTGTCAATTTCTCCTGGTAGTTCTGTAAATTTTGCTCTCTATATTTTTGAAACTATGTTGTTAGGCAAATTCAAGTTTAGAACTGCTATATTCTTTTAGTGACTTGAACCTTTTATCATTACATAGTGACAACCTTCTTTATTTTTAGTAATGCTTTTTGCCTTCAGGTCTATTTTGCTTGTTGTGAATGTAGTTTCACCACCTTTCTTTTGGTTATTATTTGCCTGATATACCTTTTCCCGTTCTTTGACTTTCACCTTTTACGGGTCCTCATGTTTTAGATGTGTCTATTACAAAGAGATTACAAAGAGCATTTGCTTTTCTTCTCCCTTAACTTAATCATATAATCTTTTAACATTAGTTGTTTCACATTTATTGTTATTTAAAAAAATATATTTGATTTTCTTTCAGCCATTTTGTGCATTCTATTCATCCCACTTTGTGGGTTTTTTTTTTTCTTTTCTTGCCTTTTTTAGATTTTAAAGATTCTTTTTTCTTGCTCCATTTTTTCCCTTTACAGATTTGGAAGTTAATTACTCTTTTATTTTCAGTAAACAATCCTTGAAATTCAAATTTAAAATAAAAATTTTAAATATTCATTGAAATAAAATTAAAATTTAATGTAATTAAGGACCTTGTATAAGCCCTTAGAATATTTTGACTGCAATCATTGCCTTCTGGCTTAAATGCTCATTTTGAAGCATTTTATTGAAATATACATACAGAATATTGCACATTAGTGTACAGCTCACTGACTTTCTACAAGTAGACTACATTATTTAACTAACCAACAGCCATCTCAAGAAGTAGAAAATTACCAGTTCCCCAGAAGGGCCCCTTAAATACCCTTGTAGTCATTACAGGCATCCCAGACCCATAAAGGTAACCACTATCCTAGTCCTAGCAACATAGTTTTAATTTTCTTTTAATACCACGTACTATGTACTCCTTTGTATTTGGTTTATTTTGCTCAACATCATGTTGGTGAGACAGATTTATATTGTTGGGTATAGTTGTAGATAATTCATGATCAAGATTGTATAGTATTCCATTGTGTGAATATACCCTGATTAATCTATCCATGCACCTGTTGGTCATTTGATTAGTTTCCAGTTTGGGGATATTATAGTATTGCTATAAATATTCTAGCATATGTCTTTTGGCAAACATACACCTTTCTCAGGTAGGAGACTGCCAGCCCTTATTTTCCAGTCCGGACAGGATGAAATGAAAAAACCATTAGAAACCAGCAGATGGTAACTAAAGTGATCCTGAGCTGCCCTCATTGCTCATTAGCACCATGACAGTTTACAAACACCATGGCAACAACCCAGAAGTTACCATCTCTTTTTAGAAAGTTCTTAATAAGACATCCCCTCAATTTGCATTAACCCACCCCTTAATTTGCATGTAATTGAAAGTGGGAATAAGTGAGTATAAATACAGTCGCTAAGAGCCCATACATTGCTGACTGTGGGTGCACTGTCTACAATTTAGCCCTGCTCTGTGAGGAGCTGTGCTGTTTAATAAAAGACTGTTGTCTAATAAACTGGGTTATCTTAAGGTATTAATTTGCTGAGTTATGGGAAATTTTGCTTTTAATGGTATAACCAGTGCCTTTTGGAGCTTCTTGGATTCATGTCTCAGAGGGTCAACTGTTGTCTCACTATTCTCTGCTCTCTTCTTTTAAAAATGCTGGAGATGATGGCTCTCTGTTTTAGCTTTTTTGTCAACTTCTGTGACTTTTTCTCCTCTTGTTCTGACTTTTGTCGTGGCCTGATACTAAAGTGTTTTGTCTTAAAGGTCTGTGAGAGCAGTGGTTTCCCTCAGTATTGCTTGATTCTATGCTTTTAATTTTTCCTAATATATAATCTTATTTTTGACTTTTAAGTATTGACTCTTATATTGCTTAAAAGTGGTTTAAGGGCTAATAAGTGTCTGCCCACCTTCATTCCCGTTCGGCCCAAAACATACATTTATTTATTTATTTATTTATTTATGAGACAGAGTCTCACTCTGTCACCCAGGCTGGAGTGCAGTGGCACCATCTCGGCTCACTGTGACCTCCGCCTCCTGGGTTCAAGCGATTCTCCTGCCTCAGCCTCCCAAGTAGCTGGGATTACAGGTGCACACCACCATGCCTGGCTAATTTTTGTATTTTTAGTAGAGGTGGGGTTTTGCCATGTTGGCCAGACTGGTCTTGAACTCCTGACCTCAGGTGATCTGCCCTCCTCAGCCTCCCAAAGTGCTGGGATTACAGGCACGAGCCACCGCGCCCAGCCCTTAGGACGTTTTTAAATGGCCATACTCCCAGTGGAAATAAATCTTCATTTATTTTTATTTTGATTCATTTATTTATTTTTTGTGATGGAGTCTCACTCTGTTGCCCAGGCTGGAGTGTAATGGCATGATCTCAGCTCACTGCAACTTCTGCCTCCCAGGTTCAAGCAATTCTCCTGCCTCAGGCTCCCAAGTAGCTGAGACTACAGGCGCCCACCACCACACCTGGCTAATTTTTTTTGTATTTTCAGTAAAGACGGGGTTTCGCCATGTTGGCCAGGTTGTTCTTGAACTCCTGACCTCAAGTGATCCTCCCGCCTCATCCTCCTAAAGTGCTGGGATTACAGGCATGAGCCACCATGCCCAGCCGGAAATAAATCTTTCAATAACTATCTTATTTAGACATATTCATACTATACTGATGACAAGGCAGTTTTCTAAATGCACACGAGGTAAATGGAGTTAACACTGCTAAGTGAATGTGACATTTTTGTTGTACTGTGATCATAGATGAATCAACTAAGTAAAACAATTAATCACAAATCAGTGTTACCAGGCTCACTGAGAGACTATTTCTCCCTTGCAAGGCAGTTAGAAGCTCTAAATTTATAAGCTAATCAGTTTATTCTAGCTATAAGCAGACATAAGTATCTGAGTATGCAGAAAATTTGTGGGCAATTAAGCTCAAATGATGATCCCCTTATATATATTTTGGCACATTTTTATCATACGGGTGTTGTGCAGATATATAAAATGACATACATTACAGATAAAATTTGGATAATATAATACTAAGATAACTAGTCCAGAATTTTAATACATGTCAATAAGATACTTAAGAATCACAAATTATCTTCATTTCATCGGCCTTTAAATAGCTTTGCTTTGTTTTGCGATGACTGGAACTTGTAACCTTAGTAAGTATCATTATCATGACCAAAATCATTTGGAAAGGAACAGGGATTTACAAAGCTTTCAGTAAGTACTCCCCGATGGTGTTAGGGTTTTTAAAGTAACCTATTTGAATTGAAATCTCCATTAATCTCAGATTGACAAAGCTATTAATAATATCAAATTAACAAAGTTCTTTACACAGGCACAAGGAACCACAAGGATGTAAAAATGAAAATGTGGACTAGTGGGAAAGACAAATAAACCTTCTTAATTGTAAGGCAGAATGACATACAAGCTGAATAAAGGTACATAAACATTTGAATAGTGCCTAGAAGCAGCAGCCTACATGTGGCCTGTGCTGGTCTATAATGAACTTTTCACTGGTCTGTAGCAAAATGATCAATATAACAACGTAGAAAAGTTTCCACACAGCTTCTTTAGATTATGTCCTTCCTACTTTCTTGGCATTAAAATTAGCTTTCTTTTAATGAAATGCATATTGGTTCCCTCTTCTGGGAAACTGAAAACCTATGCAAAATAATGTAAACTGTGTAGACTGGGTGTGGTGGCTCACACCTGTAATCCCAGCACTTTGGGAGGCCAAGGTGGGCGGATCACCTGAGGTCAGGAATTTGACACCAGCCTGGCCAACATGGCAAAACCCTGTCTCTACTAAAAATACAAAAATTAGCCAGGCCTGGTGGCAGGTGCCTGTAATCCCAGCTACTTGGGAGGCTGAGGCAGAAGAATCGCTTGAACCTGGGAGGTGGAGGTTGCAGTGAGCCGAGATCGCGCCATTGCACTCCAGCCTGGGCGACAAGAGCGAAACTCCGTCTCCAAAAAGAAAAAAAAAAAAAGAGAAAAGAAAAGAATGTAAGTTGTGTGAAGGCAGAAACTGTATCTGTTTTTCTTTACCACTCATCTCATGGTGCTTAACATAGTGCCTAGTAGACATTCAACAAATATTGCTGAATAAATGAACGAGGAAGCAGCATATGAGTTTTCCTTTGCACGATGAAAAGGATGCAAGAGGAAGTCATTTCATTGTATATTTTTAGTAAATGATGTACTAGTTACCTAGCACTGCATAACACATTACCCCAAAATTTAGCAGTTTAAAACAACACACATTATCTTGCAGTTTCTGTGGGTCGGGAATCGGACATTACTTAGATTGGGTGTTTAGCTCAGGTCTCACAAGGCTGCACTCTTCTCAAGAATCTACTGGGAAGGATCCACTTCCTAGCTCACTCACATGACTGTTGGCAGGATTCAATTCCTCACAAGCTGTTGGCCAGAGGCCTCCTCCATGATTCTTTGCCATGTGGCCCTCTCCACAGAGCATCTCATAGCATGGCAGCTTGCTTTATCAGAGCCAGCGACCGAGAGGACAGAAGAGAATGCCAGCAAATGATTGCATGAGCAAGACAACAATTTTCTACACTGCCTCACTTGTGCTGTATTTTATTGATCAGAAGCAAGTCACTGGGTCCAGCCCACACCCAAGGGAAGGGAATTATACAGGGCATGAATTGCCACAATCATTAGAAGCCACATGAGAAGCTGCAGACCACAAACGCTGAGTAGACTGGTTGGTTTGAGTGTAGAGTAAATGAACAAATGCACTAAGTAAATTGAGGCCAGGCAAACAGCGGAGGCTCTTGAAATGTCCTAAGTTGTCTGAACTTTGTTCTGACCCTTGCTGCCACTCAAAGTGTGGGTCATGGATCACCAGCATTCATATCACCTGGATACTTGCTGGAAACACAGAATCTTGGGGTCCTACCACAGACTTACTGAATCAGAATCTGCATTTTAACAAGTACCTATGTGTATTAAGGTTTAAGGAGTATTGCTCTAGATCCTGAGGAGAAAACAGCTCTGGTGGTAAGATTGAACATGAAGGTAAAGGAGGGGGAGGAATGAATCAAAGATGACTAAATTTTTTGAGGATACCTAATAAGAATTTGGTCTGATCAGGGCATTAGGAGGTCTACCGAAGAATATGACTCATCCTCAATCAGTGGCTCCCACACTTATTCTGCATTAAAATCTCCTAAAGTCTTTTAAAAAATGGTGCTCAGGGCCAAGCATGGTGGCTCATGTCTGTAATCCCAGCATTTTGGGAAGCCGAGGCAGGAGGATCATTTGAGCCCAGGCATTTGAGGCTAGGCTGGCCAATACAGCGAGGCACTGTCTCTAAATAAAATGGAAAAATTAGCCAGGTGTGGTGGCTTGCGCCTATAGTCCCAGCTACTCAGGGAGGCTGAAGTGGGAGAATTGCTTGCCCAGCAGATTGAGGCTGCAATGAGCCATGATCACACCACTGCACTCCTGTCTGGGTGACAGAGTGTGAGCCTATGTCAAAATAAAAGAATCAAATGGTGCTCAGCTCCTTAGAGAAATGGCTAACTCTAGGGCTGGGGCATCGTGTAGTGCCAGAAAGCAAAGAACTGCTCAAAATTCAAAAGGATGAGGGCAGGTCAAAGGGACACTGGAGCCAAGCTTTAAGAATTTCTAATGTCCAAAGCTGGAAAAATTTGAGTAACAAAATAACAGTACTTGGTTACAACCCAAAGTATAAAATAAACATCCATTAATCTGTCCTGACATGAATGACTGAATAAATAAATAAAGGCTGGGTGCGGTGGCTCACGCCTGCAATCCCAGCACTTTGGGAGGCCGAACTGGGCGGGTCACCTGAGGTCGGGAGTTCGAGACCAGCCTGGCCAACATGGTGGAACCCCCTCTCTACTAAAAATACAAAAATTAGCCTGGCATGGTGGTGCATGCCTGTAATCCCAACTACTTGGGAGGCTGAGGCAGGAGAATCGCTTGAACCTGGGAGGCAGAGGTTGCAGTGAGCCAAGAGCACGCCACTGCATTCCATCTTGGGAGGGCAACAGAGCAAGACTCCGTCTCAAAAATAAAATAAAAATAAAAATAAATAAGTAGGCAGAAGAAACAAATCTTTCATATGGAAGAATTCCAAATAATATATGTAGATATTCCATTCTTCAGGAGGTGGAGCCTCCTCTCCCCTTTGAGTGTGGGCTGGACTGAATGACTTGCTTCTGGAGAACAGAGTACAGAAAGGGAAAAATAGTACATTACAATGAAGAAGTCTGGCAAACACTATCTTAGCCAGGTGATAAAAGTTAGCATAACTAGTGTTAAACCATGTTGACAGTATATCTTTGAGGTGAAGAGAATGGCACTTCATTTTTATGGTAATCTTCCTTAAGTCCCCAAATCCCAGTCTAACCATGAGAACATCAGACAAACCCAAATTGAGGGGTGATACTCCACAAAATACCTGACCAATTCTCCTATTGGTCAAGATCATGAAAAGCAAGGAAAGGGCCAGGCATGGTGGCTCACACCTGTAATCCTAGCACTTTGGGAGGCTGAGGCAGGCAGATCACTTGAGGTCAGGAGTTTGAAACCAGCTTGGCCAACATGGTGAAACTCTGTCTCTACTGAAAATACAAAAAAGTTAGCTGGGCATGGTGGTGGGCGCCTGTAATCCTAGCTACTTGGGAGGCTGAAGCAAGAGAATCACTTGAACCCGGGAAGTGGAGGTCGCAGTGAGCCGAGATCCCGCCATTGCACTCCAGCCTGGGCGACAAAGCAAGACTCCATCTCAAAAAAAAAAAAAAAAAAAAAGCAAAGAAAGGGAAGACTAAGAAACATCAGGCACCAGAGGAGGATAAGGAGACATAAATGCAAGGGGATCCTGAATTGGATTCTGGGATATAAAGAGGAGATTAGTGGAAAAACTAGTGAAATCTTAATAAAGTCTCTAGTTAACGGTAATGTACTAACATTAGTTTCAAAGTTTTGGCAAATGTACTATAATTACATTAAGATATTAACATTAAAGAAAACTGGGTGAGAGGTATGCAGGACATCTCAGTACTATCTGTAACAACTTTTCTGTAAATCTAAAATTATTCCAAAATAGAATGTTTATTATAAAACAATAAATACCCAGGCCTCACCTTTGAGATTCTAATTTAATTTGTCTGGGTGAGGGACAGGGAACATCAGGCACCAGTATTTTCTCTTTTTGTTTTTTTGAGACAGAGTCTTGCTCTTGTAGCCCAGGCTGGAGTGCAATGGCATGATCTTGGCCCACTGCAACCTCTGCCCCCTGGGTTCAAGCAATCCTGCTGCCTTATTCTCCCAAGTAGCTGGGAATACAGGTGCCCACCACCACGTCTGGCTAATTTTTTGTATTTTTAGTAGAGACGGGGTTTCACCATGTTGGCCAGGCTGGTCTCAAACTCCTGACCTCAGGTGATCTGCCCACCTCGGCCTCCCAAAGTGCTGGGATTACAGGCATGAGCCACCATGCCCGGCCTGGCACCAGTGTTTTCTAAAAGTTCCCGGATGATTCTGATGTTCAGCCAAAGATACACTACTCTATATCAGTGTTTCTCAAATCTAAATGTCCATCAGAATACTCTGGCAGGCTTATTGAAACATGGATTTCTGGCCAGGTGCGGTGGCTCATTCCTGTAGTCCCAGGACTTTGGGAGGATGAGGCGGGCAGATTGCTTGAGCTCAGGAGTTCCAGACAAGCCTGGGCAGCATGGGGAAACCCTGTCTCTATGAAAATACGAAAATTAGCTGGGCATGGTGGCACATGCCTGTAGTCCTAGCTAGTTGGGAGGCTGAGGGGGGAGGACTGTTTGAGCCCAGGACGTTGAGGCTGCAGTAAGTGGTGGCCGCCCCACTGCACTCCAGCCTGGGTGACAAAGTGAGACCCTGTCTCAAAAAACAAACAAAAAAACACAGATTGCTGAGCCCCTCCCCCAGAACATCTCACTCAGTAGGTCTAGGCTGGGGCCTGAGTGTTTGTACCTCCTACAAATTGCCAGGTGATGCTGATTTTGATGGTCCACATACTGGGACCACTGTTCTATACCAAAATCTTAGGGTGGTTTCTCCCAGTTTCTTGGTGTGAGTTGTACAAGTGTGCAAACCACTGTGAAAAGTAACAGCATGACATATGCAGCGTGATACACCTCCAGAGACTTGGATTCTAGCCCTTAATCTGTCATCAACCAGCCATGTGATCTGGATGAAGCACTTTACCTCTCTGGGCCTCAAGTTTCTCATCTGCAAAATAAAGAGACTGATTTAATGACCATTAAATCAAAAAGCCTATATCTCATTCAAATTTTCAGATGATCAACTAGCTCTGTTATCTCGGATTTGGTAAGTGATTATGGGAAATCTAACCCAATATTTCTAAAACATTAGTGAAAGATTTCTCTAGAGTACATTTTATGATTATAAAGCAATGAAAACTCTTTTAAATCAATAAGCCAGAGCTAATACATCCAAATTAGTATCACCCCATTCTATGTCACCCTGATACACCTAGTCCAATAATGCTGTCTTGCCCAAGATATTTCTGGAACTCTAGTATGTATCAACACCAGTTTTAAGGCCACATACACACACACAAAAAAAAACAGCGTAATTACTTTAAAAATTATACCTCATTGGCCAAATCCAGAAATTTCCAGATTTCTCACTCACATCAACCACCAGACAGCTTCCAAATGACCCTTGGTTATTTTCAAAAACCAAAAGTGCCCTAAAAACACAATGTTAGTCATTAGGGGGAAGGAAATTCACTTGAGAACTTGATAAAAGATACAAAACCCTCCCTAGAAAAACATATCAGCAAACAAATTTTGCCAATAATTTTGATCGCTAGACTCCAGGTTAGTAACTTCTGCCCTAGAAAGACAAAAGATTTACTACTACCAAGAAAATTCACATATGCAGAGGAGACTCGAAAGAAAGCTTCTGGAGCCAACTACTCTGAAGGGAAAAAACATATAAAAGCACTGGATTTGGGGTAAGTCACCTCAAGATTTAGATTTAGATTTGGCTGTATCACTAACCAGTTTTGGGCAAAGAAGTAACTTTCCTCCTAGTGTAAATTTTCTCATTTGCAGGGAGGGAGAAGAAGGGACTGAGCTGCATCAATAGTTCTGTGTGTTCACTGGATGAGCAGCATCACATAGGACCTGTTTTAAAAATGCAAATTCCCAAGCCCCACCCCAGACCTACTCAATCAGAATCTCTGGGGGTGGAGCTTGACTATCAGTGTTTTAACAAGCCCTCCTGGGGATTCTGATCCACTGCTCAAGTTCGAAAACCAAGACAGATGATCTCCAAAGTCCTTTCAAGTTCTCAAATTTTATAATTTATTTGAAAAGTATACTCTGGTAAGTTAAAATGCAAAACAAAAACCAATAGTCTCTGTTTTATCTGTTAAAAAAGATTTAATTTCTAATAAATAAAAGGTTAGAAATGTCTATTTTTCCTTATATTCCCCATGGGATCCTTACATTTTTTTTTAAAATAAATACTAGGTATTTGAATCTGTTACATGTGGGCCGATTTCAGCTAAAAAAAAAGAAAATTATTAAGCCCAGAGGTAAGGTGGGACAGAAAATACCTGGCTCAGCTTATCTTGAACAGTTACTTTCCTGCCTGCTACTCAAATTATCCTGTGGCTTTAACAACAAAGTAGTGAGGAAAACAACTGGAATGTTTTTATCTAAGAATAATAGATACCTCACTTTCAATTAAAATGTGCTCAAGACACCATCAGGACCTATCAAGTAATAGTAAAAATAACTATTCTACCTTGGTGCTAGCAAAATGCAGAATGATTTTGAAATTAACACAAATGGTTATAATCTTGATGATTTTGAAATGAACACAATGGTTATGATTTTGATTTCAAATAGGTAGACCAGATATTTGATATTACAGAACTATTTTTATTTATAAATAAACAAGGTATATTTAAATAAATAATAAATAAGGAGGTATGATGATGGTATCATAATTATATATAAAATGGGAAGGCTGGGTGTGGTGGCTCATGCTTGTAATCCCAGCACTTTGGGAGGCCAAGGTAAGAGGATCACTTGAGCCCAGGAGCTCAAGATCAGCCTGGGCAACACAGGGACTCCATCTCTAAAAAAAAATAAAACAATTAGCCAGGCATGGTTGTGCACATCAGTGGTCCCAGTGGTCCCAATACCTTGGGTGACTGAGGAAGGAGGATTGCTTGGGCCTGGGCCGAGGCTGCAATGAACTGTGATTGCGCCACTGTACTCCAGCCTGGGTGACAGAGTGAGACTCTGTCTCCAAGAAAATAAAAGTGTCCTTACCTTTTAAAAATCATATACTGACATGTTAAAAAATGAAATATGTCACCTGGGGTTTGCTTTAGTATCACTGGGAGTTGAGGTAAGGTGAGTGGGTAGGTGGGAGTAAAAGACACAAGATTGTCTGTGAGAAGAGTTGAAGTAGATACAGGTATGTGTGGATTCATCTTACTGTTCTCTCTACTTGAAATTCTTTGTGTGTTTGTTTTTGGAGACAGGGTCTCGCCCTGTCGCCCAGGTTGGAGTGCAGTGGCGTGATCTTGGCTCACTGCAACCTCCGCCTCCCAGGTTGAAGTGATTCTCCTGCCTCACCCTCCTGAGCAGCTGGGATTACAGGTGTGTGCCACCACATCTGGCTTTTTTTTTTTTTTTGTAGAGACAGGGTTTCGCTGTGTTGGCAGACTGGTCTTGAACTCCTGACCTCAAGTGATCTGCTCACCTTGGCCTCCCAAATTGCTGGGATTACAGGCGTGAGCCATCGCGCCCAGCTGAAATTCTTTATAATACAAAGTTGAAAATACATAAATCCAATCTAAATACATATTTTTAAGATAAAAAAGCATGTAACAGGATCCTGGTAACCAAAGGAATAAACTGGAATGTTAAAATGTTTGCTCATTACAAAGAGAAGCAACACTATACCTAAATCTAGTATCTATCAACTTATTACTAAGAAACAAGGATACTGTAATACAAACATCTCACTTACCATGAGATCCAAACTGATGGTGAGAGGGCAGAGGATTGTCCAACTCAAGTAACAGTGACTATGAAGGCTCTCACAAGAATTATTAAAAAACACTTTGGGCCGGGTGCGGTGGCTCACGCCTGTAATCCCAACACTTTGGGAGGCCGAGGTGGGTGGATCACCTGAGGTCAGGAGCTCAAGAACACGTTGGCCAACATGGTGAAACCCTGTCTCTACTAAAAATACAAAATTAGCCGGGTGTGGTGGTGGATGCCTGTAGTCCCAGCTACTCGGGAGGCTGAGGCAGGAGAATCGCTTGAACCCGGGAGGTGGAGATTGTGGTGAGCGGAGATCGCACCACTGCACCCCAGCCTGGGCAACACAGTGAGACTCCATCGCCACTCACCTCCCTCCAAAAAAAAAAAAACAAACAAACACTGAGGGGATGATTCCGAAATTCACGTTTCTACTTATTTGTAAGCATAGTTTTAAACAACTGGAGTCTTCTAAAATGTATTCAGTTCTGTGTCACAGCACTGTCATTTATAATTGCTTTTTTTTTTTTTTTTGCATCGAAGGACTAACTCACAGAGAAAGCTGCATGGCAGCACTCTGCAACTATAAAATCTGTGAAACTGGCCCAAACTTCTCACATTATTCAAACATTAAATCTTATTCATAGTCAAATGAAATGGTCACTATGATAAATTTCTCCACTAAACCACCAAGTTCTCAAATTTGGTAGTGGCTTTAATGAAGCAGAAAATGAAATACAGGCTGGGTACAGTGGCTCACACCTATAATCCCAGAACTTTGGGAGGCCAAAGCAGGAGGATTGCTTGAGCCCAGGAGTTCGAGACCAGCCTAGACAAAAAACATTTTTTGTAGAGACCTTATCTCTACAAAAAATTGAAAAATTAGCTGAGTGTGGTGACATGTGCCCGTGGTCCTAGCTACTTCGGAGGCTGAGGTGGGAGGACCGCTTGAGCCTGGGAGGTTAAAGCTGTTGTGGGTTATGATCACACCACTGCATACCAGCCTGAGTGACAGAGCGAGGCCCTGTCTCAAAAAAAAGAAAAAGTTTAATCTCCCTCTCACACCAATCACCTACAACAGTTAACTGTGGGCAGCAGTTTTTTAGCCACTAATTACTGTTCACTGATAAAATGATGATAATGATCACTACATAAACCAGCAAATCTCTAGAGCAGCACTGTCCAACAGAACTTTCTGTGATGATGGAAATGTTCTACATCTCATGCTTTTCAATACAGTAAATAGCCTGTAGCCACATGGTAGCTACTGGATACTTGAAGAATTGCTAAGGAGACTAAAGAACTACATTTTAAATTTTACTTAACTTTAATTCATTTAAATAGACATATGTGGCTAGTGACTACCATAATGGATAGTACATTATGCACTGCCCATTATGGTAGTCACTAGCCACATATGGAGCTCTAGAGTACCTAAGAGAAGAAACACACACACGCACATTTCACTTAGTATCTAACTCACATTTATTAAAAATTGAAGATTACAGAAAAGCATAAGATTGGCATCATTAAACAAGCTTAATTAACTTACCTTTGACTAATAAATGAAAATATTTAATAACACTAAAGGAATTTTGAGAATAAGTTCTATTCCAACCTTAGAAATTAAAAATAAAAGCAAAGCAGCTATTCTCCAAAGGAGAAAGCAACCACAGATCTCCCTCTAGTGGCAAAAGATAAAGTTGCTGCTGAAAAGCTGAATTGCTCCTCCATACATAGAACTGCTCAGACATTTCTTCTATAAAATTCTAACTTAAGATTCTAAATCAATATATAAGGAAAATAGATCTATTTTTTGTCAAAAAAAATTAGACCTACTGCCCAGTAATAGCATGGATTAAAAAAATTAGACAATTTTCACTTACTATGAATGCTAATCTCTCTAGAAATCTGCTCTCTCTAGAAATCTGATCTGTCCAGAAAAAAAAATAAGTTTTGCCAATGACATTTGGGTATCTGGGGCTTTCACCAAATAAAAGTTTATAAAGCCATAACCAAACTGTGAGAAACAGAAAAGGGAGCAGTTCTCCTCTGTTGGTAAATATTCTGGGATAGAGCATGAAAGGAGCTGACTCAGAAGTATAAAGTAGTAAGCAGCAGTGAGTGGGCTGTGTAACAACTCAGGGTACATCAAAAGAAATAATATATTATAAGAGTTCTTAACCAAAACAACACTTTTCATTCTGGTATTCAGTTTCAAAAGACAGCTCTGCCACATTGCCAGTTTTAATTACAACCATACACACTCATTTAGATTTCACTACTGAACTACTTTCAAGTACAAGAAGGAACTCAAAATAGAAACGACTTATGATACAACTATTGTTATTCCCTCACAGCTTCAGGGAAAACAGGCTTTATATACACTGTAGTAAGTACAGAATGTACAGAAGACAGTTATATATACAAAAGTGCATTAATATAGTAATATATTTAGCAGTAATACAGGAAAAAAAAATCCTGGTTAACAATCTGATACATTACAGTATTTAAAACTACTTGAAGATTCTCCAAACCAGTCAACTTCCTACTTGCTTTGGTTATGATATTGCTGCTACATAACTAATCTTTGAAACTAAAAAGCAAAAACAAAAACCCACAATTTGAAATTTTTACCCATATGTGAATTGTTTTGCATATACTTGTTTACCATTAATAGCCTTTGACAATAGTCCTTAAATTCCCAACACAAAGGTTCAGAATAGATAATACTTGTTAAGTGAGAGTACTCAAATAGGAAATTAAATGGATCCACTACAGGAACAGACATTATCTGCTCCATTGTTAAAAGCCTCAGCTAGATAACCTAACCACAAATGTCAATTTCAGTCTCAGTTTAAATCCAATAGGTCAGCTACTGTTAAAAGAGCCAGCAGCTCCACAAAACTAGTCATGGCTTCAGGCCACTGTTCCTTAGAACAATTTAGAATATTAAGTGTTAACTTGTTATTTATACATATAGTCTACAACTACCTTTACATAGTCAAATGTATATGCATAATTAGAGCAAGTCTCCCCTTTTTCACCCCCATCCCTCACCACAAAAATGAACACAGATTTCCACAGGTTTTGTTGGACACAAAGATGTAACAAAGAAATGTGACAATTAAAAAAAGTACTACATACAGAATTTAGAGAAGATCAAACAAGCTTTTCTGAGTTCGGTATGAGTGTCAAATTAAAATTTAATTTGCCATTATATGCTCTAGGTTAAAACAGTAATTACCTTAATTTAAAAAATAACTAGAGGGAGAGCCAAAAAGAAATAATTTTAATGTTAAAAAAATAAGAAAATAAAATTTCAGTGAGTCAACTCAGATCTTCAGCAGTACCATTCAACTTCCTTACTCTTAATGGCCAGTTAGAAGAATTTTCAGAATTCCTTCTAAGGCTTCTGGAATAAGTAACTTATTTTCCAAAGAAATAAGACCTAAGCATTATAAGTAGTTATGTTCCGGATACTATGCTAACAAAGATGCCTAGCTTAAAATATCTCAGTTTTTATTCACTTAGCATAATTTTATTTTTAAGACAAAGTTTATCTTACTTTATCAGACTTAAAATGAATCCAAAGTTACCACAGTACATATGTATACAAATACTTATTTCCTAACTAACAGTCCTTTCAGAATTAAATTTACTTCTAGTTCAGACATGCTGAATGAGTCAGTGCCCTCAACATCAACACTATTATTTGAATGCAACTGGGGATTTTCCTATTAATTGTCCCAAACTATAAACGGACTGCGAGTACCCTTCAATTCCAAACAAATGTTTTTCCTTGAAGACAGAAGTGCTAAAAGTTCATTTGTTAAAGGAAAGAAGAGGAGTGTGTTCCAGCTATTACACAAATGAGTTCAAAGAATTCCTAGAGAATCAACTTGCTACATAATCTCTGTCCTTGAAGTGCTTTTGCCTATACCTTGAAAATTATCTTTCTAGATATTAAAAGTGATCTGGTTTGAAGAAGTATCCTGGCATATGATCTTTTTCAGAGGGAAAAAAATACATTAAGCCATACTTTAGATAACTTTCAAGGCTCTTCAATGATCTAGCT
The DNA here is from genome assembly GCF_000001405.40 of Homo sapiens. NCBI lineage: Eukaryota > Metazoa > Chordata > Mammalia > Primates > Hominidae > Homo > Homo sapiens. Next base: position 104,193,285 of record NC_000023.11, on the reverse strand, counting down.
AGGCCGAAAATAAAGTTACACAAATGAAACTTAAAATTTGAAGGTTTTTGTTTTTATACTCTATTAGCATTGATTGGTTCGATTTAATGGCTTTGCTTACTGATATCCAATTCCATGGGCATTATGCAAAACAAATTACAACATTTGGATTGTTTTTGAGTTTTGAAAAGCCTGATATTGACAAAAACTAGAGTTCACCACCTTTAAGGCACATGAGGCTATACAGAGTAAGCCACAAACAAAAAGTCTCTGCTGGAGAACCCAGAAACAAACAAGACTTCTATATTGGTTGTGTACTAATATTTCTGGCTAAAATATGAAGACATTTGCTATATTTTATAATTTTTAAAGCTCATCAGAATCTGGATACCGCTATAGTTTCCTATAATTTTTCCTTTATGAGAGGATTTAGCACTTTTAAAAGCTAAATAAAATGAGAAGTTCACCCAATCTATAATGAGTCATTATTTTATAGGTCAGTTTCTGAGATTAATTCACCAATATCTAATTCACTCAAGGGACAGAGGAACTGGACAAAACTGCCATAGCCTAACAAAAATGAGGTAAGTCTCATGAAAAAAAAGTGTTATTTTATTCTAAGTTCTTGTTGGGAGAGAATGAACTAGCCCTTTATACCTCACTACACATTATAATACATCACCTTCCTTTAATTCAGTTGCAAAACTATAGAAAAATATTATATATGTCATTTTGTTAAATGCAAGTCTCATCCTTTAGAAAGCTGTAGTAGGAACTGAGATACTACTATAAGATCTCTAATAAAATGTTTCTGGATAAATCTGTGGGAAATGTATTACGCCCTCAGTTAACAAGGCTTATTTTCAAAGGGGAGACTTAAAATTTGCTCCAATGTCAGTTCTCTACAGATGAGAACCAATACTACAGCAAGTAAGTCTTGCCTTTTTATTAATTAATTGGTTAGTTAGGATTTGTATTTAAAAATAAATATTACTGAGTTGGATTGTTTTAAATTGAACTCAGAGATACACCATATTGAATAAATTATTACTTATTCCAAGAAAGAAATAGTTCAAACTTTGAATTATCTACACAAGACATTAAAACGGAAAAAATGTACAGCACATGAACAGACACCAAAGAGCTTTTTATGTCTTTCTCTGCTAGTTTCTTTTTTGGGGGGACAGAGGACTATCTAATCTCCCTCTTCAATCACAAGCAAGCCCAAGTTAGTTAATTATTTTCTTTTAATCAAAGGAAATATTTTCAATCTCCTTCAACCCAACTTTATGGACTATCTCTAATTTATAGTACTATAATGACAGTTCATCTGGATTTACACAAAATTTCATGATGCACTTCTATAAACATTCAAACCTTTACAAACGTTAAAAATCAACTTTGTGGCACTTTGGTAAACTTGCTTAATAGTGACTCAAGTTAAATTGAAAGTAATAAGACTATGTGATTATTGGGAGAGTAGGGGAATTGGTCTTAAATTATATCATGACCTTGTTTAGGGTTTTTTACTGATGACCGTTAAGTAAATAGTTTCCAAGTATTTGACAGATAAATGGTGCTCTATGGTCTCCAAAAGTGGCCTGTTTTCCTTGAAGAATAGGTAAAGACAGCAGGCAATCATTCTGTGGGATTTTGCTTTTGCTAAGAGCAGGTAGAGAATTTAGATACAGTTACTATGCTCTATTTGCTCTTCCTATACTTGGAAGGGAAAACAGTGAGGTTAAGTTGTTCCACCTCCACAGAGTATTCTGGTGTCTATCCCTAAGCTCTCTTTGGGTCCTCTAAGCTGGTTAGGAGAACCAAAGAGGGGAAGGGGGAAAGTAAGAAAGACTACTCCAATTGAAAACCATAGACACATATGTTTTATTTTAGTAAAAATTTCAAATTATGACTTTAGTAGTCTTTAAAAGGTTACAACCATATCACAGACCTTGGCAAAGCTGCAGTGTATTAATTTTTATCCCCAGTTTCCATTCTTTAACCTTCAAGGAACGAAAATGAAATCAAAATTTTAAAACACATGATTATAAGCCTTTGTATCAACTGAGAATTAAGAATTTAAGTCATGAATCTTTTTCTTAATAAGCTACTTGACGTAACAAAAAGTAAAAAAAAAAGAAATCTTACTAACCTCTGTACTCTTAGAGTTTGAAAAATATTGATTACAGCTCTTCCTACAGAATCACGGTCACCTTCAAAATGCTATCCACAATATAAAGAAAATTATGAAAGTCAGAAAGCAGCTTGATTGTCAGTAGTATCAGTTTCCATCTTCTTTAACCCATGTGAATGTTCAAGACATGTGGTAGAAGAAAAGGAATAATGCTATTTCTAATGTTCATGATAACAAACACTCTAGGAAAACATTTAAAGAAACTCCATGATTTCACAGTTAAAATTAGAGCTCTATTAATAACCAACAAGCTAAGGTGTTTTCTATATCTCATTGCTCTGTATATTTCTAGCAATTTATAGAGAAGTTTAGCAGATCTACAAGGGTTTTCATCAGTTAATTTTCAACATTAACTAGGTCACATGCCAGAAGCTGTTATACCAAATATTTAAAAATTAGAGCTGTGCTGAAAAAAAAATGACCTACAATAAGAACTTGAGAGAGATATAGACTGACTTCCTGCCTGAGACAATTTTACAGCCTAAAAATTCTGAAAGCAACAGAAAAGCAGAATTGCTTATTTTGCCTAATTACTTTCACCATTTAAATATTAATCAACATAGCATCAAGTCTAAAATTCAGCTACTAGTAACATTATTTCATCAGTAGTCATCACTTAAAAAAGGATTCTGAACTTACATAAAGTAAAAAACAAAAATAAATCTAATAGGAAAAAGATAAGGGCCTGTTCTAATACCTTTGAGTCAATAATGAATGAAAACAGACAGAACTAAAACTAATGAAGGCACTATCGTAAACAGCAATCCACACCTTGCCCACCCCCACACCTCAGAAAAGATTTCCACCAGGAATCAAGAATTATGCTATGGCCCTTTAGGAAAAGTAAACTAAGAAATTGTAACATTAAGAAGGGAACTAAATTATGATCTCTACACATGTATGTATACTGACATAATAAACTACTGTCAGCAGTACCTTGAAATCTTCTAAACTGTGTAAGTACTAGTCTTTGAAGACGCCCACTTCACCGCCATAAACTTTAAACAGTCAAAACGTTTACCCAAAGTAGTGGTTCTTAAACTAGACTGTGCATCAGAATAACCCAGCACTTGTTAAAAAAACAATGCTAGGCGCCTCCCTGTTGGTTTCTGATTCACTATGTCTGGGGGCGGGGCCCACTAGTATGCATTCCTAACAACTTCTCAAGTGATGCTGAAGCTGCAGGTCTTGGGATCACCTGCCAAGAACCACTGGCTTAAATTATTAATGGTACATCAGCACAGCCCTAACCAAAATTTTGGTCAAGATGCATGTAAACCCATAAGGATGGAGTATTTTAATGCTCACAAAGAACGTTGATAAATTCACCCTTATTACATCAAAACATCAACATCTGCTTCATGGTCTTCCTCAGTCACTTTCAAGGACAGCACCTCTTCGTTAAGGAAGAGCCCACTGAGCCTCTCCTTCCGGGCCTGCCTCTGCTCCTTCAGCTGCCTCTTGCGGAAGGCCTTCTGCTGTAACTTCCGCTGCTTGGATCGCTTCTGTCAAAATAAAAATTTCTAAATCAGTTTGGTTTAGTTTTTGGCATATCCACCCCAAAATGTTTTGTGGATCAAATTCTCTATTTTCTAACTTTAAGAGCTGTTCAAATCCTTCTGTAGTATGATCCTTGTTCCAATAAGTGAGCCACTGGCTTAGGCTTAAAAATGATTAAGATTCCAATTTTGTGGTATTTGACCAGTGACTCTTCTGATTAGGAAGAGTTGAGACGATCATTTTGGCTAGTGATAGATAAAAAGTCACTTCAAAGACTTCTTTTTTAAATTCCATTAAGGTACATTGGTACAAATGCATAATGAACACATAATTAATACTAGGCGACAATACTGAATACACCTGTGGAGAACATTGCCCAAATCTCTAATACTTATGATTCTCAGGTGCCTTTCATCCAAAAACACTAGCAATCTTACAATGGCAGGTAAAAAAAAAATCATGCCTTTTTTGTAGTAGGCGAATACCATCTTAAAAATCCATCAGAAACTCAGTGGATACTCCCATCCTTGTCACCGGTGAACTGATAATAAAAAGGAATGACCACATATCTAGAGAAATTCCTTAGCAACAAAACTGGCTATGTTTCTGCTACTTCCCTAAGAACCAGGGAAAGAATCATTGTGTATCTTCAAGTCACCACTGGGTCACTAAAGAGTTAGAGAGATTCTCTTATCATCTTTAAACTGGCTCCAGATTCTTGCCATTGCAAGGAATCAAACTCCCCTGCTAAGCCACAGGACCATTCTAAATATACTTATACCTTCTTTTTTTTTTTAAGTGCCCGACAATATTATACAGAACTTTCTCAACTGTGAAAAGAGTAGACAGAAATTATAGAAAGTATTAGATTTTTAAATTAGCTAAGAAGAAACATTTAAGATTAAAACATTAAGAAAACATTTAACACACACAAAAGACATACACAACATTCTTAGGAGCTAATAGACAGCAACATCAGCAACGTAGTGAGATTCGCTCAGTAGTGAGTTGCAGTCAATATTGCAATCTTGAGAATAACTCATTATTTCCACCAATTTATCTTACTTAAAACATACACAAAAATCAGGTAAGATTGAATGCAATATGGTTGTGGGTCAAAACAGCATTTCAAAGCACTCAGCCTAGAGTGCTTTGTTCAACAGCAGAGCATCCTGCTTGTTCAATTAAGACCAAAACCCACAGGCAACTAGACAGCAGGATCATTTTAACTCTTCAAGAAATTTATATGAAGGAGTACTAATGTTAATATTGAAAGGTAAAGTTTTGTATTGATTAGACGTTTTACTTTTGAATCCCGAATCCGCTCTGCTGCACTTGCAGACAGGTTGCTGTCACTGTGTGCTCGACTCATGTTGGCACTGGAGTTTGAAGCAGAGTTTCCAACACTGGACCCACTGCTGCTTGCAGAACTGACCATGCTGGCACTGCTGCTGCTGGCGCTGGCACTGGCACCGCTCACTCCACTGGTGCTTGCACAACTAAAGTTGCTTCTCTTCCAGGCCTCTCTTGCAGGCCGTTGGCGAGGGCTATGTTCCTTGATATAGTTTCTGACCTTGGGATGCACAAACACAAACTGGTTAGTGTTGCACCTTGATGTTCTACCTTCAAAATGCTGGGGGAAAAATAATATTGTACTTAATCTAAAAGACTGTCAAAAGTGCTGCAGATGCATACGTAAGGTAGAATAGAAAGGCTAAATTTAGAAATAAGTACTAGAAAATAAATGCTCAAAAAGCTAGAAAACACGTTATAGAGCTGGATTTTAAAAGCACATAAAATATAATCAGTAAATGGAAGGCTACTCGCCTTCAGAAATTTAGGACTGTAAAAAAATGGCATTCAAAATACAAACTAACAATAAAATAAAATAGATGAGATTAGGCATTTGTTAAAAGTCTCCACTTAAGACAATTTAAGTAAGCTGCTGATTTTATCTAAGATTAGGTTGTTTCCTAAATCTTAGCTAGGGGCCAACAATACCTGTCTTCAAATGCAAGACATCAATTTATCATACTAATGAAAAATTTGCTGGAATGTAGAAAATTATAGTATGTCTGCTGGGAGAAATACTGAAATAAGAGAAATTTTTCATAAATAATGATAAATGCAAAACAAAGAAACAAATCAAAAGTAGAACATAAGAACGTAAGTATTCACTCAGCTACGTACCAGAAAAAGAACAGCAAAAATTGTATTTAGAAGATACCAGAGGCCAGGTGCAGCGGCTCACGCCTGTAATCCCAGCACTTTGGGAGGCTGAGGCAGGTGGGTCACGAGGTCAGGAGTTCAAGACCAGCCTGGTCAAGATGGTGAAACCCCATCTCTACTAAAAATACAAAAATTAGCCGGGTGCGTTGGCAGGTGCCTGTAATCCCTGCTACTTGGGAGGCTGAGGCAGGAGAATCACTTGAACCCGGGCAGTGGAGGTTGCAGTGAGCCGAGATCGCGTCACTGCACTCCAGAGTGAGACTCTGTCTCAAAAAAAAAAAAAAAGAAGATGATACCAGAGTACCAGAGATGCGTATTTCAGAACAGCAGAGGGAAAATTCACTAGGTTTCACCCTAGCCTGGCTCAATTATTACTGCATAAAACTACTCAAATCCCTCAGCTGTTTATCAAAGAATAGCTCTCATTAATTAGTATTTTGATTGTCAATTAGTCTCCTGTAAACTGAGTTAGAATAAATCTATACCTTAACCTAACCACTCCGTAAATGGTGACATTAAATTTCAAATCCTATACAACTGAAAAGCAGGTTCTAGATTCACATTGATCCCAGAAAGGTACTGGCAGGTGAGATGTACATAAAACCTCTTAAATCAATGTGCCATCATTTTTTCTAATATTACCTTTCGCAGCAGTGATTTTGGCCTTAATTATCTATGTATTTACACATGATTATTTTAGTCTACATTTTATAAGATGGTGGTATTTTTAATAGGTAAATAATCTGTATTTTCTTTACATACCTGCTTCAGTTTTTCATCTGTGAGACAGTTAAGTTCAATAATAAACTCACTGTCTGTAGGGGAGATTTGAGCAGAAGGATCAATGATCTTAATAATATCAAGTTGCTCCCGAAGACCCATCTCAGTACTCACTTTCCGACTCAGATACTCAATATATTCCACCTATGTGATGAAAAAATTACAATAAGATCATTGCTAAAACTTCTGATCCTTTATTATGTCAATTATAATGTGTTTACATAGCAGAAGCACTTAAGGTTATATTTGTTCCCTGAAAAACCGTTAAAGCTCAAATTCAGATTTACTAAGCAATCCACATTTCCCCAGTAGCTTTAAACAGGCAATAAACTGAGCTTTACCTAGTCTCCACATAAAAGCTTTTAATTAAGAATGTCAAGATCTTTACCTGCTCATCATTTGTCATTGCACTCCAAGGGAGTTCATCTAAATTCCGGTGCTTGTTTTTCTTTTTAGGAAGCAGGCAAGGTGAACTTGGAATACTGGGTATGACATCAGAAAGTACATCACTCCCACTGGCAATGTCACTGCCTGGTAACTTTATAAAAATAAGGAGGGTGTGGGGAAGGAAAGCAAAATTTGTTCAGACTACATTTTAAATACTACAATATATTTTCCACATCGATTAAAAGTTAGTTTATGAGACTGACGTGCTGCTGGCTGTGCTAAGAGGGCTTCCTTTAATATAAGACTAATGGCAGCCCGGCGTGGTGGCTCATGCCTGTAATCCCAGCACTTCGGGAGGCCAAGGCAGGTGGATCACCTGAGGTCAGGAGTTCGAGACCAGCCTGGCCAACATGGTGAAACCCTGTCTCTACTAAAAATACAAAAATTAGCTGGGTGTGGTGGCCTGTGCCTGTAGTTACTCGGGACACTGAGGCAGGAGAATCGCTTGAACCTGGGAGGTGGAGGTTGCAGTGAGCCGAGATGGTGCCACTGCACTACTCCAGCCTGGGAGATAGTCAGACTCCATCTCAAAAGAAAAAAAAAGAAAAAAGACTAATGGCAAATATAGAATCAGAGGACATTAATTCTGATCCATGCCTATTTTATACAAAGCAGCAACATAAGTATATAAATATATATTCTTTGCATATAGTTATTCAATGAAAGATGTTTTTGAAAAGCTTAGACTCATAATCAAGACTTATTAAAATGGTAACCGAAGAGTCAATCATCATTAAAGTTTTTAATGTATAATGAGAATATGACTAGGGCCTCCACACTGTAATGAAAAAGAAGCACTGGTCTCCATCTGGGGAGACCTGAATGATGTGCCACTAACTGGCTTTTTGCCAGAGACTGTGCTAAACATATTGTCAATATAAAGACAAATACATCTTGGTCTTTGACCTCAAGTCTGTATTAGTGACCTCAAGACAATTAAAATAAATTAAGGCCGGGCAAAGTAGCTCACGCCTGTAATCTCAGCACTTTGTGAGGCAGAGGCAGGAGGACTGCTTGAGCCTAGGAGTTCAAGACCAGCCTAGGCAATGTGGCGAGACCCCGTCTCTCTAAAAAAAAAAAAAAAAAAAAAAAAATTATCATGCCTGTAATTCCAGCATTTTGCAAGGCTGAGGTGGGAGGATCGCTTGGGCCCAGGAGTTCCAGAGCAGCCTGTCCAACATAGCGAGACCTCATCTCTATTAAAAAAAAAAAGAAAGGAAAAAAAATTAGTTGGGTGTGGTGACACATGCCTGTGGTCTGAGATGTAAGGATCGCTTGAACCTGGGAGGTTGAGGCTGCAATGAGACGTGTTTGTGCCACTGCATACCAGCCTGGACGACAGAGTAAGACTCAGTCTCAAAAAATAAATAAATAATAAAATAATTTTAAATATGCTGTTAAAATAAAGTAAAACACTTTAAGAACCAGAAGTATTACAAGAGAAAAATTAGAAAAAAATCATAGAAGACAAAGTGTAGACAAAGGAGGAATAAAAGCAAGCCTAACATACAGAAAATCAATTTAAGACAAACAGCAAAAATACATGCTATAATTTTATATATATTTATGTATACTTTTGCACATATGCATATACTCAAGTATATGCATGGTCACCGCCATGACCAAGGTTATAAATATATCCATTACCTCCAAAAGTTAGAATGGATTTAATTTTAAATAAATATATTTAAGTCATTCATCAAAAAGGTAAAGTCTTTTCTTCTACAAGGAGCAAATGACAATTTTCAAATATACTGACTTCATTTTTACAAGGTATAAAACAGTACCTTTTTGCTGTGTTTTGGTTCTATAGAGCTTGCAACTGTATCTGAACTCTGGATGATTTCTAGGCTTCTGCGGTTACCAAAAAAGCGAAGAGCTACTTTAGTCATGAAGACTATTGTGATCACATGTATTTGAACTCCTACTTTGTACACAGCAGTATAATAGGTACAGGGGATTCAAAGCAGTGTTAAGTCCTTACACAAAAACTTTACTTGGGAAAGTAATACAATAACACAGACATACAATTATACAACACAGCACATGATGAATGCTAGGTTTCAGATGACAGGTCATCAATGGAAATATCTAGCAGTGGGCTGAAGCTGCAGGATTAAAGTTTGGGAGAGTTGCAATGGACTGCAGGCAGGCACTGGGGAATCAATCACAAAGAAATACATGAAACCACAAAGATAGGAGTCAATCACTATGCAAAAGATGACTATGATGTTTAAAATGAAATTGTCTAAGAGAGAGGCCATTCTTTCTACACCCCCATAAGTAGCTACTACTCTTAAAAACCACATTTTCACTATGACAGTTATTGACAAGTCCAAGTACATAAGTGACTACCAACAATCTGTATAACTTCTTTTAAAATCTCATTAACGGCTGGGCGCAGTGGCTTATGCCCGTAATCCCAGCACTTTGAGAGGCGGAGGTGGGTGGATCATCTGAGGTCAGGAGTTCGAGACCAGCCTGGCCAACATGGCAAAACTCCGTCTCTACTAAAAATACAAAAATTAGCTGGGTGTGGTGGTGCGCACCTGTAATCCCAGCTACTCAGGAGGCTGAAGTAGGAGTATCGTTTGAACCCAGGAGGTGGAGGTTGCAGTGAGCCGAGATCGTGCCACTGCACTCCAGCGTGGGAGACAGAGCGACCATCTCAAAAAAAAAAACAAAAGAAAACAAAACATAAAATCTCATTAACTAACACTGCTTGAACTGTTCACCCTTGACCCTAATTGTTATCTAGGTGGTGTTATGAAAGGATGATTGCTGAATGCACATATGAATACCATCTCTTTTTCAGCCTTTAATTGCAAAAAAGAAAATGCGTGCTATTTTCTCTTTGACTTCAAATCACATCAGAAATCTCCCTGTGGCCCCTAAAAAAAAAAAAGAGATACTTCTTATCAGACAAAAGGCCTCCCCTACATCAAGTTCCTTTGATAAATGAGGTAAACGGAAGAACTCTTGAAATACCTATACTTTCAAAATATAATAAAAAAAATTCACCTAAATCTTGGAGAATATCTGCCAGGCACTTAAATTTGTACCTTTACTTCTCTTTATGCGTTTGTTGGGGAGGGAGGGGTGTAAAAAAGGTAATTAATGGTACCTTGGTCATTTTTTTTTCAGGGATAAGTAAAAAGATCCCAGAGTTCAAATCCCAGCTCCACTGCTCACTAGCAGTGTGACCTTGTGTAGGTTAGTTTGTTTCTTTGAGCCTCAGAGTTAGTAGTAAAATGTGGTCAATATCATCAATCTCGAAGGATTGTTGAGTGGTTTAAATGTGGTAACATGCCTGGCACACAGGCAACACTCAATAAAGAGATATACTTTTCTTTTTCCATCCCTTGCCATGGTTTTGGACCCTTAAAAAAGCAGCACAATCCCTCAGAGAATGTCACATGTTGCTAAAGTGCCTGGGTTAATTTCACAAGGCAGTGTTTCAGAATGATAGGGGGAAAAGGAAAAGACATTCAGGTAAGGAGAATAATTTAGTAAAGTCATAGATGGAAAAAAACATAGTATGAGGTGACATATATTCTAGATATCGTATCATTTAATCATATGTCAATATGATTAACACAGAAAATCAGTGCTAGGGATTTGAAAGCTCAACAGAAGAACCAGAAACCGTCATATGATATGCAGAAGTAGGCCGATAACATTTTCTAAGAAGTAACTTGATGAAACTGGTCTTTAGGGAAGATCAGCTAAAAAGCACTATGGGGACAAAATAGAGTGAGGAAAGATTGGAATTAGATAGGAAGCTCTTGTAATCTAGGCGTGGATGAAAATAAGCAAACATGGAAAGAAAAATGGGAATAGATAGGAAAAATATAACATGAAAATTTACAAAGCCGAGCGCAGTGGCTCACACCTGTAATCCCAGCACTCTGGGAGGCCGAGGCGGACAGATCATGAGGTCAGGAGTTCGAGACCAGTCTGGCCAATATGGTGAAACTCTGTCTCTATTAAAAATACAAAAATTAGCCAGGTGTGGTGGCGTGCACCTGTAGTCCAAGCTATTCGGGAGGCTGAGGCAGGAGCATCGCTTGAACCCATGAGGCAGAGGTTGCAGTGAGCCAAGATCGCACCACTGCACCTCCAGCGTGGACGACAGAGTAAGATTACATCTCAAAAAAAAAAAAAAGAAAAAAAAGAAAAAAGAAAAAAAATTACAAAGCTGTTTGATAACTGAATGGATAAGGTAATAAAGAGTCTCATGTTGAGACCAGAAAAAAATTGGTGACATTTCAGGTCATACAACCCACTCAGAGTGATACACTTAAAGACCTCAATTTTCATAGCAAGGTAACTGAAAGGATGTTAAAGATCTTCTAGTCCAACATCCTCATTTTACATATAAGAAAAAAATGATGTCTGGGGAGGGTCATACAACTAGTGGCAGAATCCAAAGTAGGACACCAATCTAATGCTTTCAACTATGCTGAACAGTTTTGCCTGTCTGGTAAGTTTGTAATAAGAGAGGAATGCAATTTGGGATATAAAGAGTTTGTAGTGATAACGGGAGAAGCAAGCACAAGTGTCCTTTGGACAGACAATAGTAATTTTTCAGTAAGTTGTAAGACATGTCACTAAGCAGAGTCTATTTTTTCCATGGAAACATTGTAATTGGAAGTTGCAACACTGCATCAAAGACTCAGCATCAAATAATGGGTTAGTATTAAATATTAAGGTCATCTAAGTGGAAATGTCAAGTAGTCAACTGGAGATACGGGATTAGACTAGCGGTTGTACAGGAGAATTGTATGGGCTCCTGTATATTTATTAGACCAGCAATTTTCCATTTTATAACTGATACTATATTTCAGAATAAATACTTAATAACTCTCAGCCCATATTTTTCATGGGCAATATTTGGCATATTTATATTATGATCAGTAATTGTGAAACATAGGGAGACTTAAATCTCTGCCATATTTTCTGCAGAATGCAGCAGAATTTTATGAGTAAGCTCATTTCTGTAACAGCTGATATGTAATTTCAGATTGCACCTCTAGGTTTCAAGTGTGACAGCTGATTACTCACTGTTTAAATTTTCTAAGCTTTCCTGATCAACAATAGAAATAATTTCTCAGACTCTTAAGACTACTCAAATATATCCTTAATAACAAAAGGACTGAAAGCAAAGAAAATTATCAGCAAAGCAAAATGCAAAGATGCTAATTCATTCTAAGGTTAAAATCTCATCTTATTAAGTAGTGAGCATTTTTCTTCCCAGAGAATCCATAAATCATTTATATTTACTTTAGTAGTAACTAAAGCATCTGTTAAAAAGAAAGATTTAAACAGATGTAGTTTTTAATCATAACAGAATACAAATTTTTTAACTATAGTAATGATTTTTAATCCATATTAATCCTAACATACAATTTGTAATTATATTCTTGGATAATTTACTGCTCATGATTACAAAATCCCACAAATACAAGACAGCACTTTAAATCTTTCAGCATATTTAAATAGCAGATATCCATGGTAATAGAGTATCCGTATTCCAATTTCACAAGTGGGAAAACACATTACTAAGGCAGGTCTGATTTTTGTTCTGACATCATAGTCACTCATGTACATTAACGGTGAATGGCTGGGGATGGTTTTCCACTCTTAACTACTCATAACATGAGTGAAGAAGCCAGCAATTAAAATTTAAAAATGCCTGCCACCTTGCAACATTATGGATGATAACTCTAAATAAATCACATAAAATAAGCAGAAGAAATATTTCTTAGAATTATCAGGACTCCTATCTGATTTATGCTTTACTAAGAATCCTTGTAGTCTGATTTTAAATACAAAGTCTGTACTGAGAAAAAAAAAAAAAAAAAAAAAGAGACACTGGCTGAGCACAGTGGCTCATGCCTGTATTCCCACCACATTGGGAGGCCAAAGTGGAAGGATCGCTTGAGCCCAGGAATTCAAGACCAGCCTGGGCAGCAAAGTGAGACCCCGTCTCTACAAAAAAATTAAAAAAAAATAGCTGGTTGTTGTGGTGCCCACCTGTGGTCCCAGCTACTGAGGAGGCTGAGGCAAGAGGATTGCTTGAGCCCAGGAGGTCAATTCTGCAGTGACCCATTTTTGCATCACTGCACTCCAGCCTGGGTGACAGAGCCAGGCCTTGTCTCAAAAAAAAAAAAAAAAAAAGGAAAAATTCATTATCAATATCATGAAAAAGTTTGTATCTTAAATGAGAAAATCTTATTAAAAAATTTTAACCAGAAGAGGAAACACTTCCTACCTCCTTATGAGAGGCCAGTATTACCTGGACACCAAAGCTAGACAAAGACACAACTGAGAACGAAAACTGCAGACCAATATCCCTTATGAATATAGATGCAAAATTCCTTAACAAAATACTAAAAAACCACATCGAGAAGCAGACTGAACCTCTCCCCTAAGATTAGGAAAAAGACAAGGATGCTCACTTTCACCACTTCTATTCAACACTGTACAGGAGATCTAGCTAGGGCAATTAAGCAAGAATTAAAAGGCATCCAGATTAGGAAAAAAGAAGGAAAACTATCTCTAGTCACAGATGACATGATCTTAAATATAGAAAACGATAAATAATCCACACATGGGAAAAAATTATTAAATCTAACATGATTTTAGCAAAGTTGGCAGGATACAAAATCAATATACTAACACCAACTGTATTTCTATACATACACTAGCAATGAACAATCTGAAAATAAAATTAAGAAAACAATACTATTTATAACAGCACCAAAAAGAATACAATATTTAGGAATAAATTCAACCAAGAGAGTGTAAGACTTAGACATTGAAAACTACAAAACATCATTGAAATAAAGAGGCCCTAAATAAATAAGATATTCCATCTCATATTAATGAATCGGAATATTTAATATTGTTAAGATGGCAATACTCCCCAAAGCAATCTACAGATTCAATGTGATCTCTACCAAAATCCCAACTACTCTTTTTTGAAAAACGGGCAACCTGATCCTAAAATTCATATGGAATTGCAAGGACCCCAAATAGCTCTGTTGCCCAGACTAGAGTGCAATGGCGCAATCTCACCTCACTGTAACCTGCACCTTCAGGGCTCAAGCGATCTTCCAACCTCAGCCTCCTGAGTAGCTGAGACCACAGGTGCACACCACCACGCCTGGTAAATTTTTGCATTTTTTTTAAAGACACAGGGTTTTGCCTTGTTGCCCAGGCTGGTTTCGAACTCCTGGGCTCAAGCTATCTACCCACCTCGGCTTATCAAAGTGCTGGGATTACAGATGTGAGCCTAAACAATCTCTATAATGAACAGCAAAGTGGGAGAACTAACACATCTCAATTTCAAAACTTACTGAAAAGCTATAATAACTAAAACAGTGTGGTACTAGCGTTAAGGACAGACACATACATCAATGGAATATAATTTAGAGTCCAAAAATAAACCCACACATCTATGATTAATTCATTTTCGAAAGGGTGCCAAGATGATTCAATGAGGAAAGAATAATATTTTCAACAAATGGTGCTGGGACAACTGGATACCTACATGCAAAATAATAAATTTGCGAGCCAGGTGCAGTGGTGCATGCCTGTAGTCCCAGATACTCAGGAGGATGAGGTGAGAGGATTGCTTGAGCCCAAAAATTCGAGACCAGCATGGACAACATAGTGAGACTCTGTTCTTAAAAAAGGAAAGAATGCACCTGTAATCCTAGCACTTTGGGAGGCCGAGGCAGGCAGATCGCCTGAGGTCAGGAGTTCAAGACCAGCCTGGTCAACATGGTGAAACCCCGTCTCTACTAACAATACAAAAATTAGCCGGGTTTGGTGGTGGGTGCCTGTAATCCCTGCTACTCAGGAGGCTGAGGCAGGAGAATGGCATGAGCCCAGGAGGCAGAGGGTGCAGTGAGCTGAGATTGCGTCACTGCACTCCAGCCTGGGCAACTGAGCTGAGCGGGACTCTGTCTCAAAAAAACAAACAAACAAAAAAAAACAAAAAAAAGAAAGAATGAATCTGGACTCCTATCTTACATATCATATACAAAAAGTAACTCAAAATGGTCAAAGACCTACATGTAAGAACTAAAACTCTAAAAGTCTGGGAAGGAAACAGGTGAAAATCTTCCTCATCTTGGATTACACAGTGGTTTTTAAAATATGACATCATAAGTACAGCCAAAAAAAAGATAAATTAGACTTCATCAAAATTAAAAACTTTGGTGTCAAAGGACACTATCAAGTGAACAAATGCTAACAAGCAAAAAGACAACCTGCAGAATAAAAACATTTTTGCAAATCATATATCTGATAAGGGTCTAGTAGCCAGAATATAGAAAGAACTCTTACAACGCAACCATAAAAAGTAAAATAACACAATTTTAAAAGCAGCAAGGTATCTGAATAGATATTTCCCCAAAGAGGACACACAAATGGCCAATAAGCACATGAAAAGATGCTCAAAACCATAATGAAATACCAATTTATACCCAGTAGGATGGCTACAAACAGAAAGACAACGCCAAGTGTGGACAAGGATGTGGTGAAATGGGAACTTTCATACGCTGCTGGTGGAAAAGTAAAATGGTGCAGTCACTCTGGAAAACATGTTGGCAGTTCCTCAAAAAGTTAAATAGCAAGTGATCATATGATCCAGCAATTCCACTCTTTGGGGTATATTCAAGAGAATTAAAAATATAAATCCACATAGAAACTTGAACCTGAATGTTCACAGCAGTATTATTTATAACAGCCAAAAAGTAGAAACAACCCAAAAGTTCATCAGGTAATGAGTGGATGAACAAAATGTGGTACTGTACATCTACACAATGGAATATTAGCCATAGAAAGGAATGAAGTACTGTTATATGGTACAACATGGATGAACCTTGAAAACATTATTCCAAGTGAAAGAAGCCAGACACAAAAGGCCATATATTCATCCATTGATATGAAATATCCACAAAAGCAAATCCATAGAGAAATTAGATTAGTAGCTGCCAGGTGATAAGGGGGAGGGGAGAATTGGGACTATGTGCTAATGGGTATAGGATTTCTTTTGGGGTTGACAGAAATGCCCTGGAATTAGCGGTGATGGCTGAACAACTGTGAGTATATTAATAACTACTGAATTATACATTTCAAAATGATGAAAATGGTGAATTTCATCTCAAATTTTTAAAAAGTTTAAAAATGTTTTAATCCAAATAATATGAAAAACAAAAATGGAAGGGTTGTGAATTACTTTTTTTCTTAAAAAAAAATCTCATCTTTTCAGTGTAGCATTGTTTATAACAACAAAAAACTGAAACCAACCGAAATAGCCATAATTAGGAAATGGATTAAGTAAATTATGATCCAGTTATGGAAAAGAATGAGATGTGTTAGCTGAAAAAAAGCATAGGGCCAAACAGTGGATGAAGTATAATCCCATATGTTTTTAACAGTATGCAAACATACTTATATCTGCATAAGCTCCTAACAGTGGTAACCATAGTAGAGTGGGACTTGGAGACTTTTTTAAATTTGATGCCATTCTGTATTATTTGAAAGCTGTTTGAAATTATAATATTCAATCCCTCTTTTGGAATAAAACTTCAAGTATTCAGATGGCTTTCAAATGTAGCAGACATTCGAGTTTATCTAGCGAATAAAATCTTTGCTGTAGGCAGGGAAAACGTCTTTAAATGTTTTATTGTTTTTACAATCAGAATATGAATGTTGTAATAACACAATCTAAATTTTCTGACAAACTGCACTTATTATAAGGCAGGATTTTCAAACAATTTACCACAAAGCCATTTTACATGGTATATATGCCACAAGAAAAAAGTGTCAGGCGAAAAACATGTCTACATACAAACAGAATACAAAATGAGAAATTATATATTTCTGATGACAGAACCAAAAATCATGTATTTATGGTAATAACAGTTTATGATATTAGGTACATAATGTGACTGATATTTGTCCTATAAGGACACAAAAGCTATTTATTATAGGGTAGGAAGTGTAACTTTGCTTGGATTCATGCACAGAAAGGTACCGATAATATATAATAATGGTAATATTACGCAAGTATTAAATAACATAAAAATCTACAAAAGGATATCTATAGCATCAAAAAGGTACATTAGCAAAAATAAAGATATCCCATCCAATTCTTAACCTTAAAACATGTCAGAGAATCTCCAGGACTGGATAAACATTAGAGAAATTTACTTTGAAGTAGAGATGAAAATATCAAAAGAAAAGTTTATACTTCTACTTCGGTAGTAACAATGTCAAGAAAAGGACAAAAAAACTTACCTGCCATTCAAACTCGCTATCTGACCAATCCCAGTAAGTGCTAATAGAAGAAGAGACATCACTGCAGACACTCCCCTCAGGAAATAAATCAAAAGAAGTGAAGTCCTGATCATCTAACAGGGAATAGCAATCATCTTGATCTCCAACAGACACAGATGAAAACAGCTCCTCACTGCCTTCTGAGCTGGCAACACTTGTTCCACAAGAAGTTAGGTTCCACCTTCAAAAACACAACACGAAAGAAATCAAGAGAACTACAGAATCCATACAATTTTAAGATATAATTAACAGGACATATTTATAACATTTATAAGGAATGTGAGGTTTTTTGTATTTTTAAAAGAGCCCCTACCTTTTAAGGAAATATACTAAAATATTTATGAATGATACATGTCTAGGATTTGCCTCAAAATAAGGCAGGGGTTGGGGAGTGGATAGAGGTACAGATGAAGCATGATGCCGTATATGAATAAATGTTGAAGCTGGGTGACAGGAACATGGGGTCCATTACACTTTTCTCTCTACCTTTGTAGCTGTCTGAAAATTTTTGTAGTACACTATTTTAAAAGAAAGTAGTATTTAAATTAGGACTAAAGTAAAATCTTCATCCATAAACAAAGCATACAGCATAGTGGTTATGAGTAAGCTCTGGAATCAGACAGTTCAAATTCTTGCTCTGTCACTTCCTAGCTAATTGATTTTAAGCAAATAACACTCTCTCCAAGTCTGTGTCCCAATGGAGGTATCGTGATGATCACATGAGAATGCATACACAGCACTTGTAGCACACATAAAAAGTGCCCAATATATGACAGCTATTATTATTGTTAAAGGAAGAGTGGGGCCATTGCAGGGCAGAGAAAAGCACTAACAAGCATCTACACAGGTAGATGTTCAAGAAGTATTTGTTATATTTAAGTAACTTTTTCATATTAATGCTGTACAGGCTCATTGCAAAGATGTTGGAAAGAAAGGAATGAATAATAAAATGATCAATAATTCCATTATCCAGCAATAACTAATCTATAATATTTTGGTAGTTTATTTTTATGTGCATACATATTTTTTACAGAATCAGCAACCATTCTGTGTATATATATTTTAGTATATTGCTTTTTTCACTTAACATTAATATGCTAAACATTTTCCTAAGTATATTACTTGAAAACATTTTAATGCCTATATAATATTCCATTGGCTAAATGTATCATAATTTATTTAACTTTATTCCCCAATGATACATAAGCTGTTTCTAATTTTTTAATATTAGAAATAATACTGAGATGAGCATTGTTTATAATTATTTATCAAAATATATTATCTCAGGATACAGTTGCTTGAAAGGTAAGTACTGAGTCAAAGAATATGAACATTTCTAAGGATCAATTTAGTCAACACCTTTCTGAAAGGCAGCATCAATTTATACTCCCCAGGGCAGTATATAAAAGTGCTCATTTCATCACAATCTTAACAGCACTAAAATTGCTAAAAATTTTTTTACCTATCTTATAGGACAGAAACTTCTTGCTTTTTTGAGACAGGGACTCACTTCTCTCATTGAGGCTGGAGTACAGTGGCACAAACACAGCTCACTGCAGCCTCAAACTCCCAGGCTCAAGCGATTCTCCCATGTCAGCCTCCAACTCCCAGGCTCGAGCGATTCTCCCATGTCAGCCTCCCAAGTAGCTGGGACCACAGGTGCAACATGCCCACTTAATTATTGTATTTTTTGTAGAGATGGGGTTTTGCCATGTTGCCCAGGCTCGTCTCAAACTCCTGAGCTCAAGCCATCTGTCCGCCCCAGCCTCCCAAACCACTGGAATTACAGGCATGAGCCACTGCACCAGCACAGAAACATTTTTATATCAAGTTTTATTTATTTAATTACCAGCAAGATCAAATTTTTAAATATTCATTAGCTATTTCGCTATGGTGTTTTCCTATGTGCTAATATTTTCATTACTAATTTTGTAAGAGTTCTTTATGTATTAAGGATATTAACATTTTGTCTACAGTATTTATTGCAGGGTTTTTTGGTTGGATCTTTTTTTGGTCTTGAAATCTATCAATCTGTTTTCCTTTGTAAATTTCCACTAGTTTTATACTATTAATAAGATAATCTTCATTGCTTTGCCAGTAGCATAGAGAATTAATCCTTAAGATAATTATTTAGTATTTCCAGTACTAACAAGCTCCTGAAGTAATGACTTCCTTATGAAAAGTCTGTTATTTACCTATTATTAGGTCGTGTCTCATCCTTCATTAAATCTACTGTTTCTTAAATTACGCACTTCATTTTTTTTAACTTCCTCCATTTTGTATGGCTAATCTTTTAGAAGTTCTTGATTTACATACAAAATTTGGACAACCTGAAAAACTTTATGGTACCTTTTCTTTTGAAGGTAGACCATTTTAAAACACTGAAACACACACACACTATTATAATTCAGTAAATAGAAAGTAGATGTCAATAAATTTTTATAGATAGTAAAAAAAATAAAATTCATCTAAGAATCCTAGAATATCTTGTAATATTACTTTCATCACATGCTCGCTAGGTGAACAGTATCCTCATTTTAGAAAAATTTTTAATTAACCAAATTATCCCAGGTCTTGCAATAAAAGTTATGAAGAGGAATCATACCCTGGTTTGAGACCAGTCTGGGTAACAAAGCAAGACAGTATCTCTACAAAAAGTTAAAAAATGTGCTGAGCAAGGTGGTGCATGTCTGTATTCCCAGCTACTCTCGGGAGGCTGAAGCAGGAGGATCCCTGGAGCCCAGGAGTCTGTGGTTATAGCAAGCTGATCCTGCCACTGTACTCTAATCTGAGCAACACAGCAAGGCCTTATCTCAAAACAAAACAAAAATACATTCTGGACACAGTAAGCCTTATCTACATTATGTCCTGAGCAAACTATTTTTCTCTTGTGTCTTCAAATTACATGTGATTTTTTTCCCTTTATTCATTCACTCATTCAACAAACATTTAGTCAGTATCTTCTATGTACCAAGTACTATGTTCGGTGCTAGGAAAAACTGTTAGATAATTGTTTTTAATTAGAATTTCTTTTTAGTTTGTAAAAATTCTGTAGAAATGTGTTTCTCTCCATGAGTAATAGTGACATTCCTTAAAAAAAAAAAAAAGATGCCATATTTAGTAATCTAACCATTAGATCACTGCCAAAGGAGTCAGGAATTTGCTTCATTTTGTGCTCTTACCTTTGGGCAAAGTCAATGTGTTTCTCAGATTTGTAATCATCACAAGGTTCTGAATGTTCTTAGAAGTCTTTGTCTTTTGTTTTTAATTATCAGCAGCAAGTAAACCGGGCTCATAATTGAACAAATCATTCATAAAATAGAATAACAGTATTTTTTACTAGTAAAGATTGTAACATTTTTTATATCTTCCTTTTTTTTTTTTGAGTCAGGGTCTTGCTCTGTCAACCAAGGCTGGAGTGCAGTGGTGCGACCATGGCTCACTGCAGGCTTGACCTCCTGGGCTTGATTCATCCTCTCACCTCAGCCTTCCCAGCAGCTGGGACTACAGGCACATACCACCACGCCTGGCTAATTTTCACATTTCTTTTTTTTTTTTTTTTTTGGAAGAGAAAGGGTTTCATCACGTTGTCCGGGCTGGTTTCAAATGCCTGGGCTCAAGCAATCCTCCCACCTTGGTCTTCCAAAGCGCTGGGATTACAGGTGTGAACCAATGCACCTGGCAAAATTTTTATATCTTCTAATTTGCAAATTTTTAAAATCATAATTTTAAGGCAATATAGATAAAAACAAAGTAGGAAGTACTTTCATCCATTGCCAGTGACAGTCTAAGTTGACATAATCTTTCTTAAAAGCAATTTGGCAGTACTATGTACATCTAGACGTTTAAAAAGGTTCATTCATTTGGAATCAGTAATTCCCCTTCTAGGATTGTGTTCCCTTCCCCAAACAGAAATTTGGAAAAAAGATGTGTGTACAAATATGTCCAAACAATACTATTTGTAATAGTCCAAAAGGGAAAATAAATGCCCCTAAAATATGAGGATTAAATGATATATCTGAATGGTATTTTTATAATCACTAAAAATCATATTTTCAGATTATTCAAAAGGAAAACACCCAACAATATAGGAGCAAATATGCAGGTCACAAACTGATCCTGATGTTTAAAAATTATATCTGTACATAGACACATTAAAAGAAACATCAAAATGTTGATAGTTGTTACCTTTGGGGAAAAGGATCATGAGTGGTCTATAGTTTTTTATATGCCCTCAGTTTTCTATAATAAGTTTTTAAATAAAAATTTAAGTGTGATTCTTTCAGACTGTTCTGTCAGTTTCAAACTTGTAATGAATGTCCATTGTGTGCTCAGCACTAAACTATTTAAATTTACAAGCCCTTACATTATATTCCACTAAGAGAAAGTTACCTAACACTTCGACTCTAGCTATCACCATAATATTACTCTCAAAAGAGACTTTCTCCAAAATCTTGAAAGACGTTGAAAAGAATTCCAGTGAAACACGGTGTTTAACTCAATAACTAGGCTTGCTGCCCAAATTTTAATTAAAAAAAAAAATAAAGCCAAGAACATTTCTCTGCAAGGTGTTTCAGCAAGAATATACAGACTAAGGACTTTCAATGGTATTTTGGTAAACAGCCATTTAAACGTTAAAATTAAGAAAAGCATGTGTACCATGTACACATTCCTCTGCACCCCCTTTTCTCTCAGGTGGGCCTGACTGCCACTTCTGAAGATAAGAATCCAGCCAATGAGCACTGTTGAATGAAGTTCTGCCAAGCTGATGAAGGTCATTTGAAGTCTATGCTATATATTC
Organism: Homo sapiens; assembly: GCF_000001405.40. Lineage (NCBI taxonomy): Eukaryota > Metazoa > Chordata > Mammalia > Primates > Hominidae > Homo > Homo sapiens. Next base: position 104,171,002 of record NC_000023.11, on the reverse strand, counting down.
ATTCTTAGGGTACAGTGCCCCATCAGTACTTGTATTCACCACTGACTCTCTGCCAGAATCCCCATATAGCCAACCTGACTTCTGCTGCTATTCTGGAGTCCAACAGGCCACCAAGGTTCCAAGTTAGAGAATATACAACCCCTTCTTCTACCCACTTAAGTTCCCTACTTTCCTCCTAGCTACCCCAATTGTGTTGGGTTCATTACCCATCTTTCCTGCCCTCTTTATTGCCTTGGAAGTAAAAAACACTCTATGTCATTTCTAAGGCTAATGATCCCATTTGGACTTCTGAGTTCATCATGTCTATCTCTCATCCCACCTTCTTTTATATTTTCAATTTCTCCCTTTCCTGTGGCCTGCTTCTAAGGAGCTAACATCTCTATTCTTGGAAAAGAAAAACTAAATGAAGTTAAAAAAAGAAAAAAAGAAACCTTTATTTCCCTTTCAAATTCTCACAACATCTCCCCTTCTCCTTTCTTTCCCTGCTAAATTTATTGAAAACCTTCCACTCTCTCAACCTTTGTAACCTGTAGTTCCACTTCTATCACGTCACGGACTTCTACTGATTACTCCCAAATCTGTATTTCTAGCTTGGATATTTCTCCAAATCCTAACCCCCCATTTTCAACTTGTCTCAGCAAGTCCCCAAACCAAATTCCTCCAACATGGTTCTCCCACCTGCAACCCACAGCTCTTCTGCACCTCTAATTCTGTATCTAGATAGGAAAACTATGGGTGTTACCAAAGGCACACAATAGTCTTTAGGTTTTTCTGGTTAATGGTGATTGAAAACGGAGCTCTAAAATCACATAACTGAGTAAAAGATTTATGCAATAGTTTGGAAGTGCTAAGAGAAAACCTCCATTTACATCAGAAAATCACTGCCCCCAAAACCAAAGAAAATGTCTTAAACACTACATATGTTCCACACTGACATTTCACATTTTTAAAAAATTCATTCACTTTTTTGGCTTATTGAAATTTATTCTATTTTCCTAAAATTCTAGACCAATCCATGTAGGTCTTAAGGTATGAATGCTTAGGAAACTGGCTGTGTCCATGTAATGTATTTTCTACTGAACCTAGACCAGTGACATACCAACCTACATCACAAATGACTTTAATTTGAATACTGGGCCGGGCGCGGTGGCTCACACCTGTAATCCCAGCACTTTGGGAGGCCAACGTGGGTGGACCACCTGAGGTCTGGAGTTCAAGATCAGCCTGGCCAACATGGTGAAACCCTGTCTCTACTAAAAATATAAAAATTAGCCAGGCATAGTGGTACACGCCTATAGTCCCAGCTACTCAGAAGGCTGAGGCAGGAGAATCGCTCGAACCCAGGAGGCGGAGGTTGCCCTAAGCCAAGATTGTGCAACTGCACTCTAGCCTGGATGACAGAGCAGGACTCTGTCTTTAAAGAAAAAAAAAAATCTGAATATTGCAACCATTCAACCTCAGGGACTGTTAGTGCTGTGACTGTCTTTGTTAATGAAAATTGCAAATATAGCCCAGAATCCAGTAAATGAGTAGGCACAAAATTGTCATAATCATAAGGTCCTTATCAAGTGCATTATTTTTAAAATCTCCACATTTTTCTTATCAGGTACCAAGAAGGAAGCAAAATTAAGGTTAAGTCAAATATCTACCAATTAACAAGCTTCCTACTTCCAATGAAAATTTGTTTTACAATCACTAAACCCAAGGCAGAATTTCAGCACTCAACTATTTGAAATCTGATTTTTGGGTTGTTGCCTGAATTGACAAATGATGTGATGTGAAGGAAAAAAGTGACACATACAACTCCAAAATAAAAGAACTCCCTAAACTTTGCCCGATATATGATTTAGCTGTGTGCTTCTCCCTGAAAAGAAATGGCTGGAAGCCTATGGTCCTCTCAAGCACCATCTTGAGGAGGGGTAAGAAAGCAGAACATTGCAGAAGGATAATACATTTAAAAGGCAAGGTAGCCTAGGACAGAAACATCATGTGCTGTGAATATCGCTAATTTTGCTTCCCCTACTCTCTGCTGAAAAGGATACAGAGCATTAGAACCCCTGCCACCATGCCAAGCCTTGCGAAAAGTAGGGTAGGAGAGGGAAGTTAAAAAAAAAAAAAAAAAAAGCAAGCAGTAACTAGGAAAAATGCTTGACTTGGAAAAACTGGGGCTTGCAAAGAACCTCCTTCTCCCCTCCTCACTGCCCCATTGAAAAACAGTCCTGACCTCACCACAGTCTTTAAGGGAAAGAAAACACAGGAAAAAACGGGGAGGAGGAAGGAACAGAACAAGTTGTAAGAAACATATTATTCTCATAACTTCACTCCCCATCACCTCTACCCAGTTTTGGCAGTACTTACCCACAGCCTCTGCCCTCACTCCCTTGCCCTCATCATCACAGCAGGATCATTCTGAAATTATTTAACTTTCCTGGGTATGTGACTTGCTCCAAGGCTGCAAAACTTAAATGCCAAATATGTACAAAGGTATTCTTTTACATTATTTTTCAACATAAATAACCCTAAGCACACTTGATTTCATGAATATGTTACATTCACATTACAGTGACATCAGGGGTTAAATAGGCTTCTGTGAGTTGGTCTAGGAAACCATAAGTTCTATTTGTAACACTGGATCAATTAGTTCTGCTCCAAGTTTAATCATTGGCTTCAAAGGAATAGTCTTGGATTTGCTTGACTAGGTTTTATGACCTTGAACTCAATCTTTTCTTTCTGGGCCTGTTTCTTCATTTTTTGCAATGACGATTTAGAGTAGTCATAATAAATTTACTGCCACTTCCTTTTGAGATGTGTTATACTGATATTCTGATTATTTAACTATAACACCTTGTTTCCATAGACTATAACTTTCATTTATGTAAGAAACATCTTTTACACATTCCTTGTATCTGGTAGAAGCTCATTCAATCTACAGACTGATTTAAGGGAAGGGAGGGGAGAAATATGCTAAAGACATTAAAATATGGAAGAATTTGATCAAACTCACATCATAAACTTGGATCAGAAGTCAGAACTAGATTTCTTAATTTATCTCCAGTATTTTCCATAGCTGAACCCCTCTCCTAGAGCCTTAACCACACACCCCCCCAGCCCTTTGTATATGTATCTCAAATATCCACCTATGTTAAAACTTGAGGCTGTATCTAGAACGTCTTCAACCCACCCCCCAAGATTTGATCTAACACGTAAATGCTTGCATGAGAGAAGTCTCCAGAACACTACCTTCTACTGAAATCAGTTAGGAGGAGATACACCCTCTGAATAAATTTGTGTAAGTCAGTCCATCCTAAGCCTTACTCTGTCTCTTCAAAGGGGAAGGAAACCAAGGGATATGTCATATGAAGGAATCCTCCAGATTTAAGCTTACCAATTTTGGCAGAGCCTAAAGCGCTAAGGCAAACAGTTAATAAAGGAGGAGGAAAAAAAGAGAGAATCGACTAGTTTCCTAGCGCTCAACTAAAAAAAAAAATGGGGTAGGGGTGGTGGCGGCGGGGGGAACAGGACTGTGAGACAGATTAAAAATAGGGAAAATGAAGCTTCTAGCTTTAAATGTTCCACCTTTCAACGCCACTTTTCAAAAGATCTATGGATTGATCTTGAGCCATCCAAATTCCTCTACAGCGTACCGGAAATGGAAGGGGTTAAACTTTTGCAGATGGATGCAAACAGGGGCGTATCTAAAAATCAAGGGTGGGGGTTTGGGATTCGTAGGGTACAGATGGGGGGAGGGAAGGGAAGCAAGGGAGGGAGAAGGTAGGGAAGGGAGGAGTCGCTATAGCCAGAATATGAATGAGGAAAAGAGAGTAAAACGCCGGTCGAAAGGAAAATAGGAGGGCAGGGGTGAAAATAGGGAGGGGGGGCAGGGAAGGAGGCCGGGAATGAGCGCTGGTCGAAAGCAGGTGGGGGAGGGGGCGACTGGAAGCGCAGCCCGGGACGAAGGATCAGGAGCGGGGGGCGACCAGAAGTGGAAAATCCACCCCTGCCCTCAGGTGCAGTTCGTACCTGTTGGTGTGGAAGCGGTGGAGCGGGTCGGTGCGATGGCAGGAGGACAGCTGGCAGCCGAAGTCGCTGATGTCCAGGCAGCCCGGCTCCTCGCTCGGGCAGGTGCCCACCCCGCGAGGAGGTCCCAGGAGTGGGAAGGGCTCCTCGGGGGTTAGAAACTTCTCGTAGGAAGTGATGGCCGAGGCCTCGTCGGACATGGTTGGAGATGGCCTGGCTCGGGCTCCCTCTCTGGCCCTGGGCTGCTCCCGCGCCCGCCCCTGCCCCCACTCTAACCTGTCCGCAGTCGCCGACGCTCCGGGGTGTGCCCGTCGCAGCTCACTGGCAGGCTGGGCGTCGCGGCCCGCTGCTGCTTGCCGGGGTGCGGGGCCGCGCGAAGAGGCTGCTCGAGGCCACAGCGGCCCACCGGCCACCCAGTTAGCGCCCCGGTGGCCTCTGCAGCTTCCGCCGCCGCCAGACTCAGCCCGTCAGCGCAGCGCCGCCGCCCGGCCCGGCCAGGCCCGCCCCGCCCACTGCGCTCGCCGCTTGCGACTGCAGCAGTCTGCCCGGCGCCCGCAAGGAGGGGAAGGGCGGCGGGAAGCCACTCCCCGTGCCCCCTGCTGGACCGGAGGAGGAACTGAACCTCCGCCCGCCGCGGCCCCAAGCGGCCCGCCCCGCCCTCTACGCATCGAATCAGGGATTCAGGCCGCTAGAAAGGCTAGGCGCCTCTGGCCAACCTCCTCCTCCGCTTTCTCACTCGTACTCGACTACTAAGCAGGAACCGCAGTCCCAGAAAAGGGACTTGGCCAAGGTCACACTGCGGGTGCGTGAGAAAACATCCAGATGCCCTGGTTCCCAGCGCACTCTTTCATTCTGTCCCAATTCAACAAGTATTTATTGAGCTCCTGCAGTGTGTGCCCAGCACCGTGCAATGAGGTGTAGGAGAAATCGTCCAAGCAGGGAAAATAGTCCCTTCCTCACCCTTGATCACCTAACTCCAAGAACCCTACGCTGCAGCCACTCGCCTACTCAGAGCTGCTGGACACGTCGTACTCTTTTGTGCTTTGCGCCTTTTGCTCATAGGCACCCTGCTTGGAATGCCCTGCCATTTCTCCCCTGCTAATCCTTCAAACTCCAGCTCAAACGTTATCTCCTCAGTGAAGCCTTCCCTGACTCCCAAAGGAGACTAAGGCACACCTGCTAATTTGCCCCCTCCCTCCCGTAGAAAATATATTATGGAGCTTAACTTGTTCAACTTGAATCAACTTGTTAGGTGTTATATAGTGTACTTTGCTGTTTATCTCATCTCTCTTCTCTATATTCTGGGCAAGTGATTCCTGTTCTTGGATGCGTAAGATTAAAAAAAAATAGAGGAAACCCCAAGATTACTAATTTCTTACTTTGCCCAAAGAAGACAATTTTTAAAACTACCTAATATTATTTTATAAAAGGAAGCACATTTTCATATAAGAGCATAATTCTTCAATAAAAGCAATTCTTTGCATTAACTATATTTATGAAGAAACTACATTGATCCTTCAGGAAAGCATAGAACTTAAATAGGCGGAAAGGAGGGGAAAAATGAAAGAAGGCAGGAGGAAGAAGAGAAAGAGGGCAGGAGAAGTGGGGGGTTGTCACTAAAACAAGCCCCATTCAGTATTAAACTCTGTGCCTTGCCCTACCAATGCAACTTATAGTGAAAACAGCTTCTCCAACGTGCCTTTAAAATGTATACATTATCTTGCTTCAGTTACTTGGTTGTTTGACTGTTGAGCATGCCGGCTTTCTTTCATTGAGATTGCAAGAAGGTGTGTTGCATTGTGTATGTGGCTTTCAAAATGAATCATTCATTAATATCTAATGAGGCTGACCAATTTAAAACTTGTGGAAGTGAGGCTGATGATGGTTTGTTCTATGGTCCCTAATGCACCAATCCCCAGGGGTCTGAGGCCAGTGAGGCTGAATGGGCCATGGCTTAGTCCCCAAAAACAAGAGACTTGATTATCCAAATGAAACAAGAGTCAAGTGCTGCATGATAATGCAGGCACTCAGGTAATAGCACCAGGAACTGTTAATAAGAAGCTAACGAAATAGTCTATTTTATTTTATTTTATTTTATATTTTTTTGAGACAGAGTCTTGCTCTGTCGCTCAGGCTAGAGTGTATTGGGGCGATCTTGGCTAACTGCAACCCCCACCTCCCGGGTTCAAGCTATTCTCCTGCCTCAGCCTCCTGAGTAGCTGGGATTACAGGCATGTGCCACGACACCTGGCTATTTTTTGTATTTTTAGTAGAGACGGGTTTTGCCATGTTTGCCAGGCTGGTTTCGAACTCCTGACCTCAAGTGATTGACCCAACTCAGTCTCCTAAAGTGCTGGGATTACAGGTGGAGCTACTGTGCCTGGTGGTCTAATTTAAATATATATACCTTTTACACATACTATAAGAGGTGGGTGTTTTTTTAAAGCGGAGTCTAATGAGAGAGTCTGTGAGGTTTCTACAAGTATGTGTTTTACTTTTGTGTTTAAGCATATTCTGAAGTATCTGTATGACCACATGATAACTAACTGCTGCCACATGATTAGGACATGTATTTGAGTTTATTTTCACAATGAATTAGCATAAGATAATACTACTTTAATTGTCATGATCCTGTGAGAAGACAAATGAGGTGCACCTCATACTTGGCATCTTCCTAAACAAATGAAGGGTTGCAGTAGTCTGAAGAGAATAAAGTGATGGGAAAGTGGAGTCAACCCCAAGACATACTTACAAGCCGAAGGCCAAGAGCATATGCTTGCCAGTCAGTAGTATGTTCACGTTTCTAGGGCAGTTTTGTTTCATCATATATACCACATTACACTGACTTTGTAAAAAAGTTTGTGCACAATTTGTAAATTTGCTTTGGTGTTACATTTGTACAAGAGCTTTATGAACATGTAGAATTTAATGTTTGTTTACATTTAAGAAATATTATAAAAAGAATTTACAGAAATGTTTGGGTGTGAGAGAATTTTTTTTAAAAAAAAAGAGGTCCCAGGCGAGGCACGGTGGCTTATGCCTGTAATCCCAGCACTTTGGGAGGCCGAGGCAGGCAGATCACCTGAGGTCAGGAGTTCAAGACCAGCCTGGCCAATATGGTGTAACACCATCTCTACTAAAAATACAAAAATTAGCTGGGCGTGGTGGTGCACACCTGTAGTCCCAGCTACTTTGGAGGCTGAGACAGGAGAGTCGCTTGAACCTGGCAGGTGGAGGTTGCAGTAAGTCTGGGCAACAGAGCAAGACTCCGTCTCAGGAAAAAAAAAAAAAAAAAAAGAGGTCCCTCCATATATTTCTCAGTGAGAAATACTGACATAGACACGGATAGCAGTACATAGAGTTGGTGCACTGTATGTATAATGTTTACTTAAATATATGGTAATAATGTATTAATACATCTTAACCAAGTTCTTAATCACTGGAGTTGATGACTGTTGGGCATCCTGCCTTCTTGTCTCACTTCGATTTGGTTTGTCCCTTGGGTGTACTTCACCTCAATGGATTTACCCAATTCATCTCTCCCTTCCATTCTCCAAGATCCTTCCTAATTTCTGTTTCTCTGAAAATGTGGGTGGGTATAGTAGTTCCTTATTTTCTCTGAAGATCTGAGCCTGAGAGCAAACCCTGGGGTAATCTGCCTTAAAGTCTTCAGATGCATAATTTACCTACCAGAGAGCTGATGGCTGCAGGAGAGACTGAGTGGTATCGAGAATTGTCAATTAACTTTTATCATTTTGTTTACCATTGGATAGAAATATACTGGACTTAACCCAATAACTGGTGATCTAACCCTTATAATTTTTTCATGTGATTGATGAGCTCGAAGTGTGTGTGTGTGTGTGTGTGTGTGTGTGTGTGTGTGTGTGTGTATTTAGCTGAGTCAAATATCACCAACAAAACCTGCTGATAAAACAAAGCTTGAATTTCTTACGTATTTTGGCAAGGAAAACCTCAACTTGCACAAAGCTTTGGCAATGTTTCAGAGGGAAATGTCTGGGCAGAATTTATTAAGAATTGGAAGTTTGATTTAAGGTGGATATTTCAATGTGGGGTCTTGATTAAGACTGGGCAAGCATCATTTTACAACAATCCAGGATTGGTGAAAGCAGCAAGATGAGGATTTTGAGGTGAGGAATTCAGAGAATTGTAGGGTGCAAACTGTTGATGCTTTCCATTGAAGAGGTGGTAGGTCTTTCAGGAAGTTCTGTGAAAGATGTAAGAATTAGATCCATTCTTTTTGTACGTGGATGTCCAGACGTTCCTACATTACTTATTGAAAAGACTATCTTTCCTCCATTATATTGCCCTTGCTCCTTTGTCAAAGATCAGTGGACATTTAAGGAAAGGATGAATTTGGCTTGGGAGAAAGAAGATTAGTGAGGTTTTTACAGTGAGTGACATTTGGCCTGGGCTTTTAGAAGAGTAGGCCAACAAAAGATGGACATTTTAGATGAAACATTGTAACCCTGAAATTATGGATCGTTTCTGTGGTGAAACTGGTGAATTTTGAAAGATAGACTTAGAAAACGTTTTTGATAATAAATGGTGTGATATCAATCATATACAATCATAGAAACCCTTGTGAACAAATGTGAACCTCAAAGAGCCAATCCTTCAAGATGAATCCGCAAATGCTAATGGCCTAAATTTAAAATAGAGAGCCAAACAGCCATGTGCTGACTAGAGGTCATACACCCACTCTGAGTTCCCAAAAAACCTCCACCTTTTTAACTTTGGGACTTTTAGAACTCAGCTGTATCAACCAATCAGAGCTCAGCCACATCAACCAATTGGGGCTCAGCTGCTTCCACCAATCAGAACTAAGCAAGTTTGTATCCTTCATTTGCATAAATGGATGTGATTGGGAACCTGGGTGTGAACTTTTGCAATTAAACCTAAACCCTCTTTTGTTGTCTGGAACACACCTTCATTTTAAGCCTGTTTGCATACTGTTCAGTGGAATATAGTCTCTTTCCTCCAAATTCCTTTTCAGAGAACTTTTGTTCACACCCTTAAGGGTTGATGGCAAAAAAATTTTTGAGAAATACCAACCAAGGGGACGATTATAACATTTTTATATTTGTCCTCATATAATTTTCTTCTTCTTCTTTTTTTTTTGGTTTTTAGACAGAGTCACGCTCTGTTACCCAGGCTGGAGTGCAGTGGCACTATCTTGGCTCACTGCAACCTCCACCTCCCAGGTTCAAGTGATTCTCCTGCCTCAGCCTCCTGAGTAGCTGGGATTATAGGCATGAACCACCACGCCCGGCTAATTTTTGTATTTTTAGTAGAAATGAGGTTTCACCATGTTGTTCAGACTGGTCTCAAACTCCTAACCTCGTGATCCGCCCACCTCGGCCTCCCAAATTGTACAGGGGTGAGCCACCACGCCCAGCCTCTTTCTTCTTCTTTTTAAAAAGAACATAAGATATATTGTTCCCCCGTAAAATTCTATCCAGTCTAATGTTTAAGTACTTTAAAAATTTTAATGAATGGGGTAATTCACCATTCTTCAATTGCTCTTACCAAACCTTTGTTTAGCCATTGTTACAGATAAGTTAGGAAAGTCATATCTCCTCTTTGATGTATATGTGTGTTAAGCAAGTAGCTATGATATTCTTTCCTATGCTTTAATGAAAATCTTGTACACAACTAAAATACTCCATGAGACTTACAAATATTGTAATTTATTTGACTAATGTAGAAAGGGCTTTTCAGAAACAACCAACATTTCTCAGATCAGTATGAATTTTTGGTTTAATGATATTTTCTTAAGAAAATGTTTGTTTTAGTTACCAAAAGTAACCACTTAAAAGACCCTCCATAATCTGATTTTTTTGGAGAGGAAGATGATCATATATTTTGCTAAACAGCAAAAAAGGAATTAAAATAAATTATGATATATAATACATGTAAATAAAAATAATAAAAGGAACCAATTACAAGAGGTCATAGCAAAAGGAATGTATTAAAATATATTCAGAAATAGGTAATCCTAAAGAAAATTATTATCTTGGTTCTTTTATTGTAGCTAGAGGAATGGATTTAGTCAAGTGAGATTAGAATCAGTGACTATACATTATTTACTATGTAAATAATAGGATATATACTTTGGAGGAGATGCTAGATGTTTTGAAATTTTCATCCTTGCAAATATATATTTCAACAATCTGGTCATTTTCAACCTGAACATTTTTTTCAATCTGAACATTACTCTTAACTAGTACTTGTACATTTTTACAATATTATGATTGAAGTTTGTAAAGATGATCCAATATGTCTTCTGAATCATAGAAGAATTATTAAATTAGGATATGTTTTTATTATTTGCAAGCTGGTAATCCGGTCTGTTGTTGTTTCTTTTTCTTTTAACACTTCTAGACTAATCGGAGCATGCTTATCAGGTATCTAACCTTGGGCTCATTCTTTGATCATCTTTGACAACACAGAGTTTACACTCAACAAACATATAGCAACCAACAGCTGATAAATTTAAGATTCATGCTATTATAGCAGTGTCTATCACAAAATAATTGTGACTTAACTAAAATTTTAACAAATGCCACATAACTCTTTTTAATAAAAACATAATTTTTCCACAATGAAGCACAAACAGATATATCTTCATTTCTAATTTGATAGAATGTAGTCTGCTGGTGTCACCAAGACAGTAGATTTCAGGAATAGGCCAGATCTCATTTTAATCTGAGTTAGGACAGATGTTCAAGTTTGACTTAAGAGGTCTTATCCAGTTACATCTTAACTCACTCCTGACTTCCCCAGAGATGGGTACGATGGCTCTGCCTACAACAGAGGGCCTACAGAGGGACTTCTTTACATGATCCTCTGACAAACATGAGCTGAGCATGATGAGTATTAGGGTTCCCTAGAAGCAGAGCCTAAGGTGGGGCATGATTCTTGGGCCAGTGATTTAGAGCGAGTGCTCTCAGCAGCAGCGGAGTGAGAGAAGCAGGATATGGCTGGAGGAAAAAACCTAAGCTCGCTGGAAACAAGCTCTAGCCTAATCCCAGGAGGAGCTCTGGAGTAGGATTTACACCACAGAATTGGTCAACCTTGAGGCAAGGTACCCTTGTACTCTCATCATCAGTTAGTCATTGCTTTTGGCTGCAGGGTTGTGTGTGTAGGGGTTGGGGTTATTAAACAGAAATCTCCCAGGCAATGAACCTCTTCTGCAGAGTGCAATTCTGCAGAGAAGGAAGCAGCTGTATTCATCAGCTAATACCCACAGCAGCTGGGGGATGGATCTATCTGCCTTGTAAAGGGGGCCTGAACTGGTCACCAGCTGTGTAAAACACTATGGTATAGAAACACTGTCATATATATGTTAGGACCCCAGAACAGCTCTGAAGAAACAAATAACTGAAACATACTGAAGAAAGCACTGCAGAACCTGAACACTTAAATTATGTACGTAGAGCATTGCTTCTAAAAATATGCTATGAGTACGACTAAGGATGCTAGGAACACATCTCCCTTTCTAACATTGGGTTTACGAACATCCTCTCCCCTCAACTACCCAGTTTGCTTAGCAGTAGCAGCTGGTGGTGAATTCTGCCATTAGGGCAAGATGCCCAGCAAGGAAAGAACTGGGTTGGTTAGGAGAATTTAAGGCAGATGAAGTCTCTGGAATGGGGATATGGTGTGTAGGGTGAAAGGAGCTAAAAGGGAAAGGTTTCTTTGTGTATGAAACCCACTCACCAATCTCCACCATTTGTTTATTTCTACCGGCCCTAGAGACACTCTTGTTGGCTCGTCTTTCCTCTGCCAACACTTTTGCTTTGCATCAGGATTTTTCTCTTTCCTCGCCTCTGAAACTCGACTTCTCACAGCTCTACCCCTTACACTGACACTTTCTAATAGTTTGACAGCTAGAAATAATGGAGAAAATTAAGTAAAAAGTCTTTCCGTGCTACCTCTGTTATTTTTGTTTTTAAATTTGGCCAAGCCCAGACATGTGTGCTATCGTTGGGTGTTGGGGGAAAAAATAAAAGACAAGATGATTTGTCTGCAATTCAAACCCAAGAGGGTTTCCTAGGTGTGGAGTGATGGGTTCTGAAATGCCAAATGAGAAAGAAGGTCAGGGAGCTACAAAAGAGGTACAGAGGTAGGGACAAGGCAGTGCTTCATTTACCTTCAGCAAACCTGGTGATTTACCTTCTCCTTCAGTCCCTTCACCATCACCAATCCTTCCCCTGAAAAAACCATTGTGGACTGCCTGATGATAAGTTGGGAAGTGAGAGTGGGTAGGTGTGGAGCAAGAATAACAACATCCTGGGTACCGTACATTCTGAAGGAACAGAGGGAATTCCTGTTTTGTTTTAACCTGGGACAGAGGGGATTGGTTTGTTCTCTCCAGGCTGAGGCAGTAATTCCTGACTCTAGGGACTGCTGATATGGAAATTACTACTACCACTCTGGGTGGAGTCAGATGAGTATATTAAAGAGTCTCATTGTACTGTCCTAAAATAAGCAAGATCTTTGCTAATATCCAAGCTTTACAGAACGGTGGGATGAGGTGAAGGCCCTGTACCTTTATCCCCAGTGGTCTTCAGTACTATAGGAAGTAATGGGGCCTGTGTGGCACAGTGGAGGGCAATGAGTGAGCTGGTTATGCCAATTCCTACTATAGTCACCTCCTTGGCTGCCAGCCTTCAAGGGAGAGATCTTTGCCTTAGTGGGTTCTGCCCTTCTGCTTCTGAAGAGAACCTAGTCTTTCTGTATGGGCATTCAGGCAATTCTTGGGGTGGGGAGTTGGGGGAGAGAGAGCACTTGAAAAGAATTTATGGTGGCCTTTTTCTCAGTGATATTTGAGAAATACCAAGACACATCTGAATGTATCTGAGTTTAAGTCTTGGCTCTATTTGTTATTAGCTCTGTGACCGTGGGCAAGTTATTGATTTATATGCAATCTGACTAATCTGAGTTTTCTTAGCTGCTTTAAGCAGACAAAGAGGACAGGAAAGGGTAATACACTTAAGAACCAGCAAAGGGCTATTGTGAGGATGAAGCAATAACAACAAAATGGGTTTAAAGCACTTATCATAGTGCGTGGTCCATAGAACTGCAAACGTTGGATTTTGCTTATTTTAGGACAGTACAAAGAGACTCTTTAATATACTCTTCTGACTCCAGCCAGAGTGGTAGTAATTTCCATATCAGCAGTCCCTAGAATCAGGTATTACAGCCTCAGCCTGGAGAGAACAGGGCAATCCCCTCTATCCCAGGTGAAATGATTATTATCATTTATTATTTATTAGCCAGAGGTCTTAGGTGAGATCAAATTCAATCATTATAATTTATATTTCAATATACTGCTTAACTTCATGATAGGCAATGTTCTAGGTGCTCCTCACATGTGAAATTTTAATATTTTTACTGCAACTCTGGAGGTAAGTACTATTATTATACCAATTCTACAGATGAAAAAGCCAAGGAATAGCATGCTTGAATCACTTGCCCAAGATGCCATGTTTAGATAGTGGTACAGTGGGGATTCGAACGCGGGAGCTCAGGTTTCAAAGTCTGTGCTCTTTACATATGCAGCTAAAGAGTCAGACAAGAACCAAAAGGAGATGGAGAATAGAGGGTAGAAAGGGCACAGGTTCAAGGTGAAAGGTCAGAAACTGCAAATTCGGAGTTTGGGTTGGTCTAGCAGCTTAAAGGCGTCATCATGAACTGTTCACCTAAGTAAGTTAAGCTCCTGTTTGAGAATGACTGATAAGCTTGCAAGCCAACTTACAAACAAACTGGGGAAATGTTCCAATAGATGACTAAGTCTTTTAGGTCTTTTTACCTGTGTTTTTCGGTCTCTATACCAGATTAGTCGCCTGGCTCTCCCAAACAGACCGGCCAACTGACGTAGTCGCGAAACGGTTAATGTCGAGGCGGGGGCGGGGGAGGCGGAAATAAAGAGAGCGGAAGCAAAGAGGATTGTGGGAGCTCCGTTGTGCGTCGCTTAAGTGAGGGCGGCGGATGGGCGAAGGTCCGGTGACTGCGACTGTCGCTGCTTTCTGAGGCCACAGGAAAGGGGCCGTCGGTCGCCGCCATGACAGCGAGCGAGGCGGAGGTTTGTAGCACTTCTTATGGGCTGAGGGCGTAGACACATCCTGCTTCCAGCCTAGCAGGCAAACGGGAACGGAAGTGATAGGGGATCAGAAGTTGCGAGGGGATGAGGAGTAGGGGAAACTGACAAGCGGACGGACCCGGCGGCGAGAATTGATGGCGTAGCTGTAGGATTAAGGGGCGTGTCAACTGTGTTGTGTGTGTTGACACTGAGATGTGTGAATCCCCTCATTATTTTTAGCTGGGGACAGGCGGGGTCTATGGGGGAGGGGGCGGACGGATGAATGGAGGATAAAATCAGGGCGAAAACGTGTTGTCTGCTGGGCACCAGTACATCTGAGTCACATCTCAGCAGGATGATTTTATTGGAAAGATCTAGGTCCCTGGTTTCAGATTCTGCTATTGATGCGTTGATTGATTTCCCTTACCAAAATACCAAGTACCTGCTCTGTGCTGGGTACTGCACTAGAGGCTCCGGATGAGGAAAGGAATTAGGCTTTTTCCTCGACATTTACAGCCTGCCGGTTGCTATCTGCATTTGGAGACAGGCTATTACAATACAAGGAGACAGAGATAGATCCTGTGTTATGAAAATCTATTGGGTGCCACCGAACTCATCTGGGAGTTGAGATCTGGGACGGCTCTTTGATGCGGTGATTTAACATATATTTTGAAGACAAAATAAGCAGGGCAAAAACGAAGTGCAATTTTCCTCCAAGCACCTTCCCTCCCTGTTGAGGTGAACTGGAGAACTGAGTAGCATTTAAGGCCCAAAATTAGTGTATTTCTTTTTTTTTTTCTTTCTTTCTTTCTTTTTTTTTTTTTTGATAAGGAGTCTCTCTACTTCTGTCGCCCAGGCTGGAATGCAGTGGCGTGATCTCCGCTCACTGCAACCTCCGTCTGCCGGGTTCAAGTGATTCTCCTGCCTCAGCCTCCCGGGTTGCTGGGATTAGAGGCACCCACCACCACTCCCGGCTAATTTTTATATTTTTATATTTTTAGTAGAGACGGGGTTTTACCATGTTGGCCAGGTTGGCCTCGAACTCCTGACCTCAAGTGATCCGCCTGCCTCGGCCTCCCAAAGTGCTGGTATTACAGGCATGAGCCACCGCGCCCGGTCCCCACAACTAGTTTATTTCTGGTAAGAGCATTTGCCCATCACAATGGGACTTCCAGGCGCCTCTGGAAGAATCAGTCTTACGTGAGTGCAAAGCCTGCAAGCTCTGGGTAGGACTACGATGGAGGTGCTAGTTACTTGGTTTTCCAGCAAACTCGGTTCACAGCAGGGAATTGTGCACCCACCAGAAATCCTAAGCAATATTTCTCTGAACAAGAAAAGAAGCCTCTTTGTTTACCAGAGAAACAACAGTATAGCAGTCTAAGTCAGTGGCTCTCAAACTTTCCTGTGAATCAGAATCAGATGGAGCGTTTCTTAAAACCAAGATTGCTAGGTCCCATCCACAGAGTTGCCCCTACAGTTGGTCAGGAGTGGACCCCCGAATTTACATTTCTAACTAGTTCCCAGGAGATGCTGATACTCCTGGACATGGGGCCATACTTGGAGAACTATAGGTCTAAACGGAGCTGACAATAAATTGGAAAGAATATCTCCTGGAATCTCTTAGAACCCGGGAGGCAGAGGTTGCAGTGAGCCAAGATTGCGCCACTGCACTCCAGCCTGGGCAACAGAGTGAGACTCTGTCTCAAAAAAAAAAAAAGAATATCTCCCCTAGGGAAGGCTAGGCACACTCCTAAACGTCAGGCATGTCTGAATTCAGACACAGTAGATATGAAATAAAATGGACTTATTTGACACTGCTTAGAAAATCTTTTTATTTTTATATTTGTATAATTTTATTGTATATTTACAAATTGTATACATTTATAGAGTTCAAAGTGGTATTTTATATATATACAATGTAGAATGATTAAATCAAGGTAAATAACATATTCATCACCTAAAATTTTATCTTTTTTTACACAAAAATGACTCAACATGGAATTTAATAGTTTTTTTGTGGTGCTAACATTTGAAATGTACTCTTAGCTCTTTTGGAATATGAAATTTTGAAATATCACCACCATTCTATTCTCTGTGTTTGTGGGTTCCATTGTTTTAGATTCCACATACAAGTGAGAACATGAAGTATTTGTCTTTCTGTGCCTGGCTTATTTCACTTAGCATAATGTTCTCCAGGCTCATCAATGGACAGATTTTCCTGATTTTTGAAGACTGAATAATATTTCATTGTGTATGTATAGCACATTTGCTTTATCTGTTCATCCACTGATGGACACTTAGGTTGATCCCATAACTTGGCTATTGTGATAAATCCTGCAATGAACATAAGAGTACAGATATCTCTTCGACATACTGATTTCAAATTCTTTGGATATATACCCAGAAGTGGGATTGCTGGATCATATAGTAATTCTATTTTTAGTTTTTTGAGGAACCTCCATACAGTTTTCCATAATGGCTGTACTAATTTATATTCCCACCAACAATGTATAGGGTTGCCTTTTCTCCATATCCTGGCCTGTTATCTTTCACCTTTTTGATAATAGCCATTCTGGAAGGTGTGAGATAATATATCATTGTGATTTTAATTTGCATGTCCCTAGCGATTAGTGATGTTGAGCATTTTTTCTTATGCCTGTTGGCCATTTGTGTGTCTTCATTTGAGAAATGTCTATTCGGGTCCTTTGTCCATTTGTTAATCAGGTTGTCTTTTTGCTACTTAGTCATTTGAGTCCCTTATATATTTTGGACATTAACACCTTATTAGAAGTAGGGCTTGCAAATATTTTCTCCCAATCTGTAGGCTGTCTCTCCCCTCTGTTAATTGTTTTCTTTGCTGTGCGGAAACATTTTAGTTCGATGTAATTCCATTTGTCTAGTTTTGCTTTTGTTATTTGAGCTTTTGGGGTCAAACCCCAAAATTCATTGCCCAGACCAGTGTCCTGTAGTTTCTTCCCTAGGTTTTCTTCTTGTAGTGTTATGGTCTCAGGTCATATATTTAAGTCTTTAATAAAATGGATGTGTTTTTGTTGTTTGTATGTTTTGGATGGTCGAGCAAAGGTCATCTTCCTGAACTAAACAAAGCAAATTGTTTTTCTCCATTGTACTTGTCACAGTGACTTATACCATAAATTGTTTAAAAACACAAAGTAGCAGTTTTCTATTCAAATCCCTTGCTGATTTTTATATATTCAAGTAGTTGTTTACAGTGGAGTTCACACCTCCACTGTATCAACAACGAAAAATGAAGTGTTCCTAATTTCTGGTAATAAATTATGTTTGAGGTTAAAAATTAAAAAGACAATGTGACAAGCTAATTGACAGACAAAGATTAGTATAAGAAGTCAGAATTGGTAGGTAGTTCCACCCCCACCAATAAAACTCTCCCTTTAGAAGAAATACAGTTATTCACTGCATAGTGGCATTTTGGTCAACGATGGACCACATATATTATGGTAGTCCCAGAAGATTATAATGGAGCATATATAGAAACCTGATATACAGCACTTGATATTGGCATTGCAGATCAGTTGCGGTAATGATTGATGTTCATTATTGGTACTGGAACATTTTGTTTTCCATATGAGAAAAAAAAAATATATATATATATATACACACACTCTAGGTTTGTGTAAGTACAGTCTATGATGTTCTCACAATGAAATTGCCTAACGATGGATTTCTCAGAATATATTCCTGTTGCTATGCAAGGTGTGACTGAAATCATTTTATTTACTCTAGAACACAGAATCAGAAATCTCATTTTGTTACAGCTTAATTTGAAGCCTTCCTTTAGGGGGTGGCCCTAAACAGACTCCTGGAGGGTGGCAGTCCACAGTTATACCTCCCGTTCAAACCCCCTCCCATGACCCTGAAAAAGGCTAGGACACATTTTCAGAAATTTCACTAATCATTCTAGACTCTTGTCAATGCTTCATCCCAAATCTCGCTAGGCCAGTTACAAAACAAAATAAATGAAACCCCAAACCAAACACTCAGACACACATAAAAAGACAACCAAAAAGTCCATACAAACTGGCCTGAGTCTATTGTGAGTCTTTGTAGGGGCCAGCAAGGTGCTAGAATGGCCAGTGCCTTGGATGTTTCAGAAATCTGTTCTCAGGCTGGGCGCGGTGGCTCACGCCTGTAATCCCAGCACTTTAGGAGGCCGAGGCAGGTGGATCACCTGAGGTCAGGAGTTCAAGACCAGCCTGGTCAACATGGTGAAACCCTGTCTCTACTAAAAATACAAAAATTAGCTGGACGTGGTGGCAGGTGCCTGTAATCCCAGGTACTCAGGAGGCTGAGGCAGGAGAATCGCTTGAACCTGGGAGGCAGAGGTTGCAGTGAGCCGAGATCGCGCCATTGTACTCCAGCCTGGGCGGCAAGAGCGAACCAAGAAAATGTGGCACATATACACCATGGAATACTATGCAGCCATAAAAAATGATGAGTTCATGTCCTTTGTAGGGACATGGATGAAGCTGGAAACCATCATTCTCAGCAAACTATTGCAAGGACAAAAAACCAAACACCGCATGTTCTCACTCACAGGTGGGAATTGAACATTGAGAACATATGGACACAGGAAGGGGAACATCACACACCAGAGCCTGTCATGGGGTGGGGGGAGGGGGGAGGGATAGCATTAGGAGATATACCTAATGCTAAATGACGAGTTAATGGGTGCAGCACACCAACATGGCACATGTATACATATGTAACAAACCTGCACGTTGTGCACATGTACCCTAAAACTTAAAGTATAATAAAAAACAACACGAAACAAAAAAAACAGAAAAGAAATCTGTTCTCTATCATGTCCATATTCCAAAGGAGTCAGCGAGACAACCACATATGACTCCTGAAAATTAATCAACTTTTGCACGTGATTGGTGAGCCTCTCACTTAATGCTTGTGCACTTACCCTGCACCTCCACAGTAGTCCTCATCTGTCTAAATCCACACCTAGTCTTACAGGTAGTGTTATTTTCCGTGAAATGTGAGGAGATAAAACAAACTTATGTAAGTTTGAACTCTGTAGCTCCATTTCCTAAATGATGCCTGAGTAGTAATGATTTAATTTTGTTGCATGAACATTCAGTATCTCAGGGACCCTGAGAGTGGACAGATGGTTGTGAAGGAGAATTTTGGGCTATGGGTGTCAAAGCAGCAAACGCGATTACTCCAGAATTCAAGTTCAGATGGGATTGTTCCCAGTCCATATTTTCTGTGTGCTACAGCTGATTCCTTAAACTAAACTTTAAATCAATATGTGTCTCTGACCTGAAGTGGGGTGGGGATTCTGGTCTGGCACTGAACTACTAGGTTATGGAGGTCGGTTTTTTCTTTGGAATGGTTTTTCTGAGGGTAAGAGTCCTTGCATCAAGTGAGTGAGAACTGTAAAGGAGAGGAGGAAAAGGGTAATGATAATGTCACGTTTTTGCTTTGCAAAATAAGATTAGGAGAAAAATGAAGAACACACTAGGAGGAGGAGGAGGAGGTGGCAGAAATAGGATTGTGAATCTGGGATCTGCAACTGAGATGTCCTATGCCTACCTATTGCTTTTCCCAAAGCAGAGGCTTAAGCACCCTGTGTGTGAAGCCAGATTTCCTTTAGGTCCTGTGACTGTGCTGGGGACAGGGCAGCTGTTGCCATTGTTATTGGAATAACCTTTCTGCACTTGATAAGGTGATAAGGAGGAAACCTGGGGGACCAGATCTCATATACACATATATTTAAGATATATATATATAACTTTAGGGGCATTTTAATAGCTTCTGGCAGTCTAAGGATTTATATAATTGTCTGCCAAAACTGCAGTGTAAAAGAGCCAAATCGAAAGTCTGACTGAAAGCTAGAATTCAGGGGATGGGAAGTGACCTCTGCTAGGAACGAGTTTTCTTATGCGAGGTCCTTAGAGGAGTCGTCACTGCCCTCTAGCCCAAGACCACCAGGAACACACCTGTGGTTGAACAGGTTGGGTTGATTGCTCAGTGCATTACATGGAGGGAGAGCGCACACCATGGGCGCTGTGGTGCTTCTCTGTTGGAGGGTGTCAGAAAGGACTTATTACGGGATTTGAATCTGTGTTAGGTGAATTTGGGGAAGATTTAAAGAAGTGAGGCTTTGCCCTGGATTGGACTCTGTTAGGAAATGGGAATAATTCTGTGATTGTGTATCTTAATGACTCTTATCCAGAAGGAGGCTAATTGGTAAAGTAGCACCGGTCACTGTTAGCAAGGATAGCAGAGTGTTTGGTCATTTTTATGGCTTAGTCAAAGTTCATGTTTTGTTTCTTCAGATACAGTTATGAGGTGGTCTTGCTTTTTTATTGGTCACTGTGGTCACATATTGGCCTTGTCTGATAGTGGCAGTTTATGAAATTGTTATGTTCATCGGGAGAACACCAAGGCCCAGCTGTGAGTGCCAAGCCAGTTGCCACATGTCAGTGGTTGCTTTTTTTCCTCCAGAGTGATCAGCACTGGGTCCAGCAGCTTATTGGAGGCCAGATTTCCTGGCCATTTATAGCAGATAAATAGTCAGATATGCTGAACAGGAAAGCTTGGGGCTGGATGTGGATGAAAGCATTTGGTTACCTTCTTTTTTTTTTTTTTTTCTTTTTTGAGACAGAGTCTTGCTCTGTCACCCAGACTGGAGTGCAGTGGTGCGATCTCAGCTCACTGCAGCCTCCGCCTCCTGGGTTCAAGTGATCCTCCTGCCTCAGCCTCCCAAGTAGCTGGGACTACAGGTGTGTGCCACTACACCTGGCTAATTTTTGTATTTTTAATGAAGATGGAGTTTTGCCATCTTGGCCAGGCTGGTCTCGAACTCCTGACCTCAAGTGATCCTCCCGCCTCGGACTCCCAAAGTATTGAGATTACAGGAATGAGCCACTGTGCCCAGCCCTCTGGTTACTATCTAACAGAGCTTAGGAGCCTCAGTTAAAATATTAGTCTCCTGAGGTGGTTTTTCCCTAAAAAATCAGATCAAAGTATACTTAAGCAGGAGAAGTACATGGGAGAAAGTGGCAGATTGTATTTTTCAGAGATGGCCACCGTAGTACCTGTCATCCCACACTCTCTTCTGTAATGTGACCTTGCCACCCTTCCATTGAGAAGTAGGGTCAAATGTCTCCTCTCCTTTGAATCTGGGCCAACTTTGATTATATTAACCAATAGAATAGGGGGCAGTGAAACTGTGACTTCTGAGGCTAGGTTATGAGAGGCAGTGTAGCTTCTGGCTCACCTGCAGTGACATTCACCTTTAGAGCCCTGAGCTGCCATGTACAAAGTCTGATTACCCTGAGGCTGCCATACTGTTAGAAGGCCCAGGCCTATGGTAAGGCCACCTATAGGTCCTCTGATCAACAGCCCTAGCCGAGGTTCCAGCTAATAGCCAACATTTACCAGTAGCCTGTAAATGAAAACTCCTAAAGGATTACGGCCCCCAGCCTTCTGGTTTTCCCAGGTGAGGCCCCAGACATTATGAAGTAGAAACAAGCTATCTCTGCTCCATGATGTCTCAATTCTTAAACCACAGAATCCTAGAACAAAGTAAAATGGTTGTTTAATGCCACTAAATTTGGATTGGTTTATTACGAAGCAATAGTAATTCAAACAGAGGTGGGGAGTTTGGTTAACATAAAAGGATTGAAGTAAAAGGAGCAAGGAAGGCAAATAGTTGGTAGAGAAGAAACAGGCTGGTACACAAAGCATTTTGCTTTGCTGCTGATGAGGGGCTTTTTGATCCCAGAGACTTCAGAGTGGACAGAAGTGGACAGTAGAGGGGAAAATGGGAAGATAATTTATCCATTATGCTAAATGAAACTGCTGTGGATAAATGAAAAATCTATAGATAATTGTGCCTCCTTTTAAAATAAGATCTTGAACTATTTATTTTTTAACTGAACATCTTGATTAAAACTAACAGAAGTGTGTGGAGTTTTTTGTAAGTAAAAAGTAGTAATAATATTAACAGTGGCCAACTATTCAGTGAGTAACAAGATTTTTTTTTCTTTTTTGTTATTATACTTTAAGTACTGGGGTACATGTGCACAACGTGCAGGTTTGTTACATAGGTATACATGTGACATGTTGGTTTGCTGCACCTATCAGCTCATCATTTACATTAGGTATTTCTCCTAATGCTATCCCTCCCCCGTCCTCCTACCCCATGACAGGCCCCTGTGTGTGATGTTCCCCTTCCTGTGTCCAAGTGTTCTCAATGTTCAGTTCCCACCTATGAGTGAGAACATGCAGTGTTTGGTTTTTTGTCCTTGTGATAGTTTGCTGAGAATGATGATTTCCAGCTTCATCCATGTCTCTACAAAGGACATGAACTCATCCTTTTTTATGGCTGCATAGTATTCCACGGTGTATATGTGCCACATTTTCTTTTTATTATTATTATACTTTAAGTTTCAGGGTACATGTGCACAACGTGCGGGTTTGTTACATATGTATACATGTGCCATGCTGGTGTGCTGCACCCATTAACTCGTCATTTAGCATTAGGTATATCTCCTAATGCTATCCCTCCCCCCTCCTCCCACCCTACAACAGTCCCCAGAGTGTGATGTTCCCCTTCCTGTGTCCATGTGTTCTCATTGTTCAATTCCCACCTATGAGTGAGAACATGCGGTGTTTGATTTTTTGTCCTTGCAATAGTTTACTGAGAATGATGATTTCCAATTTCATCCATGTCCCTACAAAGGACATGAACTCATCATTTTTTATGGCTGCATAGTATTCCATGGTGTATATGTGCCACATTTTCTTAATCCAGTCTATCATTGTTGGACATTTGGGTTGGTTCCAAGTCTTTGCTATTGTGAATAATGCCACAATAAACATACGTGTGCACGTGTCTTTATAGCAGCATGATTTATAGTCCTTTGGGTGTATACCCAGTAATGAGATGGCTGGGTCAAATGGTATTTCTAGTTCTAGATCCCTGAGGAATTGCCACACTGACTTCCACAATGGTTGAACTAGTTTACAGTCCCACCAACAGTGTAAAAGTGTTCCTATTTCTCCACATCCTCTCCAGCACCTGTTGTTTCCTGACTTTTTAATGATTGCTATTCTAACTGGTGTGAGATAGTATCTCATTGTGGTTTTGATTTGCATTTCTCTGATGGCCAGTGATGGTGAGCAGTTTTTCATGTGTCTTTTGGCTGCATCAATGTCTTCTTTTGAGAAGTGTCTGTTCATGTCCTTTGCCCACTTTTTGATGGGGTTGTTTGTTTTTTTCTTGTAAATTTGTTTGAGTTCATTGTACATTCTGGATATTAGCCCTTTGTCAGATGAGTAGGTTGCAAAAATTTTCTCCCGTTTTGTAGGTTGCCTGTTCACTCTGATGGTAGTTTCTTTTGCTGTGCAGAAGCTCTTTAGTTAAATTAGATCCCATTTGTCAATTTTGGCTTTTGTTGCCATTGTTTTTGGTGTTTTAGACATGAAGTTCTTGCCCATGCCTATGTCCTGAATGGTAATGCCTAGGTTTTCTAGGGTTTTTATGGTTTTAGGTCTAACGTTTAAGTCTTTAATCCATCTTGAATTAATTTTTGTATAAGGTGTAAGGAAGGGATCCAGTTTCAGCTTTCTACATATGGCTAGCCAGTTTTCCCAGCACCATTTATTAAATAGGGAATCCCTTCCCCATTGCTTGTTTTTCTCAGGTTTGCCAGAGATCAGATAGTTGTAGATATGCGGCGTTATTTCTGAGGGCTCTGTTCTGTTCCATTGATCTATATCTCTGTTTTGGTACCAGTACCATGCTGTTTTGGTTACTTTAGCCTTGTAGTATAGTTTGAAGTGAGGTAGTGTGATGCCTCCAGCTTTGTTCTTTTGGCTTAGGATTGACTTGGCAATGCAGGCTCTTTTTTGGTTCCATATGAACTTTGAAGTAGTTTTTTCCAATTCTGTGAAGAAAGTCATTGGTAGCTTGATGGGGATGGCATTGAATCTATAAATTACCTTGGGCTGTATGGCCATTTTCACGATATTGATTCTTCCTACCCATGAGCATGGAATGTTCTTCCATTTGTTTGTATCCTCTTTTATTTCCTTGAGCAGTGGTTTGTAGTTCTCCTTGAAGAGGTCCTTCACGTCCCTTGTAAGTTGGATTCCTAGGTATTTTATTCTCTTTGAAGCAATTGTGAATGGGAGTTCACTCATGATTTGGCTCTCTGTCTGTTATTGGTGTATAAGAATGCTTGTGATTTTTGTACATTGATTTTGTATCCTGAGACTTTGCTGAAGCTGCTTATCAGCTTAAGGAGATTTGGGGCTGAGACGATGGGGTTTTCTAGATATACAATCATGTCATCTGCAAACAGGGACAATTTGACTTCCTCTTTTCCTAACTGAATACCCTTTATTTCCTTCTCCTGCCTAATTGCCCTGGCCAGAACTTCCAACACTATGTTGAATAGGAGTGGTGAGAGAGGGCATCCTTGTCTTGTGCTGGTTTTCAAAGGGAATGCTTCCAGTTTTTGCCCAGTCAGTGTGATATTGGCTGTGGGTTTGTCATAAATAGCTCTTATTATTTTGAGATATGTTCCATCAATACCTAGTTTATTGAGAGGTTTTAGCATGAAGGGCTGTTGAATTTTGTTAAAGGCCTTTTCTGCATCTATTGAGATAATCGTGGTTTTTGTCGTTTTTTCTGTTCATGTGATGGGTTATGTTTATTGATTTGCATATGGTGAACCAGCCTTGCATCCCAGGGATGAAGCCGACTTGATTGTAGTGGACAAGCTTTTTGATGTGCTGCTGGATTCGGTATGCCAGCATTTTATTGAGGATTTTCACATTGATGTTCATCAGGGATATTGGTCTGAAATTCTCTTTTTGTTGTGTCTCTGCCAGGTTTTTGTATCAGGATGATGCTGGCCTCATAAAATGAGTTAGGCAGGATTCCCTCTTTTTCTGTTGTTTGGAATAGTTTCAGAAGGAATGGTACCCGGTCCTCTTTGTACCTCTGGTAGAATTTGGCTGTGAATCCGTCTGGTCCTGAACTTATTTTGGTTGGTAGGCTATTAATTACTGCCTCAATTTCAGAACCTGTTATTGGTCTATTCAGAGATTCTACTTCTTCCTGGTTTGGTCTTGGGAAGGTGTATGTGTGCAGGAATTCATCCATTTCTTCTAGATTTTCTAGTTTATTTGCATAGAAGTGTTTATAGTATTCTCTGATGGTAGTTTGTAGTTCTGTGGGATCGGTGGTGATATCCCCTTTATCATTTTTTATTTCGTCTATTTGATTCTTCTCTTTTCTTCTTTATTAGTCTGGCTAGTGGTCTATGTATTCTGTTGATCTTTTCAAAAAACCAGCTCCTGGGTTCATTGATTTTTTTGAAGGGGTTTTCATGTCTCTATCTCCTTCAGTTCTGCTCTGATCTTAGTTATTTCTTGTCTTCTGCTAGCTTTTGAATTTGTTTGTTCTTGCTTCTCTAGTTCTTTTAATTGTGATATTAGGGTGTTGATTTTAATCTTCCTGCTTTCTCTTGTGGGCATTTAGTGCTATAAATTTCCCTCTACACACTGCTTTAAATGTGTCCCAGAGATTCTGATACGTTGTGTCTTTGTTCTCATTGGTTTCAAAGAACATCTTTATTTCTGCCTTCATTTTGTTATTTACCTGGTAGTCATTCAGGAGCAGGTTGTTTAGTTTCCATGTATTTGTGTGGTTTTGAGTGAGTTTCTTAATTCTGACTTATGATTTGATTGCACTGTAGTCTGAGAGACAGTTTGTTGTGATTTCTGTTCTTTTACATTTGCTGAGGAGTGTTTTACTTCCAACTATGTGGTCAATCTTAGAATATGTGTGATGTAGTGCTGAGAAGAATGTATATTCTGTTGATTTGGGGTGGAGAGTTCTGTAGATGTCTGTTAGCCCTGCTTGGTCCAGAGCTGAGTTCAAGTCCTGGATATCCTTGTTAATTTTCTGTCTCGTTGATCTAATATTGACAGGGGGTGTTAAAGTCTCCCACTATTATTGTGTCAGAGTCTAAATCTCTTTGTAGGTCTCTAAGAACTTGCTTTATGAATCTAGGTGCTCCTGTATTGGGTGCATGTATATTTAGGATAGTTAGCTCTTCTTGTTGCATTGATCCCTTTACCATTATATAATGGCCTTCTTTGTCTCTTTTGATCTTTTTATAAACAACTCAAGATAATTGGCTGAAAATAGTTAGTGAGACTTCCCCAAAGGCTCGTCAGCATAGGCAACTACAATATTAAATCTTGTTACTCTGATTTCCAGCAAGATGGCCGAATAGGAACAGCTCTGGTCTGCAGCTCCCAGCGAGATCGATGCAGAAGGCCAGTGATTCTGCATTTCCAACTCAGGTAAACCGGGTCTGGAGTGGACCTCTACTGCTTAAGATCTGTTTTATCAGAGACTAGGATTGCAACCCCTGCTTTTTTTTGCTTTCCATTTGCTTGGTAGATCTTCCTCCATCCCTTTATTTTGAGCCTATGTGTGTCTTTGCACATTAGATGGGTCTCGTGAATACAGTACACTGATGGGTCTTGGCTCTTTATCCAATTTGCCAGTCTTGTCTTTTAATTTGAGCATGTAGCCCATTTACGTTCAAGGTTAATATTGTTATATGTGAATTTTATCCTGTCATTATGATGCTAACTGGTTATTTTGCCCGTTAGTTGATGCAGTTTCTTCATAGCGTCGATGGTCTTACAATTTGTCATGTTTTTGCAGTGGCTGGTACCGGTTGTTCCTTTCCATGTTTAGTGGTTCCTTCAGGAGCTCTTGTAAGGCAGGCCTGATGGTGACAAAATCTCTCAGCATTTGCTTGTCTGTAAAGGCTTTTATTTCTCCTTCACTTATGAAGCTTAGTTTGGCTGGATATGAAATTCTGGGTTGAAAATTTTTGTCTTTAAGAATGTTGAATATTGGCCCCCACTCTCTTCTGGCTTGCAGGGTTTCTGGCAAGAGTTTTGCTGTTAGTCTGATGGGCTTCCCTTTGTGGGTAACCTGACCTTTCTCTCTGGCTGCCCTTAACATTTTTTCCTTCATTTCAACCTTGGTGAATGTGATGATTATGTGTCTTAGGGTTCTTCTTGAGGAATATCTCTGTGGTGTTCTCTGTATTTCCTGAATTTGAATGTTGGCCTGCCTTGCTAGGTTGGGGAAGTTCTCCTGGATAATATCCTGCAGAGTGTTTTCCAACTTCGTTCCATTCTCCCCGTCACTTTCAGGTACACCAATCAAACGTAGATTTGGTCTTTTCACATAGTCCCATATTTCTTGGAGGCTTTGTTCTTTTCTTTTCACTCTTTTTTCTCTAATCTTGTCTTCTTGCTTTATTTCATTAAGTTGATCTTCAATCACTGATATCCTTTCTTCCTCTTGATTTATTTGGCTATTGAAACTTGTGTATGCTTCACGAAGTTCTCATACTGTGTTTTTCAGCTCCATCAGGTCATTTATATTCTTCTCTACACTGGGTATTCTAGTTAGCAATTCGTCTAACCTTTTTTCAAGGTTCTTAGCTTCCTTGCATTGGGTTAGAACATGCTCCTTTAGCTTGGAGGAGTTCGTTATTACCCACCTTCTGAAGCCTACTTCTGTCAGTTTGTCAAACTCATTCTCTGTCCAGTTTTCTTCCCTGCTGGTGAGGAGTTGTGATCCTTTGAAGGAGAAGAGGCGTTCTGGTTTTTGGAATTTTCAGCCTTTCTGCGCTGGTTTCTCCCCATCTTTGTGGTTTTATCTACCTTTGGTCTTTGACGTTCGTGACCTACCGATGGGGTTTTGGTGTGGGAGTCCTTTCTGTTGATGTTGATGGAATTCCTTTCTTTGTTAGTTTTCATTCTAACAAGTCAGTTGGAGTTTACTGGAGGTCCACTCCAGACCCTGTTTGCCTCAGTTGGAAATGCAGAAATCACCCGCCTTCTTTTTTTTTTTTTTTTTTTTGAGATGGAGTCTCGCTCTGTCGCCCAGGCTGGAGTGCAGTGGTGCAATCTCGGCTCACCGTAAGTTCCGCCTCCCAGGTTGACGCCATTCTCTTGCTTCAGCCTCCCGAGTAGCTGGGACTACAGGCGCCTGCCACCATGCCCAGTTAATTTTTTTTTTTTGTAGTTTTAGTAGAGACAGGGTTTCACCATGTTAGCCAGGATGGTCTCCATCTCCTGACCTCGAGAAATCACCCGCCCTCTGCCTCGGTCTTGTTGGGAGCTGCAGACCAGAGCTTTTCCTGTTTGGCTATCTTGCCGGAAATCAGAGTAACAAGATTTAATATTGTAGTTGCCTATGCTGACGAGCCTTTGAGGAACTCTCACTAATCATTTTCAGCCAATTATCTCGAGTTGTTTATAAAAAACGATTTCTACTTTGCTTTGGTTATGTGAATGTTTGCCTCAGTATATCTTATTTGAGGTGTTTAACATATGACACGTGGCTAGCGTTAGTGTTGAAACTGTGAAGACGTTTAGCTGTTCAATCTTCCTTGGTAATAGTACTTAGTTATCAGAGATTGAAAAGACATTTGCTCATCTCTGTCTCATTGTGTGAGAGGAAAACACAGTGTTATTTCCAATGACATGTATGGAAGTTTCATTCTTTTAATCTGGCAGAAACTGGTTCAGTTTTTTTTGAAACAGGGTCTCACTGTGTTGACAGTTGGAGTGCAACAGTGAGATCATGGCTCACTGCAGCCTCAACTCCCAGGCTCAAACAATCCTCCCACCTCAGCCTCCCAAATAGCTGGGACTACAGGAGACTGCCACCATGCCCAGCTAATTTTTGTGTTTTTTGTACAGACAGGGTTTAACCATGTTGCCCAGGCTGATCCTGAACCTTTTTCTTTTAAAAGACTAGTCAAGCATAGTAGTGAGAAGGCTGGTTCACTTTTAAAGTCTCCATATGTGGCCACATTTTAGATTTTATATACATCAATAGTTTTTGCTGGGTAACCTATTCTATCTGTAGGTAAGAATGGAAGTCCTAGGACTGGGTGTGGTGGCTCACACCTGTAATCCCAGCAATTTGGGAGGCCAAGGCAGGTGGGTCGCTTGAGCCCAGTAGTTGGAGACCAGCCTGGGCAACATGGTGAAACCCTGTCTCTACAGAAAATTCAAAAATTAGCCAGGCGTGGTGGTGCATGCCTGTGGTCCCAGCTACTCGGGAGGCTGAGGTGGGAGGATCGCTTGAGCTGAGGCGGTGGAGACTGCAGTGAGCTATGATCACTCCAGCCTGGGTGACAGAGTGAGACTCTATCTGGAAAAAAAGAGTAGTAGAAGTCCTTGTACTGTTGGAATTGTTTAATCAGTGAGCATTCAGAGATATTGGTTATAAATGTTGAGTATGGCTACCAACTGACCACATGGTTATGGGCCAAGGTACAAAATGTCTGAGTCACTTGTTTTATTGTAAAAATTCATGTGAATGTCTAAGGTTTTGAAGATTTACACCTGTGTTTTCTAGGAGTTTTACATTTTTCTTTCCTATGCCTTTGTTTTGTTTTCAGGTAAGTTTGGCATGTGGTGTAAAGTAGGAGCCCAGCTTTGTTTTCCAGGCGCATATCCAGTTGTCCCAGCAGCTGGATTTCACAGCTTACTGCGATTGCGAGGCTTCTGGTTTTCAAGGCTATCACTGAGCAAAAGAGAGGGGGATGTGAATAGGGCAAGTTAAAAGGCCACAAAGATCAGTGTTCTTGCTAAGATTCAGTTGTTTTCTTGAATAAATGCTCCTTAGATCGCTGCAAGCTTTTGGGTAATTTCCAGAATATTGAAAAACTTGATTTTAACAATTTTTGCCAATATTCTCTTTGCTGATTTGAGGAGCAGATTTTTTGGAGGTTCTTACTCTGCCATTCTGAAAATGCCTACTCATAAGTTTCTGTTTTGCCTGGGGCATAATCAGATCTCCGTATGAAATAATAATTTTGATATATGTGTATATTTGGGTCAGAACTTCTTAGCGGTGGGCAGGATTTGGACTGACCAAAAAAAATGCTTAAGGTGGCCTTCTCCTGTCTCTTCAGGACTCTAAAAGACTGTCCTGGGTGGAGGCTGGGCTGTGTTCACAAGCAGGCCAGTGGGTGAGAACTATGGGCAGCCAGTGAGACCATGTCATTTTTGTCCCTGCCAGACTGTTTCTGTGCTCATAGACATATGAAAACATCTGGAGATACGTTTGAGCTCATTTTTTTCCCCAGAGATGGACTTCCAATTTCCTCTACTGTTTATGGTATTCCCCAGAAAATTTGTTAGACTTGGACCTCTCCTTTAGAATGAATTTGGGAGAGACCAATGTTAAAGGGGGTAATTGGAGAGACCAGGGAAGGCTTCTTGCAGGAGCTATGAGTTTTAACCTAGTTCTACAGAGTGAGCAAGAGGTGATTAGTTGAAGAAAATAGGTGGTAAGAAGTAGTTCAATTTAACACAAGCCATGGAGATTATATGTAATTAAATCCCCTCACTGAACCAATGCAAGAATAAAAGCCAGGCTTATCCCTGGGAGAAAGCCAGAAACTATGCTGTGATACACACACACACACACACACACACACACGGAATCCTGTCTCTACAAAAAAGACAAAAATTATCAGGGTGTGGTGGCACATGCCTGTAGTCCCAGCTGCTTGGGAGGCTGAGGTGGGAAGATTGCTTCTTGAGCTTGGGAGGTCCAGGTGGCACTGAGCCTTGATCCCACTACTACACTCCAGCCTGGGGAACAGAGTGAGACTCTGTCTCAAAATAAATAAATAAATAAGGAGGGGAGGCTGTATATCATAGTCATAAAAAATTCAAGACCTGATGTCAGACAACTTAAGTTCAAATGCCAGATCTTCTGCTTATTGGCTGTGTGACCCTGGGAAACTTACTTTATCTCTTTGGTCCTATTATATTTGTAAAATGGGAATATCTACCTGCTTCACAGGTTTGGTGAGAAGTTTAAATGAGAGAATGCATCAATAGTGCAAAGCACAATGTCTTGCATAGAGTGTTTACTAAAAGCCACATTTTATTTTATTTATTTTTATTTTATTTATCTGTTTATTTATGTATTTATTTATTTATTGAGACAGAGTCTTGCTCTGTCGCCAGGCTGGAGTGCAGTGGCACAATCTCGGCTCACTGCAACCTCCGCCTCCTGGGTTCAAGCAGTTCTCCTGCCTCAGTCTCCCTAGTAGCTGGGAGTACAGGCACACACCACCACACCCAGCTAATTTTTGTATTTTTAGTAGAGATGGGGTTTTGCCATGTTGGCCAGGATGGTCTCGATCTCTTGACCTTGTGATCTGCCCGCCTTGGCCTCTCAAAGTGCTGGGATTACAGGCATGAGCCACTGCACCCAGCCTATCTTTATTTTTTTGAGATGGAGTTTCTCACTCTGTTGTCTAGGCTGGAGTGCAGTGGTGCAATCTTGGCTCACTGCAACCTCCACCTCCCAGGTTCTAGCAATTCTCCTACCTCAGCCTCGCAAGTAGCTGGGATTACAGGCATGTGCCACCACGCCCAGCTAATTTTGTAGTTTTAGTAGAGACAGGGTTTCACCATGTTGGACAGGCTGGTGTTGAACTCCTGGCCTCAAGTGATTCACTGGGCTCAGTCTCCCAGAGTGCTGGGATTACAGGCGTGAGCCACTGCGCCTAGCCAATTTTTATTTTTGAGACAGGGTCTTACTCTGTCAGCCAGGCTGGAGTGCAGTGGTACCATTTCAGCTCACTGCAACTGATAGGGAAGGGGAAAGGGAAGTACTGGGAAGGGAAGAGCATGATCCCTTTAAATGATATGGAAGGAGGGAAGAGTGTGGTCCCTGGCTAGGCCTCTACCCCCGGGCCTATGCCCATGGACCTGGGTGAGGACAGGCATTTTTGTTTTCCTGCCCAAATGTTGCATTTCCCAAGACCACCCTGGCCTGCCATACCACCATCCTGTGCCTATAAAAACCCCGAGACGCTAGCAGGCAGACACACATGTGGCTGGGCATTGAGAGGAGCACATCAGTGGAGGAACACACAGGTGGCTGGATGTGGAGAGGAACGCATCGACAGTTACCAGCACGCCGGCAGGCCATTGAGCGGCAGAACGACACGGAGTTTGGCTAGGGCAGTCAGAAAAAACCTGGGCCGCAAGCAGCCTGACTCCAGAGGAAAACCATCTCCCTTCTGGTTCCCCCGTCTACTGAGAGCTACTTCCACTTAATAAAATCTTGAACTCATTCTCCAAGCCCACGTGTGATCTGATTCCTCCAGTACACCAAGGCAAGAACTCCAGGATACAGAAAGCTCTCTGTCCTTGCAATAAGGCAGGGGTCGAATTGAGCTAACACAAGCTGCCTACAGGCAGCTAAACTAAAAGAACACCCTGTAACACACGCCCACTGGGGCTTCAGCTGTAAACATTCACCCCTAGACACTGCCGTGGGGCTCCCAGCCCATCTGTATGCTCCCATAGAGGTTTGAGCAGTGGGGCACTGAAGAAGTGAGCTACACCCCCCATTGCACACCCTGCAAGGGGTACGAGAGAACTTTTCCTTTTTCACAACCTCTGCCTCCTGGGCTTAAGTGATCCTAACATCTCAGCCTCCCCAGTAACTGGAAGTACGGGCACGTCACCATGCCTGGCTAAATTTTGTTTTTTTTTTGTAGAGACGCCGTCTCCCTGTTACTCAGGCTGGTCTCAAACTCCTGGCCTCAAGCAATCTTCCTGCCTCAGCCTCCCAAAGTGCTGGGATTACAGGCGTGAACCACTATGCTGGCTGGTGGGCAGCCACATGTTAAATCTCTGAGTCTAGCCATAAATCCAAATATCAAATGCACAAAGCCTAAAAACCGTGTGAGTGTGGTCAAAATAGAAACTTTTTGAATGCGTTCTGAAATTTATTTCTGTTCTGTTCACTTTTAGAATTTGGTAGCATCTTGAAAATGCCAACTTGTCTCCATCATGTTAGGAAGAATCATATGGAGTGTTTTGTTTTTTTTGGTCTATATTTGAGACAGAACATCTGTGAACAAAAGGTCTCTGAAAAGGAGACTGGAAGAAAGAGACTTCCAGTGAACAGTTGCAAACCCAGGAGTCACAGCCTCCAGTGTAAAACAAAAGTACATTTATAACGAAGGATTGAAGCATGGTTAGTTCTGATTGGTCAATGCAGCTGAGTTCTGGTTGGTCCATATAGCATAGCCCTGATTGGTCAACACAGCTGAGCTCTGATTGGCTGAGGAAGATGAGCTCTGATTGGTTGGTTCAGGGAAGCACTGAAAGTCTGAAAGATAAAAGAGTGCAGGTTTTCAGGGAACTCAGAGTATGTGTGTGACCCCTAGTCGGCAAATGGCTCGTTGGCTTTATTTTACATTTAGGCCCAGTGAGCTGCTCAAGATCCATCTTGAAGGATTGGCTTTTTCAGGTTTATGTTTGTTCACACATGAAAGGAGGAGCACTCACTTTGGGGCTTGGGGGGTGCAGGGCTACAGTAGAGGCAGGGATCAAGCAGAGCGTATCTCCAGGGGTTAGGTGAGATTCAGAGGGATGGAGTCAAGTTCCTGATCAGCTAAACCTCCTACTAGGAGATTCTACTACCTGAACTTTTATCTCCTTGAATTTGGGAGGTACAAGGTTTTTATTTATTGAATCATCAAACATGCATTGAGGCGGGGGTTACAGTAGTTTGTTTGTTTGTTTGCTTGTTTTTAACTATTGCATGAGTTCTGGACCCAGGGCAGGCTTGAATCTGAGCTCTAGCATTTCCTGGCTGTGTGACTATGGACAATTTACCCAACCTTTCTGTTCCTCTTTTGCTTCATCTGTAACACGAGGATAATCATATTATCTACCTCACTGAGTTGTGAGCATTAAATGGGATAATACAGATACAGTATTCAGTGCTCAACAAATATTAAATATTATAATAATTATTTTATAGTGGTTGGAAATATGGCTATTTTAATTCTCTGTGTACATGTTTAATTCTTTACATGGTCAACTGGTTTTGTTCATCATTGTTTCTCCTCTGCCTGTCTGTTCTAGGTACGACACTTACAAATTTGTTGGGTGCATGAATGAATGCGTACAGGTAAACATTTATAATACAATGAGAGGTGCTATAATAGAGCTTGAGTACAAGACACTTTGCAGGACATGGAGAAGGATATGATTAACTTTGAGCAGTTCCGAAACAGTTCACTGAGCGAGGCTGTTCCCTTCTAGAATTTTCACAGTGCAGTGGGCTGTCAGAGCAAACTGCACTGGGGAATTAAGTAAAGGGATGCTAGATAGCCACCAGGTGGCGATATTGCAGAAGGATTCAAGTAGCGGAGGAAAGGAGCAGCCCTCTTCCAGCCAGGAGTCCATGTTCCTGTCCACGTCAGATTTTTTCTCCTGTCCACGAAAGTTCAAGCTGTGATTTCTTTCCCTTTGTTCTGATGGTCTTGGAGCACTGCCGTTCCTGCCCAAGGCTGTTTTGGAGCTGCCTAGTGCTCCAGCCATTCTGTCATTACCAGACAGAGGACAGAAATGATGCTGTTTCCAGTTCTTCAGTTGTTGGGCTTCTAATTCTTACATCACTGACCTGCCGTTTCCTCTGCTATGCCTCCCATGATGGAGTTAAAGGGGTGAGGGGAGAAGCAAAACTGACATCTTTTGAGACTTCCGGCACTATGTCAGACATATATACATATATAATATGTATGCATATTATATACATATATAATGTGTATGCATATTGTATACATATATAATGTGTGTGTTATATGTAACATAAATACATAATTATATATTTTGATATGTGAGTTGTGAGCCATTTTATATAGTGGGAAGCTGAGGCTCAGAGAAGGGCATCTTTTCAGTATTCAAATAAAATTCTCTAGTTAATCAAAGTTGGTATCAGATATTGGAGATACAAAGATTAGGAAGATGTGGTTCCTACCCCTAAGTCTTGTGCTCCTGTAATACTCTGTGGGTGTGTCTATCACAGGACTTATTGCATCATGTTATTAGTGGTTATTTATATGTCTGTCTTCTCAGATAGATGGTAAATTCCTTAAAAGGCAGCAGCCATTTCAAGCATTCCTCATACTTAGCATAGGCTCCAGTACATAGTAGATATTTAACTACTGTGAGGCACAGAATAATTGTGTCTGATTGAGCAGTGGGAACTAGTGAAGAGTTTCAAGCAGGGCAGTGACATGATGAGTTTTTCGCTGGAGGTGGGTAACAGGTTGCCCATTGGATTGGAGCAGTGAGTGGAGGCAGGCAGGGAGGTGACTGTGGCAGAGTCTGTGCTAGAGGGGATTTAGGCCAGAACGAGGGCAATGGCAGTGAGTATGGAGAGAAGACAGGTTGGAGAGTTATTGAGGACATGAATTAGGATTTGGTCGTTTCTTAGATGTGGAGATCGAAGAATTCCAGGCTTGGGTGATGGTGGTGCCAGCAACAGGTTCAGAGTAAAGAGGGGAAGTGGGTTTGGGGTGGGAAACACGAGTTCGGTTTTGGACATGCTGAGGTTGAGGTGTCTATTCAGGGGGTGTGATATATCAGGATGTGTGAAACCAAAACTCAGGAAAGAGGTTAGGAGTGAAAATCTGGGGATCATGAAGCTGTCGGTGGAGCTTAGAAGCTTGCCAGGGGATGCCATCACTCAGGGGCAGGACATGCAGTGAAACAGGAAGTGGGCTAAGGATGGAACCTGGGAACCTTGACACAGATGGGCTGAAGAATGAGAAACCCATGAGAAAGATGGAAAAAGAATAGCCAGGGAGATTGGAAGCAAACCAGGAGGGTGTGGTGCCACAGCAGCCAAGGGAGGAAAGAGTTCAGGAGGGAGGGAACACGGGAGTGGTTAGTACTTTAGAGGCAGGTAGGAAGTTGAAGGTAGAGAGTAATTCAGTGTGGCTGGGCTTTGGGGCATCATGGAGGAGTGGCAGGAGATGAGCCCAGAAAGTCCATTCGGGCTCTTATGCAAGGAACCTTGGTCACCAGGCTAAGGAGTTAAGGCTTTATTTTGTAGGAAAGGAAGAATCATTGAAGGGTTTCCAATAGGAGTAACATGGTCAGATCAAGGTGTTTCAGAAAGGTCAGGCTGAGGCAATGTGGAGGACGCTGTGGAGGAGGCAGTGACTCATTGAAGTGATGGAAAGTGGCTTTTGGGCTGTGAAAGAAGGCACAGTCTTCCAAGATCTTTAGTAGGTAAAATTGAGACGCCTTGAAAATGGTAGTTAACACTCATTGAGCACTGTTCTAAGTGCTTACGTGAATGATCTTAATTCTCACAACCCACCTATGAGGTACATTAACATCATTTTATGCCTAAGGAAACAGGAACAGAGAGATAAAGTAATATGCTGAACAGAACTAGTAAGTGGCAGAGCCTAGATTCAAACTCAGGTGGTTTGGCTCTAACCCACACTCTTAACTTCAGTGTTGTTTTGCCTTGATTAGATGTGGGGAGTGAGGGGGTTGTCAGTTAGCATCAGGTTCAGCTGTGAGTTATTAGCCATCCAAAATAACTTATGGACTTTCTGTCCTATCGTCTCCACCGTGTGACACTTGTCCTCTGGTCATTGCATTTATGTTTCAAGCAGTAAAATACTGGGTAGGGGGAAGGGGAGAACAGATGTTGGGGAACAACAGAAGTCTCTGCTGTAAGAGAAATCCCAGGACACTGACATTTGCGTGGAGGATGATATTGCCACACATTGAAGTGGCAACCACAGGAAACCTGTTAGACCTTTATCATTTGACAGTTTCTTTTCCCAGAATCCTTCCTTTGCCTTGGAAATGAACCCCTCTGTGACTCTGGTGTGCTGCTCCTCTCCTGTCTAGCCATTCAGTGCTCATGAGAGCTTCCAATCATAGTACCTGTCTCCCTGGCCACAGTTGATTCGATTGGTTGAGGTGTGGCATGTGGTCTAGGTCAGGACAATCAGAATGTTTTTCTTCAATTTTTAAAAATTTAATTGAGGGAAAATATTGCCTCTTGGTTTTGTGGCACAGCTAGGAGATGTGTGGCCAGAAGCTGCTGGTGGCCCTTTTTACAGCCACGGGGAGGAAACTTGTTTCAGAGAATGAAGTGAACTTACAGGAGGAGCAATTGAAAGATTCCTGTTCATGTTCGAGTCTCTGATTGTACTTGTCCTTGAGGCTCATCTACTTATGATTATGTGAAACTTCGGGTAAATTGACTCTGTGGCCCAAATGGTGTTTCTATTACTTGGAATCAGTAAAGTCCTAATTAAATCTGTGTTCAAATAGGTAATTCTGGAATCAATGCAGATGTGTTTAGGGTTTCTGTGTGTGCTGGGGGTCATAGTAAATAGTAACCAGAAGCAGGGAGGCAATTTTTGAGACTGTTTTAATGGTCTACATGAAAAACAATAAGAATCTGAACTAAGACAGTGTCGGTGGGTGCTGTAGGTCCTGGCCAGGCTTGCCACTCCCAGTCTCTTCTACCTTCTAGACTGTGAACCAGCCACCCACCTCTATAGGGTGCTCATCTTTACATGGTTGCAGTACAGCTGGTAACTATTCATTATGAGCATATTTTCCTCTGTGTCCTTGGGAATCATTATAATAGCTGGTTAAAAATTCCTGTCTGCTAATTCTAACATGTCAGTCATCTCAGGGTCAGTCTTCATTGATTGCCTTTTTTCTTTGGTATAGGTTACATTTTTCTGTTTCCCATAGGAAACGTGTTCAATCATTTTGACTTTTCTCAAAACAATGTTCAGTCATTTTGACTTGTCTCCTGGCTATTGCAGAGGACATGTTCTAGAGAATCTGGATTCCATTATATCCCTCTGAAAAGTATTGACATTTTTGTTTCAGCAGCATTTAACTTGACTAAACTCAAATTCCATGCTCTGTCTCCCTCATGGCAGGCAGCAACTGAAGTCTCTAGTCAGTTCTTTTAGCCTTATACAGACTGTTTGGAGACTGTCCCATGAATGCATAATTCAGAGGTCAGCCAGTGATTTGGTAGAGTTTATACACAGAATTCAGGGCTCTGCCTATCTGGCTCTCTCCATTCCAAGATTTTATCCCCACAGTTTTCAGCTGCTGTGGAAACTCTGAACTCTGTCCTCTTGTCTTCAAGTCAGTAAGGTTCACCCATCAGGGAATTGATTGGGGCCTACCCTGTGGTTCAAAGTCTTAAAAATGGGAATCTCATTTAGTTCTGATCTCTTCTTTTAAATGTAGATTCTCCTCCAGTTTCTGCCTGCCTTGGGTTGCTTGTCAATACTTGCAGGTAATTAAAAAAAAATTTTGTCCAGGGTGTATAGTTGTTACATCTGAAGGAGGATGGATTTGATAGGAGCTATTTGGTCATTTACTAGAAGCCAGAATCTGTCTGGTCACTGTGATGTAACCTGTGGTGTGTGTAGCCACGATGTGCTGGCAATGTATTAAGAAATTATACACAATCTGGATGTGAGATCCAGATGATGAGGCTTGATAAAGGCAGTTTTTATAATCACACTAAATGCAATTGATGTTTCAGGACGGCATGTTCAGGGGCATAAGGAGCTTGATTAGCCAGTAAGCCCCCAGTTGGGGCTTCCCAGGAACTGAAGTAACCTCACCCTAGAGGTTACCGAAAGGCAACATGCCATTGCTACCAACTTGAGTGCCTCTCCCCATGTGGAGTTTAACTCATTAAATATCTCCTATCCTGATATCTCTGGATCACCTCTGCTTTACAAAAAAATGTGTTTGAGTGTATTATAGTAAATGTTAATTTCTATATGGTTTACAGATCAGAATGATGAACTGAGACCCCCATCTAGTCCTCTGCCAGAGACCTAGTATTTAGGATGGAGAGGAATAGATAAATTGACAAGCTTTTTAGCAAGTTGAATGGTCGGGGATCAGTGACAGATTGTATTCAGTATAATAGGAGAGATGGTAGAGTTAAGGATGACGTCCAAGTTTCAGCCTTGTGCATCTAGGCGGGTGGTAAATACAGGAGAGAAAACACAAGGAAGAGAGCACGTGTAAGGAAGACGAATTAAGCTTTGGCTGTTTGAAGTACCCGCTGGACATCTAGGTGAGTACATGAGATTCTGGATCACTGGAGAGAAGTCTGGGATGGCGATATATATTGAGGAATCACCAGTAGATAAGTGATAGATGAGGCTATAGGTGTAGTTGATATAACTAGGTAGCATATACAGAGTGAGAAGAGAACTGATAGCAAAACCCAGTAGATAAGGGGAGAGCCTAAGAAATAAGTCACTTTAGGAGACTGAAGAAAAGACAAGGAAAGGTGATATACAGAAGCTAGGGGAGGAGAATTTCAAGAAGGAATTTAGTGGTCAATAGGGTCCAATTCCAAAAACAAAAACAAAAAACAAGCAAAACAAGTACTGACAGGCATCTATTGGATTTAACAACTAAGAGGTCTGTCTTTACCTCAAAGATTACAATTTCAATGGAGTGATGAGGAATGCAGTGGTTTGAGGAGTACATGGGGGCGGTAGTCTGTAACATGTGGCTCCTATCAACCAAGCCTCCAAGTAACTGTACCTCTGTGTAGTCCCCCTACTGCTCAATCTGGTGGGCCCTGTACAAAAGTTTAACTGAAAGAATGCAGGGAATTAATGCTGCTTGACTTCCAAGGATAGGTTGTAAGAATCCTGTAACTTTTGCCTTGGTCTTTTGGATCCCTCAGGAACCATGTAAGAAGTCTGACTGCCCTGCTGGAGAAATCAAATGGAGAGGTCAAGAGACAACATGGAGAGAGAACGCACAGCCCAGCTGAGCCCAGCTTTCCAGTTATCCCCACCAATGCGCCACACATATGACGGAAGTCATTTTGGTCCCTCCAAAACAACCTAGCCAGCCAGCTGGATACCACTGAGTGACCTCAGTAGATGCCACGTGGGACAGGAGAATTCTCTAGTGAGCTTTGCCCACATTCCTTACCCACACAGTCATGAGTATAATTAAATGATTATTGTTTTAAGCCCCAAGTTTTGGGGTGGTTTATTACACAGCAGTATATAACTGGAACATTGGGCACTGA
This sequence comes from Homo sapiens, assembly GCF_000001405.40. NCBI lineage: Eukaryota > Metazoa > Chordata > Mammalia > Primates > Hominidae > Homo > Homo sapiens. Next base: position 104,130,869 of record NC_000023.11, on the reverse strand, counting down.
AGTAGTGGAAACCATACATGCACGTTATATTTCCGTTAAACTTGGAAAGGGAAAGATCTGATGGAGTGGGAGGATCACATAAGATCAAGGGAGAATTTTTATGAAGATGACAGAGACTTGGGAGTGTGCATATGCTGATGGGGAAGAGTTAGGAGAAAGAGAATGTTGAAGATAGGGGAGAGAGGAGATGGCTGATGCATGAGGTTTATGAGAAGGTAAGGGAAGGGATGAGATGCAAAATTCTGCTGGACAGACTGATCTTGCTTACAAGGATAGTGGGATGCTTCGCCTTGTAAAACAGGAAGTGTCTGCCCACCTCCTGTTCTTTAAAAATGTCAAGCATATCCATGTACTAGAGTCGAGAGAATATATGAAGGTTAGTTGGACAGTACTGGATCTCCTAAGAATTGTTTGACTGAAGCCCTTTCTCTGGATTGCTGACTCAACCCAGGCTGGAGTTAAGTGATTGGAATCCACACCCTCGGACCAGAATCCAAGTTACCTTCTGCTAAAGCCATACATACACATTAAAACCACACTTCCACAGAGTCAGCTTGTCTGGGCTCAATGGGCTCTCAAAATAATACAGGGTTCCATTACCTCTGACCCAGAGGTTCTCTCCAAGAGAAAGAGCTGTTGATGTTACAATTCTGCCTGTCACTGTCCCTGTTATAGCAGGGAGTGCGTACTGGATTAGTACTCCCCAGAAGGATGTATGGTCAGTTGGATTGGTGGTGGATGGCAGTTTGTACCAAAACGTCACTTGAACTTCACCTTTGACAGCTGCAGACTTCCGCGTGCTGATAAGGAATTAAAGAAAGTGGAAATGCAATGCAGTCCAAGATAAACTACTTTACAAAACTTTGTCTTATGGAAAATCACAAACATACACAAAGTTAGACTAGTAAAATGAATCCCCATATACTTATCATCCAGCTTCAACAATTACAGTGTCTGCTCATCATTTGAATGGCACACACACACACACACACACACACACACACACACATACATTTGTGTGGATATATATGTGTTTGTAGTTTTATATATATAAATAAAACTACATATATATTTATATATATAGTTGATTCTTATATATATAAATGTAGTTATATATATATACATATATAAAAAGTTTATTATTATTATTCACAGATTTCATATTTGCAAGTTCACTTACTTCAGACTTATCTATAACCCCAAATCGATACTTGCAGTGCTTTCAATAGTCATTCATAGACCTGCACAGAGTGGCAAAACAATTTAGTTGTCAGGCACTCAGTGTTCCCAGCTGAGGTTAGAAAAGGCAATGTTCTTGTTTCTGCTCTCATACTGTAAGCAAGTGTTCTTTTCGTAGTCGATCTAGTGCCATATTTTTGTGGCTTTTTTGGTGATTTTGCTGTTTAAAATGTCCCCCAATCATAGTGCTGAAGTACTGCCTAGTGTTTCTAAGAGCCAGAAGGCAGTGATGTGCCCTGTAGAGGAAAATACATGTGTTAGATAGGCTTCCATCAGGCATGAGTTATAACGCTGTCTGCTGTGAGTTCAATGTTAATAAATCAGCAACACAGTACATCCAGAAAAAGGAATAGGAAAGGCTTGCCAGTCTATATGTGAAGACGCTCTGTATGGTGCTAAAATAACATCTTTAGTGTGTGATGAAGGTATGGAATAAATGGAAAAGCAGCAAAATTTGTGGATTCATAACTACTGATTAGAAAAAGCATAGTGGACAGCATGGTTGTGAGGCTTTTGAAAACCAAAGAAATTTATGGTTATGTTAACCCAGGATCAGGAAAATGTTAAACCCTTCTTGGCTAATGTTTTACTATAAAATACTGCATATAATTTATTATTTTAAGAAATATATATTAAAGAAGGTGTCTTTAGACAGAAGCATACATAAAACAAGGTTGTGTATTGATCATTTTAAGGAATGCAACCAGAGGCTCCCAGGAATCTAAACCTGTATTTCCACTAGGAGCAGTGGCTTGGTATTTGGTAATTCATTGCTTGAGGTGACTTTATAGAATATAACTACCACAAATAATGAATCAACTATACATACATGGGTGTGTGTGTGTGTGTGTGTACGTGTGTGTGTCTGTGTCTGTTTATGTGTGTGTGTGTTTTGGAGTACTTTAGTGCAAATTGCTGACATCTTAACATTTTATCTGAAAATGTTTCATTATGTCTCTCTAACATATTGGTTCTTAAAGTGTAGTGTGAGGAGTCCTGGAGACACCTGAGACAGACCCTTTCAGGTGACTGGGAAATCCTTTTTCCAACTACATATCTCCATGAGGTTGGATTTGTCTTCATATACTTTATCCAAAACAGCATGTTACAACATTAAATGCAGAAGCAAATATGGGAATCTAGCTGTCTTGTACTGAGGCAGACATTTAAGAGATTTTCAGAAACGTAAAACATTCCTAAATTCTTTGTTTCTGAAAATGCAATTATTTTAATAAAATTTTATTTACGATAATCAGTGGATTTATTTTAAATACATTAATACAAATTTTAAAATTTTTCAGTTTTGATTTCTAATATAATAAATATTGATAGATCTGTAACCTACATTAGCAAAAGCTCTTTAGGGTCTAAAAGTACTAATATTTTCACCATCTGTATATAATTTTTATTTGTAAATATATTATTAAAATAACTGTCACTTTAGAAAACATAATAATGCTTTTTACAAAGAAGCACTGATACACTTCTTTTTAGCACTGTTTGTAAAACTTGTCAAAAGGAGGAGGAATTTTTAAACTACCCCAGCTGTGCACGGAAGACAGCTAACACAGGAAAAACAAGTCTAGCAAAGAAATTCGCCAAGGCTACTTTCTGCCACCCTGGAATCCCACACTAGTTTTTTTTTTGTTTGTTTTTTTGTTTTTTTTGAGACAGAGTCTAGCTCTATCACCCAGGCTGGAGTGCAGTGGCGTGATCTCAGCTCACTGCAATCTCCACCTCACCAGTTCAAGCCATTCTTGAGCCTCAGCCTCCTGAGTAGCTGGGATTACAGGCATGTGCCACCATGCCAAGCTAATTTTTGTATTTTTAGTAAAGACTCGGTTTCACCATATTGGCCAGGCTGGTCTCGAACTCCTGACCTCAAGTTATCTGCCCACCTTGGCCTCCTAAAGTGCTGGGATTACAGGCGTGAGCCACCACACCCAGCCCCACGCTAGTTATTTTTAAAAATTATTTTAAGGTAATTATAGACTCACAAGGAAGTTGCAAAAGTACAGAGTCCCATGTACCTGAAACCACGCTTCCTCTAACGGTGGCACCTTACGTTATTATAGTACAATATCAAATCCAGGAAATTATTACAAGATTGTTAACTAGAATATAGACCTAATTTCCACCATTTTACATGCATTTTTATGTGTGTGTGTTTTTCTGTGTGGTCTTATCCCATGTATAGATTTGTTTAACAACCACCACAGTCATGATATAAAACTGTTCAATAGGACCTCCCTTGTGCTTCCCCTTCATAATCATACCCACCCTGCCCCATCCTTGCTCCCTGGCAATGATTAATCTGTTCTGTATCTCTAAAATTTTCTAATTTCGAGAATGTTACATAAATAGAGTCCTATACAATGTAGTCTTTTGGGATTGACGTTCTTCACCAAATGTAATCCTTTTGAGTCATATCTGGGTTGTTGTGTGTATCAGTAATTTGTTCCAACTGAGTAGTATTCCCTTGGGTGGATAGACCAGAATTTCTTTATCCAATTACTAGTTGAAGGACATTTGGGTTGTTTCCTCGTTTTGCAATTACAGATAAAGTTGCTGTGAACATCAGCATGCAGGTTTTTGTGTGACTATAAGTTTTCATTTCTCTGGGATAAATGCCCAGGAATGCACTTGCAGGGTCATATGATAAGTACATGTTTAGTCTCATAGGAAATTGCCAGAATGATTTCCAGAGCCTTACCATTTTATATTCCTAACATCATTGTATGAGAGATCCATTTTTTCTACATCCTTGTGAACATTTGGTATTACTGTTTTTTATTTTAGCCATTCTTATAGGTGTACAATGATAGCTTAGCTTATTGTGGTTTTAATTTGCATTTCCTTAGTGACTAATGATGTTGAACATGTTTTTCATGTTCTTTGCCATCTGCGTATTCTTTTTGGTGAAATTCTATTCATGTTCATGCTCATTTTCTAATGGAATCTATTTTTTACTTTTTTTTTGGAGACAGGGTCTCACTCTGTCACCCAGATTGGAGTGCAGTGGCACAATCATGTCTCACTGAAGCTTTGATGTGGACTCAAGTAATCCTCCTGCCTCAGCCTCCTGAGTACCCAGGACCACAGATGTGCACCACCATACCTGACTAATGTTTTAATTTTTTTTAGAGATGGGGTCTCACTATGTTGCCCAGGCTTATCTCAAACCCCTGGCCTCAAGTGATGCTCTCACCTTAGCCTCCCAAAGTGCTGGGAATACAGGTGTGAGCCACTGTGCCAGGCCTTCTAATGGAATATTTATGTCTTTTTTACTGTTGAATTTTGAGAGTTTCTTTTCCTTTTCTATCTCCTCCTAACAAGTGCTTTTGCCCAGACTGGAGTGCAGTGATGTGATCGTAGCTCACTGCAGCCTCGAACTCCTGGGCTAAAACGATCCTCCCACCTCAGCCTCCCAAGTAGCTAAGACTGCAGGCATGTGCCACCATACCTGGCTAATTTTTAATTTTTTTGTATAGAGACTGGGTCTTGTAATGTTACCTAGGCTGGTCTCAAACTCCTGGCCTCAAGTGATCCTCTCGCCTCAACCTCCCAAAGTGCTGGGATTACAGGCATGAGCCACCATGCTGGGCCAGCTTGTGTGTATCTATGAAAAATCCCTCTGGGATTTTGATAGTAATTATGTTAAATCCATAGATAACTGTGGGGAAAATTGACATCTTTATTATATTGAGTTTTGCAGTCACTGAGCACTGCGTGTATCTCCATGTTTTCAGATCTTTGCTAGCTTTCTTTCATCAAGTTTTACGGAAAGGGATGGATGTACTTACGAACTCTCAGTGGCTTCATCCTGGCAGAGAACAGGAATGCTGCTTGCTCTGTGAACTCTGCAGCCTCAGTGTCCTCATTTGTGGTGACAGCTCCCTCTTAAGGTCATTGTAAAGATTTAAGGAGATGCTGAATGCCCAAGTCCTGCCTCCAGTATATGTGCTTTTCTCCTTAACTTCCCACTCATTACCTTTTGGGCCTTGAGTTTTCATCTGTGAACCCACATAGGATAATAGTGGGACTGACTTCCAAGGGGTTGTTGTGAGGAATGGGTATGAGAATTCAAGTAAAGCACCAAAGAGACTGCCAGACACAGTAGGGGTACCATAAGCAGTAGCTGTTATTACGATATGATTGTAGTGAGGTGAAACTATAATTTCTTCCTTTCACTGACAGAAAACTCTCAAGCAGCTGGTCCAAAGAGCATAAACAGCACAAGGCAAGTAGCAGGATGTTGCTGAAGGTTTGGGACAGTGGAGAGGGTTTATTTTAGCACAGCAGACAATATGAAAGAGAGTATCAGAACCACGTACCTGCTATGACCCAACTTTTATAGAAAAAGAACAAGAATAGATATGTTTGTGTTTGTGTAAAAGCCGAAGAACACACCCCAGACCAGACTGTGGGAAGCTGGGGAACTTTCACTTCTACTTATTCCCCTTTCTGTGTTTGAAAGTTGTTTTTTGGCCCGGCGTGGTGGCTCACACCTGTAATCCCAGCACTTTGGGAGGCTGAGGCGGGCAGATCACTTGAGGTCAGGAGTTTGAGACCAGCCTGGCCAACATGGCGAAACCCCATGTTTCTACTAAAAATACAAAAATTATCTGGGCATGGTGGTGTGTGCCTGTAATCCCAGCTACTAGGAAGGCTGAGGCAAGAGAATCGCTTGAAACCAGGAGATGGGGGTTGCAGTGAGCCAAGATCACGCCATTGCACTCCAGCCTGGGCGACAGTGAGACTTTGTCTCAAAAAAAAAAAAAAAAAAAAAAAGGAAAAAAGTTATTTCTTTTTAGTTGAGCGTGTGCTACACTAAACAATGTTACAATACATTTTTAAATTGAATGTATTTTTTTTTTGAGACAAGGTCTTGCTTTGTCGCCCAGGCTGGAGTGTAGTGGCATGATCATAGCTCACTGCAGCCTCAACTTCCTGGGCTCAAGTGACCCTCCTGCCTCAGCTCCCCAAGCAGCTAGGACTACAGGCATGTGCCACTACGCCTGGCTAATTTTTTCATTTTTATTTTTTGTAGAGATGGGGTCTTGCTGTGTTGCCCAGGTTGGTCTTGAACTCTTGGCCTCAAGCAATCCTCCTCCAGAGCCTCCCAAAGTGTTGGGATTACAGGCATGAGCCACTGTGCCTGGCCAGAAATTGTTTTGAAAGGCTAACCAGTAAAACATTAACCAATTTACAAGAGAAAAACAGCCCCATCAAAAAGTGGGCAAAAGATACGAACAGACACTTCTCAAAAGAAGACATTTATGCGGCCAAAAAACATATGAAAAAAATCTCATCATCACTGGTCATTAGAGAAATGCAAATCAAAACCACAATGAGATACCATCTCATGCCAGTTAGAATGGCAATCATTAAAAAGTCAGGAAACAACACATGCTGGCGAGGCTGTGGAGAAATAGGAACGCTTTTACACTGTTGGTGGGAGTGTAAATTAGTGCAGCCATTGTGGAAGACAGTGTGGCGATTCCTCAAGGATCTAGAATCAGAAATACCATTTGACCTAGCAATCCCATTACTGTGTATATACCCAAAGGATTATACATCATTCTGCTATAAAGACACATGCACATGTATGTTTATTGCAGCACTATTCACAATAGCAAAGACTTGGAACTGACCCAAATGCTCATCAGTGATAGACTGGATAAAGAAAATGTGGCACATATACACCATGGAATACTATAAATATATAAAAAAAGATGAGTTCATGTCCTTTGCAGGGACATGGATGAAGCTGGAAACCATTGTTATCAGCAAACTAACACAGGAACAGAAAACCAAACACCACATATTCTCACTTATAAGTGGGAATTGAACAATGAGAACACATGGACACAGGGAGGGGAACATCACACAACGGGGCCTGTTGAGGGGTAGGGGGCTAGAGGAGGGATAGCATTAGCAGAAATACCTAATGTAGATGACAGGTCGATGGATGCAGCAAACCACCATGGCACGTGTATACCTATGTAACCTGCACGTTCTGCACATGTATCCCAGAACTTAAAGTATAATTTTAAAAAAAGGGAAAAAAAGTAAAAAAAAAAAATAAACAAATCAGCAAACTACACAGAAGAATATTAGAACAATTTCTCTCAAATTTCTCTTCCATTGAGCTTCCTGCCTGACCCTAGAGCTCCCTCACCTCTTTGGCTTACCAGCTCCCATCCTTCAAAGTTTCTGAGTTATTCTGTGGGGAATTTGAGCTACTCTCTTCCTTTAGGTCCAGGCCATCTCAGCTAGGTCCAGAGAGCCTCACTCACCTCCCCAACTAAGCAAGCATCCCTGGAGGTATGTTCTTCATGCAAGGGCAGTTCCTGAGAGAATTTATTTGGTTAGCTCATAAAGGGATTATATTGTTTTCCCCTGCACATGAGAGAGAGTAGCTGAAGTCTACTGACTTTAATGAAATTCTCTGTGAAGAGTCTGGGAGGGACGGTTTAGGTAATCCATCTACAAGGGTGCTCAGAGAGTTTGGAGCGAAGCGATTGGTGTCGTTATGATGGCATTCTATGGCACAGTAGTTACAGTGCACCAGGCACTCTTTTAAAGACTTCTCAAGTGTTCATTCATTTAATTCTTACCACAACCCTGTGAGGGACTTCCTGTTATTGTCTCCGTTTTACTGGTGAGGAAGCTGAAGCAGAGAAGTTAACTACTTTGCCCAAGTTCCTTTCCTCCTTTGAGGATAAGGAGCCAAAGGTTCAGGAATGCCCAAATCACATCCCTCTTCTTGTCCAACCACCCAACCTCTCCACAGGCAACCTGATCAGCCACCTTTATACAAAGTACAGTATTCAGATTGGAATAAAAATATATCTCCTTGACTCCCTGCTCTGAGAGGTATTTCTTCTCAGACTCCCAAAAGCTGGATTGAGGAACATGGCTTAGTTGGTACAGTATAGCAAAATGTCCTGCTTGTTGAAACTGAATTTGTGATTATCTTCTTTTTCCTCAAGAAGTCATTGAGGGCTGTTGTATCCCTATAAAAGGAGAATTTAGAGTAGCCAAATAAAAGGGGGCTGAAGTAGTCTCATTACGGAAAAAGAGAGTGTGAGCAGCCTTTTAGTAATTGATTGCCTCAAGATGTGGTATTCAGCCAGGGTGAAGGGAAAGTAGTTGGGGCTGTGGATCTGGAGGTTTACAGAAGCCTTTACCCATCCTGAGACTCAGTTCTGCTGTTGGTCTTCAGAGAAGTGTCTGCACCTGCTGAGAAGAAATCACACCACTGCACTCTAGCCTGGGCAACAGAGCGAGACTCTGTCTCAAAAAAAAAACAAAAAAAAAAAACAAAAAAAAGAAATCAGACATCTAAATATGTACAAAAAACTAATAAACCTCTGGAAAAATGGACTCAGAATAAAGACATATACAAATAAAAAATATTTGGAATGCGTACTAAATGCCACTGAATTGTACACTTTAAAATGGTCAAAATGGTGAATTTTTTGTAACTTTTACCACAATGAAAATTTTGGAACAAAAAGGGGGGATAGAACTATGGGTAGAATACAGAAGAATCAGGCCAGGGATGATGGTTCACACCTGTAATCCCAGCACTTTGGGAGACTAAGGCGGGAGGATCACTTGAGGCCAGGAATTTGAGACCAGCCTGGGCAACAGAGTGCGATTGCCATCTCTACCAAATATCTATGTTCATATATATATATATATATATATATATATATATATATATATATATATATATATATATATATATCATACCATTTGATGTGATGTCTAGTAATTGCTTTAAAATACTTCATCAAAATGTGGGGGATGAGACAAATTATGCAACATATTGATAATTCTTGAAGCTGAATGATGAGTACATGGGGATTCATCATTCATTTTCTATAATTTCATGTGGGTTTGGAAAGTTCCATTGAAAATGTTAAAAACAACCCGCTCCTCCTGCCAAATCATTTGAAAACTTAATTTGGGGAGTTTCTTAGAGCTGAGTTGACCTTTAAATATTATTAAGTATTAAAGTCTCTAGTAGCTCAGAGTTAAAGGGTATTCCCAGCAAGTTTAAGAGATGAGGAAGGGCCCTGAATGTGAGCCAGAGCTACTAAAGTAGGATGTGCCACAGGCCACCTCTCTTTCTGCTCTGGTTCCTGTGAAACATAGTGCTTGTTCCAGTAACGTCACCTCTAGGAATGTATCCTCAGGAAATAATCGTTCACATGTGCAAACCTGTATGTGAATAAGGATGCTTTTCTCAGTGGGTTTATAACAGTGAAACAAGGAAACAAGGTAATGAATGGCTCTAAAGAGGCTGGTTTAATAAATCATGGATACAAGTAAATAATTGGATTTAATGCAGTTATGAAAAATAATCTAAACACCTTGGACCTCAGTTGCCTGGTTTTTAAATGAAGAAAGCCAAAGAAGAATTGTATTCCTCAACTAGTTTTAGGAGGCCAGCAAACCTTTGATACCAAAATCTCACAAAGACATTATACAGAAAGGAAAATTACAGGTGAATCTCTCTTACAGACATAGATCTAAAAATCCTAAACAAAATATTAGCAAATTGAATCCAGCAATATATAACAATTGTAATAAATCAGGACCAAATCTTGTTTATTTCAGGAATGCCTGGTTGGTTTATTATTAGAAACCCAAATAATGTAATTTAGCATTTTAACTAATAAATGAGAAAAAAGCATATATAATAGATACAGAAAAAGCATTTCATAAAATTCAGCATCCATTGATTATTTTAAAAACTTATGGTAAATTAGGAATGGAAGGAAACATTTTTAAACTGATAAGTGGTATTTACTAAAAACCTGCAGCAAGCATCCACTTAATGTTGAATTGCTCAAAGTGGTCCCTTGAGTTCAGGAATAGGACAAGAATGTCTCTTCTCACTAGTTGTACTCTAGGTCCCAGTCGATGCAGTAAGGTAAGAAAAAGAAATGTATATGGATTGGGAAAGAAGAAATAAAACTACCATCATTCACAGATGACATGCTTGTGTATGCAGAAAATTCTAAGGAAGCTACAGATTAAAATTATTAAGAGATTAGCAAAGTCAGTGTACAATATCAACATCAAAAGACCAGTTATATTTCTATATACCATCAACAAGCCCTTAGAAAATGAAATTTAAACCAATATTTAATTTATAGTAGTATACACAATTACCTTGAACTAAATGTAATAATAGACGTACAAAACCTCAAGCAAAAGTTATGAAGCTTTGTTGACAATGTCAAGTGTTTGTGAGGATGTGGAGCAACAGGAACTCTCAAACATTGATGGTGGAAGTGGGAATTGGTACAACTTTGATATACAGTTTGGTGGTATCTAGTGAAGTTGAAAATATACACAATCTATGAGCCAGCAATTCCTCTCCTACATATATACCTTGTGTGTGCACATATGTACCAGGAGACATTAAAAACATGTTCTTAGCAACATTTTTCATAATTGTCCCCAACTGGAAACAGTCCAAATGTCCACCGACAGTAAAAGGATAATTTCTTGTAAAGTCGTAGAATGGAAAGCTGTAACACAATACTGAGAATGATGAACCGATGCCGCATGCAACCAGGTTGAATCTCAGAAGCATAATTGTAAGGGCAATGAGCTGGATATAGAAGGATATATGCATTATAGTTCTATTTACATAAAGCTCCAGAAACAGTAGTGTTTGGGCATCTATATTTGAGTGGTAAAGCTATAAAGGAAAGTAAGAAAGCAACAGCTAAAACTGTCATGAGAGTGTTTTGTTTTGTTTTGGAGAGAGGAAAGAGGTTGTGATTGGGCAAGGACTTATGGGAATTTCTGGAGTTCTGATCTGTTCTGTTTCTTGATCTTTATGGTGATTTGCTTTATAATAATTTGTTAAGCTGTAAATTTATATTTTATGCACTTTCCTCTGCTCCCCCCGCCCCCCGCTTAAAGAGTGTTTTAGAATGTGGAAATTTTAAGATAAGATCTATCTCAGGGCTTGTTGTAAGAATGAAATGAAGTATAAAGCCATGTAGAGCTTGTAGAATATGCCTGGCACTTTGTAAGACCTTAATAAATGTTAACTATCTAAACACAATACAGATTTGCTGTTATTATTGCTTCTCTTATTTGTTGCCAGCCCTGCCCCCTTTCCATGATATTTGTTGCCAATGTTTCTCAGCTTACTGTTGGTATTTTATTTCTGTTAATGCTGTCTTCTGAGTTATCAGTCTTTTCTTTTATACTTTCTTTCATTACTCTTAACCATAGAAAGTTCTCTCCAACCCAGAGGTTTAACATGTATTGTGTTGCAGCTTTAAAAGGGGTTGCTTTTGAACATTTGATTCTTTTTATTCATTTTATAACAAAATATACGATTAAAGAAGAATTAATACATAATTGCATAAAATCTACATTTACTGCTCAAATGTATCTGGGATTCATATTTAGTGTCATGGGAGAAAGGAAACTGACCTTTTTTCCAATCAGGTAATGAAGTTCCCCCCAGCACCATGAATTGAACAATTTATCTCTCCTCCACTCATTGTTGCAGCTGTCTCCTCTTGCATACATCAAATTCAAAACCATTTGCACCAAAAGCATAGACTGGAAACTTGATACCTGAACTGAATGTGATAATGCAACTCTGAAGGGGGAGGGGATGGTTGCCAGGCAGCAGGAAGGATAGCTGCAACAAGAGGATGTGAAAGAAAGGTGGCCTGTGTCACACAAGTATTCCTTAAAGGCTGCATCCTTGTGTATGGCGCACAAGCCACTTGCTGCTATGATATTTGGCTAATTATGTCTGTTGACCTTGCTTTCCTCATGTATCATCTTTATATAATAGTAACACCTACCTCATGGGGTGCTGTGCACATGATGGCTAACTCAAGTAAGGAACACAGACTTTGGGATCAGTCAGTCCAGTGTCTTATCCTTGACTGTACCACTAAATAATTACATGACCCTAAGTACGTTTCCTAACTTCCCAGCCTGTTTCATCATCTGAAATATGTGTCAATTAATAGTAATTAAATTAATAGCAAGTTAGAAATAGAAAGTCATGCTTATCTTAAGGGAGTTGCTATGAAAAGCTAATAATGCATTTTAAAGGCTTGGCACTGGGTGCCTGGCATGTAATAAGCTTGGAATAAATCGCACTTGCAGTGATTTTAATTTTTATTGCTATTGTGGAAGGATCAGGAAGGGAAAGAATATTCGGCAAAAGACACTGAGAAGTAGGCATCAAAAAGATCTGGGAGAGGGAAACCATGAGATGGATGTCATGGAAACAAGGGAAAATAGTATCAAGAAGGAGGGAGATATTGCAAAAGGAGGTCATTCAAAGGCTGGTTTCTCCTGACAAGACAAAAGAGCAATTTTCATCTCTTGGCGACTAATGAGAATGAAGGGAGAAAGGAAAGGAAAAACAATAATTATAAATGAAGGGTATCAAACACAAAATTTTTTAAAAGCCTTCTTTCACTTAACCCTGTAATCACTCCAAGTCTTCTTTGTCTTCCAATTAGGGAAAATACATACTTCTTGAATAAAGGAAAGCCAGTGTGACACAAAATGAAATAAAAAGTCTCACTTTTGCATCATTTTGGTGAAGTAAAAATTTAGACAGTTTCAGGTTTACACAACAGAGGACAGGATGGGGGGGAAGGAAAGGGGATGAATTACACAGCAGGGTTTCAAAGTAATGATCTTGAACCTCCAAGCTAACTCCAGTGAAAAGGAGGATGGGGGTAGGTGTAGCATTTATTCCTCTTTTCACTCTACCTGGTTTCAGAAAGAAATTATGACAGCATATCTAGGTAAATCATTCAATAGCATTTATAGAGTGAATTTGAGAAAAGGTGAGCAGCAAGGGGAACTATATTCTAATCTTGGAGAGATGAGTGGGCAAATCCCCTCCAAGGATAGACTTTGGGAGAGGTAGGGAGGAATAGGGGGCTGTAAGAGCCAGGTAGTGTTGGGGGACCCTGTGGCTTTGGGGGCTTGATGAAGCTGCCTCCTGCGTGGGTGGTGGGGTCCTCTTTGCCTGTGGTGAGATGGAGGTGGCTGCCAGGAGCCAGAGGTGCCCCAGAGGGATGCAAAAAGTGGGTCTCTTGGACCTTTACTCCTGCTCAGTTCTCAGCTAAAAGGTCAGAGGCAGAGGGGCCCTCCCAGTCTACTGGCCATGAGCATTAAGGAGGCTGAGGCTTAAGGCCATCATGGAATGCGGAGGAGGGGGAGGTGGTGATGGGCAGAGCACATGAAGCTGAGCCTCCATCTCCCTCCACCAAGAGGTGAGTGTGGCTCCAGGGAAGGGGAGTGGTGGTAAAGTGAGACTGTGATAAAATGGATGGAGCAAGGGGGATAGGAATGAGATTGCGGGGATATGGATGAAGCAGGGGGGATCTGAATGAGATTGTGGGGATATGGATGGAGCAGGGGGGATATGAATGAGATTGTGGGGATATGGATGGGGCAGTGGGGATCTGAATGAGATTGTGGGGATATGGATGGAGCAGGGCGGATAGGAATGAGACTGAGGATACAGATGGAGCAGGAAGGATCTGAATGAGATTGTGGGGATGTGCATGGAGCAGGGGGGAACTGAATGGGATTGTGGGGATATGGATGGAGCAGGGGGGTATGAATGAGACTGTGAGGATATAGATTGAGCAGAGGGGATAGGAATGTAATTGTAGGTATATGGATGGAGCAGGGGTGATAGGAATGAGATTGTGGGGATATGGATGGAGCAGTGGGGATAGGAATGGGATTATGGGGATGTGGATGAAGCAAGGGAAAGGGCCCAGGGAAGAGCAGAGTTGGAGGTGATTCTGGAAGGAGAGCACTCCAAGGTGGATTCTGGGCCTGGCAGCCCCGGGAAGGCTGCATTGGGCTCCTTGCAGTGTGTGGCTTCTACTCCTCCCTGGGGGCCTCAGCCTAGACCCTTTTGTCCCCATCAGCCTGCTAGCCTAATTAGAGTCCTAACCTCCACTCCCCCTACAACATAGCCCAGGGTTCTGTGTGAAACCTGTGGGTCTGCAGTTTCTGCCAGGCCTCCTGTCCCTGTCACTGTAGATGGGAGCCCACCAGCTTGGCCATCATACCCCTCCCCCTCTCCCCTGTCCTCCTGTCCTCCACCTACATAGCTCTGTGCTCCTTTCCCTGAGGTGCCAGCTCTGGCTGCTGCACACCCTGTCTTGTCAGCCCAGGGACCCCCTCTTTCCTCCCAGGCAAACTCCCTCAGGTCCTCAGGTCTGCATTCATTTCACTCCACTCCTTGCCTTAAATGAAATCATTCCCCCCTGCTCCTTGCCAGTTTTGACCTCTTCGTGAAGATAGGGACTACTGTACCTACCAGAAACTTGGGACCCTCAGGGATAGAGGTCACATGTCATCTTTTATCACCCTCTAATCTGAGGTCAAGAGATCGGGCAGGAGTAGTTGTCCCTTCCCAATACAAACAGGAATGGAGCCTCTGGAATACCCATTTTCAATTTTTGTCCCCCCCCCGTTCCCCATCTGATGTCTCATGATATGTTCAAGAAGAAAACATTGGAACATTATTAACTCATGGGTGCAGGGGTTGGCTCTATGACCTAGGAGACAGGTCAGTTGTGTTAAGGGGTTGTATGGGAGATATTCAGTCCATTTCAGCTTCCTTTCTCCTTTCCTATAAATGAGGTCGATAAAAACCCCTCCTCATGGTATGACCCCCCCTTATAGCTTCTATATTTAGTTTCATTTTTCTTTATCTTTCTAAAAGTAACATCACACAGAGACATGAAGTTAGATATTTATATATATTCATCGACATAGAAGTCCACGAGATACATTATTTGGTGAAAAATACACAGTATAGAACAGCACTTATATTTGGTCACTCTTATCTATACATATATCTATCTGGGTACACAGGTACAGGGAGATATCTGGAAGGACATTCACCAAAGGGCTGACAATGGTTACAAAAGGGTGCTGAGTTTCAGGTAATTTGTACTTTAGTTTTTGTATCTTCCTTTATTTTTGAAGGTTTAATGAAAAGATGCTCCTTTCATAAAAAGTATAAAGTCATCAAAGAAATAGACACATGGAGAATAGACCCTTAAGCCAGCAGAGAAGAGAGCAGGGACAGAGGTCACACCATTCCCCATCCACTGTGCTGGTATGCAAGACCTCTTCTCCTTCCCAAAGGAAAACTGCTTTGTGGATTAATTCATGCAGTTAGAAACCCACCCCCCTCTCCTGTTATTCCCATTACCAGACTCTGAATACAGTCAAGGACTCATTTAGGGCTGGACTAGATCCTTACTGTGGCTCAGAAGCATCACTGTGTTCTCCAGGGACCTCTTTTGACCTCTCCTCTGTATGTGTCAGCTCCTGCAGGGTGATGATCAGATTCTCAAAAACCTGGGCCTTGTTGCTCTCATTGTCACAGGTTTCTTTTGAGTGGCCCTCCTCCCCACAATATGAGCAGCGGGTTGTGTATTTTCGCTTCCTGGCTCTACGAATATTCCCAGGACCATCATTCTTATACCCAGAACCACCACTGGTAGAAAGAGACTGAGCCCCAGAATTGTTGGGGGAATCAATAACCAGCACTTGATCCAGAGGTCTGGCTCTTCCTCTGAAGGGAGGGGCACCTGTAGGTGTCAGTGAAGGGTACAGAGACACCACCAGGATCACATCCTCATCAGAGTCATCAAGGGTATCATCTATTTCTATCACGTTGCAGTTACAGTCAGCACTGCTGATTGCTATTGGCTGGGCGCCCTGAAATGCCACAGGGCTGGCTGCCCTCTCCATTATTGGCTCAGACCTTTTCGGCCGCTTCCGTTTAATAAAAGCATCATCCCAATCCTCTTCCTCCCTTATCATCTTGATTAACTCCAGGAAATTGGGAAGCCGCTCCTGCTTATTTGCATACATCCTGAGAAGATGCTTAAGCCTGAAGCGCAGGTCCCTATTCAGCTCAGCGCCTAAAAGAAGCTGTTGCAAGCGAGTCTGGTTTGCATCTTTCTCAGCTAGGATGCCTGCCTGAATAGCATTCTGGAGCTGCACCTCTAAACGGATCACATAAAGGGAGGCTTTCTCCCCTTGTGCCTGCAGGGTGTTAAAAAATTTACCATGGGCAGTCACACTGCTTTCAGACTCCCCAAACACCAATTTCATTGCCCGCAAGAAATCTGCTACACTTAGGTTGGGGTTGGCCGCCTGAAGCAAACGCATGACCTCCCGGGCAGGGCCCCTAAGTGTTTTCATCAAGCGCTTGAGTTTTTCCTCCTCAGACATACTCCAATCTGGCAGGACCTCATTGACTTGGATCAGCCAGTTTTCAAAGGTTTCTTTCCCCTGGGCTGGCACCACTCTTCCTGAGAACAACTTCATGTTTCTCTCTGCCATTTTGACCACTAAAGGACAGAGACTCCTCCCCAGAGACCTCAACATGGAATGGGCCCAAGGCGGCAAAGGTGCATTCTGCTGCCTGCTGTTACCCACACACGCAGTGATGCTAGCCATGACTGACGACGATAGGGTATCTGAATACAACAAGATGCTCGCGCTTTTTGGAAAAGCCTTATCTGCAGGATTCTCCAAAGCAACGTTCCTGGGCTGTGCCTGCCTTATATTTCAGTAGGGATTCTAAGGAAAGTAAAAAAGGTTAATAAGATAGTGGGCTGTGGGGAAGCAGTCTGCAGTAGCATTCTCTATCTTCCTGAATAGCCTTGCAGTGCATTTTATATCTGCCCAGTGCCTTAACAATACCCTGCAGGAGACTGGCAATTACAACATTCCAGAGCTAGCAGGTGTCCCTGGGCTAGTAGGTAGTTTTTCAGAGCCACATCCATCCCCTCCTGCCTGTACTCCAGGAGGGGCGACAACTGTTGCTTCTAATTCTAGATGACATAGTGTTGGGAGCTGATACTGGGCCCTCAAAACGGAACTCAATGGTTGTGTGTCACAGATTTATGATAATAAGAAACCATTAACCTCATGGCCTCAGGTCTCAATCACACCCCCTTGTCAACGTTTCCCCCGTTATTTCTCAGATTCTTACATGAGCTCGGAAACTAGCGTTCGCCTTTATTTTACGTGCAGCCTCTGCAACAGGTGCCTGCCGTGAGAAAATTAGCCTCTGGGGTACGGCCGACTTTTGTCCACTGGGTGTCGCAGATCCCAGTCCTCAGGGCCTCAAGACTGTGCCGCGAAGGAGGGAAAGGAAGGGTTGGAAGCAGCTTCATCTGAAAACCTGATACCTCCCCTCCACCGCCTCCACTGTCGCCAGGCGGAAAATTCCCTCTCCCATCTTCTGAACGCAAGCCAAAGTGCCTCCTGCCCTCCCGCGCATCCCCCTTACATTTCCTCCGGGAGACCCTCGCCCTACCAGCTCTGCAATCCGCCGCACAGAATTCAAGTTCGGATTCGGCTTTGATGACCTGCCAGGGAGAAAGAGACTAGAAGTTGGATAACCTCCCACCCTCATATTCCTTCCCAGGAAGAGATGAGGAGATGCAAAAGGGGTTCAAGACAGCTTGCGATCGTCTCCTCCCGCCCCTTGCCACCTCCCCGAACACACCCCGCCCCCGACACCCAACAACACCCCCGACCTACGACAACACCCCCACCCACCTTAATCCAGGCAAATCCTAAATCCTATCCAGTCGGCAGCATCCAGATGAACCACAACTCCTTCCTCAGCGCAACCAGGCCAAGGGAGTGCTCCATCCCCTGCCTCGCAGTTACTGATTCTCCAAGCCGGGCGCCGCCCAGTCCTGGCGGGGCTTCCCCCACCCCTCTCCGCGCCGGGCAATCGCGCGTTCTTTCTTTACTTGTGCTCCACTGGTGGGCAGCATGTGCTCCCGCGTCCACAGCTCTGTTTCGCCTTCCGGTCCCCGTAGCTCTGCAGGGGAACGGGATCTCTGCCGCCTCCTCGGCCGCTAAGCGACCCGGGGCTGCCCGACCTAGCGAGTGCGCACGACCGCCCAGCGAGGGGTAGCCGAGTCGAGGCAGCACGGTTCCCAAGGCAGCCAAGGCTGCGCCCACCCTCCAGTTCGGCCCTCCGGGCAGCCGCGGTTGCTTTCAGTCTCTGGCGACTGAGACAAAAGAGCGTGACGGGCCGGGCGACGCGGCCAATCAGCGGGGCGAGGGGGCGGCCTCGCCGCACAGCCTCCGGCCCCGAAGCTACTGCTAGCAAGAAGGGGGAGCGGGCCGGCTGGCCGGCGGGCCGGCGGGCGGGGGCTGCGGCAGACAGGCGCGGGAGGCGGCACGGCGTCAGCAGCTCGGACGCACGGACTGGGCCCATTTCCCTTTCATCCGTGAGTTTGCTGCTAACCCATCTCTTCCCTTCTCCCTATCCCCTTACACCTCGGCTCTCCTCCGGGCTTTTAGACCGGATACCTTAAACACGAGGTGGGACAGAAACCAAGTGAACAATGAGAGTTCCTCACCTTTGTATAGGGGGAAGCGGGGAAACAGCGTTTACTGAGTGCTTTCTGTGTGCAGAGGCGCCTGCATGGACATCTCCTTTCCTCTTCTCAGCAGCCGTGTGAAGGAGGTAGTAGTGTGCCCATTTAACAGGAAAGGACTGAAGCACCCAGGCAGTACAGTTAGGAAGTGCAGAGTTAAGAGCTCACACCCAAGTCACCATGTCTGACTTCAAAGGCTGCCCCTTGCCAGCACTCCTCTATTCTGTCAGATTAAGGGATAGTGGAGAAAAACCAAAGCCAGATGGGAGGACCAACTTGGGATTGCATAGAATTGGTGAGCAAGAACCATTATCTCCATTTCACAGATGAAGAAACTGAGCCAGAGAGAGACAGGTTACTAGTTTTGGCCTGTATCCTGCAGCAAATAAGTTACAGCATCCAACCTAGCACCGTCTGTTGCTCTCTAGATGCTAATTCGTTGCCCTGCAGCGCTGCCTGGAGAGTATTTTTGCACAGGTAGTCTCAAACCATCTCAACAGCAGTCTCAATGTGATAATAGTGCTGAGGGAGGGGGTGAGGAGGTAGTGGGGAGAGGGCTGAGGGAAGATGAGGGCAACCTTTATGGTGCCCATTGTACAGAAGAGGAAACTCTTCTTGGTACTTTTCTTTCTTTCATTTTTTTTATTAATCTTTTTTTCTTTTCTTCTTTTTTTTTCTTTTTACACAACAAGCTGCCTGTTTTATAAAAGCAACATAATTTCGACAGCCCTTTGTGACCCCAAAGAGGCCAGGCTCAGAGAGGTAAAATGATTTGTCTGAAAATACAAGGTGAAGCCAAAATTTGAACTGAGTCTCTGAATCCAGAACTCATGCTATTAACCAAAGTGTGAGTACAAGGTGAGCTGCCTCAGAATCATTTTGGAGAGCTTGTTATAAATGTAGATTATTGGGCCTTACCCCTGGGGGATTTTGATGTAGTAGGACTAGGGGTGAAGAGTGTGATTTGTAGTTTTAACCAGCCCTGTAGTTGATTCTGAGGTGTAGAGAGATTCATGAACCACTTTTCTAAACACCACCACGTGATGCTGAAGGTTATAAGTAAATGGGCCTGCCATCAGTGTATCTGTCCATGGCATATCTGTCATGAAATGTAACTCCAGAGCACAGGTTCCTACCCGAGGTCCTTCCTGGAATTGTATGCAAAGAATCTGGACTCCGTACATTCTTCTGAGCCCACAGCTTTGCAGATTTTCAAATGGGTCTGTCATAACGTCTTCCTTCTTCAAGCCATGCTTGATGAAGAAGTGTGAGAAATAAAACCCCATTTAACCTAACCCCCAAACCACAGCTCTCTGTTGCTGATATGGCTCTTTCATTTCCTGGCTCAAGGACAGGTTGCTAGGTTGCCCTTCTGTGAGCTCTTCAGGGTACTTCTCCTTTGCTGGATTTGGCATCACTGGCCCCAGAGAAGGAGCAACTCCATGGAAACGGCATGCAGGGCTGTCCAAAGTGAATGGCCATGAAGGCAGTGGCTGGAAAACCTGCTCCATTTTTCCCTGACTTAGAGAGCAGGTATTACTTCCTTTATGTATAGTGTGGCTAGGAGGCTTCTGTGGGGCTTGTTCTTGACTCCTGATGTTTAGAAGCAAGTAAACAGTCTGATGCCCTTCCGCTGCTGTTGGCTTCATCTTCAGTCTGCCAAGGTACTTCACTTGCTCCTTTCCGCCCTCTTATTTACAACCCCAAGATCTAGAGTTCCTTGGAGTAAACAATAAAAATTTGGAGATAAGCACCTTCCATCTCAGGATCATGGTCTGTGGATGGAACAGTGGGGTAGTGGTGGTGGAGGCTGGAAAGTGTGGATGTATGGAGAAGGCAAGTTGCTCACCTCACACACTTAGGGGTGATGCTGGCAGTTGCTCTTAGGTTTCCTTCAGACTTTTGCTTCTGCTCCCCCATCCCGTGACATCTGACCCTTACCTCCCAGAAGAGTCTTGTTCAGTGTTTAAATTGGCTTTATCACCAAATTAGGTATTTGCAGCTGGACTTGGTAGGGATGGAATCACATAGGACCAAGAATAGGTGTCAGAGCTCAGACAAAAATAATGACAGGAAATGGATTGTGTAAAGGTGCCAGGGTTGGGCTACTAGAACAAAGCGAGGGACTCTTCATGCAGGGATGGGGGTAGTATTTGCAACCTGGCTTCAATTGGATACAGGACATGGCCTCACATGTATGAGTGTGTTCCAACTGATGCCTCTAATGAGACCACATTTTCTAATTTCAACAAATAAACCTTAAAAGCTTGAAGGTTTGGAGATAAAGCTTTCAGTTGAAACAATAATAGCTGCCTTTGGCTGCCTGCCTCCTTTGTGCCAGGAACTTTCTGTCTGTTATCTCTTTTAAGCTTCTTATCAACCCTGTTGAGACAGCTATTGTATCCCATTTTGCAGAAAGGGAAACTGAATTTCAGGGACATTAAGTAACTTGTGTCAGGCTTCACAACTTGTAAGTGGAGGCACTGAGACTGCAGGCCAGGGATGTCGAACTCCAAAGCCCATGAAAACTCTTCTTTGCTGCCTTCCAAACAAGCAGTCCAAAATGCATTCTGTAGATAACCCAGTTCATTAGACCAATTGCAGCCTTTAGAACAATTTAATTGTTATCTTGCCTTTATTCCTATTATCTCATTTTTAAAAAATGAAACTGCTAATATAACTTATGAAGCAACTTATATACCAGGTGCTGTGCTAAGCACTTTCCATACTTTGTCTCATGCATCCTTCATGACAATCATTTTACATATAAGGATACTGAGGATCAGCGAGATGATGAAACTTGGCCAAGGTTATAAAGCTAGGAAGTGACAGAGTGAAATTCAAACCCAGGGCTGCCTGTATCCAGAGCCCATCTCTGTGCCCTACAACACAATGCAGCGGAGAAGACAAATGTGGTCCTCATCTTAAATGGGCTTCTCTCTGTCAACCACAGCTCTATTTCCTTCTCACCACATGGGGTAGGCCAGCCCCATGCACAACTCACACTCTTAAGCCTATGTGCCTTAGGCCACTTCCTCAGCCTAGAATGCTTGCCCTCACTCCCCTACCTAACAACAGCCTATTCTACTCTACTCAATTAAGGATTGAGTCATATGCCCCTTCTCAGGTGGAATAAATTGCTGTTGTCTTTTTGCTTCCACCTTCATTACTGTACCCTTTATTTTGTCTTTCTGTAGAGTTTAGCACACTGTTGACCTGTCTCCCAAGCTAGTTGACTAGATTTCTAAGCACTTGAGGGCAGGCACCAAGTTCTATTCACTCTAGCTCTATGGTGGTTTACCCACAATGATTTAGTGGATGATCAATACATGTTTGTGAGCAGACCAAAGGACTGGCTGAGAGATGCCCTGAATGAACAGACAAATGCATTCATTTGTGGCTGGATCCTGGGGCAGTCACACAGTCTACCCATGTGGACTAGACTGGCTGGGAGAGTCTGGAATCCTCTGGGCTCATTTTACTAGGCTGTAAACATAGGAGGCAGGTCATAGGGTACAGGTGATATCTGCTTAAGGCCAACTCTAGGTCCATTCTGTGGTCTATACTTTGAATTCATGTGAAGGGGCCAGGCTCTCCTAGATTGCTTATGTTGCACCTTCCTATTTGTGGAAGTAAGGGCTTCCCTGCCTCCCTTGGGAACAGAAGATTTGTTCCCAAATGCCCCTGTATCTGGTTATGGCTGTCCCGAGAGCATCCAGAAGGAGCATGCGTTCTGTGGAGACAGATAGTGAAGTCCAGAAGCATCTTTTTTTGATCCTTCTTATCAAGGCCACCATGTTATGGATTCTCAACCACTTTGTCTCATTTTATGTTATTAATCTCTGCCACAACGTTTTGAGGTGGATCTTAATACCCCTGTTTTGTAGCTGAAGAACCTGAGACTGAATGAAATGTCTTTTCCAAGGTCACACAACTAAGTGGCAGAGGCAGAATTCAGTCTCGGGTCTGTCTGCCCTTTCCAAAGCCTGGCATCTTAACAGAAAATACATGGGAGAAACACGAACTCCCCTCCCATAAAATGGAAAGGATTGGATTTATAAAATGGATTACATATTAAGGTTAGATGTTTCTCAATTATTGTTCACCTTTATTCCCCCAAAATGATTTACAAAAATGGCAGAAGGAGTTGGGGATTGAAAAGTACAATTCCTCTATCAACTATTGACCTGAATGCCCAATATCACCCCCCTCTGACAGATACAGTATGGAGATGACTAAAAATTATTTTGCCCTTTCTGCTCCATTTACAGCTCAGATGGGTAAGGCTCCAAGATGTCACTGAATTTCTAAAGGTCACACATCAAGTTGATAATAAAACTCACTTAGAATGCTGGTATCTCATACTACCCCACCTGCTTCCTGGCCTTTCTGGGGTAGGTGCGATAGTTGGGAGTCCTTGCACTGCCAAATCCTAGCCCAGTTTTCTTTCTGCTAAATCATCCTGCCTCATGGTGTCAGTGAACATGTTTATAAATGGTAGGGAGGAAATGGAACATTATTGCACTCTGAGGTAGAAGAAAGGACAAATATTTACTTCACCACCTGTCCTTATTTAGGTGAAGGTAAGACTTTGGAAAGAAGATCTTTGATAGGAGAGCTGAGGACTGTTGGGGGCTTCTGTAGATTTAGCAGCCTGGGTATCTGGGAGGAGTCCCCTTTGGCTCTGGAGAAATGGAAGTGGGGCTTCCAGGGGCCAGAGGTGGCCCAAAGGGATGCAAAGAGTGGGCCTCTTGAGTTTTTACTCCTGCTCAGTTCTCAGCTAAAGGGTCAGAGGCAGAGGGGTCCTCCCAGTGTACTGGCTATGAGGGTAAAGGAGGCTGAGGCTCAAGGCCATCATGGAATGTGGGGGTAGGGGGAGGTGGTTATGGGCAGAGTACAGGAGGCTGAGCCTCCATCTGCCTCCACCAAGAGGTGAGTGTGGCTCCAGGGGAGGGGCGTGGTGGTAAAGTGAGATTGTGAGAAAATGGATGGAGCAAAGGGGATAGAAATGAGAATGTGGGGATATAGATGGAACAGGGTGGGGTTATGAATGAGATTGTGGGGATGTGGATGGAGCAGGGTGGTATGAATGAGACTGTGGGATATGGATGGAGCAGGGGGGATAGAATGAGATCGTGGGGATATGGATGGGGCAGGGAGATAGGAATGAGATTGTGGGGATATGGATGGAGCAGGGGGTATAGAATGAGATTGTGGGGATATGGATGGAGCAATGGGGATAGGAATGGGATTGCGGGGAGATTGATGGAGCAATGAGATTGTGGGGATATGGATGGAGCAGTGGGGATAGGAATGAGATTGTGGGGATATGGATGCAGCAGTGGGGATAGGAATGGGATTGTGGGGAGATGGATGGAGCAGGGAGAAGGGGCTAGGGAAGAGCAGAGCTGATGGGAGTGATTTTGGAAGGAGTAGTACACCAAGGCGGATTCTTGGCCTGGCAGCCTCGGGAAGGCTGCATTGGGCTTCTTGCAGTGTGTGGCTTCTACTCCTCCCTGGGGACCTCAGCTTGGACTCTCTGGTTCCCCATTGGCCTGCTAGCTTAATTAGAGTCCCAACCTTCATGCCCCCATCACATAGCCCAGGGTTCTGTGTGAAACTTGTGGGTCTGCAGTTCCTGCCAAGCTTTGTGTCCCTGTCACTGTAGATGGAAGCCCTCCGTCCTGGCCATCATGCCCCTCCGCCTCTCCCCTGTCCTCCTGCCCCACACCCACACATCTCTGTTCCTTTCCCTGAGGTGGCAGCTCTGGCTTCTGCACACCCTGTCTCGTCAGCCAGGGACCCCCTCTTTCCTCTCTGGCAAACTCCCTCAGATCTGCACTGAGCATTCATTTTTTTTCTTTAGATCCCAAAATTCCTTCATATGTCCTGGCTTCCAAGTTGCTTCTCATACTAGCCATCTGCTTCCTGGCCTTTCTGGGGTAAGGAGCAATAGTTTGGGGTCCTTGCACTGCCTATTCTATCTAGTACAGTGGTTCTAAGCCGGGAGCAGTTTTGCCTCCCAGGGGACATTTGGCAAGGTCTCAAGATATTTTTGGTCATCACACTGTGTAAGTCACTACTGGTGCTACTGGCACGCAGTGAGCCGAAGCCAGGGAGCCTCTGAACATTCTCGAGTGCAGAGGACAGGCGCCAAGAATAAAAAATTATCCTGCCCAAAATGTCAATAGCACTGAGGTTAAGAAACCCTGCTCTATTATATAGCTACAGGTCTTAAAGGTTAGGCTTAGAAGTTGCCAGGTGCTGAGCCTTTAGGCACTGAACTTCCAGAAGCAGCTGCTCTTTCCTTTCCTCACTTGCTGGAGGGGGGCTGGGCGTTGCCATGAAACAGCTACAACTTGGGCAGGAATCTATGGAGAGAAAGGCGAGGGGAGATTCCCCCTCCCCAAATTTAATACCAACTTTTAGAGAAAGCATTGCACTTCAACTGTTAAATGCCTTTCTGCCTCTACAAGATAGTGCCAGATTTTTTTAAACAGAATAGCAATGTATTATTCAAGTAGTTTATAAAATGCACAGTTTCATGTCGTGAAAGTTGATGCATTAAGTTTTGGAGTCTTCCCCTCCTCTATTTCATGTTTTTCAGTCGTAATCCTTTGAATATTGGAATATTTGCTGTGTCAGCAAAATACTGTAGTGGTGGCTCTGTCCAGAAAAACTGATTGCCTTTCTTTTAATTTAAAGTTAATTAATTCTTAATTTCTTAAGGGTGTGCTTATATATCAGAAACTGGCTCAAAGAGTTGCTTGTTTCCGTCGACCTGAGTTTCTTAGGGTTCATTTCTAATTAAGCAATGAAAATGCTTGCCAACAGAATTAATTGGTCAGTCTAATCTCTTTTTTTCCACCCTTGCCAGTTTCTTCCATCTGCACCCAGTTGTCTTCAGCATGGGGGAGCAGAACCACTCTCCCGGGAAGGAGCTTCAGCACAGGACGCGAGCAGAGGCTCCAGGAAAGAAAAGCTGGCATTCCCAGGCCTATGCCCTTGGGGCCGTTTCCAACTTTATGTCTACTTTTCTGACCTTTCCTATCTATAAGGTTGTGTTCCGGCAACAGATCCATGCCATGGCAGTGTCAGAGGCTGTGAGACAGCTTTGGCATGAAGGTCCTCAATACTTCTACCGGGGAATCTACCCTCCTCTTCTCTCCAAGACGTTGCAAGGGACTCTTCTGTTTGGGACTTATGATAGCCTGCTGTGCTTTCTCTCTCCTGTTGGGCCACACACCCTGGGACACCGCTGGGCTGCCGGGCTCATGTCTGGCGTGGTGGAGGCCGTGGCACTCAGCCCCTTTGAAAGGGTGCAAAATGTGCTCCAGGATGGTCGCAAGCAAGCTCGCTTCCCCAGCACCTTCAGCATTCTCAAGGAATTCAATTCTTATGGGCTTTGGGGGCGGCTGTCACTGGGCTACTATCGTGGTTTCTGGCCTGTCCTGGCCAGGAACAGCCTGGGGAGTGCTCTATATTTTTCTTTCAAGGACCCCATCCAGGATGGCCTGGCAGAGCAAGGCCTGCCCCACTGGGTTCCTGCCTTGGTGTCTGGTAGTGTCAATGGAACAATCACCTGCCTAGTTCTGTATCCTCTGATTGTGCTGGTTGCTAATATGCAGTCCCATATTGGATGGCAGAACATGCCAAGCCTGTGGGCCTCTGCCCAGGATGTATGGAACACTCGGGGCCGAAAGCTGCTCCTGATCTACCGTGGAGGCTCCCTAGTCATCCTAAGGTCCAGTGTGACATGGGGCCTCACTACGGCAATCCATGACTTCCTGCAGAGGAAGTCGCACTCCAGGAAAGAGCTGAAGACTGACTAGCTGCAGAAAGTGTGGCATGGCAGCTTTGTTATTCTAAATCTTCCCTGGTTGGTTCTATATAGCTTACTTCTTTGGCTAGGTTGCCTAATACAGCCATCCTTTAGCATCTATAAACTCATTGCATGGGAGAAGTTCCCAACTACCAACCTGTTGAGCAAGGACAAAGCCCAAAAGTATTCCTTAGTCAAAAAGAAACGTTCACCCCAGTCTCTCCACAGTTTCAGTAGCCTCAGAGCCAGGAGGCCTTTAAATAACATGTAACCCAGATTAAGTGTCATTCCTTTAAGGAATTCCTTGGCAATAAACAGAAACTTAAAAAGATGACCTTACTTAGGCACTCTGAGCTCTGGGACCCCTCTAGGTGTCCTCCAGACCAAACTGAGTGGAACTCCAATTTCAAAGAACTATGCTTGACTCTTAGGATGGGAATTCCATAAAACTTCTCAGATGGCTACATTTTCATGATATTGTTCACTGCCTCTACCACCACCTCTCACTTCTCAAGGCTGTGGGTCCTACTTTCAGGGTAGCAGCTGTGGCTGGAAATCCTAAATTAGGCTTGCATGAACTCGTCAGGTGCCACAAGAACTAGTGGGGCTGGAGATGGGAGTGAGAAGAGGCGTGGCCCATGGATGGAAAGAATAAAAACTTTGAAAGAAAAGATTTAATTACATGCAAAATAGAAACATTTGCTATAGTCTGCTTGGTGTTATCTGCTAGGACATTTCTGAGAGCAAGGTGATAACATTGCCTAGAAACCGTTTGAGTTTCCCTAAGAAACCTGGAAGTGAAGTGACCATATCTCTTCACAGAAAATTGCATATTTTGTTGATGTGGTTAAATGTAGTTACTATGACATAAAGATCAGAAATCTTAGCCTGTCATTCAGAGCCATTCAAAATATGGTCATCATATAACTTTCAACATATTGTCACTCCACTTACATAAACCCCAAACACTAGCCATAATGAACTATTGTTCTCTCCCCAGACATTCCATGAACTTTCCCATGGCCATACTCTGGCCCACACTATTCTTTCCACCTGCAGTGCTCCTTCTTCACATGCCAGTCTACCAAAATCCTTCCAGTTCCTTGAAGCCCAGCTCAGAGGTCACCTTCTCTATGGAGTTCTTGATTTTCCCCAACTGAATGTGACATTAGTCTCTGTGATGCCCCTTTCTTTTTTTTTTTTTTGAGACGGAGTTTCGCTCTTGTTGCCCAGGCTGGAGTGCCAATGGTGTGATCTCAGCTCACTGCAACCTCCACCTCCCGGATTCAAGTGATTCTCCTGCCTCAGCCTCCCGAGTAGCTGGAATTACAGGCGCCCACCACCATGCCTGGCTAATTTTGTATTTTTAGTAGAGATGGGGTCTCTCCATGTTGGTCAGGCTGGTCTCGAACTCCCAACCTCATCAGGTGATCCACCCACCTCGGTCTCCCAAAGTGCTGGGATTACAGGCGTGAGCCACCGCGCCCAGCCTCTGTGATGCCCCTTTCTAACAGCACTTCATACAGGGTACTGATTCCATTATGTCACTAATCTCATGTGACCCTTTGTTCTTGTATTCTTCAATACCTCCTACTAGACTGTAAAACTCATTGAAAGCAGGGATTTTTGTATGCATTTTAAAATCTTCCATTGTGCCTAGGTGCTCAATAACGTTGGTCAAATTACTGAGTTGATTATCAAGCTGTGATATGGTATATCCTCAGGGTGCTGTCCCTTGTACATGACGATAAAGTTATTGACTCACTGTCAGCAAGACACGTGCCTTTGGGCTGTGTTTTTGCTTTCTTTTAATAATTGATTTAGTTTTGTGCTAATGATAATGATGCTGCTACTGATAATAATAATAACAATAATAAAAATTACTTTCAACTGGCACATTTGATGAGTTTATATTACTGATGGCATGTTTGCTATTAGCACCAGTTCAGGAACTGAAATTTCACAAACAGAATCACACTGTACAACTGTACCATTTGTTTCAACTCTGGAATTTTGAGGATTTCCAAGATGACATGTGTTATAGTTTCCCCCTACAGATATCTTAGTAATGCCCTCCTCTTGCATCTCCTTACTGAACCAAATTTGTCCTGTATTTGTCTTACTTGGTTGTAGATTTAGCAGTGAGAACTTCTCACTGAATGCCACAGAAATTAAAGACATGGTTGTTGGAGGTATGATGTCAGAGAGCATTTGCCACCAAGGTTGGCAGAAAATGGCTGGTCCAGGAGAGCTGAAGATGAGCTTCCACATCTGCAGATCGGGATGTGTTGGGACAGTACTCAACTTGTGGATTCAAGGAAGTATGAACACAGAGTCTGCATAAGGAAAGGAAAAAGATGCATTCATCTCCCAAGTACACTGGTGATTTCCACTTATGTCATTCTGTCCATCCATGTCCCTTTCTTCATTTTAACTTCTTATTTAAAAATAATTTCAAACATTTAAAAATGTTGCAAGCATAAATAAAGCTTAAAGAACACCCATGTCCCCTTTACCCTAATTCCCCTATTATTAATGTTTCTCCCCATTTGCTTTATTATTTAAGTGTGCACTCTGTCTATACACACACAGGATATTTTTTCCCTGAACTATCTGAGAGTTGCATACATCAGTTTTCAATATTCCTAGATTCAATGTTTGTAGATCCAAATTATTTTTTAAGAGACCGTGTTTTATCTCTGACAATGGGACAGTTATTACAGAATATAATAAAATGAAAACTCACACAATATATGTGATATTGTGAAATATATACTTGGTCTTTGATCCTGTTTCTTGGCATACAACTCCTAAAATCCTTAGAATTTCCAAAGTGATATCTTTTTGTATGCTAATAATTGACTGATGGCTGGCAGCCTCTGGTTGCTTCAGGATGGGAACTAGTCACCAGGAAGACCAAGGCACCATTAGAGGGTTGGGACTTAACAGCCTCATTCCCGACCTCCAGGGAGGGGAGAGGGATGGAAGGTTAAGTTGATCACCAGTGGCCAATGATTTAATCAATCATGCCTACGCAATGAAGCTTCCATAAAAACCCCAAAGCACTGGGTTTGGAGAGCTTCCAGATAGCTGAACATGTGGAGGTTCCTGGAGGGTGGTGACCCAGGGAGGGCACAGAAGCTCTGAGCCCCTTCCGCAGTACCTCACCCTATGCATCTCTTCATCTCTATCCTTTGATATATCCTTTATAATAAAGTGGTAAACGTTAAGTATTTCCCCAAGTTCTGTGACCCTTTCTGGCAAATTAAACCCAAAGAAGGGGTCATGTGAACTCAAACTTGAAGCCCATCTGTCAGAAGTTCTGGAGGCTTGGATTTGCGACTGGTGTCTGAAGGGCCTGGGAACAGTCTTGTGAAACCTAGTCCTCAGCTTGTGGGATATGACGCTATCTCCAGGTAGATTGTGTCAGAATGGAATTGGAGTACACCCAGCTGGTGTTCGCTGCAGAACTGATTGCTCACTTAGTGTGTGGGAAAACTCCACACATCTGGACATGGAAATATTCTGTGCTGATTGCCGTGGTGTAAGAGCAATGCAAAAAGTTTGGGTATTTTCCCCTCGGAGTATATTTTAAAGCTAAATTGCTAATAATTGCTTAAATTTACTATATTTGCCTTTATAAAAACTTTATGTATGTTGAAGCTTGAAGCTATGCAATTATAATATAAACATGGATTTACAACTAAAGCATGTTATAATTTAAATAATTGAGTTTTTCAAATCGGTTCATATGAAATCCTAGGCAATATTGTAAAATTATACAGACCTGTCAACTTTTTCCACTTAAAAGTTGTGAGCAAAATTTAAGGGCATAGTCGTTTTCAAGTAATTTTAAATGTCAATGTTAATATTTAGTTTAGTGATGTTAATGGAGCTATGTTTTCTGATATTAAAAATGAGTTTTAGGAGTTGAGACCAATAAAATAAGGAGGTAATAAATATCTATATCTGTTTAAACACATAAAATATACAATTTAACACTAAAATTACTTGGTATAAAAAGTCAAAAAAAAGAATAAAAAGCCATCATACAACACAATATATGCGTGATATATATTTTTCTCTAAATATAAACTACATCAGCTTTTATAAAGCTCAAGTTGAAATAATAACGTTTTATGACAAATCATTATATGGTATATTCTGACTTAATTTTGCATTTACAATTTATTTTTAAACACTAAATAGCATTATAATTTTACTGGGATAACTATATATAGTGTAGTATATTAAAGTTAATAAAATGACGTTGCATATGAGAGAAAAAGCATAATAAATCAGAAACAATATAAAAAGCTTTCAGAAAAGATAAAAATATTGTATTTCTCTAGTCTGTTCACTCTCCAGTGTCTCTGGTTCTTTCATATCATCTTCCTTTCCTCAAATCTTTTAATACTCCCTCCCTCATCATTTCCAACTAGTGACCCTACTTTCTATTTCATTAAGAAAACAGATACATTCAGAAGAGAACTGCCAGTTTAAAGAACATTTACAAAGCCATCACCCATGTAATAACCAGCCAGAGCAAGAAATAGAGCCCTTTAATAACCTACTCTTCTCCCCCCACCACTGATGACACCGCTCCCTCCATCTTAGGTGTAGCCCCCATGCTGACTTTTGTAATAATAATTTCTTTGCTTTTGTTTATAAGTTTTCTTCCTTATAAGCATCTCTAAACAACAGTTTTGTTTTACAGATGTTCAAACATTAAATGCTTTTTAGACTTGGAATTGTGACTATCTTGTTTCACTCCACATTGCTTGTGAGACTCATTGATATTGCAGATAGCTGTAGTTGATCCATTTTTATTGTTGTACAGTTTACCATTGTATAAATATACCATGATTTATTCATGATAACTTTGAGGAACATTCTGGTTGTTTGCAGGTTTTATTTTTACAGTTCATTAGTTTTATTGATGTATAATAATTGTATATGTTTATGGGGTATATGTGATATTTTGATACATGTGTACAATGTGTAATGATTAAATCAAGGTAATTGGGATATCCATCAGCTCAAACATTTATCATTTCTTTGCATTGGGAACATTCCAAATCTTCTCTTCTAGCTATTTTGAAATACACAATAAATTGAATACTGTGGTCACTCTGTTGTGGTATTGAACACTAGATCTTATTCCTTCTCTCTAACTGTATTTTTGCACCCATTAACCAATCTCTCTTCATTCACTCCTCTGCAGTACCCTTCCCAGCCTCTGGTAACCACAGTTCTACTCTCCACCTCCTTGAGATCAACTTTTTTAGCTCCCACATATGAGTGAGGACATGTGATATTTGTCTTTCTGAGCCTGGCTTATTTCACTTCACATTTCACTTCACAAAAAATCCTCCAAGCTCATCTATGTTGCCACAAATGACAGGATTGCATTATTTTTTTTATAGCTGAATACTATTAAATCGTGTACATATATCACATTTTCTTTATCCATTTATTTATTGATGGACACTTAGGTTGATTCCATAACTTGGATCTTGTAAATAGTGCCGCAATAAACATAGGAGTGCAGATATCTTTTCAATATACTGTTAAAAAAATTTTTTTGGATATATACCCAGCAGCAAGATTGCTGAATCATAATGGTAGTGCTATTTTTAGTTTTTTGAGGGACACCCATACCGTTTTCCATAATGGCTGTACCATCTTACATTCCCAATAACAGTGTATGAGAGTTCCCCTTTCTCCACATCCTTGCCAGATTCTGTTTTGTCTTTCTGATAATGGCCATTTTAACTGGGGTGAGATGAAACCTAATTTTTGACTGTTACAAAACGGTGCTACTATCAATGTTCTTGGTAGTGTGTATAAACACAGGTATCTCTAGGGCACTTATGTAAGAATGGAATTACTGGTTTATGGAATACGAGCACCTTCAATTTAATTGGATGATGCCTAACTTCCTCATGGCATGTACCAATTCACGCTCTTACTAGCCAGGTTTAACAATTCCCATTGCTCCACCTGCTGGCCAACACTTGGTATTATCAGACTTCTTAATTTTTGCCTATCTAGTTGGTGTAAATGGCATCTCTTAATTTGATTTTCCTGATGACTAATAATGTTGAGCATCTTTTCACTTGCCTATTGAACATTAGGATTTCCTCTTTTGTGAAGCATTTATTCTAGACATTTGTCATGTTTTCCTGTTGAGTTGTATGACTTTTTCAAATTAATTTGTAGAAGTTATTTGTTTTAATTTTAGTTCTTCCTCTTTTATATGTGTTCCATACATCTCTCCCCACCTTGCCACTTATTTTTCCATTTTAGTGATTTCTTTTGATAAGCATAAGTTCTAATTATAAGATAGATATCGAAGTTATCAATCCTTTTTTACGGTAAGTGCTTTTGTGTCTTTTCAAAGGAATCTTTCTATACTCCAATATCATGAAGATATTCCTTTATACTATAATAACATTTACAATTTTATGGTTTTGACTTTCATATTTGGGTTTTTAATATACTTGGAATTAATTTTCGTGTAGCGTATGAGAATAGAGGTCTAATTTTTTTCCTTATGAATATCCAATACCCTAATATCATTTGTTGAAAAGTCTTTCCTTCTCCCATTCAGTTACAATGCCAACTCTGTCAAATATCAAGTTTTCATATATTATTGGGACTATTTCTGACCTGTCTGTTCTATTCCATCAGTTTATTTATCTAACCTTGTGCCAGTACAGCATTGCCTTATTACCTGTAACAGTAATAATAATAAATGTCTTGATATCTGATAGGGAAAGTCTTCCCACTTCATTCTTATTCCTCAAGAGTTTCTTAACTATTCTTATTAATATGTACAGAAATAGATGCTGAGATTTTCTTTTCACAAAATTACTGTTGAGATTTTAATTTCAGCAAAACTTAACTGTTGAGGGTTTTTTTGTTTGTTTGTTTGTTTTTGAGACGAAGTCTCACTCTGTTGCCCAAGCTGGAGTGCGGTGGCGCGATCTCAGCTCACTGCAACCTCCACCTCCTAGGTTCAAGCGATTTTCCTGCATCAGACTCCTGAGTAGCTGGGACTACAGGCAGGCACTACCATACCCACCTAATTTTTGTATTTTTAGTAGAGATGGGGTTTCACTATGTTGGCCAGGCTGGTCTTGAACTCCTGACCTCGTGATCCACCAGCCTCAGCCTCCCAAAGTGCTGAGATTGCAGGCGTGGGCCACCGTGCCCAGCCAACTGTTGAGTTTTAATGTAAACAAAAATAATGGTTGAAATTCGAATTTTAATGTTTCTCCAAGTTTCATAATATCCTTCATAGTGTTCAATATATCCTTTTTGGGATTTTTATTTGTTGCTTTGTTAAACAATTACTAACAGTAAAGCAGATTATCACAAATGGGATTATTATGAGTTTCTTACATATAATGTCCTTCTATTTTAAGAGAAAAAATATATATCTGTTAAGAAATCAATTTATATGTGTTGATGCCTCATGTTGACATATTCAGTATAACATATTAACATAATGTACTATGTTATTATCTATAAAGATGCCACTAATTCCTTAGGTTTTCAAAAAGTAAACAGCAAACCTTAAAAAATTTATTATGATAATGGAGATGGAGTACAAAAAAGGTCAACTCTGAGATAGAGTACATAAAATCTCAAGATATCTGTATCTAACTGCCTATTTGATATTTTCACTGACATATAGGCATTCCAAAACTTAATATGTCAAGATTAAACTCTTTATTCTCCCTACCAATGTGTCCCTAGTCTTCCCACTTCCAATGGTATCATCATTTTCTGGTACTTTTAGCACAAAGGGTACTAAGGTATAGGGAACTTGACTCTCTCACTCATCACTCTATTTCCAGTGCCCAGACTGTCATGCACATAGTAAGTGCTCAATAGATATTTGTAGAATGAATGAATGAATGGGTCCTGCCCTCCAAACATGTTTGATTAAAAATCATTCAACAATATACACAGAGTAGTATATGAAAAACCGCCAAAAGACTTGTCCTTAATTTTCAATTATTAGACCCACAGCCTTAATTCAGTCTCTTCTTATTTTATACCTGAACAACTGCCACAACTCTTTTCAGTGGATTTTCTTGTCACCGTCCAATGTGAATAACTTACAAGATAAAATCCAAACCACTCAGCGTGACATTCAAGGTCCTCCATAATCTGACACCAGCCTACTTTTTTCACCTGATTTTCCTCTGCTTAAATATTATGAATCTCGATGTCCCAACCACATAAGACTACTGGATGTTTCCCAAGTGTGCCCTACATTTCTCTTTGTTCTTTTCCCCTCTTCCTGTAATTCCATTGCACCCATTTCTTCCTTCAACAAATGCTATCCATTTTTAAAGGTCCAATTCAAATGTCATTTCCTCTATGCAGGCTTCTTGGACTCCCTCAGGTGGAATTAGATTTCTTTCTTTTCCACTTTCCCCTGGTACTTATTAACCTTGATGTAACATTTAAAATCATAGATGTCATAGAATTATTAGACTTAGAAGTGGTCTTGATGATCATGTGGTCTGACTTTTGCATGATATCAAGGGCCAGAGCTAGAAGAAGCCAGTTCTTTTGATTTGCCTTGCCTCATGATTATTTGTGTACATATATATATATACACATATATATATTTTTTGAGACAGAGTCTCACTCTGTTGCCAAGGCTGGAGTGCAGTGGCATTATCTCGGCTCACTGCAACCTCCACTTCCTGGATTAAAGCAATTTTCGTGCCTCAGCCTCCCGAGTATCTAGGAATACAGGCGCGTGCCACCACGCCTAGCAAATTTTGTATTTTTAGTAGAGACGGGGTTTTGCCATGTTGGCCAGGCTTGTTTCCAACTCCTGACCTCAAGTGATCCTCCTGCCTCAGCTTCACAAAGTGCTGGGATTACAGGCTTGAGCCACTGCACCTGACCTATTTGTGTATATACTTTTTATTCTCTACCTGACATGTCGCTGGGCAGAAATAGGGTCTCATTCATCTTTGTGTTCTTCATAATACTTAATACAATCTATTGCACATAGTGGATATACAGTAAGTATGTTTTAATTGACTTGAGATCACAGGGATGGATAAAGTAGAGGTAGCATTCATAGTATTGTACTCTGTACCAGGTACCATGCCAAAGTTTTACAAAAATTACCTGATTGATCACACAGTCCTATAAGATAAGCAGCATTTCTAGCTTTACTTGCCCAATACTTCATAGCCAGTAAGTTGTAGAATCTGGACCAGAATCCAAATTCCTTTGGCTCTAGATACTTTGCTCTTAGTCATTGTGCTATAGTGCAAAACAACAAGGTGGGAACTCAAAGATTTAGAGTTTAGAATGTGATTGATGGATGAATTTGGCATGAAAGACTAACTTTTATTTCCTGGAGGACATAGCAGCTAGGTTTGGGAAGATAGTTTGGGACTATATTGTGGAAGACTTTGAATGCCAGGCATGGTATCAGAAGTTACCTCCCTTCCCTAGCTCTCCATCTGCACAGTCTAGATCACTGTCTGAGGCCCAACTCAAACACTACTTACTGTTTGAAGACTTCCAGAATCTTCCAAGTCACGATGAATTGCCTCTACTCCCACAGCACTTTGTTCATACCTTTGTTATGATACATAATATCACTTTCTTTTTTCTTTTTTACTTTTTTTTTTTTTTTTTGACGGAGCCTCGCTCTGTTACCCAGGCTGGGGTGCAGTGGCGTGAACTCGCCTTCCCTGGGTCCATGTGATATGTGATTCTCCCACCTCAGCCTCCAAGTAGCTGGGACTACAGGTGTGCACCACCATGCCCAGCTAGTTTTTGTATTTTTAGTAAAGACGAGGTTTTACTATGTTGGCCAGGCTGTTCTTGAACTCCTGACCTCAGGTGATCCATCAGCCTCGGCCTCCCAAAGTGCTAGGATTACAGGCGTGAGCCACCATGCCTGGCCAATATGACTTTCTTAACAGAAATATTTTGTGGCTCCGTTTGTCTCCTTCACATTTTATAAATTCCTTGAGAGCAGGCACTTTATTTATGATTGTATACCTCTTTTTATTTAGCAACTGATACATAGTAGATGCTTGTCTTAGTCCATTTTGTGTTGCTATAAGTGAATACCTGAAACTGGGCAATTTACAAAGAAAAGAGGTTTATTTAGCTCATTGTTCTGCAGGCTGGGAAGTTTAAGATTGGGCAGCTGCCTCTGGTAGCTTCTGATGAGGGCCTTGTACTGTGGCAAAACATGGCAGAGAAATGGAAGGGAAACCAGGTCCCTGCAAAGAGAGTAAAACACCAAACACGAGACGCAACCTCACTTTACAACAACTTGCACTTGCATAACCAATCCAGTCCCACAAAGAGTAAGAACTGACTCACTCCCACCAGACTGCTTTAATCCCTTCATGAGAGTGAATCCCTAATGACCCAGAAGCCTGTTAAATATTCCACCCCCTCTCAACACTGTTACATTGGGGACCAAGTCTCAATATGAGTTTTGGTGGGCACAAACCATATTCAAATCATAACAATGCTCAATAAATATTAGTTGAATTAAATGTTTCATTAGGAGAATATAGACATGAATAAGGCATGGTTTCTGCTCTCAAGAGAAGCCAACATTCTATCAAGGGAAACAGTACATTATTCCATGTGAGAAGCTATACTAATGACATGCATAGGTGTGTGGAATTCAGCAATCAATTCGAAAATGCAATAGGAAAAATTACCCATTCATGATATTCCCAAAATCTGTAAGGCAGCTAGGAAGATAGCTAACAAAGATGTATAAACCATTATGCAGAAAAGTATGAGACTGTACTAAAGGAAATTTAATAAAAATCGGAAAGTGGAGGAATATACTTGTCAGGAACTACAAAAAGTCTGGAATTTGACCCTATTTACAAACTTACAAATTAGCCTGACACACACAGTTTCAGGTATTCTGTCAGAAGACATGAGAATCTTGGGTGAGAGGCAAAGGACTTTATTACTCAGAAAAAGCAGTAGCTAGAACTTCCTGTTGGCTTGTGTTCGTTCCCAATGCCCCCCAGATCCCACAAGGGCAATGCAAAGGACCAATGATGGATAGCTGCACAGTGGGTTGCATTACAGGAAAGAAACAATACATTTGGAGGATCCACTGCTTTTATAGAAAATGGAAATAAGCCGGCTCTTTGTGATGTTTCCTCATCCTTCAGGGTTTCTCACTGCAAACATGGCCCTGAGAATGGCCAAGGTGAAGAGTCTTCAGTGCCTTACATTTTTGGCATACTCAGAAAGAACATGTGTGAATGCTTAGGGACCATGATGGGTTGTCTTTCCCAACAATACTCCATTTGTATGTGGGGAGACTTTAAGTGAGCAAATTGGTAATTCTTCTCAAATTAATCCATAAATCCAATATTATTCCAATCAAAATATTAACAGGCCAATTTTTGTGGAATTTGAAACATTGATTACAAAATTAGAAAAGGCACATATAGTAAATTGTTATATGAAAGAAGTGATTTTGCAAAGGAGTGAAAAAAGGATGAATAATTTAATAAATGTGATTGGGAGAGTTGTTTCCCTTCTCGAAGAAAAATCTAGATCCATGCCTTATATAAAATAAAATCTAGATGTATAAAAGACCAAAGTACACAACCAAAATCTTAAAACCAATAAAAAATCATGTCCTCAGAGTAGAGAGTTTCCTAAACAAAATCCCAAAACATAAGTTTTAAAGGAAAATATTGATATATTTGATTCCACAAACATTGTATAATAAAAGACATGAGAAATAACATTAGTGTTAAAAGATGAGCAATCATTGGTACAAGCTTTTTGGAAAACCAGTTTGCTCTATCTACTGAAGCTGAACCTATGCATTCCCTATGACCAGAAACTCCATTTCTTGGTATATACCCAAGAAAAAAGCATATGTATATTCACTAAAGACATTATGAATATGCTCATAATCACATTATTTGTAATAGCCCCAAACTGAAAAAAACAAGTGTCCACCAACAGTAGAATGAATAAATAAATTGTGGTATACATTAAAACGTAGCAATAAAGGAGAATAAACTAACTACAACTACAAATTCATGACAACATGGGTGAATCTCACAAACCTAATGTTGAGCAAAAGAAGCCAGACACAGAGGAGTATATACTGAAAGATCCCATTTATTCAAAGCAGAAAAGAGGCACAACTAATCATCAGGAGAGTGGTTATCATCCTTGGGCATAGTGATTGGAAAGGGGCACAAAAGAAGCTTGTGGTGGGGCAGGGGGAGGTTGGTAATGTACTGTGTCTTGATCTGAGAGCTGGTTATATGGGTGTCTTTACTTTGTGAACATTTATCAAGATATACACCTAAGATATGTATGTATGTATATTGTGCTTAAATAAAACATTTTGAAAATCTGCCTTACAGGATACTTTCTTATATATGGCTCTCACCAGTAGAGTTGCACGCATACCGAAAGTCATGTTTTTTCCTCAAACAGGTTTATTCCAGTTACATTTGTTGTAAATGAACATAATACGGATTCAAAAAAGAAAACCAGCAACAGATTTAGAGAAACTTTTTGCAAAATATATTGCTGACCAATAATTAGATACAGAATATGTGAAGAACCCCTAAGAAGCAATACTTAAAAAACAAACAACTTATAGGAAAAATAGGTAAATGACCTGAAAACGTACTTCACAGAAGAGGAAAGGTATATAACCAGGAAACCTATAAAAAGATGCTCTTCCTCATTCGTGTTCTTTTCAGGGACATGGATGAAGCTGGAAACCATCATTCTCAGCAAACTAACACAGGAACAGAAACCAAACACTGCATGTTCTCACTCATAAGTGGGAGCTGAACAATGAGAACACATTGACACAGGGAGGGGAACATCACACACCGGGTCCTGTCGGTGGGTGGGGGACTAGGGGAGGGATAGTATTAGGAGAAGTAGCTAATGTAGATGACGGGTTGATGGGTGCAGCAAACCACCATGGCACGTGTATACCTGTGTAACAAATCTGCACATTCTGCACATGTATCCCAGAACTTAAAGTATAATTAAAAAAAGATGCTCATCCTCATGAAATAATCTGGGACATACAGGTTCAAACACTAGGGAGATACTCACTTTCACCCATTTGATGGGCTAACGAAGTCTGAAAATACTAAATATTGGCAAGAATATGGGGAAAATGGGACTCATACACTGCTGGTATGAATGTAAATTGATGCAATTACTGTGGAAACTTATTTGGCAGTGTACAGTCAGGTTGAAGACGCATGTACTATGTTATCTAGCAATTTCAATTCTAGGAGACATGTTTATAGACTAAGAGGAGGCTATTGCAAGAACATGAACTGCCGCATTGCTTGTAATAGAAAAGATGGAAGCAACTTAAATGTCTATAAGGATGGAAATGCATTAGTTAACTATGGAATATTCATATAATGGAATATTATATATCATTTAAATGCACCTCTATTGGTTACTGTATAAACATAGGTAAAATGTTTAGAAATCCATAATATTAGGTGAAAATTCATAATGTTGGGTGAAAAAAAACAAGTTGTAGAAGATTACACACAGATATGATCTAACTTGTCATAATGCAAAAATCACCAGAAAATGATTCATTTAACAAATATTTATTGTAGGCACAATTCTAGGTACTTGGGATCAGTGAAGAAAGCAGAGGTCTCTTCCCTTGTAGACCTTACATTTCAATGGGTGAAGACTGAAATAAGATAATTAGCATAATAAGTAAATAAATTATACAGTGTGTTAGATGGTGATGAAGCAAAAACAGAGGATGGTAAGGGGGATAGAGAAAACAAGGTGGGCAGTTTGCAGCATTAAGTAGGATGGTTCAGGTAGGTCTCATTGATATAGTGAGATTTGAGCCTTGAAATATGTGAGAGAATTTAAACGAGAGGCTCTATTGGAAAACAGCACTCCTTCCTGGAGGAACAGACATTGCCGTGGTCCTATGGCAAGAGTGAGCCCAGGCTGTTTGAAGGATAGCAAGAAGGCCACAGCTGTGGCAGAATGAGGAGAGCAGATGAGAGGTCAGAGATATAATGGAGAACCAGAAAATGTCAGACTTCTGCAGGGACTTTGACTCTGACTGCAAGTGGAATACGGTGTCTTTGCAGGATTTTGAGCAGAGAAATGCCATGATTTGATTTATATTTTAAAATGATCTCTTTAATTTTTGTGTTGAGAATGTACCACCATAGGGGAATGAGAGTGGAAGCAGAGAGGCATGTTAGAAAGCTGTTGCAGTTATCCAGAAGAGATATGATGGTGGATTCAACCTTACGTGTACCAATGGAGATAGTGAGAAGTGGTTGGATTTTGGATGCATTTTGAAGTAGAGTGAAAATGATTTCCTGATGGATTGGATGTGTAGTGGGAGAGAAAGAAAGAAATTGAAGGTGATGTCAAGGTTTTTGGCTCAAGCAGATGGACAGATGGAATTGCCATCAATTGAAGTGAGGAAGGCAGGAGGAACAATAGGTTTTATAGAACAGATTAGTTCTGCCTATGACATTTTGAGTTTGAAATGTCCATTAGACATTGAGTGGAGGTGCTGAGTAGGCAGTTGTATGTATCAGACAGGAGTTTAAGATGAAGATCTGGCCTGCAAACATGAATTTGGAAGTTAACCTAGAAATATTTTGTATTAGCTATTGGACTGGAAGACATCACCAAGGGAGTGCACATAGAAATGCAAAGAACAGGGAAGGAGCCCTGGGGCATTCTCATTTTAAGAGGTTTGGAAGAAGAGGAGGAGCCAGTAAACGAAACTGAGAAGGAGCACCCAGTGAGATCAGAGAATGTGTTGACCTGGGAGCCACGGGAAGAAAGTGAACCAAAGAGGAGTGACACGTTAGCAGTGCCCAATGCTGCTGATAGGTTAAGTAAAGTGAGGACTAAGAATTGATCACTGGATTGAACAACGTGAAGTCATTCATGGCCATGACCATGACCATGACAGGAACAATTTCAACAGATTTGTGGAGGTGGATCCCTGATTAGAATGTGTCCAAGAGAGAATGGGAGGAGAAAAATTGGGAACATCAAATAGAGACCACTATTACAAGGGGATGAGAGAGTAGTCAAACTAGTTACCTAGGGGAAGAACTTTCCTGATAGATGAAACAGACATTGCAAATGCTCTAAGACAATAGTGAGTATGGCTTGTTTGAGGAACAGCAGGGAGGCTACAGCTGGGGCAGAGTGAGTGAGGAACAGAACAGGCAGAGCTAGTGGGAGATAGAAAAGTATGGTCATCTGGGGCTCCCTCTTGGCCCCAAACTGATGTAGGTAGAAGGCCTAGGGAAGTATAGTCTTAGACAGGAACACCGGTTCAAATGATGTCTTATATTGTGTATAGAAACATATTTCATATGTATCTGTAAAAGAGATTTGCATCAAAGGGGAGCAAGGGAATTGTGTAATGGCAGGTGGGAAAGTGGAGCCAAGAGAATATAAATATAAATATATATATATACAATGATAAATATTTGAGTGTGATATATAATAAAGATGAGAAATAACAGTATAAATGAATCCTGATTGACTGATCAAAATGACCCAATAGACAGCACAACATTGATAATGCTGGAGATAAGGGAGAGAAAGAAGGTAAAGAAGGTAGTGATATCATTTAGTTGATGTGAGAAGAAGATATCTAGTGGGAAAAGAAAGGGGCTGGCTTCAGAGGGCAGTCTGGAAATATCATTATATTAATTTGCTAAGATTGCTATAACAAATTCCACACATTGGATGGCTTAAACAACAGACATTTATTGTCTCACAGGGTTGGTTTCTTCTGAGGCTTCTCTCCTTTAGTTGCAGATGACCATCTTCTCCCTGTGTCTTCACATGGTCAGCCCTCAGTCTGTGTTATCTGTGTCCTTATCTCTTCTTATAAGAAGACACCAGTAGTATTGGGTTAGGACCCACCTTAATGACCTCGCTTTGACTTAAGAGGTAATTATGTCACATTATGAGGTACTGGGGGTTAGGACTCCAACATATGAATTTTCAGGGACACAATTCAGCCCATAATAATCGTGTATGATATCAACAGGAAGACCATGTATATGGATGTGGGTGCAGGTAGGTGAAGTGATGTGGTGGTAGGAGTCTCTAGAAGTTCTCTTCTGATGGCTTGAATTTTCCAGTGAAATAGGAAGCAGTGGAAGAGTTAGTTAGGATATGGAGATAGTGTTGGGAATTTGAGGAGAAGGGAGTTGCAAAATAATAACTTGGAAAAGTCAGAAAGTTAAGGGACAGCATGATTGCCTAGCAGCATTAAAGTCTGGTTGGAGTTCATGGTCATTAAGTTAAACTGACAGTTGTCATGTGATTGTGAATTTTCCCCTAGCCAGCTTTAGCTGTGTGGGTGCGGGCTCATGGGGACATAGCTGGATTTAGCCAGGGGTTGTGATTTTGCCAAGCAACACAAAGTGAGAGAGGGGCAGGATACTGGAGGGTATTATGTAGAGGAGTGGTTTTAAACTGAGCATGGCATCTGAGCTAGAAAGGGAGAAGAGAGAAGACAATAAAGGGAAGAAGAGATAGTAAAAATCTGATAAGGTCAATGGACTGAAGATTCTGGTGAGGTTGAAAGAATATAGGGTCCAAAGTGAGTGGGCTAAAAAGGGAGGAGTGTATGGTCAGAAAGAGGGATGTTTGAAATTGAGATTACAGAGGGGTTCCCAAAATTATAGTGAGAAGGGCTAGGGTATGGCTACATGAGTGAGTACATGAGTGAGTAACTGAGGTGGAGTTGAGGAAAATGTCATGGAGGAGAAATGTTCAAGGAACAGAAGAGTCTAGCTTGTCAGATTATCAGAATGATTTTGTTTTGAGATGGGGGTTTTGCTAGGTTGCTCAGGCTGGCTCAAACTCCTGGGCAAACTTACCAACTTAGTCTTCTGAGTAGGTAGGACTACAGTGAGCATCACCATGTCTAGCTTTAGAATGACTGATATTGAACTCACTAAGAATTAAGACAGGACAACTGCCATTGAGAATGACCATGTTCTTAGAGACAAAATGTCTGAGAAATGAGGGGAGACTATTTCTGACAACAGCAATAAGAGCTAGTTGGTGACACTAGCTGTCAAAAGCTGGAAGTTTTTAGGGAGGTGGGAGAGGGATTGCTATCTAAAGGCAGCAATGAGAAGCAGTAAAGTCCTTACACAACTTTTAGGATCTGTGGTACAGTGGTGGTAGGAGAGAAAAATCATCTGCTCCTTGTGAGTGGGCTTCAGGGGATCCAGAGTCCTCAGGGAAGGGGGCATTCAGAGAAGAGGCTTAGACTATGGAGGAATTATTGAGGGTGCATTGTGTTTTATTAGCAGGGGGGCAGTGAGAGAGTGACCTAAAGAGGGGATGTGGACACAACCTTATGAAGGTTAGAATGTAGCAGTTGAGAGGTGTCTTGCAATACTTGTGGTGACTGGCACAAATGGAGATAAATGTTATCATTAGTTGAGTTCTAATAGATTCAAGGGAGATCAGGGTGGGAGGATTTTGAGGTCTGGGCTATGGAGAGGTGGGTATCTGGAGCTTCCTGTCAACCCCAAGGGATGTGGGGGGTGTGGTCTTAGGCTTGGATCACTGGTTCAAACAAGGCTTCATTTTGCTCCTTCATTGTGCTCAGAAATCAAATTAATCTGTAATGACAGAAAAACAGGCCAGAGGGCCAAGATGGCTGACTGGAAGCAGCTAGTGTGCGCGGCTCTCACGGAGTGGAATGGAAGGGGAGAGTAAATATAGTGCCTTCAACTGAAACATCCAGGTTCTCTCATTGGGATTAATCGAGGAAATAACTTGACCCACGGAGAACGGAGAAAAGCAAGACAGGACGACGGCACACCCAGGAGCAACACAAAGCCAAGGGAAGCTCCCCGGCAAGAGAAGTGGAAAGTGAATATGTGGTCCTGGGAACCCATGCTTCTGCCATGGACTTTTTCAACCCACAGGTCAGGGGATCCCCTCATGAGCCCACTCCATCGGGGCCTTCAGTCTCACACACAGAGCTATATGGAGTCCCGGCAGTACAGCAGGCATATGTGGAGATCCAGGAACTTTAGATACTCTGGCTATCTGGGCATCCCAGCAAAAGTAGCTGCAACTCCAGCAAAGCAGGAGGTTAGACCCCTGTACATACCCCTAGGAAAGAGGCCGAATCCAGGGGGCCAAGCAGCCATGGACTGCGGGCCCCACTTCCACAACACTTCACAGGATAAGACCTACTG
Source organism: Homo sapiens (assembly GCF_000001405.40). Classification (NCBI taxonomy): domain Eukaryota; kingdom Metazoa; phylum Chordata; class Mammalia; order Primates; family Hominidae; genus Homo; species Homo sapiens. The sequence goes on along the minus strand of NC_000023.11, from coordinate 104,086,062 downwards.
GCCTGGAATTCCAACTAGCCACCGGTAGCAGTGCTGCACCTACCTGGGACAGAGCTCCAAGGGGGAGGGGCAGGCCGCCATGTTTGCTACTTGGGTGGCTTAGCCCTTCCTCCTCACTGGGAGGGACCTCCCAACCGGAGACTCCAGCCACCCCTGCTGGTGTTCTGTGGGTGACAGAGATTTGAAAACTCCCTGGGACAGATCTCCCAGAGAAAGGGCAGGCCACCATCTTTGTTGTTCGGATGACTTAGCCATTTTAGCCTTCAGGCTTTGGAGAGCCCAAACTGACCAGGGCCAGAAGCGGTACCCCAGCACAGTACAGCTGCCTTATGAAAACGTGGCCAGACTGCTTTTTTAAGTGGGCGCCCGATCCCCTTCCTCATCACTGGGTGGGGCCTCCCAACCAGGGTCTCTGGCCATACCCATTGGTGTGTCTCTGAAGTTTCAGGCGTCCATGGGATGGAGCTCCCAGGAAGAGGGGCGGGCTACCATCTTTGCTGTTTGGGTGACTTAGCAGTTCCAGCCTTAAGGCTTTGGAATGTCCAAGGTGACCAGGGGCTGAAGCAGATCCCTGGCACAGCACAGCTGCTCTATGAGAACGTGGCCAGACTACTTTTTAAAGCAGGTCCCCGATCACATTCCCCCTGACTGGGTGAGACCTCCCTACGGAGGTCTTCAGCCACCTCCAACAGTTGTATTCGGGTTGGCAACAGGCCCATACCTCCTTGGGATGGAGCTCCCAGAGGGAGGGGCAGGCTGCGATCTTTGCTGTTTCACAGCCTTCACTGGTGATACCTTCAGGTACTAGACTATCTGAGGCGACTAGGGACTGGAGTGGACCCCCAGCATACCACAGCATCCCTGTAGAAAAGTGGCTAGACTGTTACATGGGTGCCCATTCCCATACCCTCCTTACTAGGCAGGTCTTCCAGGCCTGGGACTCTAACTAACCCCTGCCAGAGCTATTGCGCCAGTAGCAACTCAGCAACTTCCTGGACAGAGTCCCCAGGGGCAAGTGAAATCCTCTCTGCCTCTGCTTTGGCAGTGGAACCGTCCTTGCCAACTTCGGACTAACAAAGAAGCAGAGACCCTAAGTTTATCCACACCTCCAACAAGCTACACTCAACCCAAGGAGAGGAGGCCAGTTTGTCTCTCATGGGTCCCACAAACCGTCCACTGCTTGTCACCAGACAGGGAACCCCTGGCTTGGGCTTACAGCACAGAAACTCTATCCTGGGCTAACTGCACTGAGCTACTGCTGACTCACATTTCTCTGGGGTGGAGCCCCCAGGAGACAAGCAAAGTGGTGAAGCAGCAAGCCAGCTGATGTGGAGCCCAGAGGTTTTGGCACAGGAACATCTGTAGCAGAGCATGGCCAAGCATGGCCACCCCTTCAAGCTCAACATGCTCCCATAAGAGACTTTAGCACTATGGTAACTGTCTGACCTGATCTGTGCTGGGCAGTCTTGCACATCAGACAGGGCTGGTCAGACCTGAGCACTCCTTGGTCTTCTGTCCTCTCCCAGGGCCCCAGCCTGGCCACACCTGCTTACAGGGCAGTCTTGCGTGCCCTGGGGGCCCACACCATGGCTTCTGTGCTGGTGGATCATGCCTGACTGGCAGAGAGCTCCAGTGTGGCAGCTCCTATGGCCTTGCACCAGCCTGCATGTTAACTCCCCATTGTGCAGCTACCCCCAAGCCCACAGCAACTCCCTACATCACTCTGTGGGCACCTGTCTGCACAGGTGGGTTTTCCTTTACTTGCTCTGCCAGCAAGTGGGAGTGCAGTAGGCCCCCAACCCCTGCCGATTACTGTTGGAGATGGAGCCTTGGTGGGCACAGAGCCAGCAAGTCTTGCCTCACCAGCGAACAGCGAACAGGGGATCTGCCCATACCCTGAGCAATCACTCCTGCTTGTGGGGAACAGAAAAGGCACCCAGACCTGAGCCAGCCAGCACTCTGCCCCAAGCCAACATTACCTCCGAAGTAACAGCCTACACAGTCTCCAGCAGTGGCCCCCTGCTCCCTGCTCCCTGCTCCCCACAGCTGCTTTGCCTCTGCTGCAGTGGTGAATGCCCACAGGGAGGCAGGCACCTCTGCATCCACTAGCACTTGGCTGCAGCTGCTGCACCTTGATCCCCCCAGTACAGTAGACTCCAAATGTCAAGGAGCCAGAGAGCAAGGTGGGGCCCAATACAAGTCCCCCAGAGATACAGCATGCAGTCCAGGGGTTGGGAGCTGAACATTGGCCCCCTAAAATCTTCCAGAAACGAAGCCAGATGGATGAATCCACCTTATACCACAATCAAATCCTCAAGGTCATCAAACAGGATAAAAGAAAAAAAAACCCATCCAAAGGTCAGCAACCTCAAAGGTTGAAGGTAGATAAGCCCACAAAGATGAGAAAGAATCAGTGCAAGAATGCTGAAAACTCAAAAAGCCAGAGTACCTACTTTCCTCCAAATGACTTCATCACCTGTCCAGCAAGGGTTTGGAACCAGGCTGAGGCTAAGATGGCTGAAATGACAGAAGTATAGGAGAGAAGTTCACTGAGATACAGGAGTACATTGTAACCCAATGCAAGGAAGTTAGAAATCATGATAAAACATGGTAGGAGCTGACAGAAAAAATAGCCAGTATAGAGAATGTAACTGACCTGATAGAGCTGCAAAACACACTACAAGAATTTCATAATGCAATCACAAGTATTAACTGCAGAATAGACCAAGAGGAGGAAAGAATCTCAGAACCTGAGGGCTGACTTTCTGAAGTAAGACAAGCAGATAAGAGTATATAAAAAAGAATGAAAATGAATGAAAAAACCATGAAGAAATATGCGATTATGTAAAGAGACTGAATCTACGACTGCTTGTTGTACCTGAAAGAGATGGGAAGAATGGAATCAACTTGGAAAACATATTTCAGGATATCCTCCATGAGAACTTCCCTAACCTAACTAAAGGGGTCAACATTCAAATTCAGGAAATGCAGACAACCCCAGTAAGATGCTGCATGAGAAGATCATCCCTAACACATAATCATCAGCTTCTCCAAGGTCGAAATGGAAGAAAAAAATGTTTAAGGCAGCTGGAGAGAAAGGCCAGGTCACCTACAAAGGGAAGCCCATCAGACTAACAGCAGACCTCTCCACGGAAACCCTAGAAGCCAGAAGAGATTAGGGGCCAATATTCAACATTCTTAAAGAAAAGAAATTCCAACACAGAATTTCACATCCAGCCAAACTAAGCTTCATAAGCAAAGGAAAAATAAGATCCCTTTCAGACAAGCAAATGCTGAGGGAATTTGTTACCACCAGATCTGCCTTACAAGAGCTCCTGAAGGAAGCCCTAAATATGGAAATGAAAGACTGTTACTAGCCACTACAACAGCACATTAAAGTACACAGACCAGTGACACTATAAAGCAATCACATAACCAAGCCTACAAAATAACCAGCTAACATCATGATGACAGGATCAAATCCACACAAATCAATACTAACCTTAAATGTAAATGGGCTAAGTGCCCCAATTAAAAGACACAGAGTGGCAAGCCAGATAAAGAACCAAGACCCATTGGTATGCTATCTTCAAGACACCCATCACACATGCAATGACAGACATAGACTCAACATAAGGGGATGGAGAAAAATCTACCAAGCAAATGGAAGACAGAAAAAAGCAGGTGATGCAATCCTAGTTTCTGACAAAACAGACTTTAAACCAACAGAGATAATAAAAGACAAAGAAGGACATTACTTAATGGTAAAGGGTTCAATTCAACAAGAAGATCTAACTATCCTAAACGTATATGCACCCAACACAGGAGCACCCAGATTCACAAAGCAAGCTCTTAGAGGCCTTCAAAGACACGTAGACTTCCACACAATAATAGTAGGAGACTTACTGACAGTATTAGACAGATCATCGAAGCAGAAAATTAACAAAGATATTTAGGACCTGAACTCTGCATTGGATCAAATGGACCTGATAGACATCTACAGAACTCTCTACTGCAAACAAAAGAATATACATTCTTCTCATCATCACATGGCACATACTCTAAAATTGATCACACAATTGGAAGTAAAACACTCCTCAGCAAATGCAGAACAACTGAAATAATAAACAGTCTCTTGGACCACAGTGCAATCAACTTAGAAATCAAGACTAAGAAATTCACTCAAAACGATACAATTACATGGAAATGGTAATTGTATTACAGTTCCATGAAAGACTCTCCTGAAAGATTTTAGGTTAAATAATGAAATTGAGGCAGAAATCAAGAAGTTCTTTGAAACTAATTAAAACAAAGATATAACATACCAGAATTTCTGAGACACAGCTAAAGTAGCGTTAAGGGAGAAATTTATAGCACTAAATGCCCACATCAAAAAATTAGAAAGATCTTGAGTTAACAACCTAACATCACAACCAAAAGAACTAGAGAATCAAGAGCAAACAAATCCCAAAGCTAGAAGAAGACAAGAAATAACCAAAATCAGAGCTGAACTGAAGGAGATAGAGACACGAAAAACCATTCAAAAGATCACTGAATCCAGGAGCTGATTTTTTGAAAAAAATTAATAAAATCAATAGACCACCAGCCAGACTAATGAAGAAGAAAAGAGAGAAGATTCAAATAAATACAACCAGAAACGGCAAGGGGGATATTACCACTGACCCCCCACGGAAATACAAAAAACTATCAGAGAATATTATGAACAACTGTATGCACATAAACTAGAAACCCTAGAAGAAATGGATACATTCCTGACACATACACACTCCTAGGACTGAACCAGGAAGAAATTGAATTCCTGAACGGACCAATAGTGAGCTCTGAAATGCAGGCAGTAATAGCCTAGCAACCGAAAAAAGCCCAGGACCAGGGGATTCACAGCTGAATTCTATCAGATGTACAAAGAAGAGTTGGTACCATTCTTACTGAAACTATTCCAAAAATTGAGGAGGAGGTACTCTGCCCTAACTCATTCTATGAGGCCAGCATCATCCTGACACCAAAATCTGGCAGAGATACAACAACAACAACAACAACAACAAAATCTTCAGGCCAATATCCTTGATGAACATCGATGCAAAAATCCTCAACAAAATACTGGCAAACTGAGTCCAACAGCACATCAAAAGGCTTATGCAAGACAATAAAGTAGGCTTTATACCTGGGATGCAAGGTTGGTTCAACATATGCAGATCAATAAATTTGATTAATCACATAAACAGAACTCAAGACAAAACCACATGATTATCTCAATAGATGCAGAAAAGGCTTTCAATAAAATTCGACATCCATTCATGTTAAAAATTCTCAATAAACTAGGTGTTGAAGGAACATACCTCAAAATAATAAGACCCATATATGACAAACCCACAGCCAGGATCATACTGAATGGGCAAAAGCTGGAAGCACTCCCCTTGAAAACAGGCAACAAGACAAGGATGACCTCTCTCACTACTCCTATTCAGTATAGTATTGTAAGTTCTAGCCAGGGCAATCAGGCAAGAGAAAGAAATAAAGGGCATCCAAATAGGAAGAGAGGAAGTCAACCTATTCCTATTTGCAGATAACATGCTCCCATATCTAGAAAAGGCCATCGTCTCAGCCCAAAAGCTTCTTAAGCTGATAAGCAACTTTTGCAAAGTCTCGGGATACAAAATCAATGTGCAAAAATCACTAGCATTCCTATACACCAACAACAGTCAAGCCAAGAGCCAAATCAGGAATGAACTCCCATTCACAATTGCACACAAAGAATAAAGTATCTAGGAATACAGCTAACTAGGGAAGTGAAAGAAAAAAAAAAGAACTACAAATAAAAAAGGAGAACTGCTCAAATAAATCAGAGATAACACAACCGTTCCACGCTCATGGCTAGGAAGCATCAATATCATTAAAATGATCATACTGCCCAAAGCAAATTATATTAATAGATTCAATGCTATGCCTATTAAACTAACACTGACATTCCTCACAGAACTAGAAAAAATATTTTAGAATTCACATGGAACCAAAAAATAGCCAAGGCAATCCTAAGCAGAATGAACAAAGTTGGAGGCAAACCATGCTACAGGGCTACAGTAACCAAAACCTCATGGTACTGATACAAAAACAGGGACATAGACCAATAGAGCAGACTAGAGAAGCCAGAAATAAGAACATATATCTACAATTATATGATCTTTGACAAACGTGACAAAAACAAGCAATGGAGGAAAGGATCCCTGTTCAACAAATTATGCTGGCATAACTGGCTAGCCATATGCAGAAGGTTAAATCTTGACTCTTTCCTTACATCATATAGAAAAATTAACTCAAGATAGATTGAAGACTTAAATGTAAAACCCAAAACTATAAAACCTTGGAAGACAACCTAGGCAATACCATTCAGGTACGAGCAAATATTTCATGAAAAAGATGCCAAAAGCAATTGCAACAAAAGCTTCTGCACAACAAAAGAAACTTGGTAGAGTAGACAGACAACCTACGGAATAGGAGAAAAGTTTTGCAAACCATGCATCTGAGAAAAGTCTAGTATCCAGCATCTATAAGGAACTTAAATAAATGTATAAAAGAAAAACAAACCCCATTAAAAAGTGGACAAAGGATGTTAACAGACACTTTTCAATAGAAGACATACATGTAGCCAATAATCATATAAAAAAAGCTCAACATCACTGATCATTAGAGAAATGCAAATCAAAATGATAAGGAGATACCATCTCACGTCAGACAGAATGGCTATTATTAAAATGTCAAAAAATAACAGATGCTGTCAAGGGTGTGGAGAAAAAGTATGCTTGTACACTGTTGGTGGAAGTATAAATTAGTTCAGCCATTGTGGAAGACAGTGTGGCGATTCCTCAAAGCCCTAAAGACAGAAATACCATTTGACTCAGCAATCCCATTACTGGGTATATACCCGAAGGAATAGAAATTGTTCAATTATAAAGACACATGCACAGGTATGTTCATTGCAACACTATTCACAATAGTAAAGACATGGAATCAACCTAAATGCCCATCAATTATAGACTGGATAAAAGAAAATATGGTATATATATGCAGCATGGAATAATATGCAGCCATAAAAAAGAAAAAGGTCATGTCCTTTGCAGGGACATGGATGGAGCTGGAGGCCATTATCCTTAGCAAACTAATGCAGGGACAGAAAACCAAATACTGCATGTTCTCACTTGTAAGTGGGGGCTAAATGATGAGAACACATGGATACAGAGAGGAACAACACACATTGGGACCTCTCAGGGGGTGGAGGGTGGGTGGATGGAGAGGATCAGGAAAAATATCTAATGGGTGTTAGGCTCAATATCTGGGTGATGAAATAATCTGTAGAAAATACCCATGACACAGTTTACCTATGTAACAAACCTGCACATGTACCCCCGAACTTAAAAAAAAATACGCTGGAAGCTACACATCACATTCAGGATAGGACTACCCCTAGGGAAGTGGGAAGGTGAATGGAAGTGGAGGGAAGGTCAAGGAAACCTCAATTATTTTTTCGGTAAAGTTTTCATTCCTTAAAAGAAAGACAAAGTAAATATACCTAATGTTAACAACATTGAAATCTGAGTAGTGGAAACACTGGTGTTTATTATATTTAATGCCAGGGACATTGTAGGTACTCAATTAATATTATTTGTTGAATGAGTATGCTTTTCTGTTTTGAAAGTTTCTCCAACAAACATACACAATTCTCAAATTAACAGAAAGTGCTACAAGAGCAAAGAAAAGGGAATGAAGTGAGGTGGGGAAGGCTTGAGAAATCCTTGTGGAAAGAATGATTTCTGATCTATATAGATCTATACCACCATACATGGGGTGCAAGTAAAAGACATAGTTCTACCTCCATCTTACCTTAAAGCGCTAAGGTTCTGGGTGAGTATCCAGAAAATGATCTTGAACGTTTAGTCCTTTTAAGTAACTACCGGATCCTCAATTTTCTCTTCCAACAGACACTGGGTGGTGCTAGTGTCCAAAAATTCCTCCCTATCACGGATTTATTACTTCAATCCACATACATCTCCACAACCAATGTGTCTTGTGGGCCAAAGTGCTAGGGATTGGGGATATAAAGGTGAATAGCAATAGCCTCAGTTGTTCTGTGATTATAAACTGACTGCTATCGTGTTCTGTGGCCGAGAAAGCTGCAAATGTGACTTTTACATTTCACAGGAGAGCACTACTGTCACAGAAATGTCCAGTTGTAGGGGTGAATGGCCCTGAACTACCCACCCTCACCATGAGCACTCGTACTCCACGACGTGGCCAAGGATTAGAGCAGACAACACCGAGCCCCACTTCCAACCTACTGTTAGGTTGTCCTTAGGCCCCAATGGCTATAAAAAGCCTAGAGAGCCTATATACCGGTCATTCAGCTTGGACCTCTGTGTTACAGATGTTCTAAGCTCACTGGGCAAAATGTGTCTGCTTATTGCAGAGGCTTCTGTTATTGTGAAAGAGTGAGTGTACTTTGTTTTTTTTTTTTAAAGGTACTCAAATGTCAACTTTATTGTTTCTATATAAACACCTTTTTGTACTGAAAACTGTAAAAATAACAAAGTTTGCTGTGATTGCAGTTCAAATTTTTGAAAGCCAGAAAATCTAATTATGCTATAGCCAAACTACCTAATGCTTTCTTTATCCACAAGTAACTTTGCTTCAATTTCTTGATGTTGGGTTTCATCTCACTGACTTTGGGCTTCTAAGACACATGGGAATACTTATATCGTCTTGGATTCTTTGGGTCAAATCAAACAGTAGAGCTAAAGTTATTCAAATACATTCAGATTACACAGATCCCTTATGAATTACTAGTATCATAGTAGGAAGAAAAAGATACAAGAAGAAAAATACATCCTAGAACTCATTATCAAAATTATTGGTGTATAGTCTGTTCTAGCATAGATTAGCTTTCTCAACCTGCTATATAAAATTACCAGCAAGAAAAAAAGGTGCAAGAATAAGATTTATGGCTGAAGTGGCTTGGTGTCTTGATTCTCTATTCTAGCATTCTCAGAAGGATCCCATCCGTTAGACACGCAGAAACTGCAGGGACATTTGAATGGTCTTGATTCCTTCTTAACTCCCTTAGGCTCCTCGTTTGTTGGTCTTCTTTCATGCATACGAACTCTGCCGAGTAACATGTATCTCGATCTTGCCATCTTTTCTCTCTGCACAGACAGCAATGTTCTTACTCCTCTCCTGCTGTAAAGCCACTCATCTTCGATTTCCCTGAGGACTTCTGCTCCTACAGACTCTCGACGGAGTAAAGCTTCCGATAGAGGGGAAACAGATTCGCTACTAGTGTTGATAGTCAAGTTACTAAGGTTCTTTATCAACGTCTCGGAGCAGATTTGAGAGGCCCCTGAATCGTCCCGGGAATTTTCTTCGGTGAGCATTTGTGGAGACTCTGGGATGTAGGTTGGATTAAACTTCTGTGATGGGTCCATCGGCGTCTTGACACAACACTAAGCTTCTCCTGGATCTTTGAAACGTAGCAGAAACTGATGACGGAGCCTCAAATTGCTACAAGGTAGCCCGGAAAGAGCAAGAGTGAGTGTACTTCGGATGAAGGGAATGTGGACCCTCAGGACTAAAGCAGTGGGAGAGGCCTGGGAGGTGGGGCCTGGGGAGGGCGAGGTCTGCTCTGAAGTCACCAAGCTCCTGATCTTAGAAGAGATGGTGGGCGCAGGCTCTGGAGGCTCAAGCGGAGGAGGGGAAGGAGGCGAGTCCGGAAACCCTCGGCCAATCAGAGAGGGCTGGGGCGGCGCCTGCTAGAAGGCTTAGCACTGCAGGGCTCTGGGCGGGAAGGCTAACCTGGTGCGGAGCCAGCCTGGGTCTCAGCCCCGCGTACGGCCTTTCACGAGTCTTCAAGCCTTCAGGTGAGTACCTGCGGCCTCGCAGGAGCCAGAGGACCATGGGGACGGGAAGGCGTGGGGGTCGCGAGGCGGGGGATGCCGCGCCTTCGGGAGCCAGAGGGGCTGGGGTTGGGGCTGGTGCTTGGTGTCTGCGCCGCCGCCAGGCCCGGCGAGTCCGAGCCTTTGTCTTTCTGGGGCGCCGCCTTCTGCGAGCGATGCCGAGCCCTCCCGGGGGCCGGTCCCTGGAAAGAAGGCCCCGGGGAGTCGGGGTGGGAGGCGGTGGTTGGAGGGGTAGGGGACCCTTAAAGCGGCCAGTCCGCGGTAGCTGCAGGTCAGAGGCTTCGAGGATGAAGAGTTTGGGGGCCGCCCGGAATGGGCCTTGTGGGGCTGGGCCCTGGTTCCTTTCCCTCCCGTGGCCGTTAGACTGGGCGTCTAACAACGCTAATAGTTATTTGAAAAAGTATGCAAACTGCTCCTGACAGACTGGCCTATGCGCCCGGCCCTGCTATTATTTATTGGTTAGTTCCAATTTCCCAGCTCCGAGCTTGGCGTCTGATCGCTTGGCAGAGGAGGGTCTTAGGGTAACCTCGACAGAATGGAGGCATGTTCGACACTTCTGACTGCTTGGGGGCCTCTGCATTCTACGCCAGGGACTAGACGAAGTGTCTTACTCCACCAGGGTGGGGCCGGGCTTGCTCATGAAAGCTCTACCTGGTATATCCTATTGTCTCTTCTGAACAAACTCGAGACTTTCACAGGGCACCAGGCATTTCGTCAGGTCCACAGCTACGCACGTCTGAGCCTCATCTCCTCCCTCTCTGCAGTGAAAACGTGAAAGAAGACCCACTTCTATTTGGTTTATTCCGTTCTGCTGAAGTCCTGGGTCTGATCCTAGTTAGCTGTCCCTTCTTACAGCGTTTACAAACCAGTGCCACAAGGAGCTATTATGAGACGTGTATTGTAGTGCCTTAATGTACTGTCGTCTTTGGGGATTTAAAATAGATAGAAATTAATACAACTTATCTCATTCTTTTTTTGTGTGCTGCTCCCCATCTCCCAAGAAAAATGGCAAAACCAAAAGTAAATAGAAAGTGAAGATGCTCAAATGGTGCTATGTTCTGTTTCAAAATAATTACCTGGTTAAAACCAGTCTTTATTTTTTCTTCTATCCCTGTCTGGTCTTGTGCTTCTATCACCTCCATTTTATCCTTGCTGTGATTTTAAGAGTCAGACAAATGGCTCTGTGTTTCTAGAGCATCTTGGTTTCTGGTGCGTTATGATCCAATGACATTTACTGCCTATCAGAAACGGCAAATGATGTGGAGTTGAAATTATTCTAACAAAAATATAACTTTTCTAATATCTGTTGCTGTTTTTCTGTTGAAAATGAGCAGGTAGAATATACATTGATAGGAAATGTGAAAATTTTTGCTTGTGATCCCTTAGTCCGAAGATAGTTCTGCCAGGTAAGTTTTCTTAAAAATGTTTTTTTCTGTCCTGGCGCGGTGGCTCACGCCTGCAATCCCAGCACTTTGGGAGGCCGAGGCGGGCAGATCACTTGAGGCCAGGAGTTCCAGACCAGCCTGGCCAACATGGTAAGACCCCCGTCTCTACTGAAAATACAAAAATTAGCCGGGCATAGTGGCGTGTGCCTGTAATCCCAGTTTCTTGAGATGCTGAGGCAGAGGAATTGCTTGAACCCAGGAGGCGGAGGTTGCAGTGAGCCGGGATTGCGCCACTGCACTCCAGCCTGGGCGACAGAGCAAGACGCTGTTTCAAAAAAAGAAAAAAGTTTTTTCTTTTCAGGCTTTCTTCTAGTCAAGATGAGTGATAAACCAGACTTGTCGGAAGTGGAGAAGTTTGACAGGTCAAAACTGAAGAAAACTAATACTGAAGAAAAAAATACTCTTCCCTCAAAGGAAAGTAAGTCATGTGGGGTTCTACTGGAAACAAACAATAGAGGAAGTTAATAGGTTCAGTAAATAAACCTATCTTCTAGTAATTTTTTTTACACAAAGTAAGCAATAATTAGAGTACCATGGTATTTAATGCAACAGTTAAAACTATCAAATAGTTTTCTTCTGGTTCTCACATGATGGGCCCAGTAGTGATGGGGGAATAAAAAACTAGTTTTTTGTTGGAAAATTATTAAAAACCACATTAAAACCAATCTTGGAATATTGGATGTAGCACTAAAAAACACTTAGTTTTTGTCTACTTTTGGGTATTTGGCATTTTTCTACATTTAAAAATTTGAGTCCATAATATTATCCCTAACGAACCCTGTAGACTCTGCAGTTTTGACCTTCTATATCTGATGAAAAGATAAAGTGAGAACAAATTTAGATCTTAGTATGCTTAAAGCTCTCAGATTCAAGGGATTGATTGGTTCTGCCCTCTGGAGTTATAGCCTGCTGGAGAAACTCTAAGCATATTCACAAAAGCCAAGGGGCACCTTTTGTTATGTCAGTTTTATTTGAGAGTTGCAATATTAGTTAAAATTATCTGAAAGTGTATAATTTTCTAACTGTATAGTGATAGACAAATCTGAAGAAAGTACTTCACTTACTCCTCAGTCTTGAATAATCTGAAAAAATGACAACAGCATTTGGAAAAACAAACCCTACAGTTGATGTAGTTTCTAATTGGTAGTTCAGGTACTTAATGTGTGCACACATGCAGGCACACACCCCACTCTGAGTTTTGTGTTTAATGCCTTGGCATTCTAAATTTAAAGCATGTATGGCAGCCTTCAATGACTTACAAAGAGCTCTTTTGGAAGAAGCTGAACTTAGTCTTAGGAAAATACTTTTGTAATTTTTGGTTTCTTTTTCCCCAGCTATCCAGCAGGAGAAAGAGTGTGTTCAAACATCATAAAATGGGGATCTCCTCCAAAGAGCAGATTTCAGCATTGCCTGACAGTCTTGGTTTTAGGCTTGTTTTTTTGTAAACCTGTGTGTTTGTAGAGATTTCAGACATCTTCTGATTTCTTCTCACCTATATTCCCTGGTTAAGAGGTCAGGGGTAGTGAATGTTTCCTTAAGTTCCTTTTTAAACTTCCCATTGGTATGTAAATTCCAAATGGCAGATGCTGTCAATAACCTTGCCATGGATGACCTTTGTGTAGGTAGTCCTTGCACCTCATGCAGGATAAGCCAATTTTAACTTTCTACAATGGGTGCCTCAATAGTTTCATAATCTTCATGAAGTTGCATCCTTTGGCAGCTTCTTACAGTTTATTTTCACTTCCAATGTAGCAATAAAATAATAAATATAATCGTTGTTGTCTGACTCTGTGGTTCATTCTGGTGGTATTCTAAGGAATGAAAAGTACACAAAGGTACCTTTTACACTCAAACAAAATGGTTGAAGGAAAACTTTTAGCAGATTAGTCCTGGGGGAAAATACTAAATTCTGTCCAAGTCCAGTGGTTCCTGACTTGGGGATGGTAGGTGCTTTTTCTTTATAGTTGGAATCACAGAGTTAGAGAACCTTGGGAGAGAAGGTCATGTGGACTAACCTCCTTATCTCAGAATGAGGAAATGAAAACACAGGGTCTGAAGTAATCTGCTCAATTTGAATAAGGGTTGGAATTCAAGCTGGGTTCTCTTGCCTTCTGAAAGTCTTTTTCAGCTTAGTGGGAGTTAACATCCAAGACTGAAGTTGGATGGAGAAAGGGGCAGGAGGCACTTGCTACCAAACACCATATTAAGCACATCACATCTTCTAATGACCTGTAGCACTGAACTTCTGGTACGGTTTTTCTACTGAACAGAATTTGCTGTTTTATGAACTAAACATTTCTGGTGTTCATGGTGAGCATAAATGTTATGGTCTGAATTTTGTCACCTGTGACCTCCTGATTAATATGCTGAAGCCCTAATCCCTAGCATGATTGTATCTGGAGATAGGTTGTTTCAGAAGTAATTTACGTTATGAAGTGATAACAGTCAGGGCCTAATCTAATAGGACTGTGGCCTTATAAGGAGAGAGAGACCAGTCTCTAACATGCGAGGACACAGCAAGAAGGTGCCTGTCTACAAGCCAGGAAGAGAGCCCCCACCAGAATCTGACCCTGCTGGACGTCGACTTGAGATTTCTTGAATCTAGAACTGTGAGCAAGTAAATTTATGTTGTTTAAGTCATTCAGTCTACAGTATTTTGTTACAGCAGCCTGAGCTAATACAGTAAGGAATATGTATAATTGCATGCATTTTAATTCCTGCCTTTAAACAATACTTTTATCTCTTTTTAAAAATTATTATTTTATTTTTATGAGACAGGGTCTTGCTCTGTTGCCCACGCTGGAGTGCAGTGGTACAATCATGGCTCACTGCAGCCTTGACCTCCTGTGCTCAAGCAATCCTCCCACCTCAGCCTCCCTAGCACCTGGGACTACAGGCACGTGCCACCACAGCCAGCTAATATTTTTGATTATTAGTAGAGATCAGGTCTCGCTATGTTGTCCAGGCTGGTCTTGAACTCTTGGGCTCAAGCAATCTGTCTGCCTCAGCCTCCCAAAGTGCTGGGATTACAGGCATGAGCTACCATGCTAAGCCTACTTTAATCATGTGTATAAAAACAAATAACCTATAATCCCACCAATTAGAAGTATTAGCCATCCAGACTTGTGATCTATTAATGTACATATCTTCCTACAAAGACGGATTATACCATTCATACCTATTTTCAACCTCAAGTATTAACTTACCTCCTCCTTTCTCTTTCTTTCTTTCTTTCTTTCTTTCTTTCTTTCTTTCTTTCTTTCTTTCTCTTTCTTTCTTTCTTTTCTTTCTTTTCTTTCTTGAGATGGAGTCTCATTCTGTTGCCCAGGCTGGAGTGCAGTGCTGCAATCTCGGCTTACCATAACCTCTGCTTCCCGGGTTCAAGCTATTCTCTTGCCTCAGCCTCCCGAGTAGCTGGGACTACAGGTGTGTGCCACCATGCCTGGCTAATTTTTGTATTTTTAGTAGAGATGGAGTTTCACTATGCTGGCCGGGCTGGTCTCGAACTCCTGAGCTCGTGATCTGCCCTCCTCAGCCTCCCGAAGTGCTGGGATTATAGGCGTGAGCCACCATGCCCTGCCTTACCTCACCCTTTCTAAGGGCTCACATTCTTAAATAATCAGTGGGATTACATGAAGTGAAAGCTGTTTTCTCTGCTGCAGCTTAAAGTTTCAAAAGCAAAACAGTAGGTAGGTCAACTTCAATCAAGTGCCAATGAGGTGACACAGTCACGGGGCTTAGTGTGTAGCCAGAGGATTTGAGCCTTGGAAGTAACCATGTTAGTCACCAGTACCTTATCTCCTGCCTGAGGCAATTGTCCAGTAAAGTCACTCAGCTCCTTGCAGTGATATGCTTCTTACATTGTGCCCAAACGTGCCTCCCTGTAGCTTCTATTCAATAGTCCTGGGATTATGTGCTGGAGGCCTAGAGACAGTAGTTAATCCATCCTCCAGAATTTGAAGTCAGCTGTTGTGTCCTGTCCCTCTACCTCCAAGTCTTCTGCAACTGACACTTCTCAGATCCTTCAGACCCAAGTTACACAGATGGGAAACCATCCTGGTTGCAGATATGCTCAGATTTGCTCATTACCGGGTCTGTGAATCCTGGTTCAATCATCCAACACAGTTGCTCCCCTTTCTGTGTTGTCATTTGCAAATTTGATAAAGATGCTATTCATCTATGATAGATTCAGCAACCTCTTCATTTGTACATTAATGCAGCTCAAAGGAAAGCATGAATGTTGTCAGGTGACCTAGGATTGAACAATAACTCCTAGTTAGTTGCATCTGGTAGCCATCCTTTTCATTAAAGTCTTGATTTGTACCCTGGGTAGTGTAAGTGTTAAACTGAGTGGGAGCAGATTAGAAGTGCATGGCGGGAGGTGAAAGACATGTAATTACTAAGTGAATACTCATACAGGAATGAGATGGGAAAAACTGCAGTTGCTCATCTGCAGTAGTTTTGCCCCACGTTTCTCAAGTATTTAATGTTGGGCTACTCTTTTAGTCACTAGCTTTACTTGTTTTTTGAATCAGGGGTATATATTTTTTTTTTCCAAATAAGCAAGGATTGAGATTTATGTCCCTGAATCCATCTATTATCTGCAAAACTGGCAGTACCAGGGCTTTGTTATAGCAGTTGTATTTATAGGGAAAGGAAAAGGCTGGAGTTAAATGATTGTCTTCTTTTATGCATTAACATCCCTTGAAAATCACTGGTCAGTGGCTTTACACTTTTATTCTGTCAGTGTACATAGGCAGAGATGACTTTAATTACTAAGAACAGAAAATGAAATATCAGAAAGAAAAAATATACTGAAAGTTAAAAGAGAAAAATCAGCCAAATAAAATTTCATGCCTAATTCATCTCTGCAAAGAATAAAAAAAGTCTCATTTAGTATTACGACTTACAATTCCCATGAAACTCTGCAGGCCAGTGAGTTTTATAAACACTCCTAGAATTTAACCAATGCATGTTCATACCTAATGAGAATGCCTTGCCTTTGGAGTCTTTTTAAATTTTTTTTTTAAATTTACATTAAGTTCTGGGATACATGTGCTGAACATGCAGGTGTGTTATACAGGTATTCATGTGCTATGGTGGTTTGCTGCACATATCAACCCATCATCTAGGTTTTAAGCTCTGCATGCATTCAGTATTTATTGTAATGCTCTCCCTCCCCTTTGCCCCTAACCCCTGACAGGCCCAGGTGGGTGATGTTCCCCTCCCTGTGTCCACGTGTTCTCATTGTTCAGTTCCCACTTATGAATGAGAACATGTGGCATTCGGTTTTTTGTTCCTGTGTTAGTTTGCTGAAGATAATGGTTTTCAGCTTCATCCATGTCCCTGCAAAGGACATGAACTCATTCTTTTTATATGGCTGCATAGTATTCCATGGTGTATATGTGGCACATTATCTTTATCCAGTCTATCATTGATGGGCATTTGCATTGGATCCAAGTCTTTGCTATTGTAAATAATGCTGCAATAAACATACGTATGCATGTGTCTTTACAGTAGAATGATTTATAATCCTTTAGGTATATATCCAGTAATGGGATTGCTGGGTCAAATGGTATTTCTGGTTCTATATCGTTGAGGAATGGCCACACTGTCTTCCACAATGGTCGAATTAATTTACACTCCAACCAACAGTGTAAATGTGTTCCTATTTCTCTGCATCCTCTCCAGCATCTGTTGTTTCCAGACTTTTAGTGATCACCATTCTAACAGGCGTGAGATGGTATCACATTGTGGTTTTGATT
This sequence comes from Homo sapiens, assembly GCF_000001405.40. Lineage (NCBI taxonomy): Eukaryota > Metazoa > Chordata > Mammalia > Primates > Hominidae > Homo > Homo sapiens. Next base: position 104,068,893 of record NC_000023.11, on the reverse strand, counting down.
TGCATTTCTCTAATGAGCAGTCATGATGAGCTTTTATTTTCATATGTTTGTTGGCCACATAAATGTCTTCTTTTGAGAAGTGTCTGTTCATATCCTTTGCCCACTTTTTGATTTTGTATTTTTTTCTTGTAAATTTGTTTAAGTTTCTTGTAGATTCTGGATATTAGCCCTTTGTCAGATGGAAAGATTGCAAAAATTTTCTCCCATTCTGTAGGTTGCCTGTTCACTCTGATGATATTTTCTTTTCTGGGCAGAAGCTTAAATGTGTAGAAATATGTTTGATTCTTGCCTTGGTAATCTTCTACCTGTTTGATCTTGGGCAAGTGACAATCTTTTGTGGTTCAGTTTCTTCATCCACAAAACGGAGGAAATAACACTACTTCACAGAGATCTTGTGAAAGGCAATTAAAGTGTTCCCTGTAAAGCACTTAGAACAATGCCTGGAATAGTCGCCACTCAGTCCGTGGTGACTCTTTTTATTACTATAGCAATGCCTAGTTTAATTGACACCAACCAAAATGAGTGTCGGTTATATGGGTGGTAATGAAAGGGAGTGCAATTAACTGGCAAGGTCAGAAGTAGGGTAAGTTAATTCAATCTTCTGGTTAATAGGTGCCATGTGGAATCTACCTATGTTCTAGGGATTGTTATTTTCAGTAATAATAATTGCAATTAAGTCCTCAACTTTACCATTGAACTGAATATGTTGTTGTCCCCAGTCATATCAAATGGTGAAGAAACATCTCTAAAGAGCCAGGAAAAACTACTGACATAACTGTGTGGTCACTAATTAAAGGCAAAGATATTGATTAATGGAATAATGAAAATGTCTGATATATAACTGGATACTTTATGTGTGGAAACAACACTGAGATCTCTGCAGCAAAGTTTTGGTGCAGAAAGCTTGTATTAGGGATTTCCAGAGTTATAAAACCAATAGGATATCTATCTATCTATCTATCTATCTATCTATCTATCTATCTATCTATCATCTATCTATCTATCTAGATAGATAGACAGATAGATTTATTTTAAGAAATTGATTCATGTGATTATGGAGGCTGGCAAGTCCAAAATCTGCAGGATGGGCTGGCAGCCTGGAGTCCCAGGTAAAAGCTGAGATTACAGTTTAAGTCTAAAGACCATGAGGCTGAAGACCCACGGGAGAGCCGATATTGCAGTTCAAGTGTGAAGGCTGTTTGCTGCAGAATTTACTCTTGCTTGGGGGAAGTCAGTCTTTTTGTTCTATTCAGGCCATTATGGAGGGCAGTCTGTTGTACTCAGGTCCATTGATTTAAATGTTAATCCCAAACACACCTTCACAGAAACATTCAGAATAAAATTTGACCACATATCTAGATACTGTAACCCAACCAAGTCGGGTTACCTAAATCTCTATCCTTGTTTATTTGGGAAAAAAATCTCCCCCTGGTTGGAAAGACAAGACAAGGCATAAAATTGGCCATCACAGGGCTAAATGTGGGTTATCAAGTAATGACTGTATAATCCTAACCTGAAAACATTTCTCACTCCCTGATTCCCACCCTTTCTCTCACCAATTTGCAGCAGAATAAACATATGCTCCTCAACTTACAATGGAGTTCAGTCCGGTTAAACCTATCGTAAAGTCAAATAATTTTAAGTCGAACCATCCTAAGTTGGAGTCCGTCTGTATTGGACACAATTATGCAACGTGGAATGGCTACGCATGTGGTTTAGACATGTATTGAAACACAGAATTGAGCACGGGAATGGTTAAATTTCCTAACTGCTGCTTGAAAAAACTCCCGTGGTTTCAGGAGAAAATCAGGTTCCTTGTATACCTTTGCATGAAACCTAACTTGATGCTTTTGCTTTTATACCTCTGAACTGATCACATTGCCCTCAAGGAAAAATCAAGCTATGAAAAGACTTGCTCTAAAGGTGAGGCTCACCTCATCCTGTCTACCTAAGGTATCCATGCCTTGAAGGTGCCATCACTACAATATGAGATAGGATGGCAGAGGACAACGTTCAAGTGCTTGGGTTCTGGACTCAGACTGACGTGGATTTGAATCCCTGCTCTTCCATTTATCAGCTGTGTGATCATTGGACACATTACTTAGTTACTCTGTGTTTTGTCTGCAAAAAATTGAGGCTAAAATATGTACACCACAAAGGGCTATTAGGAGGAGTAAAGCTGATAAGCAAACCATGGAGGAAACACAATCTGACATTCACATGGGTTTAACACTGGGACTCAGACAGCTTTGTAGAGAAAGAATTTTTTTTAAAGTGCAGTACAGGAAAGGGGTCTGTGTCCAAGAGGTCCAGAAGGGTCGTGTGGACTAGCCACAGAATTCAGCAATGGTCTCATACGTTGTCAGGGGCCAGTCTCTTATCTAATGTAGGTTCATTCATTTATCTGTTCATTTAACAAAGATCTGAGAGCTACTACACTCACAACTTCCTGCATGATCTAGTTACCCTGGGAAGTACAGAGTCGTAAATTTGGACATATTTCAGAGTGAAAGGGATGCTATTAAGAATTACTAAGGGACAACAGGCGAAATCAGGACATATGGTCACTATGCTAGGGAAAATGTCTGGGATAAGGAAAAAAAGTAAATAGTCACCCTTTAAAGCTTTTTCTGTGCCCCCACTCATGTCCACACTCATTCCCCCCTATTCCAGAGTGTCAGTCTATGATGAAATAAGAAGAGTATTATATTCCGTCAAGAATTAGGACCAATCACATTTTGGAGAAGGCATTGTACTGAAGTAAATGTTTTTATTGTCTCATATTACCATAGTGGGTTAATTTTGTCAGACACATGTGGTTGAAAGTGAAAAAGCCCCACAACAATCAAATTGAAAAAAAAAAAAAAGGAAGAGTCATCCTACTTTTTCTTTCTTTTTTTTTTTTTTAGAAGGAGTCTCGCTCTGTCGCCAGGCTGGAGTGCAGCGACACGATTTCGGCTCACTGCAAACTTCGCTTCCCGAGTTCAAGCAGTTCTCCTGCCTCAGCCTCCCGAGTAGCTGGGACCTCAGGCACATCACCAAGCCAGGCTAAATTTGGTATTTTTAGTAAAGATGGGGTTTCGCCATGTTGGCCAGGATGGTCTCGATCTCTTGACCTCCTGATCCGCCCACCTCGGCCTCCCAAAGTGCTGGGATTACAGGCGTGAGCCACCACGCCCGGCACCTAGTTTTCTTAATTGGTCACTGTCATTTTCTTAAACTTGTGAACAAATGAGAACCTAAAAGAGCCAATCTTTCAAGATGGATCCCAGTGGCTAACTGAGCTTAAATTTAAAATAGAGCCAAGCTGCCACGTGTTGACTAGAGCTAACACGTGTACTACAAATTCCCCGAAAACCCACACCTCTATCTAACTTTGGAACTTTCAGAGCTCACCTGAAGCAACCAACCAGAGCTCACCTGTCGCTGCCAATAAGGGCTCAGCTGTATTGACCAACCAGAGCTCAACTGAGTCAACCAATCAGAACTAAGTTTGAATTGTTTATTTGCATAAATTGACTGTACTGGGAACCTCGATAGGAACTTTCTCTATAAAAGCCATATCCTCTCTTTGTTCTCTGGAACTGCACTTTTGTTTTACACTGAAGTCTGCACCTCCCTGGTTTGCAAACTGTACACAGGAATAGCCTCTTTCCTCCAAATTCCTTTACAAAGAATTTTTCTTCACAATATGATGCGAGAGGTAGAAGACATGCTTACAGCTGTGGATTCATATCCTGAAATCACCACGATTACAATAAAACGAAAAATCAAACAAAGAAATAAAAAGTAGACAAAAACCTCAAACTAATTTTCTCTTCAATTTACAAGGCTGAACAGCTAGGAGGAGACTTATTGATTCAGGACAGTTCACCTGCTCACATTTTGAGCCAATGGCTGAGGCCCAGGACTGGAGATACTTCATTAGTTTAGCCAGTGGAGAGTGGGGTTTGGATGCTCTCATTGGATACTTCTATCATAAGTGATGCATACTCATAGGGGTTAAGCTTTGCATTAAAAAAGATTGTAGACTGGGAAATAATATAATTAGACAAATGTGAATGACTTAGAGCAGTTATTTCAGTTTCTAGGAAGCTTAAAAAGGGTTCATTGATTTATTTGACTCAGCTATTTCTGCACTGTGGGTTTTTGTTATGTGTTTAAATGAATTCTATAACAGAGGTAATGTTGAAAAAAGATTGTATGAGGTCTGCTTGTTCCATTAGTAATGTTTGTCCCAGTTCGATCCTTCTGAATTTTTATTTATAGCAGTAAACTGTTTCCCTGTGTGTGCGTGTGTGTGTGTGTGTGTGGGTGGGTGTGTGTAATGTAATTTAATTACTAGTATTTCAGGTATGAGTTTTGTAACCACATTTATAAATGAGCTGCTCATATATATACATATACATATATATATATGTATATATATATATATATATATATTTAGTATGCTTCCTTCAATGGGTATCAACATCATATTATATTTTCTTGAAATAAGTTTTGTCGGCTGGGCGCAGTAGCTCATGCCTGTAATCCCAGCTCCTTGGGAGGCCGAGGCAGGAGGATCGCTTGAGTCCAGGAGTTCTACACCAGTCTGGGGAAACATGATGAAACCACATCTCTACAAAAAAAAAATATGAAAACTAGCCGGGCGTGGTGGTGCGCGCTTCTAGTCCCAGCTACTCGGGAAGCTGAGGCAGGGAAATCACTTGAACCCAGGAGGCAGAGGTTGCAGTGAGCTGAGATCGCACCACTGCACTCCAGCCTGGGCGACAGAGCGAGACTCTGTCTCAAAAAAAGAAAAAGTTTTCTCTCTTTAAACCTGGAACCATCTTACTAGCAATAAATGACCTGATCTTAAAAGTCTGACAGGAAACAGCATTGGAATTTGGGATGGTACCTTCTTGGTGATTGCTATTTCTTTAATTCTTCTTAATCGCTAAATCCTTGTTTGGTTCAGTTTCTGGGATTTATGTTTTACATTCATATATTTAATAAATGTTTCTGAATGTATTATCATAGATTCTTGAAGGGTATTTTTTAACTTCAAAATATTTCCAATTTCATGGATTCAATTTTTCTCCATAAGGAGGTTTCTTAGAGAATTGGGGTAACATTTTTTCACCCAACATCACTTATTCACCAACACTAACATTCAGAGTATTTTGGGGATCAAAATACTGTTAAGAAAACAATTTTAAATTTCGCACATGTTTAAGGATTTGTAATATTTTTACAAGCATCTCAATTTCTGTTTGTGTTGTGTGCTTGGAGACTGTGGTTTGGCCATCGTTCCTTATCCACATTCACTGAAGGTGTCGATCATAACTGAGGACAGGAGCCGAACAGCCAGGTCCCTTTAATGCCCAGGACCCTTCGGCAGCCATGTCAGGGTGTTCCTGCTCAAGCCGGGGTGGCTTAGCCCTTGATAACAGAAGATTCTGAGATGGGTGAGAAGTGGTCCACACGTGGCCACTGTCATTCCTCTGGCATAATGGACTTGGGCTCAGGAGGTCAAGCCCTCTTCAAGGAGCATGAGCTGAAATTGCTAAACTTTGGGAGTTTTCCGTGACACCCTTCAAAGTGCTCACGGTGTGGCATGGATCAGCTGGGGAGGGTTGATGTGGTTTTGCCCTGTGGGGTATCTATCTGTGTACTTTTGTCTGAGGGAGGCAACTGGGGCCACTTAGGCCGGCAGGTGCCCACTGTGATTGGTTGACATGATACCAAGCAACAGGATCATCCAGTCACCTTCAATGCAGGGAGGATGGCTGACAGGCTCCCTGGGTGACACTTCATGCAATCAGATGTCGAGTTGGACTGTGACATAGAGCCATGTGGCCACACTAAATTCCCCCCCACCCTTCCCCTGTCCACAACCGTCATTGTCTGTTCTTGCCATCCAGTGGCCACTGCCTCCACCATGGCTGAGGCTTTCTCTAAGACAACCTCTGAGGAAGACCAGAGCATCCAGGAGCCCAAAGAGGCCAACTCCATGACGGCCCAGAAGCAGAAGAAGTGAGGGCTTCGAGGCTCCCGTAGGCGCCATGCCAACAGCGGCGGAGATATCTTCGGGGACAGCTTTGCCGCCTATTTCCCCCGGGTGCTGAAGCAGGTTCACCAGGCCCTCAGCCTTTCCCAGGAGGCCGTGAGTGTCATGGATTCTATGGTTCGTGACATACTGGACCGCATCGCCACCGAGGCTGGTCACCTGGCCCACTACTCCAAGTGCGTGACCATCACCTCCCGGGACATTCGGATGGCCGTGTGCCTGCTGCTGCCGGGGAAGATGGGCAAGCTCGCTGAGTCTCAGGGCACGAATGCCACCCTCAGGTACACCAAAAGCAAGTGAGCTATCTCAGGAGCGCCCGAGCACCCGGGAAAGCCAAATGCTCTGTTCAGAACCACCACACGTGGCCCTAAAGACCAGTGGCCTGCCAAGGAGGGGACCCCACTGGAGATTGGGGTGGGTGGCACCGTTCTGGCTTGGGGAGCATGTGGCGTGTGGCCTTCTGCGGTTTTTCAAGCATTTTTCCCACAGTGCAAAACACTGTCAACTCCAATACATCTGTAGTGCAATATGCTCCAAGGAAAAGTAGGGGGTGTTTCCGTAATCGTGTTTCATGTCCTCAGTTTCCTAAATGGCCGTTTTTATCAGTTATCTTTCTAGGTTATCTTTGTGGTGATATTATCAATGTACTGATGTTTACCCTTTTCACTCTCATTCTCCTACAACTGGATGGTGGAATTTTCCAGAACTTCATTATGTGCGATATGGCAAGAGAGAAAGTGAATACGCTGATATAAGAAGCAAGGTAACCCTGCTAAAAGTGTTCAGCATCTTTCTCCCCATGAATCCATGTAAATAAGCAAACGAGGCACAGTTACAGTGTACATATAGCTAAATAAATTTTCAAGAATCCATTCGTTTTCCAGCTTCCCTGACTCTGAGATCACTATTGCAATTCATTCTCTTTTTGCACTGACAATAATCATTTCGTTTCTTTTTGAACAGAAACCTTCCTTCCTTCCAGATGTGTGTCAGTAGAATTACAGAGTGTCCACGGAAACAGCTCATGCCCTAGTGTACAGTGGTGCAGCCAATGAGTGACCTGAAGTCTATGAGCAACACTCATTGTCCCAATGTGGGACGAGTGACCGAAGCTGAACCCACAACAGCCTTCCTGTGATATTCCACGTGGTGGTTAAAGGCATGGCGATGTGATTCTTTACCTGATGTTTTTGTTTGCAGTGTTTGTAATCATGGTCTTTTAGGGATATGAATCCAAAGCTAAGATTAATATACGTTCCTTGACCCTAACATCAAGTTATACAGAGCATTGTCAGCCATTAGAAGAAGTCAGATAACGCTTATTTCCTCAAAAGATTGGCATATTAATATTCACGTTAATATTAATACAGGCTACCTTTCATTGTGCTCTCTTCTGGGTCCCAAGTCTTGGTATTTTTAGAATTTTTTTTTTTCTATAAGTGTATTGCTGAATTTCAGAGCAGGTGCTGACTTACCCATTGCTTTCCTTTTCCATTGATTTCCAGTCGCCCGAGTATGTGGACAAGAGAACATACTCTGGGATTGCAACCCACAGGAATTTATTATGTTGTGCCTTGAAGCTCAATATGTGGCCATTTTTGTTAAATGTTTCCCGTAAATTTTGAAACATCTCATAAACAACCCTTCTCCTTCATATGTAGAAACCAGTAAAGGATGGCACTCTCAGTCAAACCACGAAGCAAAAGCTGGATAAATGACAAAAATCAAAATTTTCTTGAGCCCGTCAGAAGTGGGAAAGAACCACCCCAGAGGGACCCAACACATAGCCACATAGATTATTTCACCATTTAAAGAGGACCCCTTGGTCAAGAGGGAAAAGGGTTCGGGGCAGGATAGTAGCCAGAGCTTCCCTGAGTAGTGCAGATGGGAAGAGGGGAAGGTCACCTCCAGAGCTCCACTTGGGATCCATAGAGAAATGATATAGAACCAAGAAGTCCACTCACTGGGATTTGTTACTTTCTGTTTTTCCAGAATATTAGAAAAATATTATGAAAATAGTTGAAGAGAAATGTTATGAAAATAGTTGAAGCTGTACTTACTGCACAAGGAGACCAAGAAAAACTCCCACAAAATCAGCTGCAAGTAAATCCCTCTGGATGGTGCCGCCACATGTTCCTACAAGTCCAGAACAACCCTTGCCAAACCAAAGACACTTGGCAGAACCCTGTTCCTTTCTAGAGACAGAGCTGTATACCTGTTCCAAAACACCACATCTCACTCAGTGACTTATTTCTCATTATGCTAATTGTTTTGCTGTAAAGTGCCAATGTTTCTGTGAATTAAGACATACGAATAAATTTCTGAAGTTACCCTTGCATATGTGTGTAATTAGACAAGTCCTTTTGAGAAACCAGATCCATTGGGATATTTTACCCTGGAATATGTGTTTTCCCTTTGTAAATTCAGAAATCAAAGAGGAGGATTAGTAAAACAGGGTTAACAATGAAATCTGATTTGTTTGTGGGGAGTGAAGAATGAGGTGGCAAGGGGACTGATGTTGGTGAATTATAGGAAGAAAGAGGAAGGGGGTGGATTGATGCGAAGATCGGAAGAGGAAGCTCGCACATTTGATATAGCATTTCAGTGAGTGATTGAGCAGAAGGGAAACGTAGCGAGCAATCATGATGTCATGTTGCGACTTATAGGAAACACAAACTAAGGGAAAGAGCTTTGCTACCTAAACAACAAATAAGAAGTATCAATGTAGGGAAAATAGCATGAGTGGGATAAACATAGTCCAGTCAAACATTTTATCAGCTTTCCCTGTAAGCTGGAGTCCATTTGAAAACATAAGCAAGGACCCGAACGCAGCACAGAGAAAACTACATCAAAAAGTTTAAGGAACAATACCTATTCTAGGCTCCCTCGTAATGAAATCTCACTTGTTTAGATTTATCTGATTCTGCTCTTCTTCAGGATAGAATCTTTTGTTTTTGAAAATCTTCATGACTGGCCTCTACGTGTCATGGGGATCATGGAATGCTGTCCGATGGCGCAGCACAAGCTCCACTCGGATCCATGTCAGCCAGTGAGGCAACTGCAGCCGAGGGGCCACAGCCCAAAGTGTGATCAGGTCTCCCGGTCTGAACTAGGAAGAGTTAGTTGTCCAGGGATGTTCAATGGGAGTTGAAGGGGAAACCTGTGATTAGAGGGGTGTACTTCTTTGATTCCTCGATGGGTTGTATGATTTTAATGCTGTTGATGGAGGTGTATTCTATTAGTTTTCGAGGGCCGCTTCAAAAACATTCCAGGGACTGGCTAACTTAAACACTATTTATTTTTAATCTCACAGTTCTGGATACCAATTTTCACCTTTTGGTAAGGAGACCAATCCTGTTGGGTAGGGTCAAACCTCACAACTTCACCTTAACCAGATGGCCTGTGTAGAGACTCTCTCCGAATAAGGTCACATTCTAAAACACTAGGGGCCAGGACTTCTACCTGTGACTTTTAGGGAGACAGAACTCCATACATACTAGTACATATTCTGCATCCATTCCGCGGCACAAATTAACGTCCACACATAGAAAATATATTCATTTCATCACAACATCCCCAAAGTCTTAACTCACTCCAAAATCAGTTCTCCAGTATCTCACCTGATAATCTTCTATGTCTGGAATGGGTGAGTCTCCAGGTGTGACTCATGCTGAGGTGGGAATTCTCTCCACCACTGCACCTGCGAAGCTAGACGAGTTATCTGTTTCTGAAAGACAGTGTGGGACTGGTACCAGATAGGGCTTATCATACCAAAAGTAGGAAATCTGAAAAACTACTGGAGTTCGTGGACCTTAAGCACCTTTGAAACCTAGTGGGGGCAAATTCCATTAGATTCTAAGGATGGAAAAGATTCTACTTGGCCTCAATGCTCTGTCCTTCAGGCCCAGTGGGGTAACAGCTTTACACCCTAAGCCCTGGGCAGCGGGGTGGGGGATCTCCCCCCAGCCTGGGCTGCTGCAGCCCATCCCTCTGAAACCGAGGAAGTGGGACAAATGCCTGGAACTTGGGAGGTGACCTCTGTTTCTGGGACGAAGAGAGAGATGGCCCAGTCCCCTAGTAATGTGCCCCTGGTTCTTGGAGGCAGTGACGGCCATGCCAACCTCTGACCCAACTTTCTAGTCCTTCTTCACTGTCTCAAAAATGAAGAAACGGTCACAGCTGGGTACCTCAGTCAGTCCCTTTCTTGCCGGTACAGTCCAGGAACTCTAACAGCCTCCTTGCATTTCATCCCATCTTTTTCTGGTTCAGTCCATTCCGGCAACATTTTTTTGGTATAAAATTCTCAAAAATTTTTTGGCTTCCCATGGAATTCACATGAGTCCAGGCCATCAGGCAAGAAGTTGTCTAAAGATCTTTCTTGAATACCCATATCTCCCTTATCTCAATTCCTAACTTCTGCAGAGATGGTTGATTGGATCTGAGCCACATGTCTCTCCTCTTAGGCTAATGGTTTTCCGGGCACACCCTTGCACCTATTTCCAGAGCAAGGTGTCTGCATACTTTGAGTACCTTCTGAACCATCCAATGCTGGCTTCCTTTTCCTTAGTGCTTCCTTGGCTAATTTCTCTCTCTTCTCTCCCATTTAATATACAGATCTAGGAGAAACCAGATTAAATCCTAAAAACTTTTCTCAGTTTGCCAGTGTAGTGACCAAGGTTCCCCCTGCTCCTCTTAAGTTTCGCTGAAAACTGAAGTCACAAAAGGCAGATCCATAGGACATAAGGCATACCAACTTATACAACGTGTATCCCCGGGAGCCTTTAGTGTTAATAGCCAAAGACACATGGGAAATTATCTGTTTTTATGCCTTGGCTCAAAGGAATACAGACAGCCGTGTAGAAATATGATGGGACAAAAAGGCTATGATCTAATGCCAATAGACAGAGTGGGGGAAACCCGACAAGGCCTGTGTGTCTAGACTCCGCTTGGCCTGTCTGAGCACACAGTACTTCCTCCCGGATACGGGGCAGGACCCTCTCTGGAATGGCGATCTTGTGACTTCCTTTCAAACGAGATAGGTTAGATGATTTTTTCACAGACAGTTTTTACATGAAAATGTGGAAAATGTTACAATACATTTCTAGGTTTTGTGACTACCTTTAGAAAAAAGAGCTTCTGATTTCTTGGACCCACCTTCGGGAAGAGGGATTCTGGTCTTTATGTTTAGCCCCTGGGGTAGAATGGGACTGACAGACAGGAGGACCAAGAATGTCAGAGAAAATCTTTTTCATCTGAGACTACTTCTGAAGCCCTCATTTTGGGGTATTGTGCCCTGAGCTCCAACAATAGAAATCAGCTACATGTGCATGTTCATCACTTACAATTTCTACTTTCCTCAAAGACACTAGGAACACAATACAGCCCAAGCCTTTGCCACTGTAAAACTAGGATGGCCTTTCCTCATGCTTCCAATAACCTCTTCCTAGTCTCCATCTGAAAACACACCAGAAGCACCTTTAATACACATAGTTCTAGCAACATTTCGGTGGTCATGATATATGTATTCTCTAAGTCAGAGATCCTTTCTCTACAGCAAAGAACTCTTTCTTAACCCTCGTTTCAATGTCATTTGGTGTTCATATTTTCCCCCGCCATTTCCTAAAGGCACTCTAGGCTTCTTGTGTCGTGCATATCAAAACACTTCTGGCCTGTATGCATTACTTACTTCCAAGGCCTCTTCCAGTCTTTCGGATGTTCCTTATCACATCATCCCACTGCTTGGCAACAGAACCTCTAGTAGTTTGCTAGGGTCATTCTGACAAAGTACCACAAACCTGGTGGGATAAACAGCAGAAATTTATTGTCGTGGTTCGGCAGGCTGGAAGTCCAAATCAAAGCGTCAGCTGGGTTGGTTACTTCTGAGTAGTAAGAGGGAAGGATCTCTTCCAGGGATCTTTCCTTGGCTTGTAGGTGGCCCAGTTCTCGCCATGCCACTTCACATTTTCTTCCCTGAACACATGTCTCTGTGTCTGAATTTCCCCTTTTGGTATGCAAAATGCATACTAGTCATTTTGGATAGAGCGCACCCTAATGAATGTAATTTAACTTGAGTACCCCAGTAAAGGTCCTACCTGCAAGTAGGAGAGAGATGAGGGGTCAGGAGTCTAATAGTTACATTGGAGATAGAGGGATCTTAGCTTGCACACTCCTTATGGGAACCTAATGAACGACGATCTGTCACTGTCCCCATCACCCCCATATGGGAACATCTAGTTGCAGGAAAACAAGTTCAGGGCTCCCACTGATTCTACATTATGGTGAGTCGTAATATTATTTCATTACACATTACAATATAATAATAATAATAGAGATAAAGTGCACAATAAGTGTAATGCACTTGAGTCATCCCAAAACCATCCCCTCAATGACGTTCTGTGGAAAAATTGTCTTCCCTGAAACCGGTTATTGGTGCCAGAAAGGTTGGGGACCGCTGGTCTAGCTATCTCATGTTGGCAAACTGCAATCCCACGAATCATTTCTTATCTTAGCCTATGTCTGGGAATAGGGGCAATCTTTGGAATTACTTCTTCTCTGAAGAGGGTATGGCATCCAGTCGCTATTGAACTTCAGTACACTATTGAGAAGTCTAATTGTCAATGGCCAATAGATTGATCCTCTAAATTAACCCACTAAATTATGTTAAAAGGATTTTAGAGATTTGTCATTCTAACCGATTGATAAAAATGTTAAATATATAAAAAGATACATCATGGTGTGGCAGCTAGCCTTAAAACTTGGCTTGACAAAAGTGAAGAGCAAAAATCAGACCAAAACAAAGATAACCTCCTGTGTCTGCTCAAACTGCCCCATGTGGGAATAACAACAAAGGCCACTCCACCTTGTGACCTTCGAGTCCAAATTCTGCACTTTCGCCTCAACGCCGTGGGTTGCATTGCTAGTCAGGAAACCCGCCCTTCTTGGTTGGATATTGGTGTGACTTTTGGGGAGTATCTATTTCTTATTGACCCTTTTCCCTTCCTTGGATTGCTTTTGATTTCCTGTCTTCCTTCACCTGCGATGCGGGCACATGAGGCCCTTTGGCCTTCTTGTGGAGATAGCTGAGAATCTAAGATCCTAGAAAATTTGGTAGGACAAATATGTGGGTTGTATCCTGTGAAAGGCTAGCAAAACTTTCTTTTCTCTTTGAGCCGTCTGGGGTTTGGGGCAATTCTGGACCTTGTGAAATCTACTTTCCGCCCCTTTGAAGACACCTCAGGCATCCTTGGTTGTGTCATAATCTTGGTGAAACTTACTGGAACGATACCTTTACTTTACAGAAAACAAAACAAACAAGAAAAGGTCAAAACCCAGAAATATCAGCTGCTTGTCTTCTGCTGCTGCTTGTGGGCCATAGTGGCATCGGCCGCTTTCCGCTCCTTCGTGCTCAGGCCTTTGTCAGAGGTCGTCTCAGAGGAAGGCTTAACCATCTCAGAGGCAACTGCCAGTGGATGTGAGGAACAGACAATGATGGTTGACCACAGGCGGGAGGGCCTTTTATAGTCACCACATGGTTACGTCACAGGCCACCAACTCCACATCTGACTGAATGAAGTGCCAAGCAGGGAGCCTACCAGCAATCCTCCCGGCCTCAGAGGCAACTCGATGGTCCTGTTGCTTGGCAATCACAGTGGGTGTCTGTCGACATGCTCCCCGCCTCTCACCTGCCACGGAGCAGGTGCTCAACCCCGCCCACTCTCAACTAGGGCGAGCTCTGCATTCCACGCATTCTTCCACTCCTGTTCTGCGACCACTCCAGTTCCAAAAAAGCTCGGTGGTACTACGAATCCTCTCTAAATCATACTCCTCATCTGTTTATTCCTTATTTCTTCCTCCAGGAGCCCACTTTCTCTTGAGAAAGCTGCAGATCCTCGTTCAGCATGGTGCACCAGGGTTCCCAAAGACCTGATGTGTGAGGCTTCTTTGCCTTTTCATAGGTAAGGTGAGCACATAATTTCTTGTTGAATACATATGGGGGCAGCTTTCAGAGTAAATGCAGCACTATGAATCATCGGGCTGGGACAACAGGCAAAATCAGGACGCGTGGCCACCCTTCTAGGGGAAAGATCTGGGGATAGAATAAGGGCATCCTTTGGGGTTTGAAACACTAAAGTTCTTGGGTAATGAGACCAATTTACTTTTAATAGCTTTTTTTTTGTCTTCTCTTTGAAGTTCTGGTGACTTTATTTCCTGGAGGCAACTAGTGTGGCTAGGCTGCATTAACATGGGAAAATGACACAACATCGTGAGAACGTCTGTTTGGGTCTTAGGACTCATGTGAGCTAGTGGGACCAGACTCGACTGCAAGAGTGATTGAGGGCACGGGTTTGGGAGTCAGAGGAGATCTGGGTTCAGACCTCAGCTGTGCCTCTTACTGGCTGTATTGCCTTGCGCAAGTGGCTTGACTTCTCTGAATCTCAGTTTCCTCCTCTGTGGAATACAGATCTAGAAGGTGGTTGTCAAGATCCAGGGTGATGATGCAGATGGGGTGCCAGATACATAGTCTGCAACCAATGAATGTCGGCTGTACGTGGTTCCAATACCGAGATTCGTGTCCTCGGGCAATCACAGGTGGTGGGGGTGGGATCCAGTGCCAGACAGCTGTATGAACACGCTCTCCTGGCTACCTGGGCCCCATCTGTTTGCTTCGGGCTGACAGTGAGATAAGGGACAATGACTTTTCCCTCCTGAGCCACATGTTAGTGAAGCGGTGGAGATAATTCTGCTCTGAGTCCTGACGGGAAGTTGCTGGGGAGCAACTTTACAGTGCTCCTGGCTTGGGGCACTACCCACTCGGGGCTTTGTGGCAAGCTATTCCCCCTCACGGCCAAGGAACCTGGCTTCCCATACCACCTCCTTTCCTCCACCCACCGTCTCCCTATCTGAATCCTATTCACTTTTCAGGTCTTGGCTCAAATCCTGACTCCCCTGTGAAGATGTCCTGACCCTCCCAGCCTAGAGCCACTACTCCCTCCTTGAATCTCAGGATCTCCAACTGTGACATGGCCATACTATTTGCCACATCCCCACAGACGGATTGTGATGAGGAAGGAAAGAGAGAGTCCATGTAGCATGCTAGATGCGGTGTCTGGTGCAGGCCTGTGGTGAGTTCCCTGCCTCTTCCTCTTCCTCCCCTCTGACCCCCAGCATGCAGGCATGGCGGCCTTGATCACCTGCTGCCTTCTCTAGATAATCCTTGGGGATCATTCCTGTGCTAGTTGTCCCCTCAGTTGCAATGTCACAGACCATGGGGCCACATCTCATCCTTCCTCACCTTCCAGCATCCAGCACTACAATAAACACCATCGTAACCATTTTTCATTGGGCATCTTAGGGTACCATGTGGCAGGCACTCGGCTGTGTAGGTAATGCACACAAGTGTAGTCCTCACTCATTCCCCTCCTAGCTCTCTTCCAGGATGTGCAGGCATTGATTCTCCTTTGAGTTATATCAGACAGATTGTGTCAACCGCTACCAAGGTCGCATCATGAGTAAGTAGCCCTGACAGGCATCAAGTACTATGCTAGATTAAGTTTCTAATGAATGCCTGCGAAAGGGTGGTTGGCAGGAGGGACAGATGTAGAGCCCAGAGTACGACTGCCTGCCCCGTGCTTTTACCCGGCAGAGGCAGGCCTGCTTGAGAGAAAGCTGTACGCAATAAAGACATAGGATTCAGCGGGTCCTCGAGCTTAGGAAAGGGGATATAGTCGCTCCAGGACAGGGGGAGAAATGGAGAGGGGATGAGTCACGCTAAACCTCAAGGCAACTGTCCCAGGGAATTCCACAGTGGCTCCAGTATCCCCCAAAATAGTAGCTGATGACCTACCCACAGGCCATCCTCGAGATGAACTGTAGAACAAGCCCGGGTCAAGCGAGCCTCCTTGGAAGACATTTGTTAGCCTAGAAGATGTTGAATCCCTTGGGAGCCCACGATGGGCATTTCACTCCTACAGATCCGTGAGTGAGAACCAGGCCACAAGATCACCCATGTGACCTATGATGCAATGAGGAGACAGGCTCCACTGTGCTTAAGTGTCCCTTGCAAATAGAAGCCAGAGGAGCCGCACTCAGTGCTATTTATTCACCCTATGCCTAAGGTCATTGGGGAAGGTCCCAGACACCTTGTACTGGCATACTTGATGCCTTGGAGGGGCTGGCTGGAGGGCTGAGCTCAGCTGGGCCTCTGCACCTCTCCAAGGCCCCTCAGAGCATATCACTGTGGTGTCTCCAGCAGGAGAGGTGGGCTTCTTTCGTGGCAGCTCAGAGCTCTCAGACAGCCAGGCAGAGGCCATTCTAGTCCTCTGAAAGGTTACCTCTGGGACAGGCTAACGTCCACCATTCTCCATGTGTCAAAGCCATCACAGGCTTGTCGGGAGCCCAGAGGGAGGGGCAAACAGATGCGACCAATGGGCCAACGGGAAGAGCATTCAGGAATGAGCAGTCTTTCTGAGATGCGGCCTATTCAGCATACAATTCTTGAGATGCTGCTGGGTGGTACACATGGAGCATGTGCATAAAAGAAGAGGTGCTTTACTCTCTGGGTCAAAGCGGTAGGCTCTCTAATGGTTTTAGGTTGGACCTATCACTATAGGGTGACCTCTCCCATTTAGTGGATCCTCCTTCTCCATGCCGCAGTGATTGCCCTTAAGTGGCATGGAGTTTCTAAGCATTATAGATGCTCTTTCTCCCTTCTGGGGCCCTGGCCATACATAAACAGACACACAGAACAACATTAAGGAGAATATGGGAAATCAGTACTTGTTAATAGTAGCTTGACTAGAACCTGGTCTCAATATCTGAGCCTCCAGATTAGGGGCCCCCGAGTGTTCCAAATTCCCTCATCAACCTCCTCTTTCAGGGCTCCCCTAAAATGTGGCACTCCAATGACAATCCATCCCTCTCTATGGAGCCTACGACAGCACACACCTCAGCGTTCTAGAGAGGACAGGTTTCAGGCCACCGGAGGAATTTAGGGAGTGACTACAGGAGCGACCTTATCCCACACTGTTTGAACAAGCACTGTGGGCCAATGGCCATGGACTGAGCCAGTGGAAAGTGGGGCTTGGACCCCTCTGATTGGACGTTTCCATCATCCCAACGATGCGTTAGTTCCAAGTCATGAAGGTGGGTATTTCCAGAAATAAAACAATATAACCTGGAAAAGAACAGACAGAATCAGATACATTAGAAGTAGTTGGAGTAATAACTTCAGTTTCTAGGGAGCTTGGAGAGGTATTGATTCTTGAACTTTATGATGTACTTATGTCATCAAAAACACATACATTTTGTGGATGGGTGATACTAAGATATTTATTTATTCTTTTTATATAGTTTATATATATATATATATATGTTACATATATGTATTTTACATTATATATCTTTTTTAGTTTTTTCTTATGACTGGGTCTCACTTTGTCACCCGGGCTGCAGAGCAATGACGCCATCTCGGCTCAGTGTAGACTGGACAATCTGGGTTCAAGCGATTCTCCTACCTCAGCCCCATAAGAAGCTGAGACTGCAGGCATGTGTCACTGCGCCTGGCTAATTTGTGTGTGTGTGTGTGTGTGTGTGTGTGTATTTTTGTATTTTTGGTAGAGATGGGTTTCCCCATGTTGCCCTGGCTGATCTCGAATTCCTGAACTCAGTTGATTCACCCGCCTTGGACTCCTGAAGTGGTAGGATTACAGGCACTGTGCCGGGCCCTAGATATTTAAATGATGTCCATAATATGGGTCCTGTTGTAAGAAACAACCTGGTTGGTTACGTCTGTCGTATTAATACATCTGTTTTCTAGGTTGACAGTTATACTTTGTCACAGAAGCAGTAAAACCATTTCCTTTTAGATTGTCCTTTCCGTAAACCTCACCATCAGATCACGAAGCCTCCCTAGGCGTCCTTTTTCCTCCTGCACCCGCTGAAGTCAACAATCAGATGTCCTCACCTCCCCTTGGATCTTCCACATCAAACCCCATTTCCCTCAACTCCTTCCTAAATTTCATTAGTGTCAGTCAACTTTGAGCTTCTGGGCTTCAAGTCTGCAGCCCGCTTCTGATGCATTTTTGAATGTCGTATGGACAAACACTGGCATTTTGAAGCAGTAGCAATGAGCATGACGGAAATTAAGTGATGTGTAGAGAAATTATATATTTTTTTCCTCTGATGCATAGAGTTCTGTTTTGGAAAGTGTGCACATGCCCGCAGAGATCCTTTGTTTTCCAATAGTTTAAGACAAACTCAAGGCACCACCCAGAGGGATTGGCTTGCAGTTGAATTGTAGTAGTTTCTCCTAGTCTGCTTAGGAAAAAAATGTTTTTCCAAGTCTTTTCATGATGTTCATTTACTTCTCCAGAATAAAAATAAGTAATGAATTTTCTGAGGTGGCTCTTTGTCCTAAATTTTCACCCTCATGATCCAAAGAAGAGTCTTGAAGATATCATTTCCCACCAGAATTCTTGTGATTTAGGCCTTGAAAACACAGACATTTATTCCCACTCCTCAATCTAGCATTGTGCCCTTCTTGCCTGGGCTACTCAAGGATGCTTCCCCTAGTATCCTCCCTTACCCCCATTCATTTACTTGAGGTCACAGGGGTCTACCGAAGTTAAAGAAACTTTGTGTTTTATCTCTCCTGGAGGGTTGTAAGCTCCTTCTGATGGGCTACAGAAAAGCGTTCATTTTTGGACACTATCCAACATTGGTCACATGGTTTCGCTGAAAGTGATGACCCTTATAGGTTTGTACCTACTACTGAATGGTGGAGTTTACAAGTTATCATAAAAGTGCAAATGGAACACTTAACAAAATTAGCCAAATCTAGGACTTTAAAGCAAATAGTCATACATTTCTGAGGATTGAAATCACAGAGTATCTTCTCTCCCTTTTGAGCTGGAAAAGGACAAATATATATATATATATATACATATATATATATATATGTATATGTATATGCATATATATTATATATACAATACAATTACTCAACTTTCAAGTAGACTTTAAAAAACATGGGTAGGGATCACCTTATTTCCCTTCATCAGTCACCAGTGTTCTCTTAACATACTGGAAGAGGCTGGAGATATCCACATCTACAACTCAGGATTCCTATGTTCTGTTTGTTCAGTTGTGCTCCCCGCTGCCTCTGCCACACCAAATACGTGAGTTTGACTCCTAACCTCTCATCTCTATTCTACTTAAAGATGGTTTCTTTACTGGGATACTCAAGTTAAATTACATTCATTAGGAGATATCACCACTGATTTCACAGAAATACAAACTACCGTCAGAGAATACTATAAACACTTCTATGCAGGTAAACTAGAAAATCTAGAAGAAATGGATAAATTCCTGGACACATATACCCTCCCAAGTCTAAACCAGGAAGAACTCGAATCCCTGCCTCTGCCGGGTAAAAGTCATGGGGAAGGCACTTGTATTCTGGGCTCTACGTCTGTCCTTCCTGCCAACCACCCATTCTCAGGCACTCACTAGAAACTTAATCTAGCATAGGACTTTATGTCTGTCGAGGCCACTTACTCATGAAGCGACCTTGGTAGCGGTTGACACAATTTGTCTAATATAATTCAAAGGAGAATCAATGCCTGCACATCCTGGAAGAGGGCTAGGAGGGGAAAGAGTGAGGACTACACTCATGTGCATTACACACATAGCCGAGTGCCTGCCACATGTTACCCTAAGGTGCCCAATGAAAAATGGTTATGATGGCTTTTATTGTAGTGCTGGATGCTGGAAGGTGAGAAAGGATGAGATGTGGCCCCCATGGTCTGTGACATTGCAACTGAGGGGCAACTAGCACAGGAATGATCCCCAATGATTATCAAGAGAAGGCAGCATGTGATCAAGGCCGCCATGCCTGCATGCTGGGGGTTCGGAGGGGAGGAAGAAGTGTAGGCGGGGAACTCACCACAGGCCCGCACCAGACACTGCACTTAGCATGCTATATCGACTCTCTCTTTCCTTCCTCATCACAATCCGTCTGTGGGGATGTGGCAAACAAGTATGCCCATGTCACAGTTGGAGATCTGGAGACTCATGAAACGAGCAGTGGCTCTAGGCTGGGAGGGTCAGGACATCTTCACAGGGGAGTCAGGATTTGAGCCAAGACCTGAAAAGTGAATAAAATTCAGTTAGGGAGACGGTGGGTGGGGGCAAGGAGGTGGTATGGGAAGCCAGGTTCTGTGGCAGTGAGTGGAAATAACTTGTCACAAAGCCCCGAGTGGGTAGTGCCCCAAGCCGGGAGCACTGTAAAGTTGCTCCCCAGCAACTTCCCGTCAGGACTCAGAGCAGCATTATCTCTACCGCTTCACTAACATGTGGCTCAGGACGGGAAAGTCATTGTCCCTTATCTCACTGTCAGCTCGAAGCAAACAGATGGGGCCCAGGTAGCCAGGAGAGCGTGTTCATTCAGCTGTCTGGCACTGGATCCCACCCCCACCACCTGCCATTGCCTGAGGGCACAAATCTCGGAATTGGGACCAGGTACAGCCGGCATTCATTGGTTGCTGACTATGTATCTGGCACCGTGTCTGCATCATCACCCTGGATCTTCACAACCACCTTCTAGACCCCTGTTCCACAGAGGAGGAAACTGAGGCTCAGAGAGGTCAAGCCACTTGCCAATCGCAGTACAGCTAGTAAGAGATACAGCTGGGGTCTCAGCCCAGGTCTCCTCTGACTCCCAAATCGATGCCCTCAATCACTCTTTCTGTCGAGTCCGGTCCCACTAGCTTACATGAGTCCTATGACCCAAACAGACGTTCTCAAGGTGTTGTGTCGCTTTCCCATGTTAATGCAGCCTAGCCACACCAGTTGCCTCCAGAAAACAAAAGCACCAGAATGTCAAAGAGAAGAAATCATGAAAAAGATGCTATTAAAAGTAAATCAGTCTCATTGCCCACGAATCTTTTTGTCCCAAAACACAAGGGACGTTCTTATTCTATTGCCAGATCTTTCCCCAGAAGGGTGGCCACACATCCTGATTTTGCCTATTGTGCCAGCCCAATTATTCGTAGTTCCCCATTCCCTCCAAATGCTGCCCTCACATATATTCAACAGGAAATTGCTTGCTCACCCTACCTATGAAAAGGCAAAGAAGCCTCACACATCAGGTCTTTGGCAACCCTGACACACCATGTTGAGCGAGGATCCTCAGCTCTTCCAAGAGAGAGTGGGCTCCTGGAGGAAGAAATAAGGAATAAACAGATGAGGAATATGATTTAGAGAGGATCCTAGTACAACCCAACTTGTCTGGAACTGGAGTAGTCAGAGAACAAGGGTGGAAGAATGCGTGGAACGCAGACCTCGCTCTAGTTGAGAGTTGGCAGGGTTGAGCACTTGCTCTGCGGCAGGTGAGTGTTGGGGAGCAGGTCGACCGACACCCACAGTGATTGCCAAGCAACGAGACCATCGAATCGCCTCCAAGGCCAGGAGGCTTGCTGATAGGCTCCCTGCGTGGCACTTCATTCAGTCAGATGTGGAGTTGCTGGCCCGTGACATAAGCCATGGGGTGACTACAAAAGGCCATCCCGCTGGTGGTCAGCCATCATTGTCCGTTCCTCACATCCACTGGCAGTTGCCTCCAAGATGGCTGAGCCTTCCTCTGAGACAACCTCCAATGAATGCCTGAACATGAAAGATCCCACAGCAGCCGAGGCCACTATGGCCCACAAGCAGCAGAAGACAAGCAGCTGATATTTCTGGGTTTTCACCTTTTCTTGTTTGTTTTGTTTTCGTTAAAGTAAAGGTACCTTTTCAGGTAAGTTTCACCAAGATTATGACACAACCAAGGATGCATGAGGTGTCTCCAAAGAGGAGGAAAATAGATTTCACAAGGTGGAGTGGCCTTTGTTGTTATTCCCACATGGGGCAGTTTGAGCAGACACAGGAGGTTATCTTTGTTTTGGTCAGATTTTTTGCTCGTCACTTTTGTCAAGCCAAATTTTAAGGCTAACTGTCACACCATGATGTGTCTTTTTATATGTTTAACCTTTTTATCAACTGGTTAGAATGAGAAATCTCTAAAATCCTTTTAATATAATTTAGCGGGTTAATTTAGAGGATCAATCTATTGGTTATTGACAATTAGAATTCTCAATATTGTACTGAAGTTCAATAGCGACTGGATGCCATATCCTCTTCAGAGAAGAAGCAATCCCAGAGTTTCCTCTTGTTCCCAGACATAGGCTAAGATAACAAATGACTCGGGGGATAGCAGTTTGCCAGCACACGCTGGGTAGACCAGCGGTCCCCAACCTTTTTGACACCAGTGACTAGTTTCAGGGAAGACAATTTTTTCCATGGAATGGCATTGGGGGTGATGGTTTTGGGATGACTCAAGTGCATTACACTTATTGTACACTTTATTTCTATTATTATTATATTTTAATGTGTAATGAAATAATTTTACGACTCACCATATTGTAGAATCAGTGGTAACCCTGAGCTTGTTTTCCTGCCACTAGACGGTCCGATATGGGGGTGATGGGGGACAGTGACAGATCATCAGTCATTAGATTTCCATAAGGAGTCTGCAGCCTAAGATCCCTCAGTCCCCAATATATATATTAGACTCCTGACCCCTCATCTCTCTCCTACTTGAAGTAGGTCCTTAACTGGGGTACTCAAGTTAAATTACATTCATTAAGGTGTGCTCTAACCAAAATGACTAGAATGCATTCTGCATACCATAAGGGGAAATTCAGACACAGAGACATGCGTCCAGGGAAGAAAACGTGAAGTGGCATGGGGATAAATGGGCCACTTACAAGCCAAGGAAAGATCCCTGGAAGAGATCCTTCCCTCTTACTACTCAGAAGGAACCAACACAGCTGGCACTTTGATTTGGACTTCCAACCTGCTGAACCGTGAACAATAAATTTCTGCTGTTTATGCCATCAGATCTGTGGTACTTTTTCAGAATAGCCCTAGCAAACTACTAGAGACTCTGTTGCCAAGCAGTGGGATGATGCAATAAGGAACCTCCAAAGATTGGACGAGGCCTCGGAACTAGGTAATGCATACAGGCTGGAAGTGTTTTGACATGCATGACACAAGAAGCCTAGAGTGACTTTAGGAAACAGCGGAGGGAAATATGAACACCAAATGCAATTGAAACGAGGGCTAAGAAGAATTATTTGCTGTAGAGAAAGGATCTCTGACTTAGAGAATACATGTATCATGATCACCGAAATGTTGCTAGAACTATGTGTGTTAAAGGTGCTTGTGGCGTGTTTGCAGACGGAGACTACGAAGAGGTTATTGGAAGCATGAGGAAAGGCCATCCTAGTTTTACAGTGGCAAAGATTTGGGCTGTATTGTGTTCTTAGTGTCTTTGAGGAAAGCAGAATTTGTAAGTGATGAACTTGCACATGTAGCTGATTTCTAGTTTTGGAGTTCAGGGCACAATACCAAAAAATGGGGGCTTCAGAAGTATTTTCAGATAAAAAAGATTTTCTCTGACATTCTTGGTCCTCCTGTCTCTCAGTCCCATTCAACCTCAGGGGCTAAACCCAGGAACCAGAATCCTTCTTCCCGAAGGTGGGTTCTAGAAACCAGAAGCTCTTTTTTATAGTCACAAAACCAAGAAATGATATTGTAATATCTTCCACATTTTCATGTAAAAACTGTCCATGAAGAAATGATCTAACCTATCTTCTTTGAATGGAAGTCAGAAGACCCCCATTCCAGAGAGGGTCCTGCCCCGTATCCGGGAGGAAGGACTGTGTGCTCAGATAGGCCAAGCAGAGTCTAGACACACAGGCCTTGCCAGGTTTCCCCCACTCAGCCTATTCGCATTAGATCATAGTCTTTTTGTCCCATCATATTTCTACACAGATGTCCATATTCCTTTAAGCCAAGGCATAAAAATGGATAATAATTTCCCATGTATCTTTGGCTATTAACACTAAAGACTCCCAGGGAGACACATTGTATAAGTTGGTATGCCTTATGTCCTATGGATCTGCCTTTTGTGACTTGAGTTTTCAGTGAAACTTAAGAGGACAAGGGGGGAATCTTGGCCACTACACTGACAAACTGAGAAAAGTATTTAGGATTTAATCTGGTTTCTCCTAGATCTGTATAGTGAATGGGAGAGAAGAGAGAGAAATTAGCAAAGGAAGAACTGAGTAAAAGGAAGTCAGCATTGGATGACTCAGAAGGTACTCAAAAGATGCAGATACCTTGCTCTGGAAATAGGTGCAAGGGTGTGCCTGGAAGACCGTTAGCTAAAGAGGGGAGGTATGTGTCTCACAGATCCAATCAACTGTCTCTGCAGAAGTTAGGAATTGAAATATGGAAGATATTGGTATTCACGAAAGATCTTTAGACAACTTCTTGTCTGATGGCCTGGACGCATGTGAATTCCGTGGGAAGCCAAGAATTTTTTGAGAATTTTACAGCAGAAAAACATTGCCAGACTGGACTGAACGGGACAAAGATGGGACGAAATTCAAGGAGGCTGTTAGAGTTCCTGGACTGTACCGGCAAGAAAGGGACTGACTGAGGCACCCAGCTGTGACCATTTCTTCATTTTCGAGACAGGGAGGAAGGACTCCAAAGTTGGGTCAGAGGTTGGCATGGCCGTCACTGCCCCCAAGAACCAGGGGCACGGTACTAGGGGACTGGGCCATCTCTCTCTTGGTCCCAGAAATGGAGGTCACCTCCTGAGTTCCAGGCATTTGTCCCACCTCCTCGGTTTCAGAGGGATGGGCTGCAGCAGCCCAGGCTGGGGGGAGAGCCCCCACCCGGCTGCCCAGGGCTTAGGGTGTGAAGCTGTTACCCCATTGGGCCTGAAGGACAGAGCACTGAGCCCAAGCAGAATCTTTTCCATCTTTAGAATGTAACGGAATTTGCCCCCATTAGGTTTCAAAAGTGCTTAGGGCCCACGTACTCCAGTAGTTTTTCGGATTTCCTGCTTTTGGTATGATAAGCCCTATCTGGTATCAGTCTCACAACTGTCTTTCAGAAGGAGATAACTTGTCTAGCTTCACAGATGCAGTGGTGGAGAGAATTCCCGCCTCAGCATGAATCATACCTGGAGGCTCACCCATTCCAGATATAGAAGATTATCAGGTGAGATATTAGAGAATTGACGTTGGAGTGAGTTAAGTCTTCAGGGATGTTGTGATGAAATGAATGTATTTTCTATGTGAGGTTGTTAATTTGTGTCACGGAGTGGTGCAGAAGGTGTACTAGTATGTATGGAGTTGTGTCTCCCTACAATTCAGAGGTAGAAGTCCTGGCCCCCAGTGTTTTAGAATGTGACCTTATTTGGAGAGAGTCTTTAGTCAGGTCATCTGGTTAAAGTGAAGTTATGAGGGTTGACCTTATCCAACAGGATTGGTCTCCTTACAAAATGGTGACAATTGTAATCCAGAACTGTGAGATAAAAAATACATAGTGTTTAAGTCAGCCAGTCTCTGGAATATTTTTCAGCGGCCCTAGAAAACTGATAGAATACACCTCCATCAGAAGCATTGAAAGCATACAACCCATCGAAGAGCCAAAGAAGCACACCCATGTAATCACAGGTTTCCCCTTCAACTCCCATTGAACATCCCTGGACAACTAACTCTACCTATTTCAGACCGGGAAACCTGATCACACATTGGGCCATGGCCCCTTGGCTGCAGTTGCCTCACTGGCTGACACGGATCTGAGTGGAGCTTGTGCTGCTCCATTGGACGGCATTCCATCATCCCCATGATGCACTGAGGCCAGTCATGAAGGTTTTCTTAAACAAAAGATTCTAGCCTGAAGAAGAGCAGAATCAGGTAAATCTAAACAAGTGAGATTTCATTACGAAGGAGCCTAGAATAGGTATTGTTCCTTAGACTTTTTGATGTAGTTTTCTCTGCCGTGTTTGTGTCCTTGCTTATATTTTCAAATGAACTCCAGGTTACAGGGAAGGCTGATCAAATGTTTGACTGGACTCTCTTTATCCCATTCATGCTGTTTTCCCTACATTGATACTTCTTATTTGTTGTTTAAGCAGTAAAGGTCTTTCCCGTAGTTTGCGTTTCTTTAAGTCACAGCATGACATCATGATTGCCTAATAGGTTCCGCTTCTGCTCAATGACCCAAAGAAATACCATATCAAATGTGTGAGCTTCCTCCTCCGATCTTCACATCAATCCACCCCTTTCCTCTTTCTTCCTGTAATTCACCGGCATCAGTCCCCTTGCCCCCTCACTCTTCACTCCCCACAACCAAATCAGATTTCATTGTTAACCCTGTTTTACTAATGGCCCTCTTTGATTTCTGAATTTACAAAGGGAAAACACATATTCCAAGGTAAAATATCTCAGTGGATTTGGTTTCTCAAAAGGACTTGTCTAATTACACACATATGCAAGGGTAACTTCAGAAATTTATTCGTATGTCTTAATTCACAGAAACATTGGCATTTTACAGCAAAACAATTAGCATAATGAGAAATAAGTCACTGAGTGAGATGTGGTGTTTTGTCAGGTACACAGCTCTGTCTCTGGGAAGAAGCAGGGTTCTGGCAAGGGTCTTTGGTTTGGCAAGGGTTGTTCCGGACTTGTAGGAACATTTGGTGGCACCATCCAGAAGGATTTACTTGCAGCTGATTTTGTGGGGTTTTTCTTGGTCTCCTCGTGCAATAAGCACAACTTCAACTATTTTCATAACATTTCTCTTCAGCTATTTCTGTAATATTTTTCTAATAATCTGGAAAAACAGAAAGTAACAGATCCCAATGAGTGGACTTCTTGGTTCTATATCATTTCTCTATGGATCCCAAGTGGAGCTCTGGAGGTGACCTTCCCCTCTTCCCATCTGCACTACTCAGGGAAGCTCTGGCTACCATCTTGCCCTGACCCTGTTTCCCTCTTGACCAAGGGGTCCTCTTTAAATGGTGGAATAATCTATGTGGCTATGTGTTGGGCCCTCTGGGGTGGTTCTTTCCCACTTCTGATGGGCTCAAGAAAATTTTGATTTTTGTCATTTATCCAGCTTTTGTTTCATGGTTTGACTGAGAGTGCCATCCTTTACTGGTTTCTACATATGAAGGAGAAGGGTTGTTTATGAGATGTTTCAAAATTTACGGGAAACATTTAACAAAAATGGCCACATGTTGAGCTTCAAGGCACAACATAATAAATTCCTGTGGGTTGCAGTCCCAGAGTATGTTCTCTTGTCCACATACTCGGGCGACTGGAAATCAATGGAAAAGGAAAGCAATGGGAAAGTGAGCACCTGCTCTGAAATTCAGCAATACACTTATAGAAAAAAATGCTTAAAATGCCAAGACTTGGGACCCAGAAGAGAGCACAATGAAAGGTAGCCTATATTAATATTAACATGAATATAAATATGCTAATCTTTTGAGGAAATAAGCCTTATCTGACTTCTACTAATGGTTGCCAATGTTCTGTATAACTTGATGTTAGGGACAAGGTACATATTCTAATCTTAGCTTTGGATTCATATCCCTAAAAGATCATGATTACAAGCAATGCAAACAAAAACATCAGGTAAAGAATCACACTGCCGTTCCTTTAAACACCAGGTTGAATATAACAGGAAGGCTGCTGTGGGTTCAGCTTGGGTCACTCCCCCCACATTGGGTCAATGACTGTTGCTCATAGACTGCAGGTCACTCATTGGCTGTACCACTGTACACTAGGGCATGAGCTGTTTCCGTGGACACTCCGTAATCCTACTGACACACACCTGGAAGTAAGGAAGGTTTCTGTTCAAAAAGAAATGAAAAAATTACTGTCAGTACAAAAAGAGAATGAATTACAATAGTGGTCTCAGAGTCGGGGAAGCTGGAAAACGAATGGATTCTTGAAAATTTTATTTAGCCATATATATACTGTAACTGGGCCTCGTTTGCTTATTTACATGGATTCATGATGAGAGAGATGCTGAACACATTTAGGAGGGTTACCTTGCTTCTTGTATCAGCATATTCACTTTCTCTGTTGCCATATCGCACATAATGAAGTTCTGGAAAATCCCACCATCCAGTCGTAGGAGAATGAGAGTGAAAAAGGTAAACATCAGTACATTGATAACATCATCATAAAGATAACCTAGAAAGATAACTAAGAAAAACGGCCATTTGGGAAACTGAGGACACGAAACACGATTACGGAAACACCCCCTACTTTTCCTTGGAGCATATTGCACTACAGATATATTGGAGTTGACAGTGTTTTGCACTGTGGGAAAAATGCTTGAAAAACCGCAGGAGGCCACACGGCACATGCCCCCCAAGCTGGAACGGTGCCACCCACACCAACCTCCGGTGGGGTCCCCCCCTTGGCGGGCCACTGGCCTATAGGGCCACGGGCGGTGGTTCTGAATAGAGCCTTTGGGTTTCCCAGGTGCTCAGGCGCTCCTGAGACAGCTCACTTGCTTTTGGTGTACCTGAGGGCGGCATTCGTGCCCTGGGCCTCGGCGAGCTTGCCCATCTTCCCCGGCAGCAGCAGTCGCACGGCCATCTGGATGTCCCGGGAGGTGATGGTCACGCGCTTGGTGTAATGGGCCAGCTGACCAGCCTCGGTGGCGATGCGGTCCAATATGTCATGGATCATAGAATCCATGACACTCACGGCCTCCTGGGAAAGGCTGAGGCCCTGGTGAACCTGCTTCAGCACCCGGGGGAAATAGGGGGTGAAGCTGTCCCCGAAGCTGTCCCCACGGCGGTTGGCGTGGCGCCTGCGGGAGCCTCGGCACCCTCGCCTCTTCTGCTTCTGGGCCTTCGTGGAGTTGGCCTCTTTGGGCTCCTGGATGCTCTGGCCTTCCTCCGAGGTTGTCTCAGAGGAAGCCTCAGCCATGGCGGAAGCAGCGGCCATTAGATAGCAAGAACAGAGAGTGACGGTTGGGGACCAGGGAAGTGGGGGGCACTTTGGTATGGTCGCATGGCTCTACGTCACATTCCAACTCGACATCTGATTGGATGAAGTGTCACCAAGGGCGCCTCTCAGCAATCTTCCCTCCATTGAAGGTGATCGGATGATCCTGTTGCTTGGAATCATGTCAGCCAATCACAGAGGGCGTCTGCCCGCCTAAGTGGCCGGGTTGCCTACCTCAGACAAAGGTACACAGAGTCTTGCTCTGTGGCACACCTGCAGTGCAGTGGTGCGGTCTCAGCTCACTGCAACCCCTGCCTCCTGGTTTCAAGTGATGCTCCCTCTTCAGCCTCCCAAGTAGCTGGGAGTAGAGGCGCGTACCACCACACCTGGCTAAGTTTTGTATTTTGTGTGTGTGTATGTGTGTGTGTGTGAGAAACATGGTTTCTTTATGTTTCCTCAGGCTGGTCCCAACTCCTGGACTCCAGTGATTCTCCTGCCTTGGCCTCCCAAGCTGCTGGGATTACAGGCATGAGCTATTGTGCCTGGCAGAGAAAACTTATTTCAAGAAAATAAAACATGATGTTGATACCCATTGAAGGATGCACACTACAAAAATCTGAGAACATTTATAAACTTGGTTACAAAACTCATACCTGAAATATTATAAATTAAATCACATTACACACACACACACACACACACACACACACACAAAGGGAAACAGTTTACTGCTGTAAATAACAATTTAGAAGCATCAAACGGGGCAAACATTACTAATGGAACAAGCAGACCTCATATAATCTTTTTTCAACATTACCTCTATTATACAATTCATTTAAATACATAACAAAAACCCACAGTGCAGAAATAGCTAAATCAAAAATTCAATGAACAGCACCCCTTTCAAGCTTCCGAGAAAATAAAGTAAGGACTCTAACTCATTCACATTTGTCTAATTCTATTGTTTCCCAGTCTACAATCTTTTTTAATGCAAAGCTTAATGTCCTGTGAGTATGCATCACTTACGATGGAAGTATCCAATGAGAGCACCCAAACCCCACTCTCCACTGGCTCAACTAATGAAGTGTCTTCAGCCCTGGGCCTGAGCCACTGGCTCAGAATGTGAGCAGGTGACCAGTCCTGAACCAATAAATGCCCTCCTAGCTGTTCAGCCTTGTAAATTGAGGAGAAAATTAGTTTGAGGTTTTTGTCCACTTTTTATTTCTTTGTTTGATTTTTCGTTTTATTGTAATTGTGGTGAATTAAAGATTTGAATCCAAAGCTGTGAGTAAGCATGTCTCCTACCTCTGGCATCATATTATGAAGGCAAGTTCTCTGAAAAGGAATTTGGAGGAAAGAGACTATTCCTGTGAACAGCTTGCACACCAGGGAGGGGCAGACTTCAGTGTAAAACAAAGGCGAAGTTCCAGAGAACTAAAAGAGGATATGGCTTTTATAGAGAAAGTTCCCATCGAGGTTCTCAGTACAGTCCATTCATGCAAATAAAGGATTCAAAATTAGTTCTGATTGGTTGACTCAGTTGATCTCTGATTGGTCAACACGACTGAGCCCTGATTGGCAGGGGCAGGTGAGCTCTGGCTGGTTGGTTCAGGTGACCTCTGAAAGTTGCAGAGTTAGATAGAGGTATGGGCTTTTGGGGAATTCCTAGTACATGTGTGAGCTCTAGTCTGCACGTGGCAGCTTGCTTGGCTCTAGTTTAGATTTAGGCTCAGTCACTGGGATCCATCTGGAAAGACTGGCTCTTTTAGGTTTACATTTGTCCACAAGTTTAATAAAATGATAGTGACCAATTAAAAAAACTAGGACGACTCTCCTTTTTTTTTCAATTTGATTGTTGTGGGGCTTTTTCACTTTCAGGCACATGTGTCTGACAAAATTAACCCACTATGGTAATTTGAGACAATAAAAACACTTACTTCAGTACAAAGCTTTCTCCAAAATATGATTGGCCCTGATTCTTGATGCAATATAATAGTCTTCCCCTTTCATTAGACTGTCACTCTGCAATAAGGGGGAAGGAGTGTGGAAGTGAGTGGGGGCACAGAAGAAGCTGTAAAGGGTGGCTATTTCCTCTTTTTCCTTATCCCAGACATTTTCCCTAGTATAGTGACCATGTGTCCTGATTTCACCTGTTGTCCCTTAGTAATTCTTAACAGCATCCCCTTTCACTCTGAAACATGTCCAAATTTACAAATCTGTACTTCCCAATGTAACTAGAACATGCAGGAAGTTGTGAGTGTAGTAGATCTCAGATCTTTGTTGAATGAACAGATAAATAAATGAACCTATGTTAGATAAGAGACTGGCCCATGACAACCTATGAGACCATTGCTGAATTCTGTGGCTAGTCCACACGACCCATCGGGACCTCTTGGGTACAGTCCCCTTTCCTGTTCTGCACTTAAAAGGAATTATTTCTCTACAAAGCTGTCTGAGTCCCCGTGTTAAACCCATGAGAATGTCAGATTTTGTTTCCTCCATGATCTGCATATCACATTGACTCCTCCCAATAACTCTTTATGGTGTAGATATTTTAGCCTCAACTTTTTGGCAGACAAGAAACACAGTAACTAACAAACGTGTCCAGTGATCACACAGCTGATAAATGGAAGAGCAGAAATTCAAATCCACGTCAGTCTGAGTCCAGAACCCAAGCACTTGAACGTTGTCTCCTGCCATCCTCTCTCATACTGCGGTGATGGCACCTTCAACGCATGAATACGTAGGTAGACAGTCTGAGGTGAGCCTCCCCTTCACAACAAGTCTTTACGTAGTTTGATCTTTCCCTGAAGGCAACGTGATAAATTCAGAGGTGTAAAAGCAAAAGCATCAAGTTAGCCTTCCTGCAAATGTATACAAGAAACCTGATTTTCTCGTGCAGCCACGGGAGTTTCTTCAAGCAGCAGTTAGCAAATTCAACCATGCCTGAGCTCAATTGTGTGTTTCAATAGCTGTCTGAAACAAATGCATAGCCATTCCATGTTGCACAATTGTGTCCAATGCAGATGGACTCCAACTTAGCATGGTTCAACTTAAAATTATTTACCTTTGTGATAGGTTTAACTGGACTTAACTCCATTGTAAGTTGGGGAGCATGTGTTTAGTCTGTTGCAGATTGGTGAGAGACAGGGTGGGAAGCAGTGAGTGGGGAAAATTTTCAGGTTAGGGTTATACAGTCATTACCCGATGATCAACATTTAGCTCTGTGATGGCCAATTTCATGTCTTGTCTCGTCTTGTCTTTCCAACCAGGGGGAGATTTTTTTCCCAAATAAGCAAAGATAGAGATCTAGGTAACTCGGCTTGGTTGGGTTACAGTACCTAGATATGTGGTCAAATTTTATTCTCAATGTTTGTGTGAATGTCCTTTTCGGTAAGATTAACATTGAAATCAATGGATCTGAGTACAACAGACTGCCCTCCATATTGGCCTGAATAGACCAAAAAGACTGACTTCCCCCAAGCAAGAGTAAATTCTGCAACAGACAGCCTTCACACTTGAACTGCAACATCGGCTCTCCCATGGGTCTTCAGCCTCATGGTCTTTAGACTTAAACTGTCACCTCAGCTTGTACCTGGGACTCTAGGCTGCCAGCCCACCCTGCAGATTTAGGACTTGCCAGCCTCCATAATCACATGAATCAGTTTCTTACAATAAATCTCTCTCGACAGATAGATGGATAAATATCCTATTGGTTTTATTTGTCTGGAAATCCCCTAATACAAGCTTTCTGCACCAAAACATTGCTGCAGAGATCTGTGTGTTTTTCCCACATGTAAAATATCCACTTAAATATGAGACGTTTTCGTGATTCCATTAATCAATACCTTTGCCTTTGATTAGTGACTACACTGTTAAGTCAGTAGTTTTTCCTGGATCTTAAGAGATGTTTCTTCATCATTTGATATGACTGGGGACAACAACGTATTCAGTTCAATGGTAAAGTTGATGACTTAATTAAAATTATTATCACTGAAAATAACAATCCCTTGAACATTGGTAGAGTCCAGGTGGCACGTGCTAACCAGAAGAGTGAATGAACTTACCCTACTTCTGACCTTGCCAGTTAATTGCACTCCCTTTCATTACCACCCATATAGCTGATACTCATATGGGTTGGTGTCAATTAAGCCAGGCATTGCTATAGTAATAAAAAGAGGCACCACTGACTGAATGGTGACTGTGCCAGGCATTTTTCTAAGTGCTTTACAGGTAATTGCTTCAATTACCTTTCACAAGATCTCCGTGAAGTAGTGTTATTATCTCCATGCTTATGGATAAAGAAACTGAACCACGTAAGAGTGTCACTTGCCCAAGATAAAACAGGTAGAATATTACCGAGGGAATAATCAAACAAATTTCTACACATTTAAGCTTCTGCTCAGAAAAAGAAGATATCATCAGAGTGAACAGGCAACATACGGAATGGGAGAAAATTTTTGCAATCTGTCCATCTGACAAAGGTCTGATACCCAGAATCTAAAAGAAACTTAAAGAAATTTACAAGAAAAAACAAACAACCCCATCAAATGTGGGCAAAGGATATGAGCAGATACTTCTCAGAAGAAGACATTCATGTGGCCAACAAACATGAAAAAAAGCTCATCATCACTGGTCGTTAGAGAAATGCAAATCAAAACCACAATGAGATACCATCTCGTGCCACTTAGAATGGCGATCAGTAAAAAGTCAAGAAACTACATATGCTGGCGAGGCTGTGGAGAAATAGGAACACTTTTACACTCTTGGTGGGAGTGTAAATTAGTGCAACCATTGTGGAAGACAGTGTGGGGAGTCCTCAAGGATCTAGAACCGGAAATTCCATTTGGTCCAGCAATCCCATTACTGGGTATACACACAAAGGCGTATAAATTATTCTATTATGAAGACACAAGCACACGTATGTTTATTGCAGCATTATGTACAATAGCACAGACTTGGAACCAACCCAAATGCCCATCAATGATAGACTGGACAAAGAAAAGTGGCACATATACACCATGGAATACTATGCAGCCATAAAAAAAGAATGAGTTCATGTCCTCTGCAGGGACATGGATGAAGCTGGAAGCCATCATTCTCCACAAACTAACACAGGAAGAGAAAACCAAACACTGTATGTTCTCACTCATAAGTGGGAGTCGAACAATGAGAACACATGGACACAGGGAGGGCAACATCACATGCTGGGGCCTGTCAGGGCTGGGGGACAAGGGGAGGGAGAGCATCAGGACAAATACCTAATGCATGCGGGGCTTAAAACCTAGATGACGGGTTGAGAGGTGCAGCAAATCACCATGGCACATGTGTACCTATGTAACAAACCTGCACGTACAGCACGTGTATCCCAGATCTTAAAGTAAAATAAAAAGAAAAGAAAAGAAACAAACATAGTAACCCCGGGAAGAAAAGATGAAAGCATTTTAAACACCAGTTTAGAGATAGTGGAATAGAGATTTAGTGAATCACAAGGTAGATAAAAATAATTATACACGATACTGCATACAGGGAACGAAGAAAGAAAAGATTAAAGAGAGGCAAGGAGACTAAAGGTGTGGTCAAAGAAGGTAGGATGAACATCATATGGGCATTACAGAAATGGAAATAAGAGTGAATTTTGCGAAAATAATATTCAGAGAGAAATGGCTGGTAATTTTCCAGAATAAAGGAAACACATGATTTGCGATTCAGGAAACACACTTGTACACACCATACTAAAGCTACAGAAAAGTGAAAACATAGAGATCATAATAGCTGAGAAAAAACGCATTGCCTTCCGGGGAATAATGAAGAGTTTGTCAGCAGACCTCTGTCTGTCAATGAACGGAAGCCAAAAGCAAAGTCTGAGAGAAAATACTGTCAACCTAGAGTTGCATTCCTAGCTAAAGTATCATGAAATAATAAGGAGGCTGTGATAGACATGCAGGAGAACCACCCAGAATCCCTGTCAAGGACGGATTTGATGTTTGTGAGGCTGGGAGTGCAGGCAGGTGCCAGTCAACAGCCACTTGTCCCTGAGGACACTATCTGAGCTGCCTTGCTCTAGCTCATGCCCTTCCCGAGGTGGACCACATGCAAGGACAAATCCAGGAAGGGGTATAAAGATCTAGCTAACTATTCCCAAAGCTGAATAACTATGATGGGCCGTTTTACCTTCAGAGCTTCTTTAGGTATCACAAGAGGCTTTTGTTTGGCCTGAAGTAAGCATGAACTTCTTCCTCTGCCCACTCCTGCCTCCTTCCTGCCCCTTCCTCAGCTGCCGATCCAGGATAAGTGTCCTGCACACTAAACTCCATCACGGTGTCAGCTTCCTGCAGAACCTAACCCAGAAACAATGATACGGGAGAGAAATTGAAAACTCTTAGTGTTGACACCAACAGAAACCTTGTTAAAGAAATTTCTGAAGAATGTCATGTAAAGAGATGTAAACTGACCAAAAGAGCACAATTGGAGGTGCCAACAGGGAATAGTAATGCAATACACTGACAAATAAGGGTGAATGAAAAACAATGACTTACGAAACGGATGCGGTGAAGACTACGAAGACATTGAACAA
The DNA here is from genome assembly GCF_000001405.40 of Homo sapiens. Lineage (NCBI taxonomy): Eukaryota > Metazoa > Chordata > Mammalia > Primates > Hominidae > Homo > Homo sapiens. The sequence continues at coordinate 104,033,399 of NC_000023.11, read as the reverse complement.
TCAATGAAACAAGAAAGAACTACCTATTATAATTATGCATCATGTGCGCAAGGGTGGCATCCTTGCGATTTAAGTAAGGGGCACGTGACCTGTGGCATCCCACCGATTTTTCACACATTCTTTCCCCAAGAACTAAACATTGTCAACTCTGCTTCAATCTGTATCTGTGGTGCAGTTTGTTCCACGGGAAATAATTGATTTCATTTGATAATTTTGCAGGTAATCACTTCGTTACACGGTCATATCTGTCAGTTCGATTCACAGGTCTCCCTTTTTAAGGATTTGTCAGATCAACGTTATTTTTGTAGCAAAGTCCCTTAATATTTTCACTCTTATTCTCCCTAGAGAATTTGGTGGAATAGTCCACGTCTGTTATGTTTGATTTGGCAACATATAAAATGAAATTCTTGATATAAACATCTTACCTATTTAATCCCATTTTTCGAACACATCTCATATACGGAATTCTTTTCAATACACAAATTTGGACCCAAAGAGAGGAGGAGCCAAGATGGCCGAATAGGAACAGCTCCGGTCTACAGCTCCCAGCGTGAGCGACGCAGAAGACGGGTGATTTCTGCATTTCCATCTGAGGTACGGGGTTCATCTCACTAGGGAGTGCCAGACAGTGGGCGCAGGTCAGTGGGTGCGCGCACCATGCGCGAGCCGAAGCAGGGCGAGGCATTGCCTCACCTGGGAAGCACAAGGGGTCAGGGAGTTCCCTTTCCGAGTCAAAGAAAGGGGTGACGGACGCACCTGGAAAATCGGGTCACTCCCACCCGAATATTGCGCTTTTCAGACCGGCTTAAAAAACGGCGCACCACGAGACTATATCCCACACCTGGCTCGGAGGGTCCTACGCCCACGGAGTCTCGCTGATTGCTAGCACAGCAGTCTGAGATCAAACTGCAAGGCGGCAGCGAGGCTGGGGGAGGGGCGCCCGCCATTGCCCAGGCTTGCTTAGGTAAACAAAGCAGCCGGCAAGCTCGAACTGGGTGGAGCCCACCACAGCTCAAGGAGGCCTGCCTGCCTCTGTAGGCTCCACCTCTGGGGGCAGGGCACAGACAAACAAAAAGACAGCAGTAACCTCTGCAGACTTAAATGTCCCTGTCTAACAGCTTTGAAGAGAGCAGTGGTTCTCCCAGCACGCAGCTGGAGATCTGAGACCGGGCAGACTGCCTCCTCAAGTGGGTCCCTGACCCCTGACCCCCGAGCAGCCTAACTGGGAGGCACCCCCCAGCAGGGGCACACTGACACCTCACACGGCAGGGTATTCCAACAGACCTGCAGCTGAGGGTCCTGTCTGTTAGAAGGAAAACTAACAAACAGAAAGGACATCCACACCGAAAACCCATCTGTACATCACCATCATCAAAGACCAAAAGTAGGTAAAACCACAAAGATGGGGAAAAAACAGAACAGAAAAACTGGAAACTCTAAAACGCAGAGCGCCTCTCCTCCTCCAAAGGAACGCAGTTCCTCACCAGCAACGGAACAAAGCTGGACGGAGAATGACTTTGACGAGCTGAGAGAAGAAGGCTTCAGACAATCAAATTACTCTGAGCTACGGGAGGACATTCAAACCAAAGGCAAAGAAGTTGAAAACTTTGAAAAAAATTTAGAAGAATGTATAACTAGAATAAGCAATACAGAGAAGTGCTTAAAGGAGCTGATGGAGCTGAAAACCAAGGCTCGAGAACTACGTGAAGAATGCAGAAGCCTCAGGAGCCGATGCGATCAACTGGAAGAAAGGGTATCAGCAATGGAAGATGAAATGAATGAAATGAAGCGAGAAGGGAAGGTTAGAGAAAAAAGAATAAAAAGAAATAAGCAAAGCCTCCAAGAAATATGGGACTATGTGAAAAGACCAAATCTACGTCTGATTGGTGTACCTGAAAGTGATGCGGAGAATGGAACCAAGTTGGAAAACACTCTGCAGGATATTATCCAGGAGAACTTCCCCAATCTAGCAAGGCAGGCCAACGTTCAGATTCAGGAAATACAGAGAACGCCACAAAGATACTCCTCGAGAAGAGGAACTCCAAGACACATAATTGTCAGATTCACCAAAGTGGAAATGAAGGAAAAAATGTTAAGGGTAGCCAGAGAGAAAGGTCGGGTTACCCTCAAAGGGAAGCCCATCAGACTAACAGCGGATCTCTCGGCAGAAACCCTACAAGCCAGAAGAGAGTGGGGGCCAATATTCAACATTCTTAAAGAAAAGAATTTTCAACCCAGAATTTCATATCCAGACAAACTAAGCTTCATAAGTGAAGGAGAAATAAAATACTTTACAGACAAGCAAATGCTGAGAGATTTTGTCACCACCAGGCCTGCCCTAAAAGAGGTCCTGAAGGAAGCGCTAAACATGGAAAGGAACAACCGGTACCAGCCGCTGCAAAATCACGCCAAAATGTAAAGACCATCGAGACTAGGAAGAAACTGCATCAACTAACAAGCAAAATCACCAGCTAACATCATAATGACAGGATCAAATTCACACATAACAATATTAACTTTAAATGTAAATGGACTAAATGCTCCAATTAAAAGACACAGACTGGCAAGTTGGATAAAGAGTTAAGACCCATCAGTGTGCTGTATTCAGGAAACCCATCTCACGTGCAGAGACACACATAGGCTCAAAATAAAAGGATGGAGGAAGATCTACCAAGCAAATGGAAAACAAAAAAAGGCAGGGGTTGCAATCCTAGTCTCTGATAAAACAGACTTTAAACCAACAAAGATCAAAAGAGACAAAGAAGGCCATTACATAATGGTAAAGGGATCAATTCAACAAGAGGAGCTAACCATCCTAAATATATATGCACCCAATACAGGAGCACCCAGATTCATAAAGCAAGTCCTGAGTGACCTACAAAGAGACTTAGACTCCCACACATTAATAATGGGAGACTTTAACACCCCACTGTCAACATTAGACAGATCAACGAGACAGAAAGTCAACAAGGATACCCAGGAATTGAACTCAGCTCTGTACCAAGCGGACCTAATAGACATCTACAGAACTCTCCACCCCAAATCAACAGAATATACATTTTTTTCAGCACCACACCACACCTATTCCAAAATTGACCACATAGTTGGAAGTAAAGCTCTCCTCAGCAAATGTAAAAGAACAGAAATTATAACAAACTATCTCTCAGACCACAGTGCAATCAAACTAGAATTCAGGATTAAGAATCTCACTCAAAGCCGCTCAACTACATGGAAACTGAACAACCTGCTCCTGAATGACTACTGGGTACATAATGAAATGAAGGCAGAAATAAAGATGTTCTTTGAAACCAACGAGAACAAAGACACAACATACCAGAATCTCTGGGACACATTCAAAGCAGTGTGTAGAGGGAAATTTATAGCACTAAATGCCCACAAGAGAAAGCAGGAAAGATCCAAAATTGACACCCTAACATCACAATTAAAAGAACTAGAAAAGCAAGAGCAAACACATTCAAAAGCTAGCAGAAGGCAAGAAATAACTAAAATCAGAGCAGAACTGAAGGAAATAGAGACACAAAAAACCCTTCAAAAAATCAATGAATCCAGGAGCTGGTTTTTTGAAAGGATCAACAAAATTGATAGACCGCTAGCAAGACTAATAAAGAAAAAAAGAGAGAAGAATCAAATAGACACAATAAAAAATGATAAAGGGGATATCACCACTGATCCCACAGAAATACAAACTACCATCAGAGAATACTACAAACACCTCTATGCAAATAAACTAGAAAATCTAGAAGAAATGGATACATTCCTCGACACATACACTCTCCCAAGACTAAACCAGGAAGAAGTTGAATCTCTGAATAGACCAATAACAGGAGCTGAAATTGGGGCAATAATCAATAGTTTACCAACCAAAAAGAGTCCAGGACCAGATGGATTCACAGCCGAATTCTACCAGAGGTACAAGGAGGAACTGGTACCATTCCTTCTGAAACTATTTCAATCAATAGAAAAAGAGAGAATCCTCCCTAACTCATTTTATGAGGCCAGCATCATCCTGATACCAAAGCTGGGCAGAGACACAACCAAAAAAGAGAATTTTAGACCAATATCCTTGATGAACATTGATGCAAAAATCCTCAATAAAATACTGGCAAACCGAATCCAGCAGCACATCAAAAAGCTTATCCACCATGATCAAGTGGGCTTCATCCCTGGGATGCAAGGCTGGTTCAATATACGCAAATCAATAAATGTAATCCAGCATATAAACAGAGCCAAAGACAAAAACCATATGATTATCTCAATAGATGCAGAAAAAGCCTTTGACAAAATTCAACAACCCTTCATGCTAAAAACTCTCAATAAATTAGGTATTGAAGGGACGTATTTCAAAATAATAAGAGCTATCTATGACAAACCCACAGCCAATATCATACTGAATGGGCAAAAACTGGAAGCATTCCCTTTGAAAACTGGCACAAGACAGGGATGCCCTCTCTCACCGCTCCTATTCAACATAGTGTTGGAAGTTCTGGCCAGGGCAATCAGGCAGGAGAAGGAAATAAAGGGTATTCAATTAGGAAAAGAGGAAGTCAAATTGTCCCTGTTTGCAGACGACATGATTGTTTATCTAGAAAACCCCATCATCTCAGCCCAAAATCTCCTTAAGCTGATAAGCAACTTCAGCAAAGTCTCAGGATACAAAATCAATGTACAAAAATCACAAGCATTCTTATACACCAACAACAGACAAACAGAGAGCCAAATCATGAGTGAACTCCCATTCACAATTGCTTCAAAGAGAATAAAATACCTAGGAATCCAACTTACAAGGGATGTGAAGGACCTCTTGAAGGAGAACTACAAACCACTGCTCAAGGAAATAAAAGAGGATACAAACAAATGGAAGAACATTCCATGCTCATGGGTAGGAAGAATCAATATCGTGAAAATGGCCATACTGCCCAAGGTAATTTACAGATTCAATGCCATCCCCATCAAGCTACCAATGACTTTCTTCACAGAACTGGAAAAAACTACTTTAAAGTTCATATGGAACCAAAAAAGAGCCTGCATTGCCAAGTCAATCCTAAGCCAAAAGAACAAAGCTGGAGGCATCACACTACCTGACTTCAAACTATACTACAAAGCTACAGTAACCAAAACAGCATGGTACTGGTACCAAAACAGAGATATAGATCAATGGAACAGAACACAGCCCTCAGAAATAACGCCGCATATCTACAACTATCTGATCTTTGACAAACCTGAGAAAAACAAGCAATGGGGAAAGGATTCCCTATTTAATAAATGGTGCTGGGAAAACTGGCTAGCCATATGTAGAAAGCTGAAACTGGATCCCTTCCTTACACCTTATACAAAAATCAATTCAAGATGGATTAAAGATTTAAAAGTTAGACCTAAAACCATAAAAACCCTAGAAGAAAACCTAGGCATTACCATTCAGGACATAGGCATGGGCAAGGACTTCATGTCCAAAACACCAAAAGCAATGGCAACATAAGCCAAAATTGACAAATGGGATCTAATTAAACTAAAGAGCTTCTGCACAGCAAAAGAAACTACCATCAGAGTGAACAGGCAACCTACAAAATGGGAGAAAATTTTCGCAACCTACTCATCTGACAAAGGGCTAATATCCAGAATCTACAATGAACTCAAACAAATTTACAAGAAAAAAACAAACAACCCCATCAAAAAGTGGGCGAAGGACATGAACAGACACTTCTCAAAAGAAGACATTTATGCAGCCAAAAAACACATGAAAAAATGCTCATCGTCACTGGCCATCAGAGAAATGCAAATCAAAACCACTATGAGATATCATCTCACACCAGTTAGAATGGCAATCATTAAAAAGTCAGGAAACAACAGGTGCTGGAGAGGATGTGGAGAAATAGGAACACTTTTACACTGTTGGTGGGACTGTAAACTAGTTCAACCATTGTGGAAGTCAGTGTGGCGATTCCTCAGGGATCTAGAACTAGAAATACCATTTGACCCAGCCATCCCATTACTGAGTATATACTCAAATGACTATAAATCATGCTGCTATAAAGACACATGCACACGTATGTTTATTGTGGCATTATTCACAATAGCAAAGACTTGGAATCAACCCAAATGTCCAACAATGATAGACTGGATTAAGAAAATGTGGCACATATACACCATGGAATACTATGCAGCCATAAAAAATGATGAGTTCATGTCCTTTGTAGGGACATGGATGAAATTGGAAATCATCATTCTCAGTAAACTATCGCAAGAACAAAAAACCAAACACCGCATATTCTCACTCATAGGTGGGAATTGAACAATGAGATCACATGGACACATGAAGGGGAATATCACACTCTGGGGACTGTGGTGGGGTGGGGGGAGCGGGGAGGGATAGCATTGGGAGATATACCTAAGGCTAGATGATGAGTTAATGGGTGCAGCGCACCAGCATGGCACATGTATACATATGTAACTAACCTGCACAATGTGCACATGTACCCTAAAACTTAAAGTATAATAAAAAAAAAAAGAAAAAAAAATTTGGACCCAAAGAGAGTACAGGAAATAGACATCGCCAAGTAGAATTTTCAGGAAGCATCTCACTATTCCAGGTCCTTGAGCACTGAAATTACTGTTCTGATTGCTTCAGACTTATCCAATTCTATTCCTTTCTTGTCCATAAGCTCCTGTTTTTTAAAAACACAAACTTTTATCAGTTGCAATTGTGCATCATTGGATGATGGGAGCGTCCAAAGAGAATGCCAAGCCCCAGTCTCCACTCATTTCACCACAGAGGAACCTGCAGCCCATGAGCCACAGCCATTGGCACAAGCGTGGAAGATGACTGGGACTGAAACACTATGTGCGTTCCTTGGTGTTGCCCTATTACATGGAAGAGGAGCAGAGAATGATTTTTGCTTGCTCTGGGAATTTTTGCTCACTTGCTTTCAAATGTGGTGATTTGGAGATATAAATCTGTAGCTGGTAGTGGGGCATGTCTCTTGCTCCTTGCAATATAACTAAGAAAAAGATGAGGCACTAACAGGACTAAGATGATCCCTCCTTTCTCCTCCTGGGATGTCAATGTTAATATTAATGTGAATGTTAATGCAATATAACTTACATCGTGTTGTCTTCTTGGCCCAATGGGTGTGTGTTTGTTTTTCTATATCTATATTGCTGAGGTTCAAAACAGTTGTGACTTTCCAGTTACTTTTTAAAAAGTATTATTTATATCTAGCACTCACTTCTGTGGAGAGAGAACATATTCTGGGATTTCAATCCTTGGAGATGTATGTGGAGTTGCTTTAAAGCCCCGTATTTTTCTGTTGTATTGCTGTTATTAGTACTTTCAAAATATGTTGTAAATTCCCCTTTGGAGTAGGATGCCAACACCTGATTAGGATGTCAATTCAAGCAAATGATAAAACGAACCCTGGATAATCTATAAAAACAAAATCCTTCTGCAGCCCATAATAACTCGATAAAACCCTCGCAGGAGAGACCAACCACAGAGGATTTCACCTGTGGCAGAAACGCAAGTGCTCAAGAGAAAGAAGGCAATCTTGGTCAACGCAAGATGCTCCAGAGAGCTTCCCTGAATAGTGCACGTGGAAAGAGGGGGCTGATGGCTGATCAAGGAGGTCATGGAGAAATCTGTTTTTCATCTTAGGCCCAATGCTGACTAACTGTGCTGGGCCATAATACCTCCACACCTCTCCTTCAAATAGACAAACTAAGGATTTTGGGCCATTGACCCACCTTATCAGGATTAGTACTTATTTTTGAATTTGAAGAAAATCTCGTAAAAGTATTTCAAAAAGAATAAAAAAGTTTGCTTCCAAAAGTGACTGAAAAAAATCTATCACAAAATTAACTGCAATAAATATCCCTGTGTGGTGCTTTGAGACTGTCTTACACATCCCTAACAAGATTATGAAAGCTGAAGCCTCTTTTCAGAGCTGTTTGCCTTTGTGGGGATAAAAAAATAACTGCGGAGTTGTTTGAAAAACACTGTATTCCTCTTCAGTCACTTTATTTCTATCAGCCTCATTGGTGCTGCATGAACTTGCCAGAAGTTTTCCATAGGACATAAAAATGTTCTACCAAAGAATGTTAATTCTTGCATACTGTTCCTAAGCACTTAGTGTCGTGAATAGTCATTTTTGTATACATTGAATGATTAGGATTTTCTTGTTGTGTGTTGCATTTGTAAATTCAGAAAGTATACAGGAGCGTTAGTGAAATAATGTTAAAAATGCACCATAACCCGGCTGTGTAATGCTGACTGGGAGTGTAAGGGTGACTGACATAGACAAATTATAGGCAAGGGAGAGGAGAAATGGGTCTTGATATTGAAGACTGGAATGGAAAATGAATACATCTAATTATTCATCTCTGTGGCTGAAAGCGGGTAAAGGGCAATAAGTGAGCATCGGTGATCTAATGGTGTGTTTTACTGAAAGAAGGAACTAAAGGAATTGGCGTGCATCATATAAATAACAAATTATAAGCATCATACCAAGAAAAATAGTAGTAGCACATCAAGGATACCCTCATTAAGTTTTATCAACATGACCCGTACGAAGGAATTCCCATTGAAATACATGACTGAGGATTCAAACGTATTGTAGAAATACCGAGATCAAAATTTTTTTAAATAAAATACACCCCTTTCAAATATCCCAGCTAAAGATACTATTCCAACTCATTTGGATTCATCTGGGTCAACTGTTTTCCAAGTTATAATCTTTTGTTAAAAAATAAAAATAAAACTTCGTGACCTTCAACTGTACATCACTGAGAAGATGGGAGCGTCCAATGAGAGGAGCTGAAATCCCACTCCACACTGTATCACTGGAGGGACGCAGCCACTGAGCCACAGCCATTGGTTCCCCGTGTGCTAAGGGACCCAGCCAAAAAAAGTGTCTTTCTGGGTGTTCGTCCTTGAAGACGGAGGAGGAAATTTGTGTTTGCATTCTTGTCGTGAGTTTCTTTTTCTCTTTCTTTCTTTCTTTTTTTTTTTATTATACTTTAAGTCCTAGGGTACATGTGCACAACGTGCAGGTTTGTTACATATGTATACACGTGCCATGTTGGTGTGCTGTACCCATTAACTCGTCATTTACATGAGGTATTTCTCCTAATGCTAACCCTCCCCCATGCCCCCACCCCACACCAGGCCCCGGTGTGTGATGTTCCCCACCCTGTGTCCAAGTGTTCTCATTGTTCAATTCCCACCTATTAGTGAGAACATGTGGTGTTCGGTTTTCTGTCTTTGCGATAGTTTGCTCAGAATGATGGTTTCCAGCTTCATCCATGTCCCTACAAAGGACATGAACTCATCCTTTTTAATGGCTGCATAGTATTCCATGGTGTATGTGTGCCACGTTTTCTTAATCCAGTTTATCATTGACAGACATTTGGGTTGGTTCCAAGTCTTTGCTATTGTGAATAGTGCCACAATAAACATACGTGTGCATGTGTCCTTATAGTAGCACGATTTATTATCCTTTGGGTATATACCCAGTAATGGAATCGCTGGGTCAAATGGTATTTCTAGTTCTAGATCCTTGAGGAATCGCCACACTATCTTCTACAATGGTTGAACTAGTTTACAGTCCCACCAACAGCGTAAAAGTGTTCCTATTTCTCCACATCCTCTCCAGCACTTGTTGTTTCCTGACTTTTTAATGATCGCCATTCTAACTGGTGTGAGATGGTATCTCATTGTGGTTTTGATTTGCATTTCTCTGATGGCCAGTGATGATGAGCATTTTTTCATGTGTCTGTTGGCTGCATAAATGTCTTCTTTTGAGAAGTGTCTGTTCACATACTTCGCCCACTTTTTGATGGAGTTATTTGATTTTTTTCTCGTAAATTTGTTTATGGTCTTTGTAGATTCTGGATATTAGTCCATTGTCAGATGGGTAGATTGCAAAAATTTTCTCCCATTCTGTAGGCTGCCTGTTCACTCTGATGGTAGTTTCTTTTGCTGTGCAGAAGCTCTTTAGTTTAATTAGATCCCATTTGTCAATTTTGGCTTTTGTTGCCATTGCTTTTGGTGTTTTAATCATGAAGTCCTTGCCCATGCCTATGTCCTCAATGGTATTGCCTAGGTTTACTTCTAGGGTTTTTATGGTTTTAGGTCTAACATTTAAGTCTTTAATCCATCTTGAATTAATTTTTGGACAAGCTTCTTTTTCTGATCGTTTGGTCACAGTCTTGGTGGTTGAAAGATATGAATTAATAGGTATGAGTGGAAATGTCTCCTGCCTACTCCATCAATAAGAGGACAAAGGGAATCAAATGGAAATCGAGAGACAAAAATGATTCTCTCTTTTCCCATCCGCAATTTTGTCCCCAAGCTACTTGAATGTTCAGGTAATAAAATGTTTTTTTCACCTCCAAGCACATGGGCCTGACAAAAAAAAACAACCCACCACATTTATTTGGCGGGATAAGAATCCCACCCCAGTGTAGTGGCCGGTACAATGGGGTTGGTCCTCATTCTTGACCCATCACAGCCTTTCTCCTCTTTGATTGTGGCCCTCACTCCTGGATAAGCAGGGAACAAATGCATGGTCGGGAGTACAAAGCTTGAAAGAGTGGGATATATTCTTTCACCTTATTATGAAGGACCATGGTCAAACATCTGGGGTCACAGGCCAAATGGGCCGGCACCTGAATAGGGCATTAGTGGAGCACAAAAGCGCCTTGACTCCTCTTCACTCGCGTCATCAATCCAGTCCCTGCCATGCAGCATCTATCTGATGTGTGTGACAGGCCGGTCCTGCACCTCATGGGCTCGCTACTGCTTCCATGATTCTTCTGAAATCCTGAAATATGTGCATCATTTAACTAACTCTGCTCCCAAGATCTACACAGAGGCACTTGTGAACAACATGTGCTTGGGGGATTGATGTTAGGCAAGGACTATCTGGTGGACCAGATGCTTGTTGAGGTACTTTGTCATGCACCAGAGGGAATTTTGTGTTAAGGAGGAATAAGGTACATAATTACTGTGCTTGCTATAATCCTCGGACTGGCAGAGTGAATTCTATCCCTTCCAGGAACTCGGTATCCCTTCACAAATACATCAAGGGCCTTCCTTACCCAGAGTTCCACAGCTACTGTGTTAGATCTGACATCAGCACCCAGGTTGATCTCCCAAATGTCACTCCAGTGCCTGGTCCACCCGACATGGTATTATCCTTTGAGTTTGTCAGCCTGCCAGAAGTTAGTCGAAGTAATGCTTCTTCAGGTTAATGTACCTCACAGGAAATACCTCAAACTGTAAGGAAATGCATCATTGATTTGCTTCACCTTACTCGGTCTCCATTTGAGCATGAATTCAGATGAAATTGCATAAACAAGTGTTTCGCCTAACCAAACTTCAACAGAGTGGGATATCTGACAGAAAGGGTTGCCTCTTGCTATTACACTCAATGAATTGTTTTAATTTGCAAATGTCTTGTTTTCTTTTTATACGCTTTCATTACTCTTGAGGCAATATGCAGGAATAGGATTGCCAGGTCACACGGTAAGTGCCCATTTAATTTCCAGGGAGCTGACATATAGTTTCTGAAGGGCTGTACCATTCTCCATGAGCACAGTCAATGCATGAGAATTCCAGTTGTTCCACATTTCTGCAAACACTTGATATGCTCAGTCTTTTTATATTTCTATTAATGTTATTTTTTAATGCACAAATCTTAACTGTATGCATGTGTGGGGTACAATGTGATATTTTGAAATATGTATTCAGTGTGGTAAGACTACACCAAGCTGATGTCCATCCCCTCATTTACCTATCACTTTTATGCTGAGAGATATGAAATTTACTTTCTTCGTTGTCCTGATTTACACAATCCATTACTACTGACTGTAGCCATCCTGCTGTGCAATAGATCTCAAAATGTACTCATCCTGTGTATCTAGAACGTGGCCCCCTTTGACCGGCAACTCCCCATTTTCTTCCTCCCACCCCTCTCCACCCACGTCCCAGACCCTGGGGAGCCGTCATTCTACTCTCTACTTCTATGAGTTCAGCTTTTTAAGATTCTACCTATAAGTAAGACATTTGGTATTTGTCTTTCTGTGCCTGGCTTATTTCATAACTTAGCATAACGTCCCCCAGCTTTATCCGTAGTGTGCCAAATGATGTATGCTGCTTTTGTCAAGGTTGAGGAGTATTCTGTTGTATCTACATACCATGTTTCCATTATCCATGTACCCAATGATGAACTCTTAGTTAGATTCCACATCTTCACTGTGCTGTATAATGCTGCCGTGAACATGGGAGTGCAGATGTCTCTTCATGGCACTGATTTCACTCCCTTTGACTATAGACCCAGAGCGTGTATGTGGGATTTCCGGACCATATGGCATTTGTATAATTCCGTTTTTTGAGGAATTTCCACACTGTTTTCCGTGATGGCTCTGTTACTTCACATTTCCACCAAGCGTGTACAAGAGTGCCCTTTTCTCTGCATTCTCGACAACACTGTTACGACTTTCATCTTTTCTGGTAAAAGCTATTCAAACAGGTGTGTGAGGTGACATCTCACTGTGGATTAAATTTGCATTGCCAGGCCAGGCACAGCAGCTCACACCTGTAATCCCAGCACTTTGGGGGGCCGATTCGGGTGGATCATGAGGTCAGAAGTTCAAGAGCAGCCTGGCCAAGATGGTGAAACCCTGTCTCAACTGAAAATACAAAAATTGGCCGGACATGGTGGCGGGCACCTGTAATCCCAGCTACTTAGGAGGCCGAGGCAGGAGAATTGCTTGAAGCCGGGAGGCAGAGGTTGCAGTGAGCCGAGATCGTGCCACTGCACTCTAGCCTGGGAAACAGAGAGACTCAGCCTGAAAAAAAAAAATTGCATCGCCCTCGTGATTAATGATGCTGAGCATTTTTAATGTACCACTGGCCATTTGTGCTGCTTCTTTTCAGAAATGTCTATTGAGGTCCTTTTACTGATTTTAAAATTGAATTATTTGTTTTCTTGCTATTGCATTGTTCATATTCCTTCCATATTTTGGATATTAACCTCTTATTAGATGTACAGTTGGCAGTATTTTCTGGAGTTCTGTGGGCTTGTTACCGAAAAAATGGGTCCCCCGAAAGGTGGTATCTTTCTTTCCCTGTTCGGTGTTGTGAAGCCAATATGAGAAATTGCAAGTGAGTGTCAGGCAGTGCAGGCTTTATTCCCTGGCCATGGACTTTACAAGCAGGAGGTTGGCTCAGAAATCAACTTCTCACCTTGGGAGAGGCGGAACGTCACAGATATAGGGGATCTTTAACGAAGGGATCGGGCATTGAAAGCAAGGGGAGGAATACTCATGTCTTTTGTCTGAATAAGTGCAGAAATTCTCGAAAACAGAATGCCACCTACTTTATTGCCCATTCATGGTTTCTTTCAGTCGTTGTCACGGTGATTGTCAACAGTCATGGCGCTGGTGGGCGTGTCAGTTCGTATAAGAATTAGATTGTAATGAAGTTCCAGGTTCCTCTAAGATCAATTGAGCTGCCGCATTACATCCCATCAGTCTCAGCCGGCTTGGTCATGATGGGGAAATTCTGATGTCAGGCATCCTGTTTCCTAAAGACAAGCAGAGTTAAGGCAGGGTAGAAATTTATCTAGGTCGTGTAGGCATTACATTGGGTAACAGGTCGTCTCCTCACTCTATTATTTATTCTTTTTCTGTAAAAACGTCTTTAATTTGACACTATCACATTTGTCTACTTTTTGCTTCTGTTGCTGGGCTTTCAGGGTCATATCCAAAAAATCATTGCCCAGGCCTATGTCATGGAGCTTCGCCAAAGTATGAAAGTTGAATGGCTATAACACAAAATTAAAGACATTTTAAACAGCAGATTAGGCACAGTTGGACAGAGAATTGGAGAATGAGAAGACAGATGTAAAGTAACTGTGAAAATTTCATAGGGACATAACATGTGAGAAAGGAGTGAGGAGAACTGATAAACCTTAAGGGTTTGACTAAAAAGCACAAAGTATATCTTATAAGTAATACTGGGCAAGTTGGGAAGAATTCTAATCAAAGGGAAAATAGCTGGTAATTTTACAGAATTGAAGGAAGACATGATATCCTACCTTCAGGGAGCACACCTGTACCCATCCTTCTAAAGCTTAAGAAAAGTAAAAACAGAAATCACAATAGCTGAGAAAAGAAAAAAAGACAACTACAAGGCCTATAAAGGAATAACAAATAGTTTGACAGCCAACCTCCTTCTATCAATAAATAAAAGCCAAAATCAGAGGAGATGTGTGTTAACACAGAATGTCATTGCTAGCTAAAGTATTATTTGAGAACGAGGCTGTGGTAGGCGTGGACGAGCCAGCGTCCCCTTTAAGGATGGATTTGCTGTTTCGGGTGTTGGGAATGCAAGCAGGTGCCAGTCCTGAGCCATTAGTCCTTTCCAGTATTACCATAGCTACTCTTAGCTGCCTTGCCCATACACACTGCCTGATCCAGGAGAAGTCGAACGGTCTGGTATTTTGGCACAATGGCGAATACCCTGATGGGCCCCTTTATCTTCAGATCTCACCCTGGGATCAGAATAGGATTCCACTGGCCTTGCACTCGAGGTGAACTTCTCCCTATGCCCACTCCTGCCTGCCTCCAGACCCTTCCTCAGCTATTGACCCTGAATAAGTTTCCCACACACTAAACTTTATTTCAGAGCCAATTTCTTCCAGGACCAAAGTCAGAAATGATGATATTTGAGAGAAATGGAAAACTCTTAGTGTGGATACCAACAAAAACTTTGTTAAAGAAATTTCTGAAGAATGTCATTTAAAGAGATGTAAAGTGATCACAAGAAGATGACTGGAGGTGCCAAGAAGGAAGGGTAATAGAATAAATTAACAAGAGGAGTAAAACGATGATTGTATAAAACTGACGCAGGAGAAATACAACAACAGAAAAAGAAAACCCTTCAGTCTGATATCCTTGATGAACATCGATGCAAACATCCTCAACAAACTACTGGCAAACCGAATCCAGCAGCACACCAAAAAGCGTATCCGCCACCATCACGTGGGCTTCACCCCTGGGACCCCCGTGATGCAAGGTCAGTTCAACATACGCAAAGCAACAGTTGTGATTCATCACATAAACAGCACGAAAGAGAAAAACCACATGTTTATCTCAATAGCTGCAGAAAAGGCTTTTGATAAAATTCAACACCACTTCATGTTAAAAACTCTCAGTAAACTATGTACTGAAGGAACGCACCTCAAAATAATAAGAGGCATCTATGACAGACCCACAGCCAACATCATACTGAATGGGCAAGAGCTGGAAGCACTCCCCTTGGAAACTGGCCCAAGACAAGGATGCCCTCTCACCACTGCGATTCAACATAGTCTTGGAAGTTCCAGCCTGGGCAACCAGGCAAGAGAAAGGAATAAAGAGCATTCAAATAGGAAGAGAGGAAGTCAAAATCATGTCCCTGTTTTCAGACGACATGATCCTATATCTAGAAAGCCCCATCGTCTCAGCCCCAAAGCTTCTCAAGCTAATAAACAACTTCAGCAAATCCTCAGGATACAAAATCATTGTGCAAAAATCACCAGCACTCTTGTACATCCACAACAATGAACCCGAGAGCCAAATCACGAATGAACTCCCATTCACACTTGCCACAAAAAGAATAAAATGCCTAGGAAGACAGCTAGCCAAGAAAGTGAAAGATCTCTACAAGGAGAACTACAAACCACTACTTAAAGAAATCAGAGGTGACACAAACAAATGGAAAAACATTCCATACTTATGCATAGGAAGAATCAGTATCGTTAAAATGACCATACTTCCCAAAGCACTTTACAGATTCAATGTTATTCCCATTAAACTACCGTTGACATTCTCCCCAGAACTGGAAATAATATCCTGAAATTCACGTGAAACCAACAAAAGAGCCCGAATAGACCAACACAATCTTAAGCAAAAGGAAGAAAGCTGGAGGCATCACACTACCTGACTTCAAACTATACTCCAGGGCTACAGTACAGGTACAAGAACAGACACACAGACCAATGGAACAGAATAGAGAATGCAGAAATTATTATTATTGTTGTTGTTGTTATTATTATTTTGAGACAAACCCAGAAATTAAGACTGCACGCCTACAACTATATGATCTTCGACAAACCTGAAAAAAAGCAAGCAATGTGGAGAGGATTCCCTATGGAATAAATAGTGCTGGAGGTGCTGGCTAGCCATATGCTGAAGATTGAACCTGGACCCCCTTCCTTACACCGTATACAAAAATGAACATGAGATGAATTAAAAACCTAAAAGTAAAATCCAAAACTATAAAAACTCTAGATGACAACTTAGGCTACACCATTCGGGACATGGACACCAGTACCAGGCAAAGATTTCATGACTAAGATGCCAAAAGAAATTCCAACAAAAGCAAAAATTGACAAATGGTATCTAACTAAATTAAAGAGCTTCTGCACAGCAAAAGAAACTCTCAACACAGTAAACACACAACCTACCGAATGGGAGAACATTTTTGCAAACGATGCATCTGACAAAGGTCTAATATCCAGCATCTGTAAGGAACTTAACCACATTTACAAGAAATAAACCAACAACCCCATTAAAAAATGGGCAAAGGACATGAACAGACATTTCTCAAAGGAAGACCTACATAGGGCCAACAAGCAAATAAAAAAAAACGTCAACATCACTGATGTTAGAGAAATGCAAATCAAAACCACAATGAGATACTGTCTCATATCAGTCAGAATGGCTACTATGATGAAGTCCAAAAATAACACATGCTGGCAAGTTTGCAGAGAGAAAGGGACGCTTATGCACGGTCTTTGGGGGAGCGTAAATTATTTCAACCATTGTGGAAGACAGTGTGGCAATACCTGAAAGACCTGAGGTCTGAAATACAATTCGACCCAGCAATGCCATTACTGGGCATATACGCAAAGAAATAGAAATCGTTCTATTATACAGACGTGTGCATGCGTATGTTCATTGCAGCACTGTTCACGATAGCAAGGACATGAAATCAACCCAAATGCCCATCAATGATAGGCTGGATAAGGAAACTGTGGTACATATACACCGTGGAATACTATGCCTCTATAAAATAGAACGACACCATGTCCTTTGCAGGGACTTGGATGGAGCTGGAGGCCATTATCCTTAGCAAACTACTGTAAGAACAGTGATATGGTTTGGCTCTGTGTCCCCCACCCAAATCTCACCTTGAATTGTAATTTCCATACTCTCCCTGTGTCAAGGGTGGGACCACATGGAGGTGACTGAACTGTGGGGGTGCTTTCCCCCATGCTGTTCTCATGATAGTGAGTGAGTTCTCACAGGATCTGATGGTTTTAGAAGGGGCTTACCCCTTCGCTCTGCACTTCTTCTCCTTCCTGCCACCACGTGAAAAAGGACGTGCTTGCATTTCCTTCCACCATAATTGTAAGTTTTGTGAGGCCTCGCCAGCCCTGTGGAACTGTGAGTCAATTAAATCTCCCTCCTTTATAAATAACCCAGTCTCGGCTATTTCTTCATAGCAGCGTGAGAACAGACTAATACAAGCAGCAAACCAAATAGTGCATGTTCTCACTTGTAAGTAGGAGCTAAATGATGAGAACACATGGACACATAGAGAGGAACAACACACACTGGGGCCTATCGGAGGGTGGAGAGTGGGAGGAGGGACAGGATCAGGAAAAATAACTAATGGTTACTAGGCTTAATGCCTGGGTGATGAAATAATCGGCACAGAAAAGCCCCATGACACACGTTTACCTCTCTAAAATACCTGTACATTCTGTACATGTACCCCCGAACTTAAAATAAAATGGAAAACACCCTGATGCAATAAAGATTATGACTATATTAAAAATTAAGGAAACAGGCAGGGCGCAGTGGCTGATGCCTGTAATCCCAGCACTTTGGGAGGCTGAGGTGGATGGATCACTTTAGGCCAGGAGTTCAAGGCCAGCGTGGCCAACATGATAAAACCCCGTCTCCACTAAAAGTACAAAAATTAGCCGGGTGTGGTGGCGCATCCCTGTAGTCTTAGCTACTGGGGAGCCTGAGGCAGGAGAACCTCTTGAACCCAGCAGGTGGAGGTGGCAGTGAGCTGAGATCGCACCAATGCACTCCAGCCTGGGTGACAGATTGTTGTCTCAAAAAAAAGAAAAAAAAAGAATTAGAGAAACAAAATAAGGACTATATATTACAATTTTGCATCACGTAGATGATGGGAACATCCTGTGAGAGCAGCTCATGCCATAGTCACCACTGGCTCAGGCAATAAAGGCTTTCCAGCCCTTGAGGCACCACAAGCCATGGCTGAAAGTGTGGGGAGGTGACCCGGAAATGAACCAGTGAGAGCCTCCCTGGGAGGTTTAACCTTGCAGATTGTGAAGAAAAACGATGTGGCTCTTTCCCTGTTTTTTGTTTGCTTTTTTTTTTTTAAGAAAAATATCATGCTGACTTACTGATATGAATACAGAGATTGTTGTGGACAGGTCTCTTGTGCCTTGTACCAAACTACGAGAAGGATTGTCTTGCTAAACGTTTAAGTAGATTTATAAGATCATCATTTGTAAAGGGGACTGTTCAGAAATGGTGTACTAGAGTTCAGTCACAGAGCTTACCATATACGATCTTATCTAACAACAAAAATGAGCCTTTTTGTCCTTCTTAATCGTGAACCAATTTATTAGGAGTAGAATAAGTTGTTTGCTAAAGACATGACAGGAAATACACTTGAAAGCCTGACCTTTGAAATGACAGTTCATCGATGACCTTTATTTCTTCAGCATTTCTTAAGAATCTTTCTTGTTCAATTCCTGCAACTTAATGTTACTTAAATGCATTTAAGGAATGCCTTTGCGTATATTATCAGAGACTCTTGAAAGCTCTCTTTCTAACTTGAACATAATTTCCATTTCTGGAATCCCTTTCTCTCCCTCAGGGGCTTCCTAGGAGATTTAAGGCGATATTTTTTAACCCAATATCTCTTAAACTTATTAGCCATTTCCAGCTTTTGAGTTGTGATTTGTGGTTGTTGTTTTGCTTTCCTTTTTTTTTTTTTAATTATTTTTTTAAACCTGGTCGATGTCGAGTGTTGTCATATGTTTTTAATAAAAGTGCCTTTCTGTTTCTATTGTCTGCTTGGAGGCTGGGGTATGGCCATTTCTCATTCTCCTGATTCACGGAAGATGTTGATCAGTACTGAAGCCCGGAGCCAGACCGCTAGGTCCTTTGATGCCCAGGCGGCCATGTCAGGGAGTTCCTGCTCAAGCCAGGGTGGCTTAGCCCAGGATAACAGTAGCTTCTGAGATGGGTGACAATTGTTCCACACGTGGCCACAGTCATTCTTCCGGCATAATGGACTTGGGCTCAGGAGGTCTGTCTCTCCTCAGGGATCATGAGCTGAAATTGCTAAACTTTGGGAGTTTTCAGTGACACCCTTCAAAGTGCTCACAGTGTGGCATGGATCAGCTGAGAAGGGCGGATGCGCTTTTGCCCCGTGAGGCATCTATCTGTGTAACTTTCTCCGAGCTGGGCCACAAGGGGCGCTTAGGCCCGCAGACGCCCACTGTGATTGGTTGACGAGATGCCACGCAACGGGACCATCCAGTCACCTTCAACGCAGGTAGGTTTGCTGAGAGGCTCCCTGCGTGACACTTCATCCAATCAGACGTGAAGCTGGCCCGAGACGTGGAGCCATGCTGCGTACCGAAGTGCCCCGGCTTCCCCGGTCCACAACCGCCATTGTCTGGTCGTGCCATCTAATGGCCACTGCCTCCGCCATGGCTGGACCTTCCTCTGAGACGACCTCTGAGGAACAGCTGATCACCCAGGAGCCCAAAGAGGCCAACTCCACTACGTCCCAGAAGCAGAGCAAGCAGAGGAAGCGAGGGCGCCATGGGCCCCGCAGGTGCCACTCCAACTGCCGCGGGGACAGCTTCGCCACCTATTTCCGCCGGGTGCTGAAGCAGGTTCACCAGGGCCTCAGCCTTTCCCGGGAGGCCGTGAGTGTCATGGATTCTTTGGTTCATGACATATTGGACCGCATCGCCACCGAGGCTGGTCACCTGGCCCGCTCCACCAAGCGCCAGACCATCACTGCCTGGGAGACCCGGATGGCTGTGCGCCTGCTGCTGCCGGGGCAGATGGGCAAGCTCGCCGAGTCCGAAGGCACGAAGGCTGTCCTCAGGTACACCAGGAGCAAGTGCGCTCCCTCAGGAGCACCCGAGCACCACGGGAACCCAAAGGGTCTTTTCAGAGCCACTGAATGTGGCCTGAAAGACCAGTGGCTCGCCAAGGGGGACACCACCGGAGGCTGGGGTGGGTGGTGCCCTTCCGACTTGGGGGGCATGTGGCGTGTGGCATCCTGCAATGTTTCAAGCATTTTCCCCTCAGTACTAAACATTGTCAGCTCCAATATATCTGTAGTGCAGTTTGCTCCAAGGAAAAATAGTGGGTGTTTCCGTGATCGTGTTTCATTTCCTCAGTTTCGTAAACGGTCATTTTTGTTAGTTATGTTTCTAGGCTATCTATATGGTGATATTATTACTGCACTGATCTTTACCTTTTTCTGTCTCATTCTCCTGTGACTGGATGGTGGAATTTTCCAGAACTTCACTGTATGCCATACAGCAACAGAGAAAGTGAATACGCTGATACAAGAAGCAAGGTAACCCTCCTAAATGTTTTCAACACCGCTCCCATCACGAATCCATGTAAATAAGCAAATGAGGCCAAGTTACAGTGTACATACAGCTAAATAAAATTTTCAAGAATCCGTTCATTTTCCAGCTTCCTCGACTCTGAGATCACTATTGCAGTTCATTCTTTTTTTGCCATGACGATAATCTTTTCGTTTCTTTTTAAACAGAAACCTTCGTTACTTCCAGGTTTGTGTCAGTAGGCTTAGGGAGTGTCCACAGAAATGGCTCATGCCCTAGTGTTCAGTGGTGTAGCCAATGAGTGACTTGCAGTCTATGAGCAACAGTCATTGTCCCAGTGTGGGGGCAGTGAACCAGGCTGAACCCACAACAGCCTTGCACTGATATGCAGTCTGGTGTTTGGGGGGACAGGGTTGTGATTCTTTACCTGATGTTTTTGTTTTCAGTGTTTGTAATCATGGTCATTTAAGGATATGAATCCAGTGCTAGGAGTAGTATATGTTCCTTGCCCCTAGCATCAAGTTATGCAGAGGATGGTCAGCCTTTAGGAGAAGTCAGATAACGCTTATTTCCTCAAGAGATTTGCATATTAATATTCATGTTAATGTTAATATAGGTTAGCTTTCATTGTGCTTTCTTCTGGGTCCCAAGTCTTTGTATTTTTAGCACTTTTTCCTATGAGTGTATTGTTGAATTTCAGAGCAGCTGCTGACTTTCCCATTGCTTTTCTTTTCAGAGGATCTCCAGCCGCCCGAGTATGTGGACCAGAGAACATACTCTGGGATTGCGACCCATAGGAATTTATTGTATTGTGCCTTGAAGCTCAATATGTGGCCATTTTTGTCAAATGTTTCCCGTGAATTTTGAAACATCTCATAAACAACCTTTCTCCTTCATATGTAGAAACCAGTAAAGGGTGACACTCTCAGTCAAACCATGAAACAAAAGCTGGGAAAATGACAAAAATCAAAATTTTCTTGAGCCCATCAGAAGTGGGAAAGAACCACACCAGATGGCCCAACACATAGCCACATAGATTATTCCACCTTTGGCAGAGGACCGTTTGGTCAAGAGGGAAATGGGGGCATGGCAGGATAGTAGCCAGAGCTTCCCTGAGTAGTGCATTTGGGCAGCGTGGGCAGTTCACCTCCAGAGCTCCACTTGGGCTCCGTAGAGAAAGGATGTAGGGCCAAGAAGTCCCCTCATTGGGATTTGCTACTTTCTGTTTTTGCAGAATATTAGAAAAATGTCATGAAAATAGTTGAAGAGAAATGCTCACTGCACAAGGAGACCAAGAAAAACCCCCCACGAAATCAGCCACAACTAAATCGCTCTGGACGGTGCCGCCAGGTGACCCTACATGTCCGGAGCAACACTTTGAAAACCAAAGACGCTTGGCAGAACCCTGTTCCTTTCCAGAGACAGAGCTGTGTACCTTGTCTAAAACACCGCATCTCACTCAGTGACTTATTTCTCATTATGCTAATTGTTTTCGCTTTAAAGCGCCAGTCTTTCTGTCAAATGGGACATACAAATAAATTTCTAAAATTATCCTTGCATGTCTACTGGGTAATTTGACATGTCTTTTTCAGAAACCGTATCCATTGGGATATTTTACCCTGGAGTGTGTGTTTTCCATTTGTAAATTCAGAAATGAATGAGGAGCATTAGTAAAACAGCGTTAACAATGAACTCTGATTGGGCTGTGGGGAGTGAAGAGTGAGAGTTCAAGGGGACTGATGCCGGTGAGTTATAGGAAGAAAGAGAAAAAGGCTGCTTTGATGTGAAGATGGGCAGAGGAGCTCACACATCTGCTATAGCATTTCAGTGGGTGATTGAGGAGAAGGGGAACCTAGTGAGCAATCGTGATGTCAAGCTGTGGCTTACTGAAAACACAAAGTAAGGGAAATAGCTTTACGGCTTAAACAACAAATAAGAAGTATCAATGTATGGAAAGTAGGATGAATAGGACAAACATAGTCCAATCAATCTTTTCATCAGCATTCCCTGTACCATGGAGTTCATTCGTAAACATGAGCAAGGACCCAAAGACAGTACAGAGAAAATGATATAAAAAATTTTAAGGAACAATACCTATTCTAGGCTCCCTAGAAATGGAATCCCACTTGCTTAGATTTGTCTGATTCTGCTCTTCTTCAGACTAGAATCTTTTGTTTTTGGAGACCTTTATGCCTGGCCTCTGTTCATCATGGGGATGATGGAATGCTGTCCGATGGAGCAGCACAAGCTCCACTCAGATCCTTGTCAGCCAGTGAGGCACCTGCAGCCGAGGAGCCACAGCCCAATGTGTGATGAGGTTTCCCGGTCTGAACTAGGAAGAGTTACTTGTCCAGGGATGTTCAATGGGAGTTGAAGGGGAAACCTGTGATTACATGGGTGTGCTTCTTTGGTTCTTCGATGGGTTGTATGCTTTTAATGCTGCTGTTGGAGGTGTATTTTATTATATTAGTTTTCTAGGGCCGCTGCAAAAATATTCCAGAGACTGGCTGACTTAAACACTATGTATTTTTCATCCCACAGTTCTGGATACCTATTGTCACCTTTTTGTAAGGAGACCAATCCTGTTGGGTAGGGTCAACCCTCATAACTTCACTTTAACCACATGACCTGACTAGAGACTCTCTCCAAATAAGGTCACATTCTAAAACACTGGGGGCCAGGACTTCTACCTCTGAATTGTAGGGAGACACAACTCCATCCATACTAGTACACCTTCTGCATCCACTCCGCGGCACAAATTAATGTCCTCACATAGGAAATACATTCATTTCATCACAACATCCCCAAAGACTTAACGCCCTCCAACGTCAATTCTCTAATATCTCACCTGATAATCTATATCTGGAATGGGTGAGCCTCCAGGTATGACTCATGCTGAGGCGGGAATTCTCTCCACCACTGCACCTGTGAAGCTAGACACGTTGTCTGCTTCTGAAAGACAGTTGTGGGACTGGTGCCGGATAGGGCTTATCCTACCAAAAGCAGGAAATCTGAAAAACTACTGGAGTACGTGGGCTCTAAGCACTTTTGAAACCTAATGGGGGCAAATTCCGTTACATTCCAAGGATGGAAAAGATTCTGCCTGGGCTCAGTGCTCTGTCCTTCAGGCCCAATGGGGTAACAGCTTCACACCCTAAGCCCTGGGCAGCGGGGTGGGGGCTCTCCCCCCAGCCTGGGCTGCTGCAGCCCATCCCTCTGAAACCGAGGAGGTGGGACAAATGCCTGGAACTCAGGAGGTGACCTCCGTTTCTGGGACCAAGAGAGAGATGGCCCAGTCCCCTAGTACCGTGCCCCTGGTTCTTGGGGGCAGTGACGGCCATGCCAACCTCTGACCCAACTTTGGAGTCCTTCTTCCCTGTCTCGAAAATGAAGAAATGGTCACAGCTGGGTACCTCAGTCAGTCCCTTTCTTGCCGGTACAGTCCAGGAACTCTAACAGCCTCCTTTCATTTCGTCCCATCTTTGTCCCGTTCAGTCCAGTCTGGCAACATTTTTCTCGTATAAAATTCTCAAAAATTTGTTGGCTTCCCACGGAATTCACATGAGTCCAGGCCATCAGACAAGAAGTTGTCTACAGATCTTCCTTGAATACCCATATCTCCCATATCTCAATTCCTAACTTCTGCAGAGATGGTTGATTGGATCCGTGAGGCACATGCCTCTCCTCTTAGGCCAATGGTTTTCCAGGCACACCCTTGCACCTGTTTCCAGAGCAAGGTATCTGCATACTTTGAGTACCTTCTGAATCATCCAGTGCTGGCTTCCTTCTCCTCAGTGCTTCCTTGGCTAATTTCTCTCACTTCTCTCCCATTTACTGTAGGCATCTAGGAGTAACCAGATTAAATCTAAATACTTTTCTCAGTTTGTCAGTGTAGTGGCCAAGGTTCCCCCTGGTCTTCTTAAGTTTTGCTGAAAGCTCAAGTCACAAAACGCAGAGCCATAGGACATAAGGCATACCAACTTATTCGAAGTGTATCCCCAGAGGCTTTAGTGTTAATAGCCAAAGATACATGGGAAATTATCCATTTTTATGCCTGGGCTCAAAGGAGTATAAACAGCTGTGTAGAAATACGATGGGACAAAAAGGCTATGATCTAATGCTAACAGGTGGAGTGGGGGAACCCAGCAAGGCCTGTCTGTCTAGACTCTGCTTGGCCTATCTGAGCACACAGTCCTTCCTCCCGGATATGGGGCAGGACCCTCTCTGGAATGGGGGTCTGGTGACTCCAAACAACATAGGTTCGATCATTTCTTCATGGACAGTTTTTACATGAAAATGTGGAAAACATTACAATACCGTTTCTAGGTTTTGTGACTATCTTTAGAAAAAAGAGCTTCTGGTTTCTAGGACCCACCTTCCGGAAGAGGGATTCTGGTCTCTAAGTTTAGCCCCCGGGGCTGAATGGGACTGAGAGACCAGAGGACCAAGAATGTCAGAGAAAATCGTTTTCATCTGAGACTACTTCTGAAGCCCTCATTTTGGGATAGTGTGCCCTGAGCTCCAACACTAGAAATCAGCTACATGTGCAAGTTCATCACTTACAAATTCTACTTTCCTCAAAGACACTATGAAGACAATACAGCCCAAACCTTTGCCACTGTAAAACTAGGATGGCCTTTCCTCGTGCTTCCAATAACCTCTTCCTAGTCTCCGTCTGAAAACACACCACAGGCACCTTTAACACACATAGTTCTAGCAACATTTTGGTGATCATGATATATGTATTCTCTAAGTCAGAGATCCTTTCTCTACAGCAAAGAATTCTTTCTTAACCCTCGTTTCAATGTCATTTGGTGTTCATATCCCCCCCGCCGTTTCCTGAAGGCACTCTAGGCTTCTTGTGTCATGCCTGTCACAACGCTTCCAGCCTGTATGCATTACCTAGTTCCAAGGCCTCTTCCAATCTTCCGGATGTTCCTTATCACATCATCCCACTGCTTGGCAACAGAATCTCCAGTAGTTTGATAGGGCTATTCTGACAAAGTACCACAAACATGGCGGCATAAACAGCAGAAATTTATTGGTTACATTTAGGCAGGCTGGAAGTCCAAATCAAAGCGCCAGCTGGGTTGGTTCCTTCTGAGTAGTAAGAGGGAAGGATCTCTTCCAGGGATCTTTCCTTGACTTGTAAATGGTCCACTCTTGCGCATGCCACTTCACATTTTCTTCCCTGGATGCATGTCTCTGTGTCTGAATTTCCCCTTTTGGTATGCCGCAGAGCAAGTGCTCAACCCTTCCGACTCTCAACTAGGGCGAGCTCTGCGTTCCACGCATTCTTCCACTCCTGTTCTGCGACCTCTCCAGTTCCAAACAAGCTGCGTTGTACTAGGAATCCTCTCTAAATCATATTCGTCATCTGGTTATTCCTTATTTCTTCCTTCAGGAGCCCACTCTCTCTTGGGAGAGCTGCGGATCCTCGCTCAGCGTTGTGTGTCAGGGTTGCCAAAGACCTGATGTGTGAGGCTTCTTTGCCTTTTTCATAGGCAAGTGAGCACATAAGTTCTTGTCTAATAAATGTGGGGGCAGCTTTCAGAGTGAATGGGGCACTACGAATCATTGGGTGGGACAATAGGCAAAACCTGTACGTGTGGCCACCCCTCTGTGGAAAGATCTGGGGATAGAATAAGAACATCCATTGGGGTTTCGAACACAAAGTTTGGTGGGCAATGAGAGCGATTTACTTTTAATAGCATGTTTTTCATGATTTCTTCTCTTTGACATTCCTGTGCTTTTGTTTCCTGGAGACAACTGGTGTGGCTAGGCTGCATTAACATGGGAAAGAGACACAACACCATTAGAGCGTCTGTTTGGGTCTTAGGACTCATGTGAGCTAGTGGGACTGGACTCGACAGCAAGAGTCATTGAGAGCATGGGATTGGGGGTGAGAGGAGACCTGGGCTCAGACCCCAGCTGTGCCTCTTAGAGGCTGTACCGTGTTGGGCAAGTGGCTTGACCTCTCTGAGCCTCAGTTTCCTCCTCTGTGGAATAGGGCTCTAGAAGGTGGTTGTGAAGATCCAGGGTGATGATGCAGACGGGGTGCCAGATACATAGTCAGCAACCAATGAATGTCGGCTGTACCTGGTCCCAATTTCGAGATTCCTGCCCTCCGGAAATCACAGGTGGTGGGGGTGGGATCCAGTGCCAGACAGCTGTATGAGCACACCCTCCTGGCTACCTGGGACACATCTGTTTGCTTCGGGCTGACAGTGAGATAAGGGAGGATGATTTTTCCCCCCTGAGCCACATGTTAGTGAAGCAGTAGAGATAACGCTGCTCTGAGTCCTGACGGGAAGTTGCTGGGGAGCAACTTTAAAGTGCTCCTGGCTTCGGGCACTAACCACTCGGGGCTTTGTGGCAAGCTATTCCCCCTCACGGCCAAGGAACCTCGCTTCCCATACCACCTCCTTGCCCCTGCCCACCGTCTCACTATCTGAATCCTATTCACTTTTCAGGTCTTGGCTCAAATCCTGACTCCCCTATGAAGATGTCCTGACCCTCCCAGCCTAGAGAGACTGCTCCCTCCTTGAGTCACAGGATCTCCAACCGTGACATGGGCACACTGTTTGCAACATCCTCACAGACGGATTGTGATGAGGAAGGAAAGAGAGAGTCGATGTAGCGTGCTAGGTGCAGTGTCTGGTGCAGGCCTGTGGTGAGTTCCCTGACTCTTCTTCTTCCTCCCTTCTGAACCCACAGCATGCTGGCATGGCGGCCTTGATCACATGCTGCCTTCTCTTGATAGTCATTGGAGATCATGTCTGTGCTAGTTGTCCCCTCAGTTGCAATGTCACAGACCACGGGGGCCACATCTCATCCTTCCTCACCTTCCAGCATCCAGCACTACAATAAACGCCATCGTAACCATTTTTCATTGGGCACCTTAGGGTACAATGTGGCAGGCACTCGGCTATGTAGGTAATGCACATAAGTGTAGTCCTCACTCATTCCCCTCCTAGCTCTCTTCCAGGATGTGCAGGCACTGATTCTCCTTTGAGTTATACCAGACAGATTTGGTCAACCGCTACCAAGGTCGCATCATGAGTAAGTGGCCCTGACAGGCATCTAGTCCTATGCTAGATTAAGTTCTAGTGAATGCCTGTGAATGGGTGGTGGGCAGGAGGGAAAGATGTAGAGCCCAATATAGCAGTGCCTGCCTTGTACTTTTACCAGGCAGAGGCAGGCCTGCTTGAGAGAAAGCTGTAGGCAATAAAGACATAGGACTCAGTGGGTCCTCGAGCTCAGGTAAGGGGATATAGTCCCTCCAGGACAGGGGGAGAAATGGAGAGGGGATGGTTCAAGCTAAACCTCAAGGCAGCTGTCCCAGGGAATTCCACAGTGGCTCCAGGATCCCCCAAAATAGTAGCAGATGACCCACCCACTGGCCATCCTCAAGGTGAACTGTAGAACAAGCCCGGGTCAAGAAAGCCTCCTTGGAAAAGGTCTGTTAGCCTAGAAGATGTTGAATCCCTTGGGAGTCCACAATGGGCATTTCACTCCCACAGATCCTTGGGAGAGAACCAGGCCACAAGATCACCCGTGTGACCTATGATGCAATGAGGAGACAGGCTCCACTGTGCTTAAGTGTCCCTTACAAGTAGAAGCCAGAGGAGCTGCACTCAGTGCTATTTATTCACCCGATGCCTAAGGTCATTGGGGAAGGTCCCAGACAGCTTGTACCAGCACGCCTGATGCCTTGGAGGGGCTGGCTGGAGGCCTGAGCTCAACCGGGCCTCTGCACCTCTCCAAGGCCCCTCAGAGCATATCACTGTGGTGTCTCCAGCAGGAGAGGTGGACTTCTTAGGGGGCAGCTCAGAGCTCTCAGACAGCCAGACAGAGGCCACTCTAGTCCTCTGAAAGGTTACCTCTGGGACAGGCTAAAGTCCGCCATTCTCCATGTGTCAAAGCCATCAACGGGCCTGTCGGGAGCCCAGAGGGAGGGGCAAGCAGACGCAACCAATGTGCCAATACGAAGAGCATTCAGGAATGGGCAGCCTTTCTGAGATGCAGCCTATTCAGCACACGCTTCTTGAGATGCTGCTGGGTGGCACACACAGAGCATGTGCATAAGAAGTGGTCCTTTAACTCTCTGGGTCGAAGGGGTAGGCTCTCAAATGGTTTTACACTGGACCTATCACTAGCAGGGTGACATCTCCCATTTAGTGGATCCTCCTTCTCCATGCCATAGTGATTGATTGCCCTTAAGTGACATGAAGTTTCTAACCATTATAGACACTCTTTCTCCCTTCTGTGGCCCTGGCCATACATAAAAAGACACACAGAATAACAGTAAGAAGAATATGGGGAGTCAGTACTTCTTAATAGGAGGTTGACTAGAACCTGGTCTCAATATCTGATCCTCCAGATTTGGGGCCCCCAAGTGTTCCCAATTCCCTCATCAACCTCTTCTTTCATGGCTCTCCAGAATCTGACACTCCAATGACAATCCGTCCCTCTCTATGGAGCCTACAACAGCACACATCTCAGCACGCATCTCAGAGGACAGGTTTCAGGCCACCGGAGGAATTTAGGAGTGAGAACTGCAGGAGCGATCTTATCCCTCGCTGTTTGAACAAGCACTGTGGGCCAATGGCCATGGCCCAGGAGCCGCAGGGCCTTCATGGACTGAGCCAGTGGAGAGTGGGGCTTGGACCCCTCTGACTGGATGTTTCCATCATCCGAACGATGCGTTAGTTCCAAGTCATGAAGGTGGGTATTTCCAGAAATAAAACAATATAACCTGGAAAAGAACAGACAGAATCAGATACATTAGAAGTAGTTGGAGTAATAACTTCAGTTTCCAAGGAGCTTGGAGAGGTATTGATTCTTGAACTTTATGATGTACTTATGTCATCAAAAACAAATACATTTTGTGGATGGGTGATACTAAGATATTTATTTATTCTTTTTATATAGTTTATATATATATATATATGTTACATATATGTATTTTACATTATATATCTTTTTTAGTTTTTTCTTATGACTGGGTCTCACTTTGTCACCCGGGCTGCAGAGCAATGACGCCATCTCGGCTCAGTGTAGACTGGACAATCTGGGTTCAAGCGATTCTCCCACCTCAGCCCCATAAGAAGCTGAGACTGCAGGCATGTGTCACTGCGCCTGGCTAATTTGTGTGTGTGTGTGTGTGTGTGTGTGTGTGTGTGTGTGTGTGTGTGTGTGTATTTTTGTATTTTTGGTAGAGACGGGTTTCCCCATGTTGCCCTGGCTGATCTCGAATTCCTGAACTCAATTGATTCACCCTCCTTGGACTCCTGAAGCGGTAGGATTACAGGCACTGTGCCGGGCCCTAGATATTTAAATGATGTCCATAATATGGGTCCTGTTGTAAGAAACAACCTGGTTGGTTACGTCTGTCGTATTAATACATCTGTTTTCTAGGTTGACGGTTATACTTTGTCACAGAAGCAGTAAAACCATTTCCTTTTAGATTGTCCTTTCCGTAAACCTCACCATCAGATCACGAAGCCTCCCTAGGCGTCCTTTTTCCTCCTGCATCCGCTGAAGTCAACAATCAGATGTCCTCAACTCCCCTTGGATCTTCCACATCAAACCCCATTTCCCTCAACTCCTTCCTAAATTTCATTAGTGTCAGTCAGCTTTGAGCTTCCGGGCTTCAAGTCTACAGCCCGCTTCTGATGCATTTTTGAATGCTGTATGGACAAACACGGGCATTTTGAAGCAGTAGCAATGATTATGACAGAAATTAAGTGATTTGTAGAGAAATTATGGTTTTTTTTTCCCTCTGATGTGCAGAGTTCTGTTTTGGAAAGTGTGCACATGCCCGCAGAGATCCTTTGGTTTCCAATAGTTTAAGACAAATTCAAGGCACCACCCAGAGGGATTGACTTGCAGTTGAATTGTGGTAGTTTCTCCTGGTCTGTTTAGGAAAAAAAAAAGTTTTTCCAAGTCGTTTCATGATACTTGCTTAATTTCCCAGAATAAAAATAAGTAATGATTCTTCTGAGGTGGCTCTGTATCCTAAATCTTCACCCTCATGATATATGCAAATATATAATATATATAATAAAATTACTCAACATTCATGTAGACTTGTAAAAACATGGGGAGGGATCACCTTGTTTCCCTTCATCAGTCACCAGTGTTCTCTTAACATACTGGAAAAGGCAGGAGATATTCACACCTACAACTCATGATTCCTATGTCCTATGCGTTCTGTGTGTCCCCTTTTGCCCCTGCCCCACCAAATACATGAATTGGTCTCCTAACCTCTCATCTCTCTTCCACTTAAAGATTGTTTCTTTACCGGGGTACTCAAGTGAAATTACATTCATTAAGATGGTCTCTAACCCAAAAAGGCTATCCTGCATTGTGCCTATCTAAAGGGGAAATTCAGAAATGGAGACATACCTACAGGGAAGAAAATGTGAAGTGCCATAGGGAGAAGTGGGCCATCTACAAGCTAAGAAGAGATACCTGGAAGAGATCTTTCCCTCTTTCTACTCAAAAGGAACCAACCCAGCTGACACTTTCATTTGGACTTCCGTCTTCCATAACTGTGAACAATAAATTCCTGCTGTTTAAGCCACCAGGTGTTCGGTATATTTACAGGATAACAGACAAAACTAATAGGGATTCCATTGCCATGCAGTGGGGCGATTCAATAACCAACACCTGAAAGAGTGGAAGCGGCTTTGGAACTAGGTTAAGGATTGAGGATGGAAACGTTTTGATATGCATGACACAATGAACCTAGAGCGCCTTAAGGAGACAGCCTGGGGAAATACGGAGGCCAAATGCATTTCAAATGAGGGTTTAGAAAGAATTATTTGCTGTAGAGAAAGGATCTCTGACTTAGAGAATATATATGTTATGATCATTGATATGTTGCTAGAACTATGAGTGTTAAAGGTGCTTGTGGTGAGTTATCAGACAGAAACGCAGAAGATGTTATTGGAAGCTTGAGGAAAAGTGATCCTGGATTTACAGTGGCCAAGAATTGGCCTGTATTGTGTTCTCAATGTTTTTGAGGAAGGTAGAAACTGTAAGTGATGAACTTGCACATGCAGCTGACTTCTAGTGTTGGAGCTCAGAGCACCATACCCCAAAATGACGGCCTCAGAAGTAGTGTCAGATGTAACAGATTTTCTATGACTTTCTCAGTCCTCCTGTCTCTCAGTCCCATTCTGTCCCCAGAGCATACAGGCCAGAATCCCTCTTCACCAAGAAGCCCTTTTTTTCTAAAGATAGTCGCAAAACCTAAAAGTGGTATTCAATTTTTTTTCCAACTTTTCTTGTGTAAAACTGGCCATATGGAGATAATCTGACCTACCTTGTTTGACTGCAGGTCACAAGACGGCCATTACAGAGAGGATCCTGCCCCATACCCAGGAGAAAGACACGTGTGCTCAGAGAGGCCAAGCACAGTCTAGACAGACAGGCCCTG
Organism: Homo sapiens; assembly: GCF_000001405.40. Lineage (NCBI taxonomy): Eukaryota > Metazoa > Chordata > Mammalia > Primates > Hominidae > Homo > Homo sapiens. Next base: position 104,001,251 of record NC_000023.11, on the reverse strand, counting down.
CCAGGTTTCCCCACTCAGCCTATTGGCATTAGATCATAGTCTTTTCGTCCCCTCATATTTCCACAGGGCTGCCTATACTTTGTTGAACCTGAGCATACAAACAGGCAATTTCCTCTGTATCTTTCTGACCTTATTCCAAAGGCTGCCATGTATATATGTTAAATTTGTATTCCTTTTCTCCTGTGAATCTGCCTTTCGCCAGTGGATTTCTCAGCAAACCTTCAGACAGTTTGGCATAGAGAGCAGGGTCACCAAAGCCAGTCTGCTCTTCTGGAACCTGCAGTTAAGGGAATGCAGGAAACTGGCAAACTGGCAAAGGGTGAGAATTTCTTACCAGTCAGGCTCCCAGGTTCTCTCTTGGTGCAACCCAGTTGGGCAGATGGTAGAAAACAAATCTCTCTGTTTGCCTTCTCTACAAGGTTTCATGCCTGGGAGGCAAAAATCTGTGTGTGACAAGTCTGGATATACTGACTCTTGTATACTTTACACCACTTTGTGGTATGAACATTCATATTGTTTGATCTCTTTCCTGCCAGAAATGGTGCATTCCTTTGTCTTTGTCTTTCTGTGTTGTTCATAGAGAGGGTTACAGGGAGAAAGTTCACTCTCATCTTGATCTGTGTTCTTGAGAGCTTGATTTGTGAGCAAGAGGAAACACTCTCTCTTGCTCTCCACCATGCAGGGGAAGTGATTTTTGAGTCACAGCAGGCGTCTGGTGTAGGAAATCTCTTCGCTGGGAAGTGGAGAGATTTTGTTTTGTTCCGAGTGTGCCAAGCTCTCAGCAGGGTTTGTCACAAGAAGTCCCGTCCAGAAGGGGCTTTGTCATCTCTAACTTTATTGCCTAGGGCAGGGATCACCAACCCATAATCCAGGGAATGGTATAGGGCCTTGGTCTGTTAGGAACCAGACCATACAGCAGGAGGTGAGCACCAGCAAGCAAGGGAAGCTTCATCTGTGTTTACAACCACTACCCACTGCTGGAATTACCGCCTGAGCTCTACCTCCTGTCAGATCAGCAGCAGTAGTGTCTCATAAAAGCATGAAGACTCTGGTGAACTGCACATAAGAGGGATCTTAGGTTGGGTGGCACACTCCTTATGGGAATCTAATGCCTGATGATATGTCACCCTTCCCCATCACCCCCAGGTGAGAACATCTAGTTGCAGTAAAACAAGCTCAGGCCTCCCACTGATTCTACATTATGATGAGTTGTATAATTACTTCATTATATATTACAATGTAATAATAATAGTAATAAAGTGCACAATAAATTTAATGGCCTTGAATCATCCCAAAACCATCCCCCAAATGCCCCAATGTCCATGGAAAAATTGTCTTCCATGAAACCGGTCCCTGGTGCCAGGAAGGCTGGGGACCACTGGTCTAGCTAGCAAGTGCTGGCAAACTGCCGTCTCAGGAGTCATTTGCTGTCATAGGCTATCTCTGAAAATGGGGAATCTTCGGGATTACTTCTTCTCTGAAGAGGCTACTGCATCCAGTCAGTATTGAAATTCAGTGCACTATTGAGAATCCTATTTGTCAATGGCCAAAAGATCGATCCTTTAAATTAGCCTCCTCAATTTTATTAAATTTTAGAGATTTCTTATTCTAACCAATTGATAGAAAGGTAAAGTCTATAAAAGGACACATAATGGTATGACCGCTATCCTTAAAACTTTCCTTGACAAAAAGAGAGCAAAAAGTCCAACCTAAAGAAAGTTAAACTCCTGTGTCTGCTCAAACTGCCCCTGTGAGCATAACAACAAAGGCGTCTCCACCTTGTGGTCTTTTAATTCAAATTCTGTGCTTTCACCTCGATGCCATGGTTTGCATTCCTGGACAGGAAACCAGCCCCTCTCGGTTTAATATTTGTGTGACTTTGGGGAAGTACCTATTTCATATTGATCTTTTTCCCTTCGTTGGATTGCTTTTGATTTCCTGTCTTTTTCCATCTGTGACAAGGGCACATGAGTCCCTTTGGTTATTGTGTGTAGATAGCTGAGAATCTAAGACCCTAGAAAATTTGATGAGACAAACATGTGGGCTGTATCCTGTTAATGCCTAGCAAAACTTCCTTTTCTCTTTGAGCTGTCTCTGGGGTTTGGGTCAGTTCTGGATCTTGTGAAACTAATTTCCCCTCTTTGGAGACACCTTCTGCATCATTGCTTAAGTCACAATCTTGGATAAACTTAACTGAAAAGATAACTTTATTTTACAGATAACAAAGCAAACAACAAAGGTCAAAAGCCAGAAATATCAGCTGTTTGCCCTGGTTAAAATCTAATGAGAAGAAATTTCAAAGGATTTTTAAAGAGCTCGATAGTGAAAAATCAACTCAATATATGTTAATACTTATGATACACACACATGTTGATTTGCTGGCGTGATGACTGAATAGGAACAGCTGCAGTCTGCAGCTCCCAGGAAGATCGACATAGAAGGCGGCAATTTCTGCATTTCCAACTGAGGTACCCTGTTCATATCATTGGGACTGGTTGGAAAGTGGGTGCAGCCCACAGAGGGCAAGCCGAAGCAGGGTGGGGCACCACCTCACCCGGGAAGTGCAAGGGGTTTGGGAATTTTCTCCCCTACCCAGGGGAAGCTGTGAGGGACTGAGCCTGAAGAACCATGGACTCTGGCCCAGATACCGTGCTTTTCCCACGGTTTTTGCAACCCACACACCAGGAATTTCCCCCGGTGCCTACCCCACCAGGGCCCTGGGTTTCAAACACAAAACTGGGCGGTCATTTGGGCAGACACCGAACTAGCTGCAGGAGTTTTTTGTTTGTCTGTTTGTTTGTTGTTTGTTGGTTTGTTTGTTTGCCATACCCCAGTGGCGCCTGGAACGTCAATGAGACAGAACAATTCACTCCTCTGGAAAGGGGTGCTGAAGCCAGGGAGCCAAGTGGTGTGGCTAAGCAGGTTCTACCCCTACGAAGCCCAGCAAACTAAGATCCACTGGCTTGAAATTCTCACTGCCAGCACAGCCACACCCTGAGATCGACCTGGGATGCTCAAGCTTGGTGGGTGGAGGGGTGTCCACTATTGCTGAGGCTTGAGTAGGCAGCTTCATCCTCACAGTGTAAACAAAGCCGCCAGGAAGTTTGAACTGGGCATAGCCCACTGCAGCTTAGCAAGCCACTGTGGCCAGACTGTCAGATTTCTACTCTCTGGGCAGGGCATATCTGCAAAAGTATTCCACAGACTGGCTGACTTCAACACTGCTTATTTTTTATCTCATAGTTCTGGATGCTAATTGTCACCTTTTTATGAGGAGACCAATCCTATTGGGTAGGGTCAACCCTCATAACTTCACTTTAACCAGATGACCTGTGTAGAGACTCTCTCCAAATAAGGTCACATTCTAAAACACTGGGGGCCAGGACTTCTACGTGTGCATTGTATGGAGACACAACTCCATTCATAATAGTATACCTTCGGCATCCACTCCCCTGCCCAAATTAATGTCCTCACATAAAAAATGCATTCATTTCATCACAACATTCCCAGAGTCTTAACCCACTCTGAAATCAACTCTCCAACATCTCATCTGAAAGTCTTCTATATCTGGAATGGGTGAGTCTCCAGGTATGACTCATGCTGAGGCAGAAATTCTCTCCACCACTGCACCTGTGAAGCTAGACAAGTTATCTGCTTCCGAAAGACAGTTGTGGGTCTGGTATGGGATACGGTTTATCATACCAAAAGCAGGAAATCCGAAAAACTACTGGAGTTCGTGGGTCCTAAGCACCTTTGAAACCTAGTGGGGCAAATTCTGTTAAATTCTATGGGTGGAAAAGATTCTACTTGGGCTCAATGCTTTGTCTTTCAGGCCCAAGGCAGTAACAGCTTCATACCCTAAGCCCCGGGCAGAGGGATGGGGGCTCTCCCCCAAGCCTGGGCTGCTGCAGCCCATCCCTCTGAAACCGAGGAGGTGGGACAAATGCCTGGAACTCAGAGATGACCTCCATTTCTGGGACCAAGAGAGAGATGGCCCAGTCCCCTAGTACCGTGCCCCCGGTTCTTGGGGGCAGTGACAGCCATGCCAACCTCAGAGCCAACTTTGGAGTCCTTCCCTTTCTTAAAAATGAAGAAATGGTCACAGCTGGGTACCTCAGTCAGTCCCACTCTTGTCTGTACAGTTCAGGAACTCTAACAAAAGCCTCCTTTCATTTCTTCCCATCTTTGCCCTGTTCAGTCCAGTCAGGCAACATTTTTTCTAGTATAAAATTCTCAAATACTTCTTGGCTTGCCCTGGAATTCACATGGGTCCGAGCCGTCAGACAAGAAGTTGTTTACAGATTGTTCTTGAATACCCATATCTCCCATATGTCAATTCCTAACTTCTGCAGAGATGGTTGATTGGATCCATGAGCCCCATGCCTCACATCTTTAGCTAATGGTTTTCTAGGCACACCCTTGCACCTGTTCCCAGAGCAAGGTATCTGCATCCTTTGAGTACCTTCTGAATCATCCAATCCTGGCTTTCTTTTCCTCAGTGCTTCCTTGGCTAATTTGTCTCTTTTCTCTCCCCTTTACTATAAGGATCTAGGAAAAACCAGATTAAATCCTAAGTACTTTTCTCAATTTGCCAGTGTAGCGGCCAAGGGTCACCCTGGCCTTCATAATTTCATTGAAAACTGAGCTCGCAAAAGGCAGATGATTAGGACATAAGGCATACCTAATTATTTAACGTGTATCCCCAGGAGCCTTTAGTGTTAATAGCGGAAGACACATGGGAAATTATCTATTTTTATGCCTAGGCTCAAAAGAGCATGGACAGCTGTGTATAGACATGATAGGGGAAAAAGGCTATGATCAAATGCTAATAGACTGAGTGAGGGAAAACTGGCAAGGACTGTCTGTTTAGACTCGGCTTGGCCTCTCTGAGTACAGTCCTTCCTCCTGGGTATGGGGCAGGACCCTCTCTGGAATGGGGGTCTCATGACCAACAGTCAAATGAGCTAGGTCAGATAATTTCTTTACCACCAGGGTTTTACATAGAAAGACTTGGGAGGTGGAGAATCAGATTAATGTTTTCAGTTTTTATGAACTGGCTGTGTGGGAAAGGGGCTCTGGTTTTGAAGACTTTCCTTGGGGATGAGGGATTCTGCTTTCTATGGCCAGCCTCAGGGGAGAATGGGAATGAGAGAAAGGAGGGCAGAAGAAGGTCAGAGAGAAACTTGTGCTTCTGAGGCTACTTCTGAGGCCTTCATTTTGGGCTACTGTTTTCTGAGCTGCAACAGAATTCCTCAGTATGAATCTTCCCCAAGGAGTAGTTTCACAGTGCAGAAACTGGGTTGTTGGATTGTCTTATACAAGGCTTGAACCAGTCTCTCAGGACTGAGAATAGGCCGGTCGAGTCAGACAGCTAACTGTTGTTTCTCATTTTAGGCAGTAAATTTTTAGAGGGGCTTCTACCAGAGTTAGTCCTATGTATGATTCAAGCAATCAGATATTTATCAGGAGACATTTCTATGGGAACAACAACAAACACAAGTTAATGGTTAGAACAGAGTATAAACTCAGCTTTCAAGTTTAGAGGGCAGTCAGTTGAGATTATTAGATGTTCTGCTTGAAGCATCTTTGGCTAAAGTGAGAGCAGATAGTGACGATTGGACAGATTGTTCTTGGTGTGGAGTTTGCATCAGGTGTTCCAGTGAACCTTTTCACGAGTCTGTACCTCAACAAGCCTGAAAGCTGTTCATATCAAACTTGCTATAGTCATTTCTCTCAAAGTGTATGTCAGATTTTCTAGTTTCAGCTTGCAGGGCCTTGGAGAAAAGCACTTTTAGTTTTAGGGATGCTTAAGTCAGTAAAAATGGGGGAAAAGTTTGAATCATTAGTGTGGAGACTTGTAGCCAGAAAAGAATTCAGGATTCATTCCAAATGGTAGGGAAAGAATCTGAACTGAAAAACAGTGCACATAGCCAGAATCTTGTAATAGGTATTTTATAGATTTTTTTTGAAACATAAATTTCTTCTCTCCAGTTTCCCATTTTTATTAAAGATGAATCACTGTAGGGCCAAATTGTTTGCAAAACAAATTTCACTCTTATTATACCTTGCCTGATTATTTGCGTAAACTGTAGCAAGAATAGTGATTGGTTGTATAGGCTCTTTTCAGTGGGCTTTGTGGAAATAATTTTTATAAGAAATTTTAGATTGGCCTTTTAGAAGCATCTCAAGTTTATAAGGGCAATCTGAGGATTTATCTGTATATGCAGATATCTGTATGAATTGTGAGAATTCCTCTCTTCTCAAAGTCCCCAAATTACCTGAGGTTCCTGGGCCTGTCAGAGAGTGACATTCTTGACTTACCACAGGAAAGGAATATTGTAAAGGAACTGCTAGCCAAAGTACCAGTCCAGTCTTTTTAAAGTACTTCTTATCAGCTCTATAAAGTCAACCTAAATTTTGCAAAGCAGTCTGGTCATATCGGAAAATATGCCTTTCTAGCAAAGCCTTGGTAAAATCAGAAGTGTTTCAAATTATGTCCTATTACTAAAGAGAACAAATTCTTACCCAACTTATGCAAATAACTGTATTGCCATGAGTTAAGAATACCCACAAATAGTTTCTCAATTTTGGAGGAATGAGGCAGAGAGAAATAGAAATTCTTCAGATTTGGCTAACAGAAGTATACTTTATCCAATGTTTTGTTAGCTATATATAGCTCAAAACAAAACAAAGAAATGTTTCTTGACTCTGGAATGGAAAACATAAAAGGAATCAGTAGTGTTTCAAAACAAAACAAAAAGGTCTTGAAAAAATCTTTAGTTTGGTGTCAGTTCAGTCCCACATAATTAACTGTTTGTTGTTCTGCTTGATGTTGGGTTAGCAACCCTCATGCCCACATTTGCTTTTCAATTGGAGCCCTGAAATGGTTTTTCCTACTCTAATAGTATGATCGCAAAAATTATGAAAAACCTTTATTTAAGAGTACTTGTGGCTGGGCATGCTGGCTCATGCTTGTAAACCCAGCACTTCGAGGGGCCAAGGCAGGCATATCACGAGGTCAGGAGTTTGAGACCAGTCGGACCATCATGGTGAAACCCTGTCTCCACTAAAAATACAAAAATTAGCTGGGCATGATGGTGTCCGCCTGCAATCCCAGCTACTCAGGAGGCTGAGGCAGGAGAATTGCTTGAACCTGGGAGGCGGAGGTTGCAGTGAGCCAAGATCACGCCACTGCACTGCAGCCTGGGCAACAGAGTGAGACTCTGTCTCAAAAAACAAACAACAAAGAAACAAAAAAAAACAAAAAAAAGTGCCTGCCAGCGTCCTTACCATGAATTTTTTAAAGAAGAAAATTTTGGACCATCACTGCTTATAAACTACTTTTTGAGAAAAATCAAAGTAAAACAAGAATTGTCAGTTCATGACAAACGTGTTTGAATAGCCATGGTGAAAGGCACAATTGACAAGGAGATTTGGTTATTTCTGTGGCATACAACAATTTAACATAATAATCATAATTATTATGAATAACATATCTCAAGACAGGCTAGAATTTTAGGAATCTCATACAATTTTGGGACCTGTATTCATAACACTGTTATACAGATATAACCCAAAGAAGTTTAAGCACAATTTCATATTTTTCAATGTTACCTGTGTGATGTTAATAGACCAAATAAGCCTAATATGTCTCTCTCAGACTTCCAGGGCCCATAATATCCAAAAAGCTGCTATGAGGTCAAAAGAGTGAATTCCAAATTTGAATGGATTTGGGGAAGTTTTTTTAATTTCAAAGGTTTCAAACTCTTGCTTACAACAGGAGCCCAGGTCACGGTAAAATAACGGTCATTTGTTTACGTAAAGTGATGAATTAAAGATTTTAAAAAGCAAAAACCTTTACTCTTTGATGGAGACGAGGCTTGGTTTCCCAAACAATCATCCAAACTGATAAGGATGGCACAAGGTCAACTGAATCTGTCTCTCTCTCTCCCTCCCTCTTCTGTTTTCTTGTGTTTATGCAAAAGGTAAACAAAAATCTTTTACTACCTATTCCCAAATTTTACCTTCACATTAGTGTATTCTTAACACCAAAGCTAATTTTCCTAGAATCTTTTAAATAAATACATTCAATTTTAGCTCGTTTGACAAGGAAAGATTTTTAATAAAGCTTTGTAAGTTTTTATTCTCTTTTTCACTTTTTCTTAGTTATTTCATTATATTTTTAAATTTAAAACAGTTCTTAATAGCTTTTAAACTAGGCAACAGTACATTTCTTCACAAAACCTACATTCGCATTTATTTTTATGACCTTTTGTAAATTCCAAAAACTCATGTTGCTTTTTAAATATGCCTTGTACATATCGTTTCTCTTATACCCAGAAGTTTTAATTGTGCATGTTTACTACAGTGTTAACTCTCAGTAGCCCTGATTATTATTGAATAACCCAGGAGGTAAGTAATTTTACATATGTATCAGATGTAGAGCCCAGGACAAAGGGCAATGCCTGGATTCAGGCCTCCCCATGGACCTCTAAAGGTTTAAATTTAAAGACATAAGTTCCCAGACAAGCAGGTATCAAAAGTATTACAGAAGTAACTGTTTAATGACCTTAAAACATCTGATAGAGACAGTATCTGACCAGCAGACTCAAACTGTCTAATTTAAGTTTCACAGACATTTTTCATTTAATTTAACAATACTTTTACAAGTATTTGAATTTACCATAGTTTATTGAGGTCTCGTGAACTTGAAAAGTATTTGGTCTAGTTATTTAATTTATGAGTACTCATTAATGTTTAAGTTCGTTTGGTACCAAGGGTAGCCAATATATAGACATATGCATAGACATATACATATATGTAGGCATAATATATAAAATTTACATGCACACGTGTGTGTATCTGAAAGCCGAAGAGGTCAAGGGGTATCATCTAAAAGAGAGCAGAGCTTTAGACTTCAGAGGAATCTGTCCACTTGCTGCTTTTGGGGTTCTGTGAGGAAACACCAAAGTTGTATCCCCCAAAAGGAGTGTCTGGAGCCTTATCTGTTTTCCTTAAGGGATCTCAGGCTGTTGCAAAGGAAAAAAAAAAAAAAAGGTTTTTGGTCCTCTCACGTGGCATCGGGATTGGCAAGAGAAAGGAGGGACAGACAGGAGTAAATGGAGAAATCGACAAAGGGAGCACATATGCTTAGCAGGGGTGCAAGAAGAGAGGAATTTAATTGGCTGAGAATTTTTTACAGAGAACAGAGGCTTTAAAACTCTGTCTCTCTGTCTCTGTCTCTGTCTCTGTCTCTCTCTCTCTCTCTCTCTCTCTCTCTCTCTCTGTGTGTGTGTGTTTGTGTGTATCTTTTTTTTTTTACACTTCAAGTTCTGGGGTACTTGTGCAGAACTTGCAGTTTTGTTACACAGGGATACACGTGCCATGGTGGTTTGCTGGACCCATCAGCCTGTCACCTACATTAGGTATTTCTCCTAATGCTATCCCTCCCCTAGCCCCCCAACCCCCAACAGGCCCTGGTGTGTGACGTTCCCCTCTCTGTGTCCATGTGTTCTCATTGTTCAGCTCCCACTTATGAGTGAGAACTTGCAGCGTTTCATTTTCTCGTCCTGTGTTAGTTTGTGGAGAATGATGGTTTCCAGCTTCTTCCATGTCCCTACAAAGGACATGAACACATCCTTTTTTATGGCTGCATAGTATTCCATGGAGTATATGTGCCACATTTTCTTTATCCAGTCTATCACTGATGGACGTTTGGGTTGGTTCCAAGTCTTTGCTATTGTGAATAGTGCCGCTATACACATATGTGTACATGTGTCTTTACAGTAGAATGATTTATAATCTTTTGGGTATATATCCAGTAATGGGATTGTTGGGTCAAATGGTATTTCTAGTTCTACATCGTTGAAGAATTGCCACAGTGTCTTCCACAATGGTTGTACTAATTTACACTCCCACCAACAGTGTAAAAGCGTTCCTATTTCTCAACATCCTCTCCAGCATCTGTGGTTTCCTGACTTTTTACTGATCGCCATTCTAACTAGCATGAGATGGTATCTCACTGTGGATTTGATACGCATTTCTGTAATGACAAGTGATGATGAGCATTTTTGCATGTTTGTTGGCTGCATAAATGTCTTCTTTTGAGAAGTGTCTGTTCATATCCTGTGCCCACTTTTTGATGGGGTTGTTTGTTTTTTTCTTGTAAATTCGTTTAAGTTCTTTGTAGATTCTGGATATTAGCCATTTGTCAGATGGATAGATTGCAAACATTTTCCCCCATTCTGTAGGTTTCCTGTTCACTCTGATGGTAGTTTCTTTTGCTGTGCAGAAACTCTTTTTGTATAAGATGTAAGTCAGGGACCCAGTTTAAGTGTTCTGCATATGGCTAGCCAGTTTTCCCAACACTATTTATTAAATAGGGAATCTTTTCCCCATCGTTTGTTTGTGTCAGGTTTGTCAAAGATCAGATGGTTGTAGATGTATGGTGTTATTTCTGAGGCCTCTGTTCTGTTTCATTGGTCTATGTATCTGTTTTGGTACCAGTACCATGCTGTTTGGTTACCATAGCCTTGTAGTATAGGCATGATGCCTCCAGCTTTGTTCTTTTTGCTTAGAATTGTCTTGGCTATATGGGCTCTTTTTTGGTTCCATATGAACATTAAAGTAGTTTTTTCCAATTCTGTGAAGAAAGTCAATGGTAGCTTGATGTGGACAGCATTGAATCTATAAATTACTTTGGGCAGTATGGCAATTTTCACGATATTGATTCTTCCTATCCATGAGCATGGAGTGTTTTTCCATTTGTTTGTGTCCTCTCTTATTTCCTTCAGCAGTGGTTTGTAGTTCTCCTTGAAGAGGTCCTCCACATCCCTTGTAAGTTGGATTCCTAGATATTTTATTCTCTTTGAAGCAATTGTGAATGGGAGTTCACTCATGATTTGGCTCTCTGTTTGTCTGTTATTGGTGTATAGGAATGCTTGTGATTTTTGCACATTGATTTTGTATCCTGAGACTTTGCTGAAGTTGCTTATTAGCTTAAGGAGATTTGGGGCTGAGACGATGGGGTTTTCTAAATATATAATCATGTCATCTGTAAACAGAAACAATTTGACTTCCTCTCTTCCTAATTGAATGCCCTTTATTTCCTTCTCTTGCCTGATTTCCCTGACCAGAACTTCCATTACTATGTTGAATAGGAGTGGTGAGAGAGAGCATCCTTGTCTTGTGCCGGTTTTCAGAGGGAAGGCTTCCAGTTTTTATCCATTCAGTATGATATTGGCTGTGGGTTTGACATAACTAGCTCTTATTATTTTCAGATACATTCCATCAATACCTACTTTATTGAGAGTTTTTAGCCTGATGGGGGGTTGAATTTTGTTGAAGGCCTTTTATGCATCTACTGAGATAATCATGTGTTTTTTATCATTGGTTCTGTTTATGTGATGGATTACGTTTATTGATTTGTGTATGTTACACCAGCCTTGCATCCCAGGTATGAAGCTGACTTGATTGTGATAAATAAGCTTTTTGATGTGCTGCTGGATTCGGTTTGTCAGTATTTTATTGAGGATTTTCGCATCGATGTTCATCAGGGATATTGGTCTGAAATTTTCCATTTTTTTTTGTTGTGTCTCTGCCAGGTTTTGGTATCAGGATGATGCTGGCCTCATAAAAATGAGTTAGGGAGGAGTCCCTCTTTTTCTATTGTTGGGATAGTTTCAGAAGGAATGGTACAAGCTCCTCTTTGTACCTCTGGTAGAATTCGGCTGTGAATCCATCTGGTCCTGGACTTCTTTAGGTTGGTAGGCTATTAATTACTGCCTCAATTTCAGAACTTATTATTGGTTTATTCAAGGATTTGAGTTCTTCCTGGTTTAGACTTGGGAGGGTATAAGTGTCCAGGAATTTATCCATTTCTTCTAGATTTTCTAATTTACCTGCATAGAAGTGTTTATAGTATTCTCTGATGGTAGTTTGTATTTCTGTGAAATCAGTGGTGATATCCCCTAATGAATGTAATTTAACTTGAGTATCCCAGTAAAGAAACCATCTTTAAGTAGAATAGAGATGAGAGGTTAGGAGTCGGATTCACGTATTTGGTGTGGCAGAGGCAGCGGGGGGCACAACTGAACAAATAGAACAAAGGAATCCTGAGTTGTAGATGTGGATATCTCCAGCCTCCTCCAGTATGTTAAGAGAACAATGGTGACTGATGAAGGGAAATAAGGTGATCCCTACGCATGTTTTTAAAAGTCCACTTGAATTTTGAGTAATTTTATTGTATATATTATATATATGCATATACAATATATATATATGCATATACAATATATATATATATATATTTGTCCTTCTCCAGCTCAAAAGGGAGAGAAGATACTCTGTGATTTCAATCCTCAGAAATGTATGACTATTTGCTTTAAAGTCCTAGATTTGGGTAATTTTGTTAAGTGTTTCATTTGCACTTTTATAATAACTTGTAAACCCCACCATTCAGTAGCATGTACAAACTTTTAAGGGACTTCACTGTCAGAGAAACCATGCGACTAACGTTGGATAGTCCTCAAAAATGAACGCCTTTCTGTAGTCCATCAGAAGGAGCTTAGCACCCTCCAGGAGAGACAAAACACAAAGGTGCTTTAACTTTGGTAGACTCCTGTGATGTCAGGTAAATGAATGGGGGTAAGGGAGGATACTAGGGGAAGCATCCCTGAGTAGCCCAGGCATGAAGGGCGCAATGTTTGATCAAGGAGTGGGAATACATGTCTATATTTTTAAGACCTAAATCACAAGAATTCTGGTGGGACAGGATACCTTCAGGACTCTCCTTGGGATCATGAGGGTGAAGATTTAGGATACAGAGCCACCTCAGAAGAATCATTACTTATTTTTATTCTGGGAAATTAAGCAAGTATCATGAAACGACTTGGAAAAACTTTTTTTTTTCCTAAGCAGACCAGGAGAAACTACCACAATTCAACTGCAAGTCAATCCCTCTGGGTGGTGCCTTGAATTTGTCTTAAACTATTGGAAACCAAAGGATCTCTGCGGGCATGTGCACACTTTCCAAAACAGAACTCTGCACATCAGAGGGAAAAAAAAACCATAATTTCTCTACAAATCACTTAATTTCTGTCATACTCATTGCTACTGCTTCAAAATGCCAGTATTTGTCCATACAGCATTCAAAAATGCATCAGAAGCGGGCTGTAGACTTGAAGCCCGGAAGCTCAAAGCTGACTGACACTAATGAAATTTAGGAAGGAGTTGAGGGAAATGGGGTTTGATGTGGAAGATCCAAGGGGAGTTGAGGACATCTGATTGTTGACTTCAGCGGATGCAGGAGGAAAAAGGACGCCTAGGGAGGCTTCGTGATCTGATGGTGAGGTTTACGGAAAGGACAATCTAAAAGGAAATGGTTTTACTGCTTCTGTGACAAAGTATAACTGTCAACCTAGAAAACAGATGTATTAATACGACAGACGTAACCAACCAGGTTGTTTCTTACAACAGGACCCATATTATGGACATCATTTAAATATCTAGGGCCCGGCACAGTGCCTGTAATCCTACCACTTCAGGAGTCCAAGGCGGGTGAATCAATTGAGTTCAGGAATTCGAGATCAGCCAGGGCAACATGGGGAAACCCATCTCTACCAAAAATACAAAAATACACACACACACACACACACACACACACAAATTAGCCAGGCGCAGTGACACATGCCTGCAGTCTCAGCTTCTTATGGGGCTGAGGTAGGAGAATCGCTTGAACCCAGATTGTCCAGTCTACACTGAGCCGAGATGGCGTCATTGCTCTGCAGCCCGGGTGACAAAGTGAGACCCAGTCATAAGAAAAAACTAAAAAAGATATATAATGTAAAATACATATATGTAACATATATATATATATATATAAACTATATAAAAAGAATAAATAAATATCTTAGTATCACCCATCCACAAAATGTATGTGTTTTTGATGACACAAGTACATCATAAAGTTCAAGAATCAATACCTCTCCAAGCTCCCTAGAAACTGAAGTTATTACTCCAACTACTTCTAATGTATCTGATTCTGTCTGTTCTTTTCCAGGTTATATTGTTTTATTTCTGGAAATACCCACCTTCATGACTTGGAACTAACGCATCGTTGGGATGATGGAAACGTCCAATCAGAGGGGTCCAAGCCCCACTTTCCACTGGCTCAGTCCATGGCCATTGGCCCACAGTGCTTGTTCAAACAGTGTGGGATAAGGTCGCTCCTGTAGTCACTCCCTAAATTCCTCCGGTGGCCTGAAACCTGTCCTCTCTAGAACGCTGAGGTGTGTGCTGTCGTAGGCTCCATAGAGAGGGATGGATTGTCATTGGAGTGCCACATTTTAGGGGAGCCCTGAAAGAGGAGGTTGATGAGGGAATTTGGAACACTCGGGGGCCCCTAATCTGGAGGCTCAGATATTGAGACCAGGTTCTAGTCAAGCTACTATTAACAAGTACTGATTTCCCATATTCTCCTTAATGTTGTTCTGTGTGTCTGTTTATGTATGGCCAGGGCCCCAGAAGGGAGAAAGAGCATCTATAATGGTTAGAAACTCCATGCCACTTAAGGGCAATCACTGCGGCATGGAGAAGGAGGATCCACTAAATGGGAGAGGTCACCCTATAGTGATAGGTCCAACCTAAAACCATTAGAGAGCCTACCGCTTTGACCCAGAGAGTAAAGCACCTCTTCTTTTATGCACATGCTCCATGTGTACCACCCAGCAGCATCTCAAGAATTGTATGCTGAATAGGCCGCATCTCAGAAAGACTGCTCATTCCTGAATGCTCTTCCCGTTGGCCCATTGGTCGCATCTGTTTGCCCCTCCCTCTGGGCTCCCGACAAGCCTGTGATGGCTTTGACACATGGAGAATGGTGGACGTTAGCCTGTCCCAGAGGTAACCTTTCAGAGGACTAGAATGGCCTCTGCCTGGCTGTCTGAGAGCTCTGAGCTGCCACGAAAGAAGCCCACCTCTCCTGCTGGAGACACCACAGTGATATGCTCTGAGGGGCCTTGGAGAGGTGCAGAGGCCCAGCTGAGCTCAGCCCTCCAGCCAGCCCCTCCAAGGCATCAAGTATGCCAGTACAAGGTGTCTGGGACCTTCCCCAATGACCTTAGGCATAGGGTGAATAAATAGCACTGAGTGCGGCTCCTCTGGCTTCTATTTGCAAGGGACACTTAAGCACAGTGGAGCCTGTCTCCTCATTGCATCATAGGTCACATGGGTGATCTTGTGGCCTGGTTCTCACTCACGGATCTGTAGGAGTGAAATGCCCATCGTGGGCTCCCAAGGGATTCAACATCTTCTAGGCTAACAAATGTCTTCCAAGGAGGCTCGCTTGACCCGGGCTTGTTCTACAGTTCATCTCGAGGATGGCCTGTGGGTAGGTCATCAGCTACTATTTTGGGGGATACTGGAGCCACTGTGGAATTCCCTGGGACAGTTGCCTTGAGGTTTAGCGTGACTCATCCCCTCTCCATTTCTCCCCCTGTCCTGGAGCGACTATATCCCCTTTCCTAAGCTCGAGGACCCGCTGAATCCTATGTCTTTATTGCGTACAGCTTTCTCTCAAGCAGGCCTGCCTCTGCCGGGTAAAAGCACGGGGCAGGCAGTCGTACTCTGGGCTCTACATCTGTCCCTCCTGCCAACCACCCTTTCGCAGGCATTCATTAGAAACTTAATCTAGCATAGTACTTGATGCCTGTCAGGGCTACTTACTCATGATGCGACCTTGGTAGCGGTTGACACAATCTGTCTGATATAACTCAAAGGAGAATCAATGCCTGCACATCCTGGAAGAGAGCTAGGAGGGGAATGAGTGAGGACTACACTTGTGTGCATTACCTACACAGCCGAGTGCCTGCCACATGGTACCCTAAGATGCCCAATGAAAAATGGTTACGATGGTGTTTATTGTAGTGCTGGATGCTGGAAGGTGAGGAAGGATGAGATGTGGCCCCATGGTCTGTGACATTGCAACTGAGGGGACAACTAGCACAGGAATGATCCCCAAGGATTATCTAGAGAAGGCAGCAGGTGATCAAGGCCGCCATGCCTGCATGCTGGGGGTCAGAGGGGAGGAAGAGGAAGAGGCAGGGAACTCACCACAGGCCTGCACCAGACACCGCATCTAGCATGCTACATGGACTCTCTCTTTCCTTCCTCATCACAATCCGTCTGTGGGGATGTGGCAAATAGTATGGCCATGTCACAGTTGGAGATCCTGAGATTCAAGGAGGGAGTAGTGGCTCTAGGCTGGGAGGGTCAGGACATCTTCACAGGGGAGTCAGGATTTGAGCCAAGACCTGAAAAGTGAATAGGATTCAGATAGGGAGACGGTGGGTGGAGGAAAGGAGGTGGTATGGGAAGCCAGGTTCCTTGGCCGTGAGGGGGAATAGCTTGCCACAAAGCCCCGAGTGGGTAGTGCCCCAAGCCAGGAGCACTGTAAAGTTGCTCCCCAGCAACTTCCCGTCAGGACTCAGAGCAGAATTATCTCCACCGCTTCACTAACATGTGGCTCAGGAGGGAAAAGTCATTGTCCCTTATCTCACTGTCAGCCCGAAGCAAACAGATGGGGCCCAGGTAGCCAGGAGAGCGTGTTCATACAGCTGTCTGGCACTGGATCCCACCCCCACCACCTGTGATTGCCCGAGGACACGAATCTCGGTATTGGAACCACGTACAGCCGACATTCATTGGTTGCAGACTATGTATCTGGCACCCCATCTGCATCATCACCCTGGATCTTGACAACCACCTTCTAGATCTGTATTCCACAGAGGAGGAAACTGAGATTCAGAGAAGTCAAGCCACTTGCGCAAGGCAATACAGCCAGTAAGAGGCACAGCTGAGGTCTGAACCCAGATCTCCTCTGACTCCCAAACCCGTGCCCTCAATCACTCTTGCAGTCGAGTCTGGTCCCACTAGCTCACATGAGTCCTAAGACCCAAACAGACGTTCTCACGATGTTGTGTCATTTTCCCATGTTAATGCAGCCTAGCCACACTAGTTGCCTCCAGGAAATAAAGTCACCAGAACTTCAAAGAGAAGACAAAAAAAAAGCTATTAAAAGTAAATTGGTCTCATTACCCAAGAACTTTAGTGTTTCAAACCCCAAAGGATGCCCTTATTCTATCCCCAGATCTTTCCCCTAGAAGGGTGGCCACGCGTCCTGATTTTGCCTGTTGTCCCAGCCCGATGATTCATAGTGCTGCATTTACTCTGAAAGCTGCCCCCATATGTATTCAACAAGAAATTATGTGCTCACCTTACCTATGAAAAGGCAAAGAAGCCTCACACATCAGGTCTTTGGGAACCCTGGTGCACCATGCTGAACGAGGATCTGCAGCTTTCTCAAGAGAAAGTGGGCTCCTGGAGGAAGAAATAAGGAATAAACAGATGAGGAGTATGATTTAGAGAGGATTCGTAGTACCACCGAGCTTTTTTGGAACTGGAGTGGTCGCAGAACAGGAGTGGAAGAATGCGTGGAATGCAGAGCTCGCCCTAGTTGAGAGTGGGCGGGGTTGAGCACCTGCTCCGTGGCAGGTGAGAGGCGGGGAGCATGTCGACAGACACCCACTGTGATTGCCAAGCAACAGGACCATCGAGTTGCCTCTGAGGCCGGGAGGATTGCTGGTAGGCTCCCTGCTTGGCACTTCATTCAGTCAGATGTGGAGTTGGTGGCCTGTGACGTAACCATGTGGTGACTATAAAAGGCCCTCCCGCCTGTGGTCAACCATCATTGTCTGTTCCTCACATCCACTGGCAGTTGCCTCTGAGATGGTTAAGCCTTCCTCTGAGACGACCTCTGACAAAGGCCTGAGCACGAAGGAGCGGAAAGCGGCCGATGCCACTATGGCCCACAAGCAGCAGCAGAAGACAAGCAGCTGATATTTCTGGGTTTTGACCTTTTCTTGTTTGTTTTGTTTTCTGTAAAGTAAAGGTATCGTTCCAGTAAGTTTCACCAAGATTATGACACAACCAAGGATGCCTGAGGTGTCTTCAAAGGGGCGGAAAGTAGATTTCACAAGGTCCAGAATTGCCCCAAACCCCAGACGGCTCAAAGAGAAAAGAAAGTTTTGCTAGCCTTTCACAGGATACAACCCACATATTTGTCCTACCAAATTTTCTAGGATCTTAGATTCTCAGCTATCTCCACAAGAAGGCCAAAGGGCCTCATGTGCCCGCATCGCAGGTGAAGGAAGACAGGAAATCAAAAGCAATCCAAGGAAGGGAAAAGGGTCAATAAGAAATAGATACTCCCCAAAAGTCACACCAATATCCAACCAAGAAGGGCGGGTTTCCTGACTAGCAATGCAACCCACGGCGTTGAGGCGAAAGTGCAGAATTTGGACTCGAAGGTCACAAGGTGGAGTGGCCTTTGTTGTTATTCCCACATGGGGCAGTTTGAGCAGACACAGGAGGTTATCTTTGTTTTGGTCTGATTTTTGCTCTTCACTTTTGTCAAGCCAAGTTTTAAGGCTAGCTGCCACACCATGATGTATCTTTTTATATATTTAACATTTTTATCAATCGGTTAGAATGACAAATCTCTAAAATCCTTTTAACATAATTTAGTGGGTTAATTTAGAGGATCAATCTATTGGCCATTGACAATTAGACTTCTCAATAGTGTACTGAAGTTCAATAGCGACTGGATGCCATACCCTCTTCAGAGAAGAAGTAATTCCAAAGATTGCCCCTATTCCCAGACATAGGCTAAGATAAGAAATGATTCGTGGGATTGCAGTTTGCCAACATGAGATAGCTAGACCAGCGGTCCCCAACCTTTCTGGCACCAATAACCGGTTTCAGGGAAGACAATTTTTCCACAGAACGTCATTGAGGGGATGGTTTTGGGATGACTCAAGTGCATTACACTTATTGTGCACTTTATCTCTATTATTATTATTATATTGTAATGTGTAATGAAATAATATTACGACTCACCATAATGTAGAATCAGTGGGAGCCCTGAACTTGTTTTCCTGCAACTAGATGTTCCCATATGGGGGTGATGGGGACAGTGACAGATCGTCGTTCATTAGGTTCCCATAAGGAGTGTGCAAGCTAAGATCCCTCTATCTCCAATGTAACTATTAGACTCCTGACCCCTCATCTCTCTCCTACTTGCAGGTAGGACCTTTACTGGGGTACTCAAGTTAAATTACATTCATTAGGGTGCGCTCTATCCAAAATGACTAGTATGCATTTTGCATACCAAAAGGGGAAATTCAGACACAGAGACATGTGTTCAGGGAAGAAAATGTGAAGTGGCATGGCGAGAACTGGGCCACCTACAAGCCAAGGAAAGATCCCTGGAAGAGATCCTTCCCTCTTACTACTCAGAAGTAACCAACCCAGCTGACGCTTTGATTTGGACTTCCAGCCTGCCGAACCACGACAATAAATTTCTGCTGTTTATCCCACCAGGTTTGTGGTACTTTGTCAGAATGACCCTAGCAAACTACTAGAGGTTCTGTTGCCAAGCAGTGGGATGATGTGATAAGGAACATCCGAAAGACTGGAAGAGGCCTTGGAAGTAAGTAATGCATACAGGCCAGAAGTGTTTTGATATGCACGACACAAGAAGCCTAGAGTGCCTTTAGGAAATGGCGGGGGAAAATATGAACACCAAATGACATTGAAACGAGGGTTAAGAAAGAGTTCTTTGCTGTAGAGAAAGGATCTCTGACTTAGAGAATACATATATCATGACCACCGAAATGTTGCTAGAACTATGTGTATTAAAGGTGCTTCTGGTGTGTTTTCAGATGGAGACTAGGAAGAGGTTATTGGAAGCATGAGGAAAGGCCATCCTAGTTTTACAGTGGCAAAGGCTTGGGCTGTATTGTGTTCCTAGTGTCTTTGAGGAAAGTAGAAATTGTAAGTGATGAACATGCACATGTAGCTGATTTCTATTGTTGGAGCTCAGGGCACAATACCCCAAAATGAGGGCTTCAGAAGTAGTCTCAGATGAAAAAGATTTTCTCTGACATTCTTGGTCCTCCTGTCTGTCAGTCCCATTCTACCCCAGGGGCTAAACATAAAGACCAGAATCCCTCTTCCCGAAGGTGGGTCCAAGAAATCAGAAGCTCTTTTTTCTAAAGGTAGTCACAAAACCTAGAAATGTATTGTAACATTTTCCACATTTTCATGTAAAAACTGTCTGTGAAAAAATCATCTAACCTATCTCGTTTGAAAGGAAGTCACAAGATCGCCATTCCAGAGAGGGTCCTGCCCCGTATCCGGGAGGAAGTACTGTGTGCTCAGACAGGCCAAGCGGAGTCTAGACACACAGGCCTTGTCGGGTTTCCCCCACTCTGTCTATTGGCATTAGATCATAGCCTTTTTGTCCCATCATATTTCTACACGGCTGTCTGTATTCCTTTGAGCCAAGGCATAAAAACAGATAATTTCCCATGTGTCTTTGGCTATTAACACTAAAGGCTCCCGGGGATACACGTTGTATAAGTTGGTATGCCTTATGTCCTATGGATCTGCCTTTTGTGACTTCAGTTTTCAGCGAAACTTAAGAGGAGCAGGGGGAACCTTGGTCACTACACTGGCAAACTGAGAAAAGTTTTTAGGATTTAATCTGGTTTCTCCTAGATCTGTATATTAAATGGGAGAGAAGAGAGAGAAATTAGCCAAGGAAGCACTAAGGAAAAGGAAGCCAGCATTGGATGGTTCAGAAGGTACTCAAAGTATGCAGACACCTTGCTCTGGAAATAGGTGCAAGGGTGTGCCCGGAAAACCATTAGCCTAAGAGGAGAGACATGTGGCTCAGATCCAATCAACCATCTCTGCAGAAGTTAGGAATTGAGATAAGGGAGATATGGGTATTCAAGAAAGATCTTTAGACAACTTCTTGCCTGATGGCCTGGACTCATGTGAATTCCATGGGAAGCCAAAAAATTTTTGAGAATTTTATACCAAAAAAATGTTGCCGGAATGGACTGAACCAGAAAAAGATGGGATGAAATGCAAGGAGGCTGTTAGAGTTCCTGGACTGTACCGGCAAGAAAGGGACTGACTGAGGTACCCAGCTGTGACCGTTTCTTCATTTTTGAGACAGTGAAGAAGGACTAGAAAGTTGGGTCAGAGGTTGGCATGGCCGTCACTGCCTCCAAGAACCAGGGGCACATTACTAGGGGACTGGGCCATCTCTCTCTTCGTCCCAGAAACAGAGGTCACCTCCCAAGTTCCAGGCATTTGTCCCACTTCCTCGGTTTCAGAGGGATGGGCTGCAGCAGCCCAGGCTGGGGGGAGATCCCCCACCCCGCTGCCCAGGGCTTAGGGTGTAAAGCTGTTACCCCACTGGGCCTGAAGGACAGAGCATTGAGGCCAAGTAGAATCTTTTCCATCCTTAGAATCTAATGGAATTTGCCCCCACTAGGTTTCAAAGGTGCTTAAGGTCCACGAACTCCAGTAGTTTTTCAGATTTCCTACTTTTGGTATGATAAGCCCTATCTGGTACCAGTCCCACACTGTCTTTCAGAAACAGATAACTCGTCTAGCTTCGCAGGTGCAGTGGTGGAGAGAATTCCCACCTCAGCATGAGTCACACCTGGAGACTCACCCATTCCAGACATAGAAGATTATCAGGTGAGATACTGGAGAACTGATTTTGGAGTGAGTTAAGACTTTGGGGATGTTGTGATGAAATGAATATATTTTCTATGTGTGGACGTTAATTTGTGCCGCGGAATGGATGCAGAATATGTACTAGTATGTATGGAGTTCTGTCTCCCTAAAAGTCACAGGTAGAAGTCCTGGCCCCTAGTGTTTTAGAATGTGACCTTATTCGGAGAGAGTCTCTACACAGGCCATCTGGTTAAGGTGAAGTTGTGAGGTTTGACCCTACCCAACAGGATTGGTCTCCTTACCAAAAGGTGAAAATTGGTATCCAGAACTGTGAGATTAAAAATAAATAGTGTTTAAGTTAGCCAGTCCCTGGAATGTTTTTGAAGCGGCCCTCGAAAACTAATAGAATACACCTCCATCAACAGCATTAAAATCATACAACCCATCGAGGAATCAAAGAAGTACACCCCTCTAATCACAGGTTTCCCCTTCAACTCCCATTGAACATCCCTGGACAACTAACTCTTCCTAGTTCAGACCGGGAGACCTGATCACACTTTGGGCTGTGGCCCCTCGGCTGCAGTTGCCTCACTGGCTGACATGGATCCGAGTGGAGCTTGTGCTGCGCCATCGGACAGCATTCCATGATCCCCATGACACGTAGAGGCCAGTCATGAAGATTTTCAAAAACAAAAGATTCTATCCTGAAGAAGAGCAGAATCAGATAAATCTAAACAAGTGAGATTTCATTACGAGGGAGCCTAGAATAGGTATTGTTCCTTAAACTTTTTGATGTAGTTTTCTCTGTGCTGCGTTCGGGTCCTTGCTTATGTTTTCAAATGGACTCCAGCTTACAGGGAAAGCTGATAAAATGTTTGACTGGACTATGTTTATCCCACTCATGCTATTTTCCCTACATTGATACTTCTTATTTGTTGTTTAGGTAGCAAAGCTCTTTCCCTTAGTTTGTGTTTCCTATAAGTCGCAACATGACATCATGATTGCTCGCTACGTTTCCCTTCTGCTCAATCACTCACTGAAATGCTATATCAAATGTGCGAGCTTCCTCTTCCGATCTTCGCATCAATCCACCCCCTTCCTCTTTCTTCCTATAATTCACCAACATCAGTCCCCTTGCCACCTCATTCTTCACTCCCCACAAACAAATCAGATTTCATTGTTAACCCTGTTTTACTAATCCTCCTCTTTGATTTCTGAATTTACAAAGGGAAAACACATATTCCAGGGTAAAATATCCCAATGGATCTGGTTTCTCAAAAGGACTTGTCTAATTACACACATATGCAAGGGTAACTTCAGAAATTTATTCGTATGTCTTAATTCACAGAAACATTGGCACTTTACAGCAAAACAATTAGCATAATGAGAAATAAGTCACTGAGTGAGATGTGGTGTTTTGGAACAGGTATACAGCTCTGTCTCTAGAAAGGAACAGGGTTCTGCCAAGTGTCTTTGGTTTGGCAAGGGTTGTTCTGGACTTGTAGGAACATGTGGCGGCACCATCCAGAGGGATTTACTTGCAGCTGATTTTGTGGGAGTTTTTCTTGGTCTCCTTGTGCAGTAAGTACAGCTTCAACTATTTTCATAACATTTCTCTTCAACTATTTTCATAATATTTTTCTAATATTCTGGAAAAACAGAAAGTAACAAATCCCAGTGAGTGGACTTCTTGGTTCTATATCATTTCTCTATGGATCCCAAGTGGAGCTCTGGAGGTGACCTTCCCCTCTTCCCATCTGCACTACTCAGGGAAGCTCTGGCTACTATCCTGCCCCGAACCCTTTTCCCTCTTGACCAAGGGGTCCTCTTTAAATGGTGAAATAATCTATGTGGCTATGTGTTGGGTCCCTCTGGGGTGGTTCTTTCCCACTTCTGACGGGCTCAAGAAAATTTTGATTTTTGTCATTTATCCAGCTTTTGCTTCGTGGTTTGACTGAGAGTGCCATCCTTTACTGGTTTCTACATATGAAGGAGAAGGGTTGTTTATGAGATGTTTCAAAATTTACGGGAAACATTTAACAAAAATGGCCACATATTGAGCTTCAAGGCACAACATAATAAATTCCTGTGGGTTGCAATCCCAGAGTATGTCCTCTTGTCCACATACTCGGGCGACTGGAAATCAATGGAAAAGGAAAGCAATGGGTAAGTCAGCACCTGCTCTGAAATTCAGCAATACACTTATAGAAAAAAAAAATTCTAAAAATACCAAGACTTGGGACCCAGAAGAGAGCACAATGAAAGGTAGCCTGTATTAATATTAACGTGAATATTAATATGCCAATCTTTTGAGGAAATAAGCGTTATCTGACTTCTTCTAATGGCTGACAATGCTCTGTATAACTTGATGTTAGGGTCAAGGAACGTATATTAATCTTAGCTTTGGATTCATATCCCTAAAAGACCATGATTACAAACACTGCAAACAAAAACATCAGGTAAAGAATCACATCGCCATGCCTTTAACCACCACGTGGAATATCACAGGAAGGCTGTTGTGGGTTCAGCTTCGGTCACTCGTCCCACATTGGGACAATGAGTGTTGCTCATAGACTTCAGGTCACTCATTGGCTGCACCACTGTACACTAGGGCATGAGCTGTTTCCGTGGACACTCTGTAATTCTACTGACACACATCTGGAAGGAAGGAAGGTTTCTGTTCAAAAAGAAACGAAATGATTATTGTCAGTGCAAAAAGAGAATGAATTGCAATAGTGATCTCAGAGTCAGGGAAGCTGGAAAACGAATGGATTCTTGAAAATTTATTTAGCTATATGTACACTGTAACTGTGCCTCGTTTGCTTATTTACATGGATTCATGGGGAGAAAGATGCTGAACACTTTTAGCAGGGTTACCTTGCTTCTTATATCAGCGTATTCACTTTCTCTCTTGCCATATCGCACATAATGAAGTTCTGGAAAATTCCACCATCCAGTTGTAGGAGAATGAGAGTGAAAAGGGTAAACATCAGTACATTGATAATATCACCACAAAGATAACCTAGAAAGATAACTGATAAAAACGGCCATTTAGGAAACTGAGGACATGAAACACGATTACGGAAACACCCCCTACTTTTCCTTGGAGCATATTGCACTACAGATGTATTGGAGTTGACAGTGTTTTGCACTGTGGGAAAAATGCTTGAAAAACCGCAGAAGGCCACACGCCACATGCTCCCCAAGCCAGAACGGTGCCACCCACCCCAATCTCCAGTGGGGTCCCCTCCTTGGCAGGCCACTGGTCTTTAGGGCCACGTGTGGTGGTTCTGAACAGAGCATTTGGCTTTCCCGGGTGCTCGGGCGCTCCTGAGATAGCTCACTTGCTTTTGGTGTACCTGAGGGTGGCATTCGTGCCCTGAGACTCAGCGAGCTTGCCCATCTTCCCCGGCAGCAGCAGGCACACGGCCATCCGAATGTCCCGGGAGGTGATGGTCACGCACTTGGAGTAGTGGGCCAGGTGACCAGCCTCGGTGGCGATGCGGTCCAGTATGTCACGAACCATAGAATCCATGACACTCACGGCCTCCTGGGAAAGGCTGAGGGCCTGGTGAACCTGCTTCAGCACCCGGGGGAAATAGGCGGCAAAGCTGTCCCCGAAGATATCTCCACCGCTGTTGGCATGGCGCCTACGGGAGCCTCGAAGCCCTCACTTCTTCTGCTTCTGGGCCGTCATGGAGTTGGCCTCTTTGGGCTCCTGGATGCTCTGGTCTTCCTCAGAGGTTGTCTTAGAGAAAGCCTCAGCCATGGTGGAGGCAGTGGCCACTGGATGGCAAGAACAGACAATGACGGTTGTGGACAGGGGAAGGGTGGGGGGGAATTTAGTGTGGCCACATGGCTCTATGTCACAGTCCAACTCGACATCTGATTGCATGAAGTGTCACCCAGGGAGCCTGTCAGCCATCCTCCCTGCATTGAAGGTGACTGGATGATCCTGTTGCTTGGTATCATGTCAACCAATCACAGTGGGCACCTGCCGGCCTAAGTGGCCCCAGTTGCCTCCCTCAGACAAAAGTACACAGATAGATACCCCACAGGGCAAAACCACATCAACCCTCCCCAGCTGATCCATGCCACACCGTGAGCACTTTGAAGGGTGTCACGGAAAACTCCCAAAGTTTAGCAATTTCAGCTCATGCTCCTTGAAGAGGGCTTGACCTCCTGAGCCCAAGTCCATTATGCCAGAGGAATGACAGTGGCCACGTGTGGACCACTTCTCACCCATCTCAGAATCTTCTGTTATCAAGGGCTAAGCCACCCCGGCTTGAGCAGGAACACCCTGACATGGCTGCCGAAGGGTCCTGGGCATTAAAGGGACCTGGCTGTTCGGCTCCTGTCCTCAGTTATGATCGACACCTTCAGTGAATGTGGATAAGGAACGATGGCCAAACCACAGTCTCCAAGCACACAACACAAACAGAAATTGAGATGCTTGTAAAAATATTA
Source organism: Homo sapiens (assembly GCF_000001405.40). Classification (NCBI taxonomy): domain Eukaryota; kingdom Metazoa; phylum Chordata; class Mammalia; order Primates; family Hominidae; genus Homo; species Homo sapiens. The sequence goes on along the minus strand of NC_000023.11, from coordinate 103,975,193 downwards.
CAAATCCTTAAACATGTGCGAAATTTAAAATTGTTTTCTTAACAGTATTTTGATCCCCAAAATACTCTGAATGTTAGTGTTGGTGAATAAGTGATGTTGGGTGAAAAAATGTTACCCCAATTCTCTAAGAAACCTCCTTATGGAGAAAAATTGAATCCATGAAATTGGAAATATTTTGAAGTTAAAAAATACCCTTCAAGAATCTATGATAATACATTCAGAAACATTTATTAAATATATGAATGTAAAACATAAATCCCAGAAACTGAACCAAACAAGGATTTAGCGATTAAGAAGAATTAAAGAAATAGCAATCACCAAGAAGGTACCATCCCAAATTCCAATGCTGTTTCCTGTCAGACTTTTAAGATCAGGTCATTTATTGCTAGTAAGATGGTTCCAGGTTTAAAGAGAGAAAACTTTTTCTTTTTTTGAGACAGAGTCTCGCTCTGTCGCCCAGGCTGGAGTGCAGTGGTGCGATCTCAGCTCACTGCAACCTCTGCCTCCTGGGTTCAAGTGATTTCCCTGCCTCAGCTTCCCGAGTAGCTGGGACTAGAAGCGCGCACCACCACGCCCGGCTAGTTTTCATATTTTTTTTTTTGTAGAGATGTGGTTTCATCATGTTTCCCCAGACTGGTGTAGAACTCCTGGACTCAAGCGATCCTCCTGCCTCGGCCTCCCAAGGAGCTGGGATTACAGGCATGAGCTACTGCGCCCAGCCGACAAAACTTATTTCAAGAAAATATAATATGATGTTGATACCCATTGAAGGAAGCATACTAAATATATATATATATATATATACATATATATATATGTATATGTATATATATGAGCAGCTCATTTATAAATGTGGTTACAAAACTCATACCTGAAATACTAGTAATTAAATTACATTACACACACCCACCCACACACACACACACACACGCACACACAGGGAAACAGTTTACTGCTATAAATAAAAATTCAGAAGGATCGAACTGGGACAAACATTACTAATGGAACAAGCAGACCTCATACAATCTTTTTTCAACATTACCTCTGTTATAGAATTCATTTAAACACATAACAAAAACCCACAGTGCAGAAATAGCTGAGTCAAATAAATCAATGAACCCTTTTTAAGCTTCCTAGAAACTGAAATAACTGCTCTAAGTCATTCACATTTGTCTAATTATATTATTTCCCAGTCTACAATCTTTTTTAATGCAAAGCTTAACCCCTATGAGTATGCATCACTTATGATAGAAGTATCCAATGAGAGCATCCAAACCCCACTCTCCACTGGCTAAACTAATGAAGTATCTCCAGTCCTGGGCCTCAGCCATTGGCTCAAAATGTGAGCAGGTGAACTGTCCTGAATCAATAAGTCTCCTCCTAGCTGTTCAGCCTTGTAAATTGAAGAGAAAATTAGTTTGAGGTTTTTGTCTACTTTTTATTTCTTTGTTTGATTTTTCGTTTTATTGTAATCGTGGTGATTTCAGGATATGAATCCACAGCTGTAAGCATGTCTTCTACCTCTCGCATCATATTGTGAAGAAAAATTCTTTGTAAAGGAATTTGGAGGAAAGAGGCTATTCCTGTGTACAGTTTGCAAACCAGGGAGGTGCAGACTTCAGTGTAAAACAAAAGTGCAGTTCCAGAGAACAAAGAGAGGATATGGCTTTTATAGAGAAAGTTCCTATCGAGGTTCCCAGTACAGTCAATTTATGCAAATAAACAATTCAAACTTAGTTCTGATTGGTTGACTCAGTTGAGCTCTGGTTGGTCAATACAGCTGAGCCCTTATTGGCAGCGACAGGTGAGCTCTGGTTGGTTGCTTCAGGTGAGCTCTGAAAGTTCCAAAGTTAGATAGAGGTGTGGGTTTTCGGGGAATTTGTAGTACACGTGTTAGCTCTAGTCAACACGTGGCAGCTTGGCTCTATTTTAAATTTAAGCTCAGTTAGCCACTGGGATCCATCTTGAAAGATTGGCTCTTTTAGGTTCTCATTTGTTCACAAGTTTAAGAAAATGACAGTGACCAATTAAGAAAACTAGGTGCCGGGCGTGGTGGCTCACGCCTGTAATCCCAGCACTTTGGGAGGCCGAGGTGGGCGGATCAGGAGGTCAAGAGATCGAGACCATCCTGGCCAACATGGCGAAACCCCATCTTTACTAAAAATACCAAATTTAGCCTGGCTTGGTGATGTGCCTGAGGTCCCAGCTACTCGGGAGGCTGAGGCAGGAGAACTGCTTGAACTCGGGAAGCGAAGTTTGCAGTGAGCCGAAATCGTGTCGCTGCACTCCAGCCTGGCGACAGAGCGAGACTCCTTCTAAAAAAAAAAAAAAGAAAGAAAAAGTAGGATGACTCTTCCTTTTTTTTTTTTTTCAATTTGATTGTTGTGGGGCTTTTTCACTTTCAACCACATGTGTCTGACAAAATTAACCCACTATGGTAATATGAGACAATAAAAACATTTACTTCAGTACAATGCCTTCTCCAAAATGTGATTGGTCCTAATTCTTGACGGAATATAATACTCTTCTTATTTCATCATAGACTGACACTCTGGAATAGGGGGGAATGAGTGTGGACATGAGTGGGGGCACAGAAAAAGCTTTAAAGGGTGACTATTTACTTTTTTTCCTTATCCCAGACATTTTCCCTAGCATAGTGACCATATGTCCTGATTTCGCCTGTTGTCCCTTAGTAATTCTTAATAGCATCCCTTTCACTCTGAAATATGTCCAAATTTACGACTCTGTACTTCCCAGGGTAACTAGATCATGCAGGAAGTTGTGAGTGTAGTAGCTCTCAGATCTTTGTTAAATGAACAGATAAATGAATGAACCTACATTAGATAAGAGACTGGCCCCTGACAACGTATGAGACCATTGCTGAATTCTGTGGCTAGTCCACACGACCCTTCTGGACCTCTTGGACACAGACCCCTTTCCTGTACTGCACTTTAAAAAAAATTCTTTCTCTACAAAGCTGTCTGAGTCCCAGTGTTAAACCCATGTGAATGTCAGATTGTGTTTCCTCCATGGTTTGCTTATCAGCTTTACTCCTCCTAATAGCCCTTTGTGGTGTACATATTTTAGCCTCAATTTTTTGCAGACAAAACACAGAGTAACTAAGTAATGTGTCCAATGATCACACAGCTGATAAATGGAAGAGCAGGGATTCAAATCCACGTCAGTCTGAGTCCAGAACCCAAGCACTTGAACGTTGTCCTCTGCCATCCTATCTCATATTGTAGTGATGGCACCTTCAAGGCATGGATACCTTAGGTAGACAGGATGAGGTGAGCCTCACCTTTAGAGCAAGTCTTTTCATAGCTTGATTTTTCCTTGAGGGCAATGTGATCAGTTCAGAGGTATAAAAGCAAAAGCATCAAGTTAGGTTTCATGCAAAGGTATACAAGGAACCTGATTTTCTCCTGAAACCACGGGAGTTTTTTCAAGCAGCAGTTAGGAAATTTAACCATTCCCGTGCTCAATTCTGTGTTTCAATACATGTCTAAACCACATGCGTAGCCATTCCACGTTGCATAATTGTGTCCAATACAGACGGACTCCAACTTAGGATGGTTCGACTTAAAATTATTTGACTTTACGATAGGTTTAACCGGACTGAACTCCATTGTAAGTTGAGGAGCATATGTTTATTCTGCTGCAAATTGGTGAGAGAAAGGGTGGGAATCAGGGAGTGAGAAATGTTTTCAGGTTAGGATTATACAGTCATTACTTGATAACCCACATTTAGCCCTGTGATGGCCAATTTTATGCCTTGTCTTGTCTTTCCAACCAGGGGGAGATTTTTTTCCCAAATAAACAAGGATAGAGATTTAGGTAACCCGACTTGGTTGGGTTACAGTATCTAGATATGTGGTCAAATTTTATTCTGAATGTTTCTGTGAAGGTGTGTTTGGGATTAACATTTAAATCAATGGACCTGAGTACAACAGACTGCCCTCCATAATGGCCTGAATAGAACAAAAAGACTGACTTCCCCCAAGCAAGAGTAAATTCTGCAGCAAACAGCCTTCACACTTGAACTGCAATATCGGCTCTCCCGTGGGTCTTCAGCCTCATGGTCTTTAGACTTAAACTGTAATCTCAGCTTTTACCTGGGACTCCAGGCTGCCAGCCCATCCTGCAGATTTTGGACTTGCCAGCCTCCATAATCACATGAATCAATTTCTTAAAATAAATCTATCTGTCTATCTATCTAGATAGATAGATAGATGATAGATAGATAGATAGATAGATAGATAGATAGATAGATAGATAGATATCCTATTGGTTTTATAACTCTGGAAATCCCTAATACAAGCTTTCTGCACCAAAACTTTGCTGCAGAGATCTCAGTGTTGTTTCCACACATAAAGTATCCAGTTATATATCAGACATTTTCATTATTCCATTAATCAATATCTTTGCCTTTAATTAGTGACCACACAGTTATGTCAGTAGTTTTTCCTGGCTCTTTAGAGATGTTTCTTCACCATTTGATATGACTGGGGACAACAACATATTCAGTTCAATGGTAAAGTTGAGGACTTAATTGCAATTATTATTACTGAAAATAACAATCCCTAGAACATAGGTAGATTCCACATGGCACCTATTAACCAGAAGATTGAATTAACTTACCCTACTTCTGACCTTGCCAGTTAATTGCACTCCCTTTCATTACCACCCATATAACCGACACTCATTTTGGTTGGTGTCAATTAAACTAGGCATTGCTATAGTAATAAAAAGAGTCACCACGGACTGAGTGGCGACTATTCCAGGCATTGTTCTAAGTGCTTTACAGGGAACACTTTAATTGCCTTTCACAAGATCTCTGTGAAGTAGTGTTATTTCCTCCGTTTTGTGGATGAAGAAACTGAACCACAAAAGATTGTCACTTGCCCAAGATCAAACAGGTAGAAGATTACCAAGGCAAGAATCAAACATATTTCTACACATTTAAGCTTCTGCCCAGAAAAGAAAATATCATCAGAGTGAACAGGCAACCTACAGAATGGGAGAAAATTTTTGCAATCTTTCCATCTGACAAAGGGCTAATATCCAGAATCTACAAGAAACTTAAACAAATTTACAAGAAAAAAATACAAAATCAAAAAGTGGGCAAAGGATATGAACAGACACTTCTCAAAAGAAGACATTTATGTGGCCAACAAACATATGAAAATAAAAGCTCATCATGACTGCTCATTAGAGAAATGCAAATCAAAACCACAATGTGATACCATCTCACGCCTGTTAGAATGGTGATCACTAAAAGTCTGGAAACAACAGATGCTGGAGAGGATGCAGAGAAATAGGAACACATTTACACTGTTGGTTGGAGTGTAAATTAATTCGACCATTGTGGAAGACAGTGTGGCCATTCCTCAACGATATAGAACCAGAAATACCATTTGACCCAGCAATCCCATTACTGGATATATACCTAAAGGATTATAAATCATTCTACTGTAAAGACACATGCATACGTATGTTTATTGCAGCATTATTTACAATAGCAAAGACTTGGATCCAATGCAAATGCCCATCAATGATAGACTGGATAAAGATAATGTGCCACATATACACCATGGAATACTATGCAGCCATATAAAAAGAATGAGTTCATGTCCTTTGCAGGGACATGGATGAAGCTGAAAACCATTATCTTCAGCAAACTAACACAGGAACAAAAAACCGAATGCCACATGTTCTCATTCATAAGTGGGAACTGAACAATGAGAACACGTGGACACAGGGAGGGGAACATCACCCACCTGGGCCTGTCAGGGGTTAGGGGCAAAGGGGAGGGAGAGCATTACAATAAATACTGAATGCATGCAGAGCTTAAAACCTAGATGATGGGTTGATATGTGCAGCAAACCACCATAGCACATGAATACCTGTATAACACACCTGCATGTTCAGCACATGTATCCCAGAACTTAATGTAAATTTAAAAAAAAAATTTAAAAAGACTCCAAAGGCAAGGCATTCTCATTAGGTATGAACATGCATTGGTTAAATTCTAGGAGTGTTTATAAAACTCACTGGCCTGCAGAGTTTCATGGGAATTGTAAGTCGTAATACTAAATGAGACTTTTTTTATTCTTTGCAGAGATGAATTAGGCATGAAATTTTATTTGGCTGATTTTTCTCTTTTAACTTTCAGTATATTTTTTCTTTCTGATATTTCATTTTCTGTTCTTAGTAATTAAAGTCATCTCTGCCTATGTACACTGACAGAATAAAAGTGTAAAGCCACTGACCAGTGATTTTCAAGGGATGTTAATGCATAAAAGAAGACAATCATTTAACTCCAGCCTTTTCCTTTCCCTATAAATACAACTGCTATAACAAAGCCCTGGTACTGCCAGTTTTGCAGATAATAGATGGATTCAGGGACATAAATCTCAATCCTTGCTTATTTGGAAAAAAAAAATATATACCCCTGATTCAAAAAACAAGTAAAGCTAGTGACTAAAAGAGTAGCCCAACATTAAATACTTGAGAAACGTGGGGCAAAACTACTGCAGATGAGCAACTGCAGTTTTTCCCATCTCATTCCTGTATGAGTATTCACTTAGTAATTACATGTCTTTCACCTCCCGCCATGCACTTCTAATCTGCTCCCACTCAGTTTAACACTTACACTACCCAGGGTACAAATCAAGACTTTAATGAAAAGGATGGCTACCAGATGCAACTAACTAGGAGTTATTGTTCAATCCTAGGTCACCTGACAACATTCATGCTTTCCTTTGAGCTGCATTAATGTACAAATGAAGAGGTTGCTGAATCTATCATAGATGAATAGCATCTTTATCAAATTTGCAAATGACAACACAGAAAGGGGAGCAACTGTGTTGGATGATTGAACCAGGATTCACAGACCCGGTAATGAGCAAATCTGAGCATATCTGCAACCAGGATGGTTTCCCATCTGTGTAACTTGGGTCTGAAGGATCTGAGAAGTGTCAGTTGCAGAAGACTTGGAGGTAGAGGGACAGGACACAACAGCTGACTTCAAATTCTGGAGGATGGATTAACTACTGTCTCTAGGCCTCCAGCACATAATCCCAGGACTATTGAATAGAAGCTACAGGGAGGCACGTTTGGGCACAATGTAAGAAGCATATCACTGCAAGGAGCTGAGTGACTTTACTGGACAATTGCCTCAGGCAGGAGATAAGGTACTGGTGACTAACATGGTTACTTCCAAGGCTCAAATCCTCTGGCTACACACTAAGCCCCGTGACTGTGTCACCTCATTGGCACTTGATTGAAGTTGACCTACCTACTGTTTTGCTTTTGAAACTTTAAGCTGCAGCAGAGAAAACAGCTTTCACTTCATGTAATCCCACTGATTATTTAAGAATGTGAGCCCTTAGAAAGGGTGAGGTAAGGCAGGGCATGGTGGCTCACGCCTATAATCCCAGCACTTCGGGAGGCTGAGGAGGGCAGATCACGAGCTCAGGAGTTCGAGACCAGCCCGGCCAGCATAGTGAAACTCCATCTCTACTAAAAATACAAAAATTAGCCAGGCATGGTGGCACACACCTGTAGTCCCAGCTACTCGGGAGGCTGAGGCAAGAGAATAGCTTGAACCCGGGAAGCAGAGGTTATGGTAAGCCGAGATTGCAGCACTGCACTCCAGCCTGGGCAACAGAATGAGACTCCATCTCAAGAAAGAAAAGAAAGAAAAGAAAGAAAGAAAGAGAAAGAAAGAAAGAAAGAAAGAAAGAAAGAAAGAAAGAAAGAAAGAAAGAGAAAGGAGGAGGTAAGTTAATACTTGAGGTTGAAAATAGGTATGAATGGTATAATCCGTCTTTGTAGGAAGATATGTACATTAATAGATCACAAGTCTGGATGGCTAATACTTCTAATTGGTGGGATTATAGGTTATTTGTTTTTATACACATGATTAAAGTAGGCTTAGCATGGTAGCTCATGCCTGTAATCCCAGCACTTTGGGAGGCTGAGGCAGACAGATTGCTTGAGCCCAAGAGTTCAAGACCAGCCTGGACAACATAGCGAGACCTGATCTCTACTAATAATCAAAAATATTAGCTGGCTGTGGTGGCACGTGCCTGTAGTCCCAGGTGCTAGGGAGGCTGAGGTGGGAGGATTGCTTGAGCACAGGAGGTCAAGGCTGCAGTGAGCCATGATTGTACCACTGCACTCCAGCGTGGGCAACAGAGCAAGACCCTGTCTCATAAAAATAAAATAATAATTTTTAAAAAGAGATAAAAGTATTGTTTAAAGGCAGGAATTAAAATGCATGCAATTATACATATTCCTTACTGTATTAGCTCAGGCTGCTGTAACAAAATACTGTAGACTGAATGACTTAAACAACATAAATTTACTTGCTCACAGTTCTAGATTCAAGAAATCTCAAGTCGACGTCCAGCAGGGTCAGATTCTGGTGGGGGCTCTCTTCCTGGCTTGTAGACAGGCACCTTCTTGCTGTGTCCTCGCATGTTAGAGACTGGTCTCTCTCTCCTTATAAGGCCACAGTCCTATTAGATTAGGCCCTGACTGTTATCACTTCATAACGTAAATTACTTCTGAAACAACCTATCTCCAGATACAATCATGCTAGGGATTAGGGCTTCAGCATATTAATCAGGAGGTCACAGGTGACAAAATTCAGACCATAACATTTATGCTCACCATGAACACCAGAAATGTTTAGTTCATAAAACAGCAAATTCTGTTCAGTAGAAAAACCGTACCAGAAGTTCAGTGCTACAGGTCATTAGAAGATGTGATGTGCTTAATATGGTGTTTGGTAGCAAGTGCCTCCTGCCCCTTTCTCCATCCAACTTCAGTCTTGGATGTTAACTCCCACTAAGCTGAAAAAGACTTTCAGAAGGCAAGAGAACCCAGCTTGAATTCCAACCCTTATTCAAATTGAGCAGATTACTTCAGACCCTGTGTTTTCATTTCCTCATTCTGAGATAAGGAGGTTAGTCCACATGACCTTCTCTCCCAAGGTTCTCTAACTCTGTGATTCCAACTATAAAGAAAAAGCACCTACCATCCCCAAGTCAGGAACCACTGGACTTGGACAGAATTTAGTATTTTCCCCCAGGACTAATCTGCTAAAAGTTTTCCTTCAACCATTTTGTTTGAGTGTAAAAGGTACCTTTGTGTACTTTTCATTCCTTAGAATACCACCAGAATGAACCACAGAGTCAGACAACAACGATTATATTTATTATTTTATTGCTACATTGGAAGTGAAAATAAACTGTAAGAAGCTGCCAAAGGATGCAACTTCATGAAGATTATGAAACTATTGAGGCACCCATTGTAGAAAGTTAAAATTGGCTTATCCTGCATGAGGTGCAAGGACTACCTACACAAAGGTCATCCATGGCAAGGTTATTGACAGCATCTGCCATTTGGAATTTACATACCAATGGGAAGTTTAAAAAGGAACTTAAGGAAACATTCACTACCCCTGACCTCTTAACCAGGGAATATAGGTGAGAAGAAATCAGAAGATGTCTGAAATCTCTACAAACACACAGGTTTACAAAAAAACAAGCCTAAAACCAAGACTGTCAGGCAATGCTGAAATCTGCTCTTTGGAGGAGATCCCCATTTTATGATGTTTGAACACACTCTTTCTCCTGCTGGATAGCTGGGGAAAAAGAAACCAAAAATTACAAAAGTATTTTCCTAAGACTAAGTTCAGCTTCTTCCAAAAGAGCTCTTTGTAAGTCATTGAAGGCTGCCATACATGCTTTAAATTTAGAATGCCAAGGCATTAAACACAAAACTCAGAGTGGGGTGTGTGCCTGCATGTGTGCACACATTAAGTACCTGAACTACCAATTAGAAACTACATCAACTGTAGGGTTTGTTTTTCCAAATGCTGTTGTCATTTTTTCAGATTATTCAAGACTGAGGAGTAAGTGAAGTACTTTCTTCAGATTTGTCTATCACTATACAGTTAGAAAATTATACACTTTCAGATAATTTTAACTAATATTGCAACTCTCAAATAAAACTGACATAACAAAAGGTGCCCCTTGGCTTTTGTGAATATGCTTAGAGTTTCTCCAGCAGGCTATAACTCCAGAGGGCAGAACCAATCAATCCCTTGAATCTGAGAGCTTTAAGCATACTAAGATCTAAATTTGTTCTCACTTTATCTTTTCATCAGATATAGAAGGTCAAAACTGCAGAGTCTACAGGGTTCGTTAGGGATAATATTATGGACTCAAATTTTTAAATGTAGAAAAATGCCAAATACCCAAAAGTAGACAAAAACTAAGTGTTTTTTAGTGCTACATCCAATATTCCAAGATTGGTTTTAATGTGGTTTTTAATAATTTTCCAACAAAAAACTAGTTTTTTATTCCCCCATCACTACTGGGCCCATCATGTGAGAACCAGAAGAAAACTATTTGATAGTTTTAACTGTTGCATTAAATACCATGGTACTCTAATTATTGCTTACTTTGTGTAAAAAAAATTACTAGAAGATAGGTTTATTTACTGAACCTATTAACTTCCTCTATTGTTTGTTTCCAGTAGAACCCCACATGACTTACTTTCCTTTGAGGGAAGAGTATTTTTTTCTTCAGTATTAGTTTTCTTCAGTTTTGACCTGTCAAACTTCTCCACTTCCGACAAGTCTGGTTTATCACTCATCTTGACTAGAAGAAAGCCTGAAAAGAAAAAACTTTTTTCTTTTTTTGAAACAGCGTCTTGCTCTGTCGCCCAGGCTGGAGTGCAGTGGCGCAATCCCGGCTCACTGCAACCTCCGCCTCCTGGGTTCAAGCAATTCCTCTGCCTCAGCATCTCAAGAAACTGGGATTACAGGCACACGCCACTATGCCCGGCTAATTTTTGTATTTTCAGTAGAGACGGGGGTCTTACCATGTTGGCCAGGCTGGTCTGGAACTCCTGGCCTCAAGTGATCTGCCCGCCTCGGCCTCCCAAAGTGCTGGGATTGCAGGCGTGAGCCACCGCGCCAGGACAGAAAAAAACATTTTTAAGAAAACTTACCTGGCAGAACTATCTTCGGACTAAGGGATCACAAGCAAAAATTTTCACATTTCCTATCAATGTATATTCTACCTGCTCATTTTCAACAGAAAAACAGCAACAGATATTAGAAAAGTTATATTTTTGTTAGAATAATTTCAACTCCACATCATTTGCCGTTTCTGATAGGCAGTAAATGTCATTGGATCATAACGCACCAGAAACCAAGATGCTCTAGAAACACAGAGCCATTTGTCTGACTCTTAAAATCACAGCAAGGATAAAATGGAGGTGATAGAAGCACAAGACCAGACAGGGATAGAAGAAAAAATAAAGACTGGTTTTAACCAGGTAATTATTTTGAAACAGAACATAGCACCATTTGAGCATCTTCACTTTCTATTTACTTTTGGTTTTGCCATTTTTCTTGGGAGATGGGGAGCAGCACACAAAAAAAGAATGAGATAAGTTGTATTAATTTCTATCTATTTTAAATCCCCAAAGACGACAGTACATTAAGGCACTACAATACACGTCTCATAATAGCTCCTTGTGGCACTGGTTTGTAAACGCTGTAAGAAGGGACAGCTAACTAGGATCAGACCCAGGACTTCAGCAGAACGGAATAAACCAAATAGAAGTGGGTCTTCTTTCACGTTTTCACTGCAGAGAGGGAGGAGATGAGGCTCAGACGTGCGTAGCTGTGGACCTGACGAAATGCCTGGTGCCCTGTGAAAGTCTCGAGTTTGTTCAGAAGAGACAATAGGATATACCAGGTAGAGCTTTCATGAGCAAGCCCGGCCCCACCCTGGTGGAGTAAGACACTTCGTCTAGTCCCTGGCGTAGAATGCAGAGGCCCCCAAGCAGTCAGAAGTGTCGAACATGCCTCCATTCTGTCGAGGTTACCCTAAGACCCTCCTCTGCCAAGCGATCAGACGCCAAGCTCGGAGCTGGGAAATTGGAACTAACCAATAAATAATAGCAGGGCCGGGCGCATAGGCCAGTCTGTCAGGAGCAGTTTGCATACTTTTTCAAATAACTATTAGCGTTGTTAGACGCCCAGTCTAACGGCCACGGGAGGGAAAGGAACCAGGGCCCAGCCCCACAAGGCCCATTCCGGGCGGCCCCCAAACTCTTCATCCTCGAAGCCTCTGACCTGCAGCTACCGCGGACTGGCCGCTTTAAGGGTCCCCTACCCCTCCAACCACCGCCTCCCACCCCGACTCCCCGGGGCCTTCTTTCCAGGGACCGGCCCCCGGGAGGGCTCGGCATCGCTCGCAGAAGGCGGCGCCCCAGAAAGACAAAGGCTCGGACTCGCCGGGCCTGGCGGCGGCGCAGACACCAAGCACCAGCCCCAACCCCAGCCCCTCTGGCTCCCGAAGGCGCGGCATCCCCCGCCTCGCGACCCCCACGCCTTCCCGTCCCCATGGTCCTCTGGCTCCTGCGAGGCCGCAGGTACTCACCTGAAGGCTTGAAGACTCGTGAAAGGCCGTACGCGGGGCTGAGACCCAGGCTGGCTCCGCACCAGGTTAGCCTTCCCGCCCAGAGCCCTGCAGTGCTAAGCCTTCTAGCAGGCGCCGCCCCAGCCCTCTCTGATTGGCCGAGGGTTTCCGGACTCGCCTCCTTCCCCTCCTCCGCTTGAGCCTCCAGAGCCTGCGCCCACCATCTCTTCTAAGATCAGGAGCTTGGTGACTTCAGAGCAGACCTCGCCCTCCCCAGGCCCCACCTCCCAGGCCTCTCCCACTGCTTTAGTCCTGAGGGTCCACATTCCCTTCATCCGAAGTACACTCACTCTTGCTCTTTCCGGGCTACCTTGTAGCAATTTGAGGCTCCGTCATCAGTTTCTGCTACGTTTCAAAGATCCAGGAGAAGCTTAGTGTTGTGTCAAGACGCCGATGGACCCATCACAGAAGTTTAATCCAACCTACATCCCAGAGTCTCCACAAATGCTCACCGAAGAAAATTCCCGGGACGATTCAGGGGCCTCTCAAATCTGCTCCGAGACGTTGATAAAGAACCTTAGTAACTTGACTATCAACACTAGTAGCGAATCTGTTTCCCCTCTATCGGAAGCTTTACTCCGTCGAGAGTCTGTAGGAGCAGAAGTCCTCAGGGAAATCGAAGATGAGTGGCTTTACAGCAGGAGAGGAGTAAGAACATTGCTGTCTGTGCAGAGAGAAAAGATGGCAAGATCGAGATACATGTTACTCGGCAGAGTTCGTATGCATGAAAGAAGACCAACAAACGAGGAGCCTAAGGGAGTTAAGAAGGAATCAAGACCATTCAAATGTCCCTGCAGTTTCTGCGTGTCTAACGGATGGGATCCTTCTGAGAATGCTAGAATAGAGAATCAAGACACCAAGCCACTTCAGCCATAAATCTTATTCTTGCACCTTTTTTTCTTGCTGGTAATTTTATATAGCAGGTTGAGAAAGCTAATCTATGCTAGAACAGACTATACACCAATAATTTTGATAATGAGTTCTAGGATGTATTTTTCTTCTTGTATCTTTTTCTTCCTACTATGATACTAGTAATTCATAAGGGATCTGTGTAATCTGAATGTATTTGAATAACTTTAGCTCTACTGTTTGATTTGACCCAAAGAATCCAAGACGATATAAGTATTCCCATGTGTCTTAGAAGCCCAAAGTCAGTGAGATGAAACCCAACATCAAGAAATTGAAGCAAAGTTACTTGTGGATAAAGAAAGCATTAGGTAGTTTGGCTATAGCATAATTAGATTTTCTGGCTTTCAAAAATTTGAACTGCAATCACAGCAAACTTTGTTATTTTTACAGTTTTCAGTACAAAAAGGTGTTTATATAGAAACAATAAAGTTGACATTTGAGTACCTTTAAAAAAAAAAAACAAAGTACACTCACTCTTTCACAATAACAGAAGCCTCTGCAATAAGCAGACACATTTTGCCCAGTGAGCTTAGAACATCTGTAACACAGAGGTCCAAGCTGAATGACCGGTATATAGGCTCTCTAGGCTTTTTATAGCCATTGGGGCCTAAGGACAACCTAACAGTAGGTTGGAAGTGGGGCTCGGTGTTGTCTGCTCTAATCCTTGGCCACGTCGTGGAGTACGAGTGCTCATGGTGAGGGTGGGTAGTTCAGGGCCATTCACCCCTACAACTGGACATTTCTGTGACAGTAGTGCTCTCCTGTGAAATGTAAAAGTCACATTTGCAGCTTTCTCGGCCACAGAACACGATAGCAGTCAGTTTATAATCACAGAACAACTGAGGCTATTGCTATTCACCTTTATATCCCCAATCCCTAGCACTTTGGCCCACAAGACACATTGGTTGTGGAGATGTATGTGGATTGAAGTAATAAATCCGTGATAGGGAGGAATTTTTGGACACTAGCACCACCCAGTGTCTGTTGGAAGAGAAAATTGAGGATCCGGTAGTTACTTAAAAGGACTAAACGTTCAAGATCATTTTCTGGATACTCACCCAGAACCTTAGCGCTTTAAGGTAAGATGGAGGTAGAACTATGTCTTTTACTTGCACCCCATGTATGGTGGTATAGATCTATATAGATCAGAAATCATTCTTTCCACAAGGATTTCTCAAGCCTTCCCCACCTCACTTCATTCCCTTTTCTTTGCTCTTGTAGCACTTTCTGTTAATTTGAGAATTGTGTATGTTTGTTGGAGAAACTTTCAAAACAGAAAAGCATACTCATTCAACAAATAATATTAATTGAGTACCTACAATGTCCCTGGCATTAAATATAATAAACACCAGTGTTTCCACTACTCAGATTTCAATGTTGTTAACATTAGGTATATTTACTTTGTCTTTCTTTTAAGGAATGAAAACTTTACCGAAAAAATAATTGAGGTTTCCTTGACCTTCCCTCCACTTCCATTCACCTTCCCACTTCCCTAGGGGTAGTCCTATCCTGAATGTGATGTGTAGCTTCCAGCGTATTTTTTTTTAAGTTCGGGGGTACATGTGCAGGTTTGTTACATAGGTAAACTGTGTCATGGGTATTTTCTACAGATTATTTCATCACCCAGATATTGAGCCTAACACCCATTAGATATTTTTCCTGATCCTCTCCATCCACCCACCCTCCACCCCCTGAGAGGTCCCAATGTGTGTTGTTCCTCTCTGTATCCATGTGTTCTCATCATTTAGCCCCCACTTACAAGTGAGAACATGCAGTATTTGGTTTTCTGTCCCTGCATTAGTTTGCTAAGGATAATGGCCTCCAGCTCCATCCATGTCCCTGCAAAGGACATGACCTTTTTCTTTTTTATGGCTGCATATTATTCCATGCTGCATATATATACCATATTTTCTTTTATCCAGTCTATAATTGATGGGCATTTAGGTTGATTCCATGTCTTTACTATTGTGAATAGTGTTGCAATGAACATACCTGTGCATGTGTCTTTATAATTGAACAATTTCTATTCCTTCGGGTATATACCCAGTAATGGGATTGCTGAGTCAAATGGTATTTCTGTCTTTAGGGCTTTGAGGAATCGCCACACTGTCTTCCACAATGGCTGAACTAATTTATACTTCCACCAACAGTGTACAAGCATACTTTTTCTCCACACCCTTGACAGCATCTGTTATTTTTTGACATTTTAATAATAGCCATTCTGTCTGACGTGAGATGGTATCTCCTTATCATTTTGATTTGCATTTCTCTAATGATCAGTGATGTTGAGCTTTTTTTATATGATTATTGGCTACATGTATGTCTTCTATTGAAAAGTGTCTGTTAACATCCTTTGTCCACTTTTTAATGGGGTTTGTTTTTCTTTTATACATTTATTTAAGTTCCTTATAGATGCTGGATACTAGACTTTTCTCAGATGCATGGTTTGCAAAACTTTTCTCCTATTCCGTAGGTTGTCTGTCTACTCTACCAAGTTTCTTTTGTTGTGCAGAAGCTTTTGTTGCAATTGCTTTTGGCATCTTTTTCATGAAATATTTGCTCGTACCTGAATGGTATTGCCTAGGTTGTCTTCCAAGGTTTTATAGTTTTGGGTTTTACATTTAAGTCTTCAATCTATCTTGAGTTAATTTTTCTATATGATGTAAGGAAAGAGTCAAGATTTAACCTTCTGCATATGGCTAGCCAGTTATGCCAGCATAATTTGTTGAACAGGGATCCTTTCCTCCATTGCTTGTTTTTGTCACGTTTGTCAAAGATCATATAATTGTAGATATATGTTCTTATTTCTGGCTTCTCTAGTCTGCTCTATTGGTCTATGTCCCTGTTTTTGTATCAGTACCATGAGGTTTTGGTTACTGTAGCCCTGTAGCATGGTTTGCCTCCAACTTTGTTCATTCTGCTTAGGATTGCCTTGGCTATTTTTTGGTTCCATGTGAATTCTAAAATATTTTTTCTAGTTCTGTGAGGAATGTCAGTGTTAGTTTAATAGGCATAGCATTGAATCTATTAATATAATTTGCTTTGGGCAGTATGATCATTTTAATGATATTGATGCTTCCTAGCCATGAGCGTGGAACGGTTGTGTTATCTCTGATTTATTTGAGCAGTTCTCCTTTTTTATTTGTAGTTCTTTTTTTTTTCTTTCACTTCCCTAGTTAGCTGTATTCCTAGATACTTTATTCTTTGTGTGCAATTGTGAATGGGAGTTCATTCCTGATTTGGCTCTTGGCTTGACTGTTGTTGGTGTATAGGAATGCTAGTGATTTTTGCACATTGATTTTGTATCCCGAGACTTTGCAAAAGTTGCTTATCAGCTTAAGAAGCTTTTGGGCTGAGACGATGGCCTTTTCTAGATATGGGAGCATGTTATCTGCAAATAGGAATAGGTTGACTTCCTCTCTTCCTATTTGGATGCCCTTTATTTCTTTCTCTTGCCTGATTGCCCTGGCTAGAACTTACAATACTATACTGAATAGGAGTAGTGAGAGAGGTCATCCTTGTCTTGTTGCCTGTTTTCAAGGGGAGTGCTTCCAGCTTTTGCCCATTCAGTATGATCCTGGCTGTGGGTTTGTCATATATGGGTCTTATTATTTTGAGGTATGTTCCTTCAACACCTAGTTTATTGAGAATTTTTAACATGAATGGATGTCGAATTTTATTGAAAGCCTTTTCTGCATCTATTGAGATAATCATGTGGTTTTGTCTTGAGTTCTGTTTATGTGATTAATCAAATTTATTGATCTGCATATGTTGAACCAACCTTGCATCCCAGGTATAAAGCCTACTTTATTGTCTTGCATAAGCCTTTTGATGTGCTGTTGGACTCAGTTTGCCAGTATTTTGTTGAGGATTTTTGCATCGATGTTCATCAAGGATATTGGCCTGAAGATTTTGTTGTTGTTGTTGTTGTTGTTGTATCTCTGCCAGATTTTGGTGTCAGGATGATGCTGGCCTCATAGAATGAGTTAGGGCAGAGTACCTCCTCCTCAATTTTTGGAATAGTTTCAGTAAGAATGGTACCAACTCTTCTTTGTACATCTGATAGAATTCAGCTGTGAATCCCCTGGTCCTGGGCTTTTTTCGGTTGCTAGGCTATTACTGCCTGCATTTCAGAGCTCACTATTGGTCCGTTCAGGAATTCAATTTCTTCCTGGTTCAGTCCTAGGAGTGTGTATGTGTCAGGAATGTATCCATTTCTTCTAGGGTTTCTAGTTTATGTGCATACAGTTGTTCATAATATTCTCTGATAGTTTTTTGTATTTCCGTGGGGGGTCAGTGGTAATATCCCCCTTGCCGTTTCTGGTTGTATTTATTTGAATCTTCTCTCTTTTCTTCTTCATTAGTCTGGCTGGTGGTCTATTGATTTTATTAATTTTTTTCAAAAAATCAGCTCCTGGATTCAGTGATCTTTTGAATGGTTTTTCGTGTCTCTATCTCCTTCAGTTCAGCTCTGATTTTGGTTATTTCTTGTCTTCTTCTAGCTTTGGGATTTGTTTGCTCTTGATTCTCTAGTTCTTTTGGTTGTGATGTTAGGTTGTTAACTCAAGATCTTTCTAATTTTTTGATGTGGGCATTTAGTGCTATAAATTTCTCCCTTAACGCTACTTTAGCTGTGTCTCAGAAATTCTGGTATGTTATATCTTTGTTTTAATTAGTTTCAAAGAACTTCTTGATTTCTGCCTCAATTTCATTATTTAACCTAAAATCTTTCAGGAGAGTCTTTCATGGAACTGTAATACAATTACCATTTCCATGTAATTGTATCGTTTTGAGTGAATTTCTTAGTCTTGATTTCTAAGTTGATTGCACTGTGGTCCAAGAGACTGTTTATTATTTCAGTTGTTCTGCATTTGCTGAGGAGTGTTTTACTTCCAATTGTGTGATCAATTTTAGAGTATGTGCCATGTGATGATGAGAAGAATGTATATTCTTTTGTTTGCAGTAGAGAGTTCTGTAGATGTCTATCAGGTCCATTTGATCCAATGCAGAGTTCAGGTCCTAAATATCTTTGTTAATTTTCTGCTTCGATGATCTGTCTAATACTGTCAGTAAGTCTCCTACTATTATTGTGTGGAAGTCTACGTGTCTTTGAAGGCCTCTAAGAGCTTGCTTTGTGAATCTGGGTGCTCCTGTGTTGGGTGCATATACGTTTAGGATAGTTAGATCTTCTTGTTGAATTGAACCCTTTACCATTAAGTAATGTCCTTCTTTGTCTTTTATTATCTCTGTTGGTTTAAAGTCTGTTTTGTCAGAAACTAGGATTGCATCACCTGCTTTTTTCTGTCTTCCATTTGCTTGGTAGATTTTTCTCCATCCCCTTATGTTGAGTCTATGTCTGTCATTGCATGTGTGATGGGTGTCTTGAAGATAGCATACCAATGGGTCTTGGTTCTTTATCTGGCTTGCCACTCTGTGTCTTTTAATTGGGGCACTTAGCCCATTTACATTTAAGGTTAGTATTGATTTGTGTGGATTTGATCCTGTCATCATGATGTTAGCTGGTTATTTTGTAGGCTTGGTTATGTGATTGCTTTATAGTGTCACTGGTCTGTGTACTTTAATGTGCTGTTGTAGTGGCTAGTAACAGTCTTTCATTTCCATATTTAGGGCTTCCTTCAGGAGCTCTTGTAAGGCAGATCTGGTGGTAACAAATTCCCTCAGCATTTGCTTGTCTGAAAGGGATCTTATTTTTCCTTTGCTTATGAAGCTTAGTTTGGCTGGATGTGAAATTCTGTGTTGGAATTTCTTTTCTTTAAGAATGTTGAATATTGGCCCCTAATCTCTTCTGGCTTCTAGGGTTTCTGCTGAGACCTTTGCTGTTAGTCTGATGGGCTTCACTTTGCAGGTGACCTGGCCTTTCTCTCCAGCTGCCTTTAACATTTTTTCTTTCATTTTGACTATAGAGAAGCTGAAGATTATGTGTGTTAGGGATGAACTTCTCGTGGAGTATCTTACTGGGGTGGTCTGCACTTGCTGAATTTGAATGTTGGCCTCTGTAGTTAGGTTGGGGAATTTCTCATGGAGTACATCCTGAAATATGTTTTCCAATTTGATTCCATTCTTCCCATCTCTTTCAGGTACACCAAGCAGTCGTAGATTCAGTCTCTTTACATAATCCCATATTTCTTGGAGGTTTTTGTTCATTCGTTTTCATTCTTTTTTTCTATATTCTTATCTGCTCGTCTTACTTCAGAAAGGCAGTCCTCAAGCTCTGAGATTCTTTCTTCTGCTTGGTCTATTCTGCAATTAATACTTGTGATTGCATTATGAAATTCTTGTAGTGTGTTTTGCAGCTCTATCAGGTCAGTTACATTCTTCTCTATACTGGCTATTTTGTCTGTCAGCTCCTATGATATTTTATCATGATTTCTAACTTCCTTGCATTGGGTTACAATGTACCCCTGTAGCTCAGTGAACTTCTTTCCTATACATCTGTCATTTCAGCCATCTTAGCCTCAGCCTGGTTCCAAACCCTTGCTGGACAGGTGATGCAGTCATTTGGAAGAAAGAAGGTACTCTGGTTTTTTGAGTTTTCAGCATTCTTGCACTGATTCTTTCTCATCTTTGTGGGCTTACCTACCTTCAACTTTTGAGGTTGCTGACCTTTGGATGTTTTTTTTCTTTTATCCTATTTGATGACCTTGGGGGTTTGATTGTGGTATAAGGTGGATTCATCCATCTGGCTTCGTTTCTGGAAGATACTAGGGGGCCAATGTTCAGCTCCCAACCCCTGGACTGCATGCTGTATCTCTGGGGGACTTGTATTGGGCCCCAACTTTGTTCTCTGGCTCCTTGATGTTTGGAGTCTACTGTACTGGGGGGATCAAGGTGCAGCAGCTACAGCCAAGTGCTAGTGGATGCAGAGGTGCCTGCCTCCCTGTGGGCATTCACCACTGCAGCAGAGGCAAAGCAGCTGTGGGGAGCAGGGAGCAGGGGGCCACTGCTGGAGACTGTGTAGGCTGTTACTTCGGAGGTAATGTTGGCTTGGGGCAGAGTTCTGGCTGGCTCAGATCTGGGTGCCTTCTCTGTGCCCCACAAGCAGGAGTGATCACTCACGGTATGGGCAGATCCCCTGTTCACTGTTCGCTGGTGAGGCAAGACTTGCTGGCTCTGTGGCCACCAAGGCTCCATCTCCAACAGTAATCGGCAGGGGTTGGGGGCCTATTGCACTCCCACATGCTGGCAGGGCAAGTAAAGCAAAACCCACCCATGTAGACAGGTGCCCGCAGAGTGATGTGGGGAGTTGCTGTGGGCTTGAGGGAAGCTATATTATGGGGAGTTAACATGCAGGCTGGTGCACGGCCATAGGATCCGCCTCACTGGAGCTCTCCACAAGTCAGTCATGATCCACCAGCACAGAAGCTATGGTGTGGGCCCCAGAGCACGCAAGACTGCCCTGTAAGCAGGTGTGGCCAGGCTGGGGCCCTGGGAGAGGACAGCAGACCAAGGAGTGCTCAGGTCTGACCAGCCCCGTCTGATGTGCAAGACTGCCCTGCAGTGATCAGGTCTGATAGTTCCCATAGTGCTAAAGTCTCTTATGGGGCATGTTGAGCTTAAAGGGGTGGCCATGCCTGGCCATGCTCTACTACAGATACTCCTGCAACAAAACCTCTAGGCTCCACATCAGCTATCTTGCCAATTCACCACTTTGCTTGTCTCCTGGGGGCTCCACACCAGAGAAATGTGAGTCAGCAATAGCTCAGTACAGTTAGCCCAGGATAGAGTTTTTGTGCTGTAAGCCCAATCCAGGGGTTTCCTGTGTGGTGACAAGCAATGGAGGGTGTGTCGGACCCCTCAGAGACAAACTGGCATCTTCTCCTTGGGTTGGCTGTAGTTTGTTGGAGGTGTGGAGAAGGCACTTAGGGTCTCTGCTTCTTTGTTAGCCCGAAGTTAGCAAGGACGGCTCCACTGCAGAAGCAAAGATGGTGGCCTGCCCTTTCTCTGGGACATCTGTCCCAGGGAATTTTCAAATCTCTGTCAGCCAGAGATCACCAACAGGGGTGGCTGGAGGCCCCGGTTGGGAGGTCCCTCCCAGTAAGGAAGAATAGGATCAGGACCCACTTAGAGAAGCAGTCTGGCCATGTTTTGGTAGAGCAGCTGTGCTGTGCTGGGGGATCCCTTCTGCCCCGAGTTGGTTTGGACTTTCCAAATCCCAAAGGCTGGAAGGGCTAAGTCACCCAAACAGTAAACATGGCGGCCCGCCCCTCCCCCTTGGAGCTCTGTCCCAAGTAGGTGCAGCACTGCTACTGGTGGCTAGCTGTAATTCCAGGCCAGTAGGTCTTATCCTGTGAGGTGTTGTGGAAGTGGGGCCCACAGACCATGGCTGCTTGGCCCACTGGATTCAGTCTCTTTCCTGGGGTAGGTACAGGGGTCTAACATCCTGCTTTGCTGGAGTTGCAGCTACTTTTGCTAGGATGCCCGGATAGCCAGAGTTTCTAAAGTTCCTGGTTCTCCATGCATGTCCGCTCTCCTGCCGGCACTCCACATAGCTCTGTGTGTGAGACTGAAGGCCCTGATGGAGTGGGCTCATGACGGGATCTCCTGACCTGTGGGTTGCAAAAATCCATGGAAGAAGCATGGGTTCCCAGGACCACACATTCACTCACCACTTCTTTCGGTGGGGAGCTTCCGTTGGCTTTGTGTTGCACCTGGGTGTGCCGTCGTCCTGCCTTGCTTTTCTCCATTCTCCATGGGTCAAGTTATTTCCTTGATTAATCTCAATGCGAGAACCTGGATGCTTCCATTGAAAGTGCTATATTTACTCTCCCCTTCCATTCCACTCCATGACAGCCGTGCACACTAGCTGCTTCTAGTTGGCCATCTTGGCCCTCTGGCCTGTTTTTCTGTCATTACAGATTAATGTGACTTCTGAGCACAGCGAAGGAGCAAAATGAAGCCTTGTTTGAACCAGTGATCCAAGTCTAAGACCACACCCCCCACATCCCTTGGGGTTGACAAGAAGCTCCAGATACCCACCTCTCCATAGACCAAACCTCAAAATTCTCCCACACTGATCTCCTTTGAATCTATTAGAACTCGACTAATGATAACATTTATCTCCATTTGTGCCAGTCACCACAAGTATCCTAAGATACCTCTCAACTGCTACATTCTAACCTCCATAAGGTTGTGTCCACGTCCCCTCTTTAGGTCAGTATCTCACCCCTCCGCTACTAATAAAACACAATGCACCCTTGCTAATCCTCCATAGTCTAAGCTTCTTCTCTGAATGCCCCCTTCCCTTAGGACTCTGGATCCCCTGAAGCCCACTCACAAGGAGCAGATGATTTTTCTCTCCTACCACCACTGTACCACAGATCCTAAAAGTTGTGTAAGTGACTTTACTGCTCCTCATTGCTGCCTTTAGATAGCAATCCCTCTCCCACCTCCCTAAAAACTTCCAGCTTTTGACAGCTAGTGTCACCAACCAGCTCTTATTGCTGTTGTCAGAAATATTCTCCCCTCATTTCTCAGGCATTTTGTCTCTGAGAACATGGTCATTCTCAATGGTAGTTGTCCTGTCTTAATTGTTAGTGAGTTCAATATCGATCATTCTAAAGCTAGGCATGGTGGCACTCACCATAGTCCTACCTACTCAGAAGACTAAGTTGGGAAGGTTACCCAGGAGTTTGAGTCAGCCTGGGCAACCTAGCAAAACCCCCATCTCAAAACAAAATCATTCTGATAATCTGACAAACTAGCCCCTTCTGTTCCTTGAACATTTCTCCTCCATGACATTGTCCTCAACTCCACTTCAGTTACTCACTCATGTACTCACTCATGTAGCCATACCTTAGCTCTTGTCACTGTAATTTTGGGGACCCCTCTGTGATCTCAATTTCAAACATCCCTCTTTCTGACCATACGCTCCTCTCTTTTCAGCCCACTCACTTTGGACCCTATTTTCTTTCAACCTCACCAGAATCTCCAATCCATTGATCTTACCAGATTTTTACTATCTCTTCTTCCCTTTATTGTCCTCTCTCTTCTCCTTTCTTAGCTCAGATGTCATGCTCAGTCTTTACAACCACTCGTCTACATATACCCTCCACTATCCTGCCCCTCTCGCACTTTGTGTTGCTTGGCAAAAGCACGACCCCTGGCTAAATCCAGCTACATCCCCATGAGCCTGCACCCATACAGCTAAAGCTGGCTAGGGGAAAATTCACAACCACATGACTAATCTTAATTTAACTTCATGACCATGAACTCCAACCAGACTTTAATGCTGCTGGGCAATCATGCTACAGGTCTCCTGTCCCTTAACTTTCTGACTTTTCCAAGTTATTATTTTGCAACTTCTTTCTCCTCAAACTCCTAATACTGCCTCCATATCCTAACTAATTCTTCCACTGCTTCCTGTTTCACTAGAAAATTGAAGCCATCAGAAGAGAACTTCTACAGACTCCTACCACCACATCATTTCACCTATCTGCACCCGCATCCATACACATGGTCTTCCTGTTGATATCATATATGATTATTGTGGGCTGAATTGTGTCCCTCCAAAATTCATATGTTGGAGTCCTAACACCCAGTACCTCATAATGTGACATAATTACCTCTTAAGTCAAAGCGAGGTCATTAAGATGGGTCCTAACCCAATACTACTGGTGCCTTTATAAGAAGAGATAAGGACACAGATAATACAGACTGAGGGCTGGCCATGTGAAGACACAGGGAGAAGATGGCCATCTGCAAGCTAAGGAGAGAAGCCTCGGAAGAAACCAGCCCTGTGAGACAATAAATGTCTGTTGTTTAAGCCACTCAGTGTGTGGTATTTTGTTATAGCAATCTTAGCAAATTAATATAATGATATTTCCAGACTGCACTCTAAAGCCAGCCACTCTCCTTTCCCACTAGATATCTTCTTCTCCCATCAACTGAATGATATCACTACCTTCTTTCTCTCCCCCAACTCCAGCATTATCAATGTTGTGCTCTCTATTGGGTCATTTCAATCAGGATTCGATTATACTGTTATTTCTCATCTTTATTATATAACACACACAAATATTCATCATATGTACACTGTATACATATATATAAAAACAGGCCAATTTTTTGTGGAATTTGAAGCATTGATTACAAAATTGGAAAAAGCATATATAGTAAATTGTTTTATATATATATATATATATTTTTCTCTTGGCTCCACTTTCCCACCTGCCATGACCCAATTTCTTTGCTCCCCTTTGATGCAAATCTCTTTTACAGATACATATGAAATATGTTTCTATACACAATATAAGGCTTCGTTGGAACCAGTGTTCCTGTCTAAGACTACATTCCCTTAGGCCTTCTACCTACATTAGTTTGGGGCCAAGAGGGAGCCCCAGATGATCATCCTTTCCTATCTCCCACTAGCTCTGCCTGTTCTGTTCCTCACTCACTCTGCCCCAGCTGTAGCCTCCCTGCTGTTCCTCAAACAAGCCATACTCACTATTGTCTTAGAGCCTTTGGAATGTCTGTTTCATCTATCAGGAAAGTTCTTCCTCCAGATACCTATTTTGACTACTCTCTCATCCCTTTGTAATAGTGGTCTCTATTCAATGTCCTCAATTTTCCTCCTCCCATTCTCTCTTGGACACATTCTAATCAGGGTCCACCTGATTTGTGGGTCCACCTCCACAAATCAGTTGAAATTGCTCCTGTCATGGTTATGGTCATGAGTGACTTCACATTGTTCAATACAATGATCAATTCTAAGTTCTCACCTTACTTAACCTATCAGCAGCATTGGGCACGGCTAATGAGTCACTCCTCTTTGGTTCACTTTCTTCCCTTGGCTCCCAGGACACCACACTCTCTCATCTCACTGACTGCTTCTTCTCAGTTTCCTTTACTGGCCCCTCTTCTTCCAAACCTCTTAAAATGAGAATGCCCCAGGGCTCCATCCCTGTCCTTTGCATTTCTATGTATACTCCCTTGGTGATCTCTTCCAGTCCAATAGCTAATACAAAATATTTCTAGGTTAACTTCCAACTTCATGTCTGCAGGCCAGATCTTCATCCTAAACTCCTGTCTGATATATACAACTGCCTACTCAGCACTTCCACTCAGATGTCTATTGGGCATTTCAAACTCAAAATGTCATAGGCAGAACTCCTGATCTGTTCTTTAAAACCTATTGCTCCTACTGCCTTCCTCACTTCAATTGATGGCAACTCCAGCTGTACATTGGCTTGAGTCAAAAACCTTAACATCACCTTCAATTTCTTTCTTTCTCTCCAATCCATCAGGAAATCGTTTTGGCTCTACTTCAAAATGCATCCAAAATCCAACCACTTCTCACCATCTCCATTGGTACACGTAAGGTTGAATCCACCATCATCTCTCATCTGGATAACTACAACAGCTTTCTAACATGCCTCTCTGCTTCCACTCTCATTCGCCTACAGTGGTACATTCTCAACACAAAAATTAAAGAGATCATTTTAAAATATAAATCAAATCATGACATTTCTCTGCTCAAAATCCTGCAAAGACACCGTATTCCACTTGGAGTCAGAGTCAAAGTCCCTGCAGAAGCCTGACATTTTCTGGTTCTCCATTGTATCTCTGATCTCTGATCTGCTCTCCTCATTCTGCCACAGCTGTGGCCTTCTTGCTATTCTACAAACAGCCCGGGCTCACTCTTGCCATAGGACCATAGCAATGTCTGTTCCTCCAGGAAGGAGGGCTCTTTTCCAATAGAGCTACTCGTTTAAATTCTCTCACATTTTCAAGGCTCAAATCTCACTGTATCAATGAGTCCTACCTGAACCATCCTACTTAATGCTGCAAACTGCCCACCCTGTTTTCTCTATCCCCTTAACATCCTCTGCTTTTGCTTCATCGCCATCTAACACACTATATAATTTATTTACTTATGCTAATTATCTTATTTCAGTCTTCCCACATGGAAATGTAATGTCTACAAGGGAAGGGATCTCTGCTTTGTTCACTGATCCCAAGTACCTAGAATTGTGCCTACAATAAAGATTTGTTAAATGAATCATTTTCTGGTGATTTTTTGCATTATGACAAGTTAGATCACATCTGTGTGTAATCTTCTACAACTTCTTCTTTTACACAACATTGTGAATTTTCACCCAACATTATGAATTTCTAAACATTTTACCTATGCTTATACTGTAACTGATAGAGGTGCATTTAAATGATGTATAATATTCTGTTATATGAATATTCCATAGCTCACTAATGCATTTCCATCCTCATAGACATTTAAGTTGCTTCCATTTTTTCTATTACAAGCAATGCGGCAGTTCATGTTCTTGCAATAGCCTCCTCTTAGTCTATAAACATGTCTCCTGGAATTGAAATTACTAGATGACATAGTACATGCATCTTCAACCTGACTACACACTGCCAAATAAGTTTCCACAGTAATTGCATCAATTTACATTCATACCAGCAGTGTATGAGTCCCATTTTCCCACATTCTTGCCAATATTTAGTATTTTCAGACGTGTTTAGCCAATCTAATGGGTGAAAGTGAGTATCTCCCTAGTGTTTGAATCTGTATGTCCCAGATTATTTCATGAGGATGAACATCTTTTTTTAAATTGACTTTAAGTTCTGGGATACATGTGCAGAACATGCAGGTTTGTTACATAGGTATACATGTGCCATGGTGGTTTGCTTCACCCATCAACCCGTCATCTACATTAGGTATTTCTCCTAATGCTATCCCTCCCCTTGCCCCCCGCTCCCCGACAGGCTCCAGTGTGTGATGTTCCCCTCCCTGTCCCCAAATGTTCTCATTGTTCAACTCTCACTTATGGGTGAGAACATGCGGTGTTTGGTTTTCTGTTCCTGTATTAGTTTGCTGAGAATGATGGCTTCCAGCTTCATCCATGTCCCTGCAAAGGACATGAACGAGGATAAGCATTTTTTTATAGGTTTCCTGGTTATACACATTTCCTTTTCTGTGAAGTACCTTTTCAGGTCATTTACCTATTCATCCTTTAAGTTGTTTGTTTTTCAAATATTGCTTCTTAGGGGTTCTTTGCATATGTTGTATCTAATTATTGGTCAGCAATATATTTTGCAAAAAGTTTCTCTAAATCTGTTGCTGGTCTTCTTTTTTGCATACATATTATGTTCATTTACAGCAAATGTAACTGAATTAAACCTGTTTGAGGAAACACATGACTTTTAGTATGCGTGCAACTCTACTGGTGAGAGCCATATATAAGAAGGTATCCTGTTAGGCAGATTTTCAAAATGTTTTATTTTAGTACAATATACATACATACATATCTTAGGTGTATATCTTGATAAATGTTCACAAAGTAAAGACACCCATATAACCAGCTCTCAGATCAAGACACAGTACATTATCAACCTCTCCCCTCCCTGCCATAAGCTTCTTTTGTGCTCCTTTCCAGTCACTATGCCCAAGGATGATAACCACTCTCCTGATTATTAGTTTTGCCTCTTTTCTGCTTTAAATAAGTGGGATCTTTCAGTATATACTCCTCTGTGTCTGGATTCTTTTGCTCAACATTAGGTTTGTGAGATTCATCCATGTTGTCGTGAATTTGTAGTTAATTCTCCTTTATGTGCTACATTTTAATGTATGAATATACTACAATTTATTTATTCATTCTACTGCTTGTGGGCTCTTGGTTTTTTTTTTCAGTGTGGGGCTATTACAAATAATGCTTTTCATAATGTCCTTAGTGAATATACATATGCACTTTTCTTGGGTATATACCAAGAAGTGGAGTTGCTGGTCATAGGGAATGCATAGGTTCAGCTTCAGTAGATAGAGCCAACTAGTTTTCCAAAAAGCCTGTACCAATCTTTGCTCGTCTTTTCTCACTAAGGTTACTTCTCACGTCTTTTATTATACAATGTTTGTCGAATCAAATATATCAATCTTTTCCTTTAAAACTTGTGTTTTTGGATTTTGTTTAGGAAATTATCTACTCTGAGGACATGATTTTTTATTAGTTTTAAGATTTTGGTTGTGTACTTTGGTCTTTTATATATCTGGATTTTATTTTGTATAAGGCATGGATCTAGATTTTTCTCCGAGAAGGGAAACAACTGTCCAATCACATTTATTAAATTATTCATCCATTTTTCACTCCTATGTAATGTCACTTCTTTCATATAACAATTTACTGTATGTACTATATGTGCCTTTTCCAGTTTTGTAATCAGTGTTTCAAATTCCACAAAAAATTGGCCTGTTAATATTTTGATTGGAATAATATTGGATTTATGGACTAATTTGAGAAGAATTACCAATTTGCTGACTTAAAGTTTCCACACATACAAATGGAATATTGTTGGGAAAGACAACCCATCATGGTCCCTAAGCATTTATGCGTACTCTTGCTGAGTATGCCAAAAAGGTAAGGCACTGATGACTCTTCACCTTGGCCATTCTCAGGACCATGTTTTCAGTGAGAAACCCTGAAGGATGGGAAAACATCACAAACAGCAGGTTTATTTCCATGTTCTATAAAAGCAGTGGATCCTCCAAATGTATTGTTTCTTTCCTGTAATGCAACCCACTGTGCAGCCATCCATCATTGGTCCTTTGCATTGCCCTTGTGGGATTTGGGGGGCATTGGGAACGAACACAAGCCAACAGGAAGTTCTAGCTACTGCTTTTTCTGAGTAATAAAGTCCTTTGCCTCTCACCCAAGATTCTCATGTCTTCTGACAGAATACATGAAACTGTGTGTGTCAGGCTAATTTGTAAGTTTGTAAATAGGGTCAAATTCTAGACCTTTTGTAGTTCTTGACAAGAATATTCCTCCACTTTCTGATTTTTATAAAATTTCCTTTAGTACAATCTCATACTTTTCTGTATAATGGTTTATACATCTGTTAGCTATCTTCCTAGCTGCCTTATAGATTTTGGGAAAATCATGAATGGGTTATTTTTCCTATTGCATTTTCTAATTGATCGCTGAATTCCTCGTGCTTTATACATGTCACTAGTATAGCTTCTCATATGGAATAATGTACTGTTTCCCTTGATAGAATGTTGGCTTCTCTTGAGAGCAGAAACCATGCCTTATTTATGTCTATATTCTCCCAAGGAAACATTTAATTCAACTAATATTTATTGAGCATTGTTATGATTTGAATATGGTTTGTGCCCACCAAAACTCATATTGAGACTTGGTCCCCAGTGTAACAGTGTTGAGAGGGGGTGGAATATTTAACAGGCTTCTGGGTCATTAAGGATTCACTCTCATGAAGGGATTAAAGCAGTCTGGTGGGAGTGAGTCAGTTCTTACTCTTTGTGGGA
Source organism: Homo sapiens (assembly GCF_000001405.40). NCBI lineage: Eukaryota > Metazoa > Chordata > Mammalia > Primates > Hominidae > Homo > Homo sapiens. The sequence goes on along the minus strand of NC_000023.11, from coordinate 103,945,478 downwards.
CTGAATTGGTTATGCAAGTGCAAGTTGTTGTAAAGTGAGGTTGCATCTCGTGTTTGGTGTTTTACTCTCTTTGCAGGGACCTGGTTCCCCTTCCATTTCTCTGCCATGTTTTGCCACAGTACAAGGCCCTCATCAGAAGCTACCAGATGCAGCTGCCCAATCTTAAACTTCCCAGCCTGCAGAACCATGAGCTAAATAAACCTCTTTTCTTTGTAAATTGCCCAGTTTCAGGTATTCACTTATAGCAACACAAAATGGACGAAGACAAGCATCTACTATGCATCAGTTGTGAAATAAAAAGAGGTATACAATTGTAAATAAAGTGCCTGCTCTCAAGGAATTTACAAAATGTGAAGAAAACAGATACAGCCACAAAATATTTCTGTTAAGAAAGTCATATTGGCCGGGCTCAGTGGCTCACGCCTGTAATCCCATCACTCTGGGAGGCCGAGGCTGGTGGATCTCCTGAGGCCAGGAGTTCGAGACCAGCCTGGGCAACATGGTGAAACCTCGTTTTTACTAAAAATACAAAAGCCAGCGGGGCATGGTGGTGCATGCCTGTAGTCCCAGCTACTCAGAAGCTGAGGCAGGAGAATCGCTTGAACCCAGGGGAGGTGAGATCACACCACTGCGCTCCAGCCTGGGTAACAGAGAGAGGCTCCGTCTCAAAAAAACATAAAAGAAAGAAAGTAATATTATGTATTATAACAAAGGTATGAACAAAGTGCTGTGGGAGAAGGGGAAATTCATTGTGACTTGGAAGATTCTGGAAGTCTTCAAACAATAAGTACTGTTTGAGTTGCGCCTCATACGGTGATCTAGACTGGTGCAGATGGAGAGCTAGGGAAGGGAGGTAACTTCTCATACCATGCTTGGCATTCAGAGCCTTCTACAATATTGTCCCAAACTATCTTCCCAAACCCAGCTACTATGTCCTCCAGGAAATAAAAGTTAGTCTTTCATGCCAAATTCATCCATCAGTCGTATTCTAAACCCAAAATGTTTGAGTTCCCACCTTGTTGTTTTGCACTATAGCACAATGACTAAGAACAAAGAATCTGGAGCCACAGGAATTTTATTTTTGTCCAGATTCTACAACTTACTGGCTATGAAGTCTTGGGCAAATAAAGCTACAAATGGTGCTTATCTCATAGGATTGTTTGATCAATCAGGTAATTCTTGTAAAACTTTGGCATAGTACCTGGTACAGAGTACAATACTATGAATGGTACCTCTATTTTATCCATCCCTCTGATCTTAAGTCAATTGAAACATACTTATTGTATATCCACTATGTGCAATAGATTTTATTAAGTATCATGAATAAGAACACAAAGATGAATAACACCCTATTTCTGCCCAGTGATGTCAGGTAGAGGATAAAAAATACATACATACATAATCACAAGTCAAGGCAAATTAAAAGACCTGGATTCTTCTAGCTCTTGCCCTCGATAACATGAAGAAGTCGGATCACATGATCAACAAGACCACTTCTAAATCTAATATTATAATTCTGAGACATCTATGATTTTAAATGTTACATCAAGGTTGATAAGTACCAGGGGAAAGTGGAAAAGAGGGAAGCCTAATTCTATCTGAGAGAGTCCAAGAAGCCTGCATAGAGGAAATGACATTTGAATTGGGCCTTTAAAAATGGATAGCATTTGTTGAAGGAAGAAATGGGGGCAATGGAATTCCAGGAAGAGGAGAAAAGAAGAACAAAGAGAAATGTAGGGCACATTTGGGAAACATCCAGTAGTCTTGTGTAGTTGGGACATCGAGATTCATAATATTTAAGTAGAGGAAAAAGAGGTGAAAAAGGTAGGCTGGTGTCAGATTATGGAGGACCTTGAATGTCACGCCAAGTGGTTTGGATTTTATCTTGTAAGCTATTAACATTGGAAGGTGACAAGAAGAGCCAATAAAAAGAGTTGTGGCAGTTCTTCAGGTATAAAATCAGGAAAGACTGAACTAAGGCTGTGGGTCTAATAATTGAAAAGAAAGGACAGAAGTCTGTCATTTTTTCATATACTACTTTGTGTATATTCTTGAATGATTTTTAATCGAACATGTTTGGAGGGCAGGGCCAATTCATCCATTCATTCTACAAATATCTATTGAGCACTTACTATGTGCATGACAATCTGGGCACTGGAAATAGAGTAATGAGTGAGAGAGTCACGTTCCCTATATGATAGTATCCTTTGTGTTGAAAGTACCAGAAAATGATGATACCATTGGAAGTGGAAAGACTAGGGACAGATTGGTAAGGAGAATAAATAGTTTAATCTTTGACATATTAAGTTTGGAATGCCTATATGTCAGTGAAAACATCAAGTAGGCAGTTGGATACAGGTGTCTTGAGCTTTCATGTACTCTATCTCAGAGTTGTCCCATTTGTACTCCATCTCCATTATCATAATAAATTTTTTAAGGTTTGCTGTTTACTTTCTGAAAACCTAATGAATTAGTAGCATCTTTATAGATAATAACATAGTATATTATATTAATCAACATATGTTATACTGAATATGTCAACATGAGGCATCAACACATATAAACTGATTTCTTAAGAGATATATGTTTTTCTTTTAAAATAGGACATTATATGTAAGAAACTCATTATAATCCCATTTATGATAATCTGCTTTACTATTAGTAATTGTTTAAAAATTAAGCAACAAATAAAAATCCCAAAAAAAGATATGTTGAACACTATGAAGAATATTATGAAACTTGGAGAAATGTTAAAATTAGAATTTCAACCATTATTTTTGTTTACACTAAAACTCAACAGTTAAGTTTTGCTGAAATTAAAATCTCAACAGTAATTTTGTGAAAAGAAAATTTCAGCATCTATTTCTGTGCATATTGATAAGAATAGTTAAGAAACTCTTGAGGAATAAGAATGAGGTGGGAAGACTTCCCCTATCAGATATCAAGACATTTATTAGTATTACTGTTACAGGTAATAAGGCAATGCTGTATTGGCACATGATTAGATAAATAAACTGGTAGAATAGAACAGACAGGTCAGAAATCTTCCCAAAAATATATGAACACTTGATATTTGACAGAGTTGGCATTGTAACTGAATGGGAGAAGAAAAGGCTTTTCAGCAAATGATATTGGGGCAATTGGATATTCATAAAGAAAACATTGGACCTCTATTCTCATATTCTACATGAAAATCAATTCCAAGTATATTAAAAACATAGATGTGAAAGTCAAAACCATAAAAATTTTAAATGTTATTATAGTATAAAGGAATATCTTCATGATATTGGGGTATAGAACGATTTCATTGAAAAGACACAAAAAGCACTTACCATAAAAAAGGATTGATAACTTCGGTATCTATCTTATAATTAGAATTTATGTTTATCAAAAGAAATCATTAAAATGGAAAAATAAGTGACAAAGTGGGGAGAGATATATGGAACACATATAAAGGAGAAAGAACTAAAATTAAAACAGCTTCTACAAATTAATTTGAAAAAGTTACACAACTCAACAGGAAAAAATGGCAAATGTCTTGAATAAATGCTTCACAAAAGAGGAAATACTAACGTTCAATAGGCATGTGAAAAGATGCTCAACATTATTAGTAATCAGGAAAATCAAATTATAAGATGCCATTTACACCCATTAGATAGGCAAAAATTAAGAAGTCTGATAATACCAAGTGTTGGCCAGCAGGTGGAGAAATGGGAACTGTTAAACCTGGCTAGTAAGGGTGTGAACTGGTACATGCCATTAGGAAAAGTTAGGCATCATCCAATTAAATTGAAGGTGCTCATATTCCATAAACCAGAAATTCTACATAAATCCCCTAGAGATATCTGTGTTTATGTACATTACCAAGAAAAATCATGGTAGCACTGTTTTGTAACAGTCAAAAATTGGATTTCATCTCACCCCAGTTAAAATGACCATTATCAAAAAGACAAAAAAATGACAGATGATGGCAAGGATGTGGAGAAAGGGGAACACTCATACACTGTTAGTGAGAATGTAAGTTGGTACAGACATTATGGAAAACGGTATGGGTGTTCTTCAAAAAACTAAAAATAGCACTGTCATTATGATTCAGCAATCTTGCTGCTGTGTATGTTTCCAAAAAAAAAATGTTTTAAACCGTATATTGAAGAGATGTCTGCACTCCTATGTTTATTGCAGCACTATTCACAAGATCCAAGTTATGGAATCAACCTAAGTGTCCATCAATCAATAAATGGATAAAGAAAATGTTGTATATGTACACATTTTAATAGCATTGAGCTATAACAAAGGAATGCGAGACTCCTGGGCAAGATGGCTGAATAGGAACAGCTCCAGTGTGCAGCTCTCAGCAAGACCAATGCAGAAGGTGGGTGATTTCTGCATTTCCAACTGAGGTGCCAGGTTCATCTCATTGGGACTGGTTAGACAGTGGGTGCAGCCCACGGAGGGCGAGCAGAAGCAGGGTGGGGTGTCGCCTCACCCAGGAAGCTCAAGGGGTGGGGGAACTACCTCCCCTAGCCAAGGGAAGCCGTGAAGGACTGTGCCATGAGGGACTGTGCTATCTGGCCCAGATACTAAGCTTTTCCCAAGGTCTTTGCAACCCAAAGACCAGGAAATTCCTTCAGGTGCCTACACCACACGGGCCCTGGGTTTCAAGCACAAATCTGGGCGGCTGTTTGGGCAGACACCAAGCTAGCCGTAGGAGTTTTGGGTTTTTGTTGCTGTTGTTGTTGTTGTTGCTGTTGTTGTTGTTGTTGTTGTTTTTCATACCCCAGTGAAGCCTGGAACACCAGTGAGACAGAACCATTCATTCTTCTGGAAAGGGGACTGAAGCCAGGGGGCCAAGTGGTCTTGCTCAGCGGATCCCAGCCTCATGGAGCCCAGCAAGCTAACATCCACTGGCTTGAAGTTCTTGCTGCCAGCACGAAAGTCTGAAGTTGACCTGAGATGCTCGATCTTGGTGGGGGGAGAGGGGATCTGCCATTACTGAGGCTTGAGTAGACGGGTTTTCCCCTCACAGTGTAAACAAAGCCTCTGGGAAGTTCTAACTGGGCGGAGCCCACTGCAGTGCCACAAAGCCACTGTAGCCAGATTGCCTCTCTAGATTCCTCCTCTCTGGGCAGGGCATCTCTGAAAGAAAGGCAGCAGCCCCAGTCAGGGACTTATAGATAAAACCCCCATCTCCTTGGGACAGAGCACCTGGGAGAAGGGGCGGCTGTGGGCGCAGTTTCAGCAGACTTTAACATTCCTGCCTGCTGGATCTGAAGAGAGCAGTGGATCTCCCAGCACAGTGCTCTAGCTCTGCTAAGGGACAGATTGCCTCCTCATGTGGGTCCCTGACACTCGTGCCTCCTGACATGGAGACACCTCCCAGCAGGGGTCGACAGACACCTCATACAGGACAGCTCCAGCTGGCATCTGGCTGGTGCCCCTCTGGGACAAAGCTTCCAGAGGAAGGAGCAGGAAGCAATCTTTGTGGTTCTACAGCCTCCACTAGTGATACCCAGATGAACGGGGTCTGGAGTGGACCCCCAGCAAACTGCAGCAGACCTGTAGAAGAGTGGCCTGATAGAAGGAAAACCAACAAACAGAAAGCAATACCATCAACAGCAACAAAAAGGACGAACACGCAAAAACTCAATTCGAAGGTCACCAACAGCAAAGACGAAAGGTAGATAAACCCACGAAGATGAGGAAAAAACAACGCAAAAAGGCTAAAAAGTCCAAAAACCAGAATGCCTCTTCTCCTCCAAAGGATTACAACTTCTCCCCAGCAAGGGAACAAAACTGGATGGAGAATGAGTTTGACGAATTGACAGAAGTAGGCTTCAGAAGGTCGGTAATAACAGATTCCTCCAAGCTAAAGGAGCATGTTCTAACCCAATCCAAGGAAGCTAAGAACCTTGATAAAAGGTTGAGGAATTGCCAACTAGAATAAACCACTTTAGAGAAGAGCATAAATGACCTGATGGAGCTTAAAAACACAGCATGAGAACTTCATGAATTATATACAAGTATCAATAGTCAAATCGATCAAGCGGAAGAAAGGATATCAGAGATTGAAGATCAGCTTAATGAAATGAAGCATGAAGATGAGATTAGAGAAAAAAGAATGAAAGGAACAAAAAAAAGCCTCCAAGAAATATGGGACTATGTGAAAAGAACAAACCTATGTTTGATCGGTGGACCTGAAAGTGATGGGGAGAGTGGAACCAAGTTGGAAAACACACTTCACGATAATATCCAGGAGAACTTCCCCAACATAGCAAGATAGGCCAACATTCAAATTCAGGAAATAGAAAGAACACCACAAAGATACTCCTCGAGAAGAACAATCCCAAGACACATAATTGTCAGATTCACCAAGGTTGAAATGAAGGAAAAAATGTTAAGGGAAGCCAGAGAGAAAGGTCAAGTTACCCACAAAGGGAAGCCCATTAGACTAACAACAAATCTCTCAGCATAAACCCTTCAAGCCAGAAGAGAGTGAGGGCCAATATTCAACATTCTTAAAGAAAATAATTTTCAAACCAGAATTTCATATCCAGCCAAATTAAGCTTCATAAGCAAAGGAGAAATAAAATCCTTTATAGACAAGCAAATGCTAAGGAATTTTGTCACCATCAGGCCTGCCTTACAACACCTCCTGAAGGAAGAACTAAATACAGAAAGAAAAAACTGGTACCAGCCACTGCAAAAACAAACCAAAATGTAAAGACCATCGACACTATGAGAAACTGCATTAAGTAATGGGCAGAATAACCAGCTAGCATCCTAATGACAGGATCAAATTCACACATAACAATATTAACCTTAAATGTAAATGGGCTAAATGCCCCAATTAAAAGGCATAGACTGGCAAATTGGATAAAGAGCCAAGACCCATCAGTGCGCTGTATTCAGGAGACCCATCTCACATGCAAAGACACACATAGGCTCAAAATAAAGGGATGGATGAAGATCAAGCAAATGGAAAGCAAAAATAAGCAGGGGTTGCAATCCTAGTCTCTGATAAAACAGACTTTAAACCAACAAAGATCAAAAAAGACAAAGAAGGGAATTACATAATGGTAAAGGGATCAATGCAACAAGAAGGGCTAACTATCTTAAATATATATGCAACGAATACAGGAGCACCCGGTAAAACAAGTTCTTAGAGACCTACAAAGACACTTAGACTCCCACACAATAATAGTGGGAGACTTTAACAACCCACTTTCAATATTAGACAGATCAACGAGACAGAAAATTAACAAGAATGTTCAAAACTTGAACTCAGTTCTGGACCTAGTGGACCTAATAGACATCTACAGAATTCCACCCAAATCAACAGAATACACATTCTTCTCAGCACCACATAGCACTTATTCTAAAATTGACCACATAATTGGAAGTAAAACACTCCTCAGCAAATGCAAAAGAACAGAAATCATAAACCGTCTCTCAGACCACAGTGCAATCAAATTAGAACTCAAGAATAAGAAACTCACTCAAAACCGCACAACTACATGGAAACTGAACAACCTGCTCCTGAATGACTACTGGGTAAATAATGAAATTAAGGCAGACATAAATAAGTTCTTTGAAACCAATGAGAACAAAGACAAAACGTACCAGAATCTCTAGGACACAGCTAAAGCAATGCGTAGAGGGAACTTTATAGCACTAAATGCCCACAGGAGACAGCAGGAAAGATCTAAAATCGACACCCTAACATCATAATTAAAAGAACTAGAGAAGCAAGAGCAAACAAATTCAAAAGCTAGCAGAAGACAAGAAATAACTAAGATCAGAGCAGAACTGAAGGAGATAGAGACACAAAAAAACCCTTCAAAAAATCAATGAATCCAGGAGCTGATTTTTTGAAAAGATTAATAAAATAGATAGACCTCTAGCCAGACTAATAAAGAAGAGAAGAGAGAAGAATCAAATAGACACAATAAAAAATGGCAAAGGGGAGATCACCACTGATCCCACAGAAATACAAACTACCATCAGAGAATACTATAAATACCTCTATGCAAATAAACTAGAAAATCTATAAGAAATGGATAAATTCCTGGACACATACACCCTCCCAAGTCTAAACCAGGAAGAACTCGAATCCCTGAATAGACCAATAACAAGTTCTGAAATTGAGGCAGTAATTAATAGCCTACCAACCTAAAAGCCCAGGACCAGATGGATTCACAGCCGAATTCTACCAGAGGTACAAAGAGGAGCTTATACCATTCCTTCTGAAACTATTCCAAACAATAGAAACAGATGGACTCCTCCCTAACTCATTTTATGAGGCCAGCATCATCCTGATACAAAAACCTGTCAGAGACACAACAAAAAAAGAAAATTTCAGGCCAATATCCCTAGTGAACATCAATGTGAAAATCCTCAATAAAATACTGGCAAACCGAATCCAGCAACACATCAAAAAGCTTATCCACTACAATCAAGTCAGCTTCATCCCTGGGATGCAAGGCTGGTTCAACACACGCAAATCAATAAACGTAAACAGAACCATCACATAAACAGAACCATCACATAAACAGAACCAATGACAAAAACCATATGATTATGTCAATAGATGCAGAAAAGGCCTTTGATAAAATTCAACACCCATTAATGCTAAAAACACTCAATAAACAAGGAATTGATGGAACATATCTCAAGATAATAAGAGCTATTTATGACAAACCCACAGTCAATATCATACTGAATGGGCAAAAGCTGGAAGTGTTCCCTTTGAAAACCGGCTCAAGACAAGGATGCCCTCTCTCACCACTCCTATTCAACACAGTATTGGAAGTTCTGGCCAGGACAATCAGGCAAGAGAAACCAATAAAGCGTATTCAAATAGGAAGAGAGGAAGTCAAATTCTCTCTGTTTGCAGATGACATGATGGTATATTTAGAAACCCCATGGTCTCAGCCCATAAACTCCTTAAGCTGATAAGCAACTTCAGCAAAGTCTCAGGATACAAAATCAATGTGCAAAAATCATAAGCATTCCTACACACAAATAATAGACAGAGAGCCAAATCATGAGCAAACTCCCATTCACAATTGCTACAAAGATAATAAAATACCTAGGAATACAACTTACAAGGGATGTGAAGGACCTCTTCAAGGAGAACTACAAACCACTGCTCAAGGAAATAAGAGAGGACACAAACAAATGGAAAAACATTCCATGCTCATGGATAGGAAGAGTCAATATCATGAAAATGGCCATACTGCCCAAAGTAGTTTATAGGTTCAATGCTATTCCCTTCAAGCTACCATTGACTTTCTTCACAGAATTAGAAAACAACTACTTTAAATTTCATATGGAAGCTGGGCGCGGTGACTCATGCCTGTAATCCCAGCACTTTGGGAGGCCGAGGCAGGTGGATTACCTGAGGTGGGGAGTTCGAGACCAGCCTGACCAATATGGAGAAACCCCATCTCTACTAAAAATACAAAATTAGCTGGGCAAGGTGGTGCATGCCTGTAATCCCAGCTTCTTGGGACGCTGAGGCAGGAGAATAACTTGAACCTGGGAGGCAGAGGTCGTGGTGAGCTGAGATCACGCCATTGCAGTCCAGCCTGGGCAACAAGAGTGAAACTCCATCTCAAAAAAAAAAAAAAAAAAAACAACTCCTATGTAACCAAAAAAGAGCCCGCATTGCCAAGACAATCCTAAGCAAAAAGAACAAAGCTGAAGGCATGCTATCTGACTTCAAAATATACTACGAGGCCACAGTAACCAAAACAGCATGGTACTGGTACCAAAACAGATATATAGACCAATGGAACAGAGCAGAGGCCTCAGAAATAACACCACACACCTACAACCATCTGATCTTTGACAAATCTGACAAAAGCAATGGGGAAAGGATTCCCTATTTAATAAATGGTGTTGGGAAAACAAGCTAGCCATATGCAGAAAACTGAAACTGGACCCTTTCCTTACACCTTATACAAAAATTAACTCGAATTGGATTAAAGATTTAAACGTAAGACCTAAAACCATAAAAACCCTAGAAGAAAACCTAGGCAATACCACTCAGGACATAGGCATGGGCAATGACTTCATGACTAAAATGCAAAAAGCAATTAAAACAAAAGCCAAAATTGACAAATGGGATCTAACTAACTAAAGAGCTTCCGCACAGCAAAAGAAACTCTCATCCAAGAGAACAGGCAACCTACAGAATGGGGGGAAATTTTTGACATCTATCCATTTGACAAAGGGCTAATATCCAGAATCTACAAGGAACTTAAACAAATGTATAAGAAAAAAACAAAAACCCCATCAAAAAGTGGGCACAGGATATGAACAGACACTTTTCAAAAGAAGACATTTATGCGGCCAACAAACACACACACAAAAAAGCTCATCATCGTTGGTCATTAGAGAAATGCAAATCAAAACCACAATGAGACACCATCTCACGCCAGTTAGAGTGGCGAACATTAAAAAGTCAAGAAACAACAGATGCTGGACAGGATGTGGAGAAATAGGAATGCTTTTACACTGTTGGTGGGTGTATAAATTAGTTCAACCATTGTGGAAGAAAGTATGGTGATTCCTCAAGGATCTAGAACTAGAAATACCATTTGACTCAGCAATCTCATTACTGGGTATATACCCAAAGGATTATACATCATTCTACTTCAAAGACACATGCACACGTATGTTTACTGCAGCACTATTCACAATAGCAAAGACTCGGAACCAACCCAAATACCCATCAATGACAGACTGGATAAAGAAAATGTGGCATATATACACCATGGAATAATATGCAGCCATAAAAAAGAATGAGTTAATGTCTTTTGCAGGGACATGGATGAAGCTGGAAACCATCATTCTCAGCAAACTAATACAGGAACAGAAAACCAAACACTGCACGCTCTCACTCATAAGTGGGAGTTGAACAATGAGAACATATGGGCACAGGGAGGGGAACATCACACACTGGGGCCTGTCTGGGAGCGGGGGGCAAGGGGAGGGATAGCATTAGGAGAAATACCTAATGTAGATGACGGATTGATGTGTGCAGCAAACCACTATGGCACATGTACACCTACGTTACAAACCTGCAGGTTCTGCACATGTATCCCAGAACTTAAAGTACAATAATAAAAAAAAAAAACTAATGCAATCCTGTCATTTCTGGCAACATAGATGTGCTCAGAGGACATTATGTGAAGTGAAATGTGAAGTGAAATAATCCAGGCACAGAAAGGCAAATATCACATGTCCTCACTCATATGGGAGAGCTAAAAAAGTTGATCTCAAGGTGGTGGAGAGTAGAACTGTGGTTAACAGAGGCTGGGAAGGGTCCTGCAGAGGGGCGAATGAAGAGAGATTGGTTAATGGGTGCAAAAATAGAGTTAGAGAGAAGGAATAAGTTCTGCGTTCAATAGCACAACAGAGTGACCATAGTATTCAATTTATTGTGTATTTCAAAATAGCTAGAAGAGATTTGGAATGTTTCCCACACAAAGAAATGATAAATTTGAGCTGACGGATATCCCAATTACCTTGATTTGACCATTACATATTGTACGCATGTATCAAAATATCAAATGTACCCCAGAAACATATACAATTATTATGCATCAATAAAACGAATGAATTGTAAAAAAAAAAAAAAGAGAGAAAAAGAAAGAAAAGAAAACCCTGCAAACAACCAGAATGACCCTCAAACTTATCATGAATAAATTATGGTACAATGGTAAACTGTACAACAATAAAAATGGATCAACTACAGCTATCTGCAATATCGATGAGTATCACAAGCAATGTGGAGTGAAACAAGATAGTCACAATTCCAAGTTTATAAAGTATATAATGTTCAAACATCTGTAAAACAAAACTGTTGGTTAGGGATGCTTATAAGGAAGAAAACCTATAAACAAAAGCAAAGAAATGATTATCACAAAAGTCAGCATGGGGGCTAACCCTAAGATGGAAGAAGGGATATCATCATTGGCGGGGGGAGAGGAGTAGGTTATTAAAGGGCTCTATTTCTTGCCCGGGCTAGTTATTACATGGGTGATAGCTTTAAAAATGTTCTTTAAACTGGCAATTCTCGTCTGAGCGTATCTCTTTTCTTAAAGAAATAGAAAGCAAGGTCACTAGTTGGAAATGATGAGGGAGGGTATATTAAAAGATTTGAGGGAAGAAAGATGATATGAAAGAACCAGAGACATTGGAGAGTGAACAGACTAGAGAAATACAGTATTTTTATCCTATTATTTTATGAAAGCTTTTTATAGTTTCTGATTTATTATGCTTTTTCTCTCATATGCAACATTATTTTATATATAACTTTAATGTACTACACTATATGTCATTATCCCAGTAAAATTATAATGCTATTTAATGTTTAAAAATAAGTTGTAAAAGCAAAATTGTCTAAATAAACCATATAATGATTTGTCATAAAACATTAGTTATTTATTATTTCAACTTGAGCTCTAGAAAAGCTGATGTAGCTTATATTTAGACAAAAATATATATCATGCATATATTGTGTTTTGTGATGGCTTTTTATTCTTTTTCTTTTGACTTTTTATACCAAGTAGCTTTAGTGTTAAATTGTATATTTTATGTCTTTAAACAGATGTAGGTATTTATTACCTCCTTATTTTATTGATCTCAACTCCTAAAAGTCATTTTTTATATCAGAAAATATGCCCACATAAACATCACAAAACTAAATATTAATATTGACATTTGAAATTACTTGAAAACTACTACACCCTTAAATTTTGCTCAGAAGATTTAAGTGGAAAAAGTTGACAAGTCTGTATAATTTTACAGTATTGCCTAGGATTTTATATGAACCAATTTGTAAAACTCAATTATTTAAATTATAACATGCTTCAGTTGTAAATCCACGTTTATATTATAATTGAATAGCTTCAAGCTTTAAACATACATAAAGTTTTTATAAAGGCAAATATAGTAAATTTAAGCAATTATTAGCAACTTAGCTTTAAAATATGCTCTGAGGGGAAAACACACAAACTTTTTCCTTTGCTTTCACATCACGGCAATCAACAAAGAATATTTCCATGTTCAAATGTGTGGGGTTTTCCCACACACTAAGTGAGCAATCAGTTCTGCAGCAAACACCAGCTGGGTGTACTCCAATTCAATTCTGACACAAATCTACCTGGAGATAGCGTCATATCCCACAAGCTGAGGACTAGGTCTCACAAGACTGTTCCCAGGCCCTTCAGACACCAGTCGCAAATCCAGTCCTCCAGAACTTCTGACAGATGGGCTTCAAGTTTCGGTTCACATGACCCCCTCTTTGGGTTTGATTAATTTGTCAGAAAGGCTCACAGAACTCAGGGAAATACCTAACGTTGACCAGTTTATTATAAAGGATATTGCAAAGGATAGAGATGAAGAGATGCATAGGGTGAGGTACTGGGGAAGGGGCTCAGAGCTTCCATGCCCTCCTTGGGTCACCACCCTCCAGGAACCTCCATATATTCAGCTATCTGGAAGCTAACCAAACCCAGTTCCTTGGGGATTTTATGGAAGCTCCATTACATAGGTATGATTGATTAAATCATTGGCCACTGGTGATCGACTTAACCTTCCACCCCTCTCCCCTCCCTGGAGGTCGGGAATGAGGCTGTTAAGTCCCAACCCTCTAATGGCGCCTTGGTCTCTCTGGTGACTAGTTCCCATCCTGAAGCAACCAGAGGCTGCCAGCCATCAGTCAATTATTAGCATACAAAAAGATATCACTTTGGAAATTCTAAGGATTTTAAGAGTTGCATGCCAGGAAACAGGATCGAAGAGCAAATATATATTTCACAGTATCACATATACCATGTGACTTTTCATTTTATAATATTCTGCAATAACGGTTCCATTGTCATAGAGATAAAACACAGTCTTTTTTAAAAGAATTTGGATTTGCAAACATTGAATCGAGGAATACTGAAAATTGATGTATGCAATTCACAGTTCAGGGAAAAAATATCCTGTGTGTGTATAGACAGAGTGCACACTTAAATAATAAAGCAAATGGGGAGAAACATTAATAATAGGGGAATTAGGGTAAAGGGGACATGGGTGTTCTTTAAGCTTTATTTATGCTTGCAACATTTTTAAATGTTTGAAATTATTTTTAAATAAGAAGTTAAAATGAAGAAAGGGACATGGATGTACAGAGTGACATAAGTGGAAATCACCAGTGTAATTAGGAGATAAATGCATCTTTTTCCTTTCCTTATGCAGACTCTGTGTTCATACTTCCTTGAATCCACAAGTTGAGTACTGTTCCAACACATCCCGATTTGCAGATGTGGAAGCTCATTTTCAACTCTCCTGGACTAGCCATTTTCTGCCAACCTTGGTGACAAATGCTGTCTGACATCATACCTCCAACAACTGTGTCTTTAATTTCTGTGGCATTCAGTGAGAAGTTCTCACTGCTAGAACTACAACCTGGTAAGACAAATACAGGACAAATTTGGTTCAGTAAGGAGATGCAAGTGGAGGGCATTACTGAGATATCTGTAGGGGGAAACTATAACACATGTCATCTTGGAAATCCTCAAAATCCCAGAGTTGAAACAAATGGGACTGTTATATATTGTGAATCTGTTTGTGAAATTTCAGTTCCTGAACTGGTGCTAATAGCAAATATGCCATCAGTAACACAAACCCATCAAATGTTCCAGTTGAAAGTAATTTATTATTATTATTATTATTATTATTATTATTATTATTATTATCAACAGCATCATTATCATTAGCACAAAACTAAATCCACTATTAAAAGAAAATAAAAACACAGCTCCAAGGCATGTGTCTTACTGACAGTGAGTCAATAACTTTATCTTCATGTGCAAGGGACAGCAACCGGAGGCTATACCACATCAGAGCTTGATAATCAATTCAGTAATTCGACCAATGTTATTGAGCACCTAGGCACAATGGAAGATTTTAAAATGCATACAAGAATCCCTGCTTTCAATAAGTTTTACGGTCTAGTGGGAGGTATTGAAGAATACAAGAACACAGGGTCACATGAGATTAGTGACATAACAGAATCAGTACCATCTATGAAGTGCTGTTAGAAAGGGGCATCACAGAGACTAATGTCACATTCACTTGGGGGAAATCAAGAGGCTCCAAAGAGAAGGTGACCTCTGAGCTGGGCTTCGAGGAGCTGGAAGGATTTTGGTAGACTGGCATGTGAAGAAGGAGCACTGCAGGTGGAAAGAATAGTGTGGGCCAAAGTATGGCCATGGGAAAGTTCATGGAATGTTTGGGGAGAGAACAAGGTTCATTATGGCTAGTGTTTGGGGTTTATGTAAGTGGAGTGAAAATATGTTGAAAGTTATATAAGGAGCATATTTTGAATGGCTCTGAATGACAGGCTAAGATTTCTGATCTTTATGTCATACTAACTACATTTACCACATCAACAAAATATGCAATTATTAGGGATAGCATTAGGAGATATACCTAATGCTAAATGACGAGTTAATTGGTGCAGCACACCAGCATGGCACATGTATACATATGTAACTAACCTGCACATTGTGCACATGTACCCTAAAACTTAAAGTATAATAATAATAAAATAAAATAAAATAAAATAATTTTTAAAAATATGCAATTATCTGTGAAGAGATATGGTCACTTCACTTCCAGGTTTCTTGGGGAAACTCAAATCGTTTCTGGGCAATGTTATCACCTTGCTCTCAGAAATGTCCTAACAGATAACACCAAGCAGACTATAGCAAATGTTTCTATTTTGCATGTAATTAAATCTCTTCTTTCAAAGTTTTATCATTTCCATCCATGGGTCACACTTCTTCCCATTCCCATCTCCAGCCCCACTAGTTCTTGTGGCACCTGACGAGTTCATGCAAGCCTAATTTAGGATTTCCAGCCACAGCTGCTACCCTGAAAGTAGGACCCACAGCCTTGAGAAGTGAGAGGTGGTGGTAGAGGCAGTGAACAATATCATGAAAATGTAGCCATCTGAGAAGTTTTATGGAATTCCCATCCTAAGAGTCAAGCACAGTTCTTTGAAATTGGAGTTCCACTCAGTTTGGTCTGGAGGACACCTAGAGGGGTCCCAGAGCTCAGAGTGCCTAAGTAAGGTTATCTTTTTAAGTTTCTGTTTATTGCCAAGGAATTCCTTAAAGGAATGACACTTAATCTGGGTTACACGTTATTTAAAGGCCTCCTGGCTCTGAGGCTACTGAAGCTGTGGAGAGACTGGGGCGAACGTTTCTTTTTGACTAAGGAATACTTTTGGGCTTTGTCCTTGCTCAACAGGTTGGTAGTTGGGAACTTCTCCCATGCAATGAGTTTACAGATGCTAAAAGATGGCTGTATTAGGCAACCGAGCCAAAGAAGTAAGCTATATAGAACCAACCAGGGAAGATTCAGAATAACAAAGGTGGCATGGCCACACTTTCTGCAGCTAGTCAGTCTTCAGCTCTTTCCTGGAGTGTGACTTCCTCTGCAGGAAGTCATGGATTGCCGTAGTGAGGCCCCATGTCACACTGGACCTTAGGATGACCAGGGAGCCTCCACGGTAGATCAGGAGAAGCTTTTGGCCCCAAGTGTTCCACACATCCTGGGCAGAGGCCCACAGGCTTGGCATGTTCTGCCATCCAATATGGGACTGCATATTAGCAGCCAGCACAATCGGAGGATACAGAACTAGGCAGGTGATTGTTTCATTGACACTACCAGACACCAAGGCAGGAACCCAATGGGCCAGGCCTTGCTCTGCCAGGCCATCCTGCATGGGGTCCTGGAAAGAAAAATATAGAGTGCTCCCCAGGCTGTTCCTGGCCAGGACAGGCCAGAAACCATGGTAGTAGCCCCGTGACAGCCGCCCCCAAAGCCCATAAGAATTGAATTCCTCAAGAATGCTGAAGGTGCTGGGTAAGCGAGCTTGCTTGCAACCATCCTGGAGCACATTTTGCACCCTTTCAAAGGGGCTGAGTGCCACAGCCTCCACCAGGCCAGACATGATCCCTGCAGCCCAGTGGCGTCCCAGGGTGTGTGGCCCAACAGGAGAGAGAAAGCACAGCAGGCTATCATAAGTCCCAAACAGAAGAGTCCCTTGCAACATCTTGGAGAGAAGAGGAGGGTAGATTCCCCGGTAGAAGTATTGAGGACCTTCGTGCCAAAGTGTCTCACAGCCTCTGACACTGCCATGGCATGGATCTGTTGCCGAAACACAACCTTATAGATAGGAAAGGTCAGAAAAGTAGACATAGAGTTGGAAACAGCCCCAAGGGCATAGGCCTGGGAGTGCCAGCTTTTCTTTCCTGGAGCCTCTGCTTGTGTTCTGTGCTGAAGCTCCTTCCTGGGAGAGTGGTTCTGCTCCCCCATGCTGAAGACAACTGGGTGCAGGTGGAAGAAACTGGCAAGGGTGGAAAAAAAGAGATTAGAGCGACCAATTAATTCCGTTGGCAAGCATTCTCATTGCTTAATTGGAAATGAACCCTAAGAAACTCAGGTCGACAGAAACAAGCAACTCTTTGAGCCAGTTTCTGATATATAAGCACACCCTTAAGAAATTCAGAATTCATTAACCTTAAATTAAAAGAAAGGCAATCGGTTTTTCTGGACAGAGCCACCACTACAGTATTTTGCTGACACAGCAAATATTCCAATATTCAAAGAAGGATTACTTGAAGAACATGAAATAGAGGAGGGGAAGACTCCAAAACTTAATGCATCAACTTTCACGACATAAAACTGTGCATTCTATAAACTACTAGAATAATAAGTTGCTATTCTGTTTCAAAAAAAAAAAAAAAAAACCTGGCACTATCTTGCAGAGGCAGAAAGGCATTTAACAGTTGAAGTGCAACGCTTTCTCTAAAAGTTGGTATTAAATTTGGGTAAGGGGAATCTCCCCTCACTTTTCTCTCCATAGATTCCTGCCCAAGTTGTAGCTGTTTCATGGCTATGCCCAGTCCCCCTCCAGCAAGTGGGGAAGGGAAAGAGCAGCTACTCCTGGAAGTTCAGTGCCTAAAGGATGAGCACCTGGCAATTTCCAAACCTAACCCTGTAGACCTGTAGCTATATAATAGAGCAGGGTTTCTTAAATTCAGTGCTATTGACATTTTGGGCAGGATAATTTTTTATTCTTGGTCCCTGTCCTGTGCATTGGAGGATATTCAGAGGCTTCCTGGCTTCGGCTGAGTGCGTGCTGGTAGCACCTGTGGTGACATACCCAGTATGATGACCCAAAAATATCTTGAGACCTTGCCAAACGTCCCCAGGGAGGCAAAACTGTTCCCAGCTCAGCACCACTGTACTAGATAGAATAGGCAGTGCAAGGACTCCAAACTATTGCTCCTTACCCCAGAAAGGCCAGGAAGCAGATGGCTAGTATGAGAAGCAACTTGGAAGCCAGGACATATGAAGGAACTTTGGGATCGAAAAAAAATGAATGCTCAGAGCAGATCTGAGGGAGTTTGCCGGGGAGGAAAGAGGGGGTCCCTGGAATGACGAGACAGGGGGTGCAGCAGCCAGAGCTGGAACCTCAGGGAAAGAGCACAGAGCTGTGTGGGTGTGGGGCAGGAAGACAGGGGAGAGGGGGAGGGACATGATGGCCAGGCTGGAGGGCTTCCATCTACACTGACAGGGACAGGAAGCCTGGCAGGAACAGCAGACCCACAGGTTTCCCACCGAACCCTGGGCTATGTGATGGGGGGCATGAAGGTTGGGACTCTAATTAAGCTAGCAGGCCAATGGGGGACCACAGAGTCCAGGATCAGGTCCCCATGGAGGAGTAGAAGCCACACACTGCAAGAAGCCTAATGCAGCCTTCCCGGGGCTGCCAGGCCCAGAATCAGCCTTGGCGTGCTACTCCTTCCAGAATCACTCCCATTAGCTCTGCTCTTCCCTAGCCCCTTCTCCCTGCTCCATCCATATCCCCACAATCCCATCCTATCCCCCCTGCTCCATCCATATCCCCTCAATCTCATTCTATCCCCCCCACTACATCCATATCCCTACAGTCTCATTCATACCCCCCACTCTATCCATATCCCCTCAGTCTCATTCTATCCCCCCTGCTCCATCCATATCCTCACAATCTCATTCATACCCCACCCCACTCCATCCATATCCCCACAGTCTCATTCATACCACCCTGCTCCATCCATTTTCCCACAGTCTCACTGTACCACCACTCCCCTCCCCTGGAGCCACACTCACCTCTTGGTGGAGAGACATGGAGGCTCAGCCTCCTGTACTCAGCCCATCACCACCTCCCCCTCCTCCGCATTCCATGATGGCCTTAAGCCTCAGCTTCCTTAACGCTCATGGCCAGTACACTGGGAGGGTCCCTCTGCCTCTTACCCTTTAGCTGAGAACTGAGCAGGAGTAAAAGCTCAAGAGGCCCACTATTTGCATCCCTCTGGGGCACCTCTAGCCCCTGGCAGCCCCACTTCCATTTCTCCAGAGCCAAAGGGGACTCCTCCCAGATACCCAGGCCACTAAATCCACAGGAGCCCCCAACAGTCCTCAGCTCTCCTACCAAAGGTCTTCTTTCCCAAATCTTACCTGCACCTAAATAAGTACAGGTAGTGAGGTAAATGTTTGTTCCCTCTTCTACCTCAGAGCGCAATAATGTTCCACTTCCTCCCTGCCATTTATAAACATGTGTTCACTGATGCCATAAGGCAGGATGATTTAGCAGAAAGAAAACTGGGCTAGGATTTGGCAGTGCAAGGACTCCCAACTATTGTACCAACCCCAGAAAGGCCAGGAAGCAAGTGGGGTAGTATGAGATACCAGCATTCTAAGTGAGTTTTGTTATTAACTTGATGTGTGACCTTTAGAAATTCAATGACATCTTGGAGCCTTACCCACCTGAGCTGTAAAAGGAGCAGAAAGGGCAAAATAATTTGTAGTCATCTCCATACTATATCTGTCAGAGGGGGTTGACATGGGGGCATTCAGGCCAGTAGTTGATAGAGAAATTGTACTTTTCAATCCCCAACTCCTTCTGCCATTTTTGTAAATCATTTTGGGGGACCAAAAGTGAACAATAATTGAGAAACATCTCACCTTAAATATGTAATCCATTGTATAAATCCAATCCTTTCCATTTTATGGGAGTGAAGATCAAGTTTCTCCAAAGTATTTTCTATTAAGATGCCAGGCTTTGGAAAGGGCAGACAGACCCGAGACTGAATACTGCCTCTGCCACTTACTTAATTGTGTGACCTTGGGCAAGACATTTCATTCAGTCTCAGGTTCTTCAGATACAAAACCAGGACATTAAGACCCACCTCAAAACATTGTGGCAGAGATTAGTAACATAAAATGAGATAAAGTGGTTGAGAATCCATAATATAGTGGCCTCGATAAAAGATATCCAAAAAAAAGATGCTTCTGGACCTCACTATGTCTCCACAGAGCACATGCTCCTTCCAGACACTCTCAGGACAGCCAGAAGCAGATAAAGAGGCATGTAGGAACACATTTTGTGTTCCTAAGGGAGGCAGGGAAGCCCTTTCTTCCACGAATGGGAAGGTGCAACATAAATAATCTAGGAGAGCCTGGCCCCTTGACATGAATTCAAAGTACAGACCACCGAATGGACCTAGAGTTGGCCTTGAGAAGATATCACCTGTACCCTGACCTGCCTCCTATGTTTACAGCCTAGTAAAATGAGCCCAGGGGATTCCAGACTGTCCGAGCCAGTCTAGTCCACATGGGTAGCCTGTGTGACTGCCCCAGGATCCAGCCACAAATGAATGCATTTGTCTGTTCATTGGGGACATCTCTCACCCAGTCCTTTGGTCTGCTCACAAACATGTATTGATCATCCACTAAATCATTGGGGGTAAACCACCATGGAGCTAGAGTGAATAGAATTTGGTGCCTGCCCTCAAGTGCCTGGGAACCTAGTAGGGAAGACGGGTAAACAATGAGCTAAACTCTACAGAAAGACAAAATAAAGGGTACACTAATGAAGGTGGAAGCAAAAAGACAAGAGCAATTTATTCCACCTGGGACGGGGAGCAACCAAGAAATTTCTCTGAGAAGGGGCATATGACACAGTCCTTAACTGAGTAGAGTAGAATAGGATCTTGTTAAGTAGAGGAGTGAGGGCAAGCATTCTAGGCTGAGAAAGTAGCCTAAGGCACATAGGCTTAAAAGTGTGAGTTGTGCATGGGGATGGCCTACCCCATGTGGTGAGAAGGAAATAGAGCTGTGGTTGACAGAGAGGAGCCCATTTAGAATGAGGACCACATTTGTCTTCCCCACTGCATTGTGTTGTAGGGCACAGACATGGGCTCTGGATTCAGCCAGCCCTCGGTTTGAATTTCACTCTGTCACTTCCTAGCTTTATAACCTTGGCCAAGTTTCTGCATCTCTCTGATCCTCAGTATCTATATATGTAAAATGATTGTCATGAAGGATGCATGAGACAAAGTATGGAAAGTGCTTAGCACAGCAACTGGTATATAAGTTGTTCCATAAGTTATATTAGTAATTTCATTTTTAAAAATCAGATAATACTAGGAATCCAACATACAAGGGATGTGAAGGACCTCTTCAAGGAGAATTACAAAGCACTGCTCAACGAAATAAAAGAGGATACAAAGAAATGGAAGAACCTTCCATGCTCATGGATAGGAAGAATCAATATCTTGAAAATGGCCATACTGCCCAAGGTAATTTATAGATTCAATGCCATCCCCATCAAGCTACCAATGACCTTCTTCACAGAATTGGAAAAAACTACTTTAAAATTCATATGGAACCAAAAAAGAGCCCGCATTGCCAAGACAATCCTAAGCCAAAAGAACAAAGCTGGAGGCATCACGCTACCTGACTTCAAACTATACTACAAGGCTACAGTAACCAAAACAGCATGGTACTGGTACCAAAACAGAGATATAGACCAATGGAACAGAACACAGCCCTCACAAATAATACCACACATCTACAAACATCTGATCTTTGACAAACCTGACAAAAACAAGAAATGGGGAAAGGATTCCCTATTTAATAAATGGTGCTCGGAAAACTGGCTAGCCATATGAGGAAAGCTGAAACTGGATCCCTTCCTTACACCTTATACAAAAATTAATTCAAGATGGATTAAAGACTTAAATTTTAGACCTAAAACCATAAAAACCCTAGAAGAAAACCTAGGCAATGCCATTCAGGACATAGGCATGGGCAAGGACTTCATGTCTAAAACACCAAAGGCAATGGCAACAAATGATCCATTGACAAATGGGATCTAATTAAACTAAAGAGCTTCTGCACAGCAAAAGAAACTACCATCAGAGTGAATAGGCAACCTACAGAATGGGAGAAAATTTTTGCAATCTACCCATCTGACAAAGGGCTAATATCCAGAATCTACAAAGAACCTAAACAAATGTACAAGAAAAAATCAAACAACCCCATCAAAAAGTGGGTGAAGGATATGGACACTTCTCAAAAGAAGACATTTATGCAGCCAACAGACACATGAAAAAATGCTCATCATCACTGGCCATCAGAAAAATGCAAATCAAAACCACAATGAGATAGCATCTCACACCAGTTAGAATGGTGATCATTAACAAGTCAGGAAACAACAGGTGCTGGAGAGGATGTGGAGAAACAGGAACACTTTTACACTGTTGGTGGGACTGTGAACTAGTTCAACCATTGTGGAAGACAGTGTGGCGATTCCTCAGGGATCTAGAACTAGAAATACCATTTGACCCAGCCATCCCATTACTGGGTATATACCCAAAGGATTATAAATCATGCTGCTATAAAGACACATGCACATGCATGTTTATTGCAGCACTATTCACGATAGCAAAGACTTGGAACCAACCCAAATGTCCGTCAATAATAGACTGGATTAAGAAAATGTGGCACATATACACCATGGAATAGTATGAAGCCATAAAAAAGGACGAGTTCATGTCCTTTGTAGGGACATGGATGAAGCTGGAAACCATCATTCTGAGCAAACTGTCGCAAGGACAGAAAACAAAACACTGCATGTTCTCACTCATAGGTGGGAATTGAACAATGAGAACACTTGGACACAGGATGGGGAACATCACACACTGGGGCCTGTCGTGGGGTGGGGGAGGGGGGAGGGTTAGCATTAGGAGATATACCTAATGTAAATGACGAGTTAATGGGTGCAGCACACCAACATGGTACATGTATACATATGTAACAAACCTGCACGTTGTGCATATGTACCCTAGAACTTAAAGTATAGCACTAATAAAAAATAAATAAATAAATAAATTAAATAAAAATGAGATAATAGGGCAGAGCTTGCAGTGAGCTGAGATCGCACCACTGCACCCCAGCCTGGGTGACAGTGGGAGACTCCGTCTCAAAAAAAAAAAAAAGAGAGAGAGAGAGAGATAATAGGAATAAAGGCAAGATAACAACTAAATTGTTCTAAAAGCTGCAATCGGTCTAATGAACTGGGTTATCTGCAGAATGCCTTTTAGACTGCTTGTTTGGAAGGCAGCAAAGAAGAGTTTTCATGGGCTTTGGAGTTTGACATCCCTGGCCTGCAATCCCAGTGCCTGCACTTAAAAGTTGTGAAGCCTTACACAAGTTACTTAACATCCCTGAAATTCAGTTTCCCTCTCTGCAAAATGGGATACAATGGCTGTCTCAACAGTGTTGCTGGGAAGCTTAAATGAGATAACAGATAGAAAGTTCCTGGTACAAAGGAGGAAGGCAGCCAAAGGCAGCTATTATTGTTTCAGCTGAAAGCTTTATCTCTAAACCTTCAAGCTTCTAAGGTTTATGTGTTAAAATTACAAAATGTGGTCTCATTAGAGCCATCAGTTGGAACAGACTCACACACATGAGGCCAGAGATAGGATGTCCTGTATCCAATTGGAGCCAGGTTGCAAATACTCCCCCCATCCCTGCACAAAATGTCTCTCGCTTTGTTCCAGTAGTCCAACTCTGGCACCTTTACACAATCCATTTCCTGTCATTATTTTTGTCCGAGCTCTGACACCTATTCTTGGTCTTATGTGATTCCATCCCTACCAAGTCCAGCTGCAAATACCTAATTTGGTGATAAAGCCAATTTAAACACTGAACAAGAGTCTTCTGGGAGGCAAGAGTCAGATGTCACGGGACAGGGGAGCAGAAGCAAAAGTCTGAAGGAAACCTAAGAGCTACTGCCACCATCACCCCTAAGTGTGCGAGGTGAGCAACCTGCCTTCTCCATACATCCACACTTTCCACCTTCCACCACCACTACCCCACTGTTCCATCCACAGGCCACAATCCTGAGATGGAAAGTGCTTCATCTCCAAATCTGTATTGTTTACTCCAAGGAACTCTACATCTTGGGGTTGTAAATAAGAGGGTGGAAATGAGTGAGTGAAGTGCCTTGGCAGGCTGAAGATGAAGCCAACGGCAGTGGAAGGGCTTCAGACTGTTCACTTGCTTCCAAGCATCAGGAGTCAAGAACAGGCCCCACAGGAGCCTCCTAGCCACACTATACATAAAGGAAGTAATACCTGCTCTCTAAGTCAGGGAAAAATGGAGCAGGTTTTCCAGCCACTGCCTTCATGGCCATTCACTTTGGACAGCCCTGCATGCTGTTTCCATGGAGTTGCTCCTTCTCTGGGGCCAGTGATGCCAAATCCAGCAAAGGAGAAGTCCCCTGAAGAGCTCACAGAAGGGCAACCTAGCAACCTGTCCTTGAGCCAGGAAATGAAAGAGCCATATCAGCAACAGAGAGCTGTGGTTTGGGGGTTAGGTTAAATGGGGTTTGATTTCTCACACTTCTTCATCAAGCATGGCTTGAAGAAGGAAGACATTATGACAGACCCATTTGAAAATCTGCAAAGCTGTGGACTCAGAAGAATGTACGGAGTCCAGATTCTTTGCATACAGTTCCAGGAAGGACCGCGGGTAGGAACCTGTGCTCTGGAGTTACATTTCATAACAGATATGCCATGGACAAATACACTGATGACAGGCCCATTTACTTATAACCTTCAGCATCACGTGGTGGTGTTTAGAACAGTGGTTCACGAATCTCTCTACACCTCAGAATCAACTATGGGGCTGTTTAAAACTACAAATCACACTCTTTACCTGTAGTCCTAGTACATCAAAATCCCCCAGGGGTAAGGCCCAGGAATCTGCATTTATAACAAGCTCTCCAAAATGATTCTGAGGCAGCCCACTTTTTACTCACTTTAGTTAATAGTATGAGTTCTGGATTCAGAGATTCGGTCCAAATTTTGGCTTCACCTTGTAATTTCAGACAAATCATTTTACCTCTCTGAGCCTTGCCTCCCTTGGCGTCACAAAGGGCTGTCGAAATTATGTTGCTTTTATAAAAAGGGCAGCTTTTTGTAGTATAAAAAAAAGTATTTTTAAAAAAACGAAGGAAAGAAGAGTGCCAAGAAGAGTTTCCTCTTCTGTACAATGGGCACCATAAAGGTTGCCTTCATCTTCCCTCAGCCCTCTCCCTACTACCTCCTCACCCCCTCCCTCAGCACTATCATCACATTGAGACTGCTGTTGAGATGGTTTGAGACTACCTGTGCAAAAGTGCTCTTCAGACAATGCTGCAGGGCAAACAATTAGCATCTAGAGAGCAACATACAGGTGCTAAGTTGGATGCTGTAACTTCTTTGCTGCGGGATACAGTGCAAGACGCTTAACCTCTCTGTCTTTGGCTCAGTTTCTTCATCTGTGAAATGGAGATAACAGTTCTTGCTCACTAATTCTATGCAGTCCCAAGTTGGTCCTCCCATCCTGGCTTTGGTTTTTCTCCGCTATCCCTTAATCTAACAGAATAGAGGAGTGTTGGCAAGGGGTAGCCTTTGAAGTCAGATATGTTGACTTGGGAGTGAGCTCTTAGCTCTGCACTTCCTAACTGTACCGCCTGGGTGTTTCAGTCCTTTCCTGTTAAGTGGGCACACTGCTACCTCCTTCACAGGGCTGCTGAGAAGAAAGGAGACAGGCGCATCCGCACACAGAAAGCACTCAGTAAATGCTGTTTCCCCCCTTCCCCCTATACAAAGGTAAGGAACTCTCATTGTTCACTTGGTTTCTGTCCCACCTCGTGTTTCAGGCATCCGGTCTCAAAGCCCGGAGCAGAGCCGAGGCGGAAGGGGATGGGGAGAAGGGAAGCGACGGGGTAGCAGCAAACTCACAGATGAAAGGGAAATGGGCCTGGTCCGTGCGTCCGAGCTCCACTTGACGCCGCGCCGGCTCCCGTGCCTGTCGGCCTCAGCCCCCGCCAGCCAGCTCCCGAGTCTTGCTAGCAGTAGCTTCAGGGCCAGAGGCTGCTTGGGTAGGCCGCCTCCTCGCCCCGCTGATTGGCCGCGTCGCGCGGCTTGTCACGCTCTTTTGTCTCAATGGGCAGAGACTGAAAGCAACCGCGGCTGCCCGGAGGTCCGAACTGGAGGGTGGCCGCAGCCGTGACTTCCTTGGGAACCGCGCTGCCTCGACTCGGCTACCTCTCTGCGAAGCACTCGCTAAGCCGGGCAGCCCCGGGGTCGCTTAGCGGCCCAGGAGGCGCCAGCGATCCTGTTCCCCTGCAGAGCTATGGGGACCGGAAGGCGAAACAGAGCTGTCGACGCGGGAGCATACGCTGCCCACCAGTGGAGCGCAGGTAAAGAAAGAGCGCGCGATTTCCCGGCGCGGAGAGGGGTGGGGGAAGCCCCACCAGGACTGGGCGGCGCCCGGCTTGGAGAATCAGTAACTGCGAGGCAGGGGATGGAGCACTCCCATGGCCTGGTTGCGCTGAGAAAGGAGTTGTGGCTCATCTGGATGCTGCCGACTGGGTAGGATTTATGATTTGCCTGGATTGAAGTGGGCGGGGGTGTTGTCGGGCGTCGGGGGCGGGTGTTCGGGGAGGTGGCAAGGGGCGGGAGAAGACGATCGCAAGCTGTCTTGAACCCCTTTTGCATCTCCTCATCTCTTCCTGGGAAGGAATATGGGGGTGGGAGGTCATCCAACTTCTAGTCCCTTTCTCTCCGGCAGGTCATCAAAGCCGAATCCGAATTTGAATTCTGTGCGGCTGATTGCAGAGCTGGTAGGCCGACGGTTTCCCGCAGGAAATGTACGGGGGGCGGGAGTGCAGGAGGCACTTTGGCTTGTGTTCAGAAGATGGGAGAGGGAATTTTCCGCCTGGCGACAGAGGAGGCGGTGGAGGGGAGGTATCAGGTTTTCAGAAGAGGCTGCTCCCAACCCTTCCTTTCCTTCCTTCGCGGCACAGTCTTGAGGCCCTGAGGACTGGGATCTGCGACCCCCAGTGGACAAAAGTCGACTCTACCCCAGAGGCTAATTTTCTCAAGGCAGGCACCTGTTGAGAGGCTGCAAGTAAAATACAGGGGAACGCTAGTTTCCGAGCTCATGTAAGAATCTGAGAAATAACGGGGGTAAACTTTGACAAAGGGGTGTGTGATTGAGACCTGAGGTCATGAGATTAATGGGTTCTTATTACCTCTTGCGGGGGGAGGTAGTAAAGGGGAGGGGCAGGTGGCCTGTGGCGTCCTGAAGATTTTTCATGCATTCTTTTTCCGAGAACTAAACATTGTCAACTCTAATATATCTATAGCGCAACTTGCTTCAAGGACAGTAATAATTTTCATTTAATAATTTTCCATTTAATCCCTTTACTACATGGTCATTTCTGTCTCTTATATTCCTAGGTTTCCCTTTATAAGGATTAGTCAGATCAACATTATATCTCTAACAATGTTCCTTAGCTTTTTCACTCTCATTATACCTAGAGAATTTAATGGAATAAACCAGATTTTATATATATATATATATATATATATATATATATATATAAATGTGTGTGTGTGTGCGTGTGTGTGTGTATAAAATTACTCAACATTCAAGTAGTCTTGAAAAAAGATGGGTAGGAGTCACCTTCTTTCCCTTCATCAGTTACCAGTGTTCTCTTAACATAATGGAAGAGGCAGGAGGTATTCCCACCTACAACTCAGGATTCCTATGTCCTATGGGTTCAGTTGTGTCCCCCCCCCCAAAAAAAAACACCAAATACATCTATTGGACTCCTGACCCCTCGTCTCTCTCCTACTTGAAGATGGGTTTTTTAGTGGGATACTGAAGTTAAATTACATTCATTAGGGTGGGCTCTAACTCGAAATGGCTAGCGTGCATTGTGCCTATCAAAAGGGGAAATTCAGACAAAGAGACATGTGTACAGGGAAGAAAATGTGAAGTAGCATACAGAGAAGTGGGCCATCTACAAGCTGAGGAAAAATCCCTGGAAGAGATCCTTCCCTCTTATTACTCAGAAGGAAACAACCCAGCTGACGCTTTGATTTGGACTTCCAACCTCCAGAACTGTGAACAATTAATGTCTGCTGTTTAGGCCACCCAGGTCTGTGGTACATTGTCAGGCTAACAGAGCAAACCAATAGGGATTCTGTTGCCAGACAGATCTGATAGCTAACACCTGAAAGAGTGGAAGCAGCTTTGGAACTAGATAATGGATAGAGACTGGAAGCATTTTGACATGCATGGCACAAGAAGCCTAGAGGGCCTTTAGGAGATGGCTGGGGGAAATATGGACACCAAATGCAATTCAAGTGAGGGTTAAGAAAAGAATTATTTGCTGCAGACAAAGGATCTCTGACTTAGAGAATACATATATCATGATCACCGATATGTTGCTAGAGCTATGAGTGTTAAAGGTGCTTGTGGTGAGTTATGAGACCGAAACTAGGAAGATGTTACTGGAAGCTTGAGGAAAGGCAATCCTAGTTTTACAGTGGCAAAGGTTTGGTCTGTATTGTTTTCTTAGTGTTTTTGAGGAAAGTAAAAATTGTAAGTGATGAACTTGCACATGCAGCTGACTTCTATTGTTGGGGCTCAGAGCATGATACCCCAAAATAAAGGCCCCAGAAGTAGTCTCGGATGTAAAAGATGTTCTCTGAGGTCCTGGGTCCTCCTGTCTGTCAGCCCCATTCTTCCCAGGGAGCTAACTGTACAGACCAGAATCCCTCTTCCCCAAGGTGGGTCCTAGAAACCAGAAGCCTTTTTTTCTAAAGATAGTCACAAAGCCTAAAAATACTTTTCTAATTTTTCCTCCACCTTTTTTGTGTAAAACTGGTCATAAAGAAATGATCTGACCTTGTTTGACTGCAGGTCACAAGACCCCATTACAGAGAGGGTCCTGCCCCATACCCAGGAGGAAGAAATCTGTGTTCACAGAAGCCAAGCACAGTCTAGACAAACAAGCCCTGCTGGATTAGCATTAGGTCTTAGCCTTTTTGTCCCATCATATTTCTACAGGGCTGTCCATACTTTGTTGAACCTGAGCATATAAATAGACAATTTACCCTGTACCTTTCTGCCTTTGCTCCGAAGGCTGCAGTGTATATATGTTAAATAAATTTGTATGCTTTTTTTTTTTTTGAGACGGAGTCTCGCTCTGTCACCCAGGCTGGAGTGGTGCAATCTCTGCTCACTGCAACCTCCCCCTCCCAGGTTCACACCATTCTCCTGCCTCAGCCTCCCAAGTAGCTGGGACTACAGGCGCCCGCCACCACGCCGGGCTAATTTTTTGTATTTTTAGTGGAGACGGGGTTTCACCGTGTTAGCCAGGATGGTCTCGATCTCCTAACCTCGTGATCCGCCTGCCTCAGCCTCCCATAGTGCTGGGATTACAGGTGTGAGCCACTGCGCCCGGCCTTGTATGCTTTTTCTCTTGTTAATCTGCCTTTTGTGAGTTGATTTCTTAGCAAACCTTCACACAATTTGGTATAGCAAGAAGGGTCACCAAAGCCACTCCACTCTTCTGGAACCTGAAGTTAAGGGAATGCAGTCATCTGACAAGGTGGCAAAAGGGCAAGAATTTCTTACCAGTCAGGCCCCCAGCTTCTCTCTCTGTACAACCCAGTTGGGCAGATGGTACAAAACAAATCCCTCTGTTTGTCTCCTCTACAAGGTTTCATGCCTAGGAGAAAAAGATTGTTGTGTGACTGGTCTAGGTGTAGCAACTCTGGTACACCTTACACTACTTTGTGGTATGAATATTCACATTTTTTATCCCTTTCATGCCAGAAACAGTGTATTCCTTTGACTTTGTCTTTCTGTGTTGTTCATAGAGAGGGTTACAGGATAAAGTTCCCTCTTGTCTTGATCTGTGTTCTTGAGAGCTTGATTTGTGAGCAAGAGGAAGCACTCTCTCTTGCTTGCCACCATCCAGGGGAAGTGATTTTTGGGTCAAAGCAGGTGTCTGGTCTAACAAATCTCTTCGCTGGGAAGCGGAGAGATTTTATTTTGTTCTGAATGTGCCTAGCTCTCGGCAGGATTTGTCATAAGAAGTCTCATCCATAAGGGGCTTTTGTCATCTCAAACTTTATTGTCTCGAGCAAGGATCACCAACCCATAATCCAGGTATTGATACAGGTCCGTGGCCTGTTAGGAACCGGGCCGTTTCAGCAGCAGGTGAGCATCAGCGAGCAGCAGAAGTTTCATCTATATTTACATCCACTCACCACTACTGGCATTACCGCCTGAGCTCTGCCTCCTGTCAGGTCAGCAGCATTAGAGTTTCATAGGAACGAGAACCCTTTGGTGAACTGTACATGTGAGGGATCTTCAGTTGCACACTCCTTATGGGAATCTATTGCCTGATAATATGTCATCCTCTCCTATCACTCTTAGATGGGACCGTCTAGTTGGAAGAAAACAAGCTCAGGGCTCCCACTGATTCCACATTATGGTTAGTTGTATAAGTATTTCAATATATATTACAATGTAATAATAATAGAAATAAAGTGTGCAATTAATGTAATGCCCTTGAATCATCCCAATACCATCCCCTCAATGCCAGTCCATGGAAAAATTGTCTTCCAAGAAAATGCCAGAAAGGTTGGGGACCGCTGGTCTAGCTAGCGAGTGCTGGTAAACAGCAATCCCAGGAGTCATTTGTTACTTTTAGCCTATGTCTGGGAACAGGGGGAATCTTTGGGATTACTTGTTCTCTGAAAAGCCTATTGCATCCAGTCACTATTGAAATTCAGTACACTATTAAGAATTATAATTGTCAATGGCCAAAAGATCGATCCCTTAAATTAGCCTCCTCAATTTTATTAAAAGGATTTTAGAGAGTTCTTATACTAACTGATTGATAGAAAGGTTAAATGTATAAAAAGACACATAATGGTGTGACAGCTAGCCTTAAAACTCTTCTTGATAAAAGTAAAGAGCAAAAAATCTGACCTAAAGAAAGTTAAACTCTTGTGTCTGCTCAAACTGCCCCTGTGGGAATAAAAACAAAGGCCACTTCACCTTGCAGCCTTTGAGTTCAAATTCTGCGCTTTCACCTCGACATCATGGGTTGCATTCCTGATCAGGAAACCATCCCTTCATGGTTTAATGTTTGTGTGACTTTTGGAGAGTACCAATTTCTTATTGACCCTTTTCCCTTCCTTGGATATCTTTTGATTTCCTGTCTTCCATCTGCGACGGGAGCACGAGCACATGAGGCTCTTTGGCCATTGTGTGTAGATAGCTGAGAATCTAAAACCTTAGAAAAGTTAGCGGGACAAACATGTGGTTTTATCTTCTAGGTGTAGAAGAATTCCTGGAATGCATAGCTTGCCATAGCTGAGGGTGGGCAGGGTTGAGTACAGCCTGCTCTCTCAGCACAACTGTGCCTGAAATGTGAGCGGTGTGGAGAGCTGGAGACTCAGACAAAAACAGGTGAAGGAAAGGCTCTTCAAGGGGTCCAACGCACTTCCCTAGCCCCTGTTTTGTCCCACACCACAGCCCAGGTTCTTGCTGCAGAGGGAGCCCAGCTGAGCCTAGGATCCAGGCTGCTTCTGCGAACCTGAAGTCCCCCAGGACACAGCGGGGCCTTGGGGCTTTTGAAGGAAGCAAGTGGCCAAGGGTGTGAAAGTCATGAGAAACCCGAGCTTAACCACTGGGTGATTGTGCACGGTCAAGAATTTCATCATGATGAGGCATAGGAAGGAACCTAATTAATATCCAGGGAAGCCACCCACAGGAAGGAATTTCTTTCCCAGAAAGCTAGTATGATTTAATATTAGAAAATCTATAAACATGATTTATATGAATAAACCAAGAAATTTTTTTAAAAAATGTAAATCTCAAAGGTTGCTAAAATGGCATGTGTGAATATTTGGTATCTCTTACTTTACCTAAAATGCCTAGAAAAGAAAAGATGCTACTGACCTCAAACAAAAGCCCAACACCATGTTTGAGGATGAAATGCTACTGACATTCATATGGGAGTCAGGAAGGTGACAAAAAAGCTTTCTATCAGCGGTATGATTTCAAAGTCTTGATGAATATTGGGCATTGGACTTTTAAAAAGGCTTAACCACTAAAACGGGGGCTCAGTGTTTTCAATTGATCTGATTCTCTTGCAAATGATTAAATAGCTAGAACAGTTTTTCTCAAGACAACTTTACACTTCTAAAAACTAGTAGGAACCCCAAAATCTTTTCTGTAAGTTATATCTGCCGATATTTACTTCAAAATTATTATAACAGAAATTTTGATGAATTTATTTTAAAATCCACTTTAAAGTAATACTTAAAAATCTATCACCGCCGGGCGCGGTGGCTCACGCCTGTAATCCCAGCACTTTGGGAGGCCGAAGCAGGTGGATCACGAGGTGAGGAGATCGAGACCATCCTGGCTAACACAGTGAAACCCCGTCTCTACTAAAAACACGAAAAACTTGCCGGGCGTTGTGGTGGGCGCCTGTAGTTCCAGCTACTCGGGAGGCTGGGGCAGGAGAATGGCGTGAACCCGGGAGGTGGAGGTTGCAGTGAGCCGAGATCGCGCCACAGCACTCCAGCCTGGGCAACAGGGCGAGACTCCGTCTCAAAACAAACAAACAAACAAACAAACAAAAAACAACAACAAAAAAAAACCTATCACATCGTGTTAACATAAATTACAAACGCATATGAAAAATATTTTTTCTAAAGCCGTAGAGTGGTGATCAACTTTCTTTTAGATAATTGAAAATCCCCCAGACTTCTCACCTAGGAAAAGTCAGCTGGATTCTTGTAACTGCTTCTGGACGTGATCTGTTGCCACATCACACACAATGAAAGTCGGGAAAATCCCACCATACACGCGAGAGAGCATGAGAGTGAAAAAGGAAAATATGAGTAAAATGAAAACATGCCCATGAACGAGAACCTAGAAAAATAACTAATAAAAATGACCATTTAGGAAACTGAAGAAATGCTCCACGACTGTGGAAAATCCACCACATTCTCTTGGAGCAAACTGCGCTATAGATATATGAGAGCAGACAATATTTGGTTCACGGAAAAGAATGCACGAAAAATGTGCAGGACACCACACGCCCCCTTCCCCCACCCCCGGCTCCAAACTGGAAGTCACTTTTGGCCAGTGACTGTGGCTCAGAGACTGTAATTCGGTCATTGGCTGAGCCAGAGGAGACAGGAGTGTGAACAAAAGTTCTCTGAAAAGGAATTTGGAGGACAGAGCTCTTTTTTTTTTTTTTTTTTTTTTTTGAGACGGAGTCTCGCTCTGTCGCCCAGGCCGGACTGCGGACTGCAGTGGCGCAATCTCGGCTCACTGCAAGCTCCGCTTCCCGGGTTCACGCCATTCTCCTGCCTCAGCCTCCCGAGTAGCTGGGACTACAGGCGCCCGCCACCGCGCCCGGCTAATTTTTTGTATTTTTAGTAGAGACGGGGTTTCACCTTGTTAGCCAGGATGGTCTCGATCTCCTGACCTCATGATCCACCCGCCTCGGCCTCCCAAAGTGCTGGGATTACAGGCGTGAGCCACCGCGCCCAGCCGAGGACAGAGCTCTTGTTGTGCCAGTGAACACTTGGCAATCCCTGGAGAGGCTGCTTTGGCTATGAAACCAATGACACTGAAGGGAGTGGTAGGGTTTAATGTGAACAGTCCCTCCGAACTTCCTAATAAAGTCCATTTATGCAAACGAAGGATTGAAATTGCTGAGCTCTGATTGGCCTGCACAACTGAGCTCTGATTGGCCAATGCCACTGAGCCCTGATTGGTTGATAGAGCCTAGCTCTGACTGTCTGGTTCTGGTGTACTCTGGCAAAGCCTCAATGTTGAAAAATATTTGTCCAGGTATATTACATGGGCTCAGGGAGAAAAAGGCATATTTAAGCCTCTGTATTCAAACACTAATCTGTAAGCTTTGGGAAAAGTATAAGAACAAGCCAGACATGAATTATGAAGCCAGGGGATGTGCTTTGAGATCCTACTACCATAGGGAAATTCTTGCAAAGGCTGAAGGACAGAGGCTTGTATATCAGTGCAAGGATATGCCCTCAAACAGATTGGTCATAGATAATGACAAACGCCAGACTTGTAATGAAGGTTTAGCAGCAGCTTCTGATGCAAGTCATTAAAACCAGTGTCACCGTCTGCAGAGAGTGTCCTAAAAGCAGCAACTTCTGTCCGTGGTGGAAATAACTCATATCCTATAAACTTCTCCAGAGCAGAGAAGGGTGTATCTGGAGTTGTGAATATCATTTCCCCTGGTCACCATGTTTCCTCCAGGTCTCCTACTACTACCAAATCTGTATCAGCAACAGCAGCAGCTCCAAGGACAGTATGTGTGGCAATGCAAGTACCTGCTGTCATGACATCAGAAAATTTCAACTATGGCGGTTGAGTCAGTTAATGTAGGTGCACCATTAATAACTACCACTAGTCCGACAGCAGCAGCCTCACCAAAGGTTCATTCAGGCAAACCCTACTGGGATGCCAGCTTCTACTGAAAACGGAGACAAAATCACCATTCAGCCTGCCAAACTCATTACCATCCCTGCTACACATCCAAGTCTGCACAGTGTAAGTAGCAGACGAAGTCAAGTCTGACTAAATCATTAACATCGTTGGAAACCCCCGGCTGTGAGAGCACTTACCACTGTTTCAATAGTGCATGGTACACCTTTAATGGGACTATCACTGCCTACTCAACAGGCATCTGGCCAGACTCTTCTTGAAGTTGTCAGTGCAGTCATAAAAGGTTGAATCAGAATCCATGGAAAACCAGTAGAAAGATGATGTGGAGACTGCAACTGGTAGAAGAGAAACCAGCAGATGAAATAAGACAGTGACCCAAGTAGCGGTTGTCAGTGAGACTTCTGCTATTGCCTTTCGAGTAACTAACTATAAGAACAGAAATACTATTGACATGTGAGAAATAAAATGACAGGCCCACCATAGATTTCAGACTGTGAGTGGTAGTACTGACATAAACACTTGCAAGGGAAGTCATCAAGAAAAGTCAAAGAAGACTTTAAAACATTTTAATGCATATAAGAAAACAATGAAACTTACCGGAAATAAGTTATCTATCCCATGTGTCAATGAGAAATGAACTACATGCATTGAGATGCTGACAGAAACCTCCCTCTTACAGTAGGAAAACAACTGAACCCTTCAATAAGAAAAAGGATTGAAAGGGACCAGGCAGCACACTACTATCTCAAGTTATGCTAAGATTTGAAACACTGACATTCTGCAAGAGGTTATACAGTTTTCAGTGGGGAGGGGTTGGGATAGGTGATCTCATTGTTACACATAGCAACTTTTAATGCATTTTATATGCATATTAGCAAGTATTACTGTGTTCTCACACTACTCACTTAACTTGTGCTATGTGAAGGCTCTGCTAATACAGGTGTTTTTTAAAAAACTCTACAAAGACTTTATTTTTTAATGATGAAATTCTAATGATCTTATCACTAGATTCAAAATTAAAATGGGCTTATGGATATTGTTTTCTTAATTCGGTGGTGATTGGGACTTTCAAAGATGCTTTATCTAGGTTTCCTGTTAGGAAATCTAGAAAGAGTCATGATTTTAATCCCCCTATTAATTTTCTCAGTAATTAGTTGTCAAAAATGAAAATATTCATGAATGATGAGTACACAGAATACAGAAAACCTAGTGAAAAGCCTGAAAGAGAAAATAAATGAACAGCAGAGTCCTGTGGGAGTTCTATGCCGGTGCTACATTATCTGATTTTCCTCATAATTCACCAAGAAGAACCAGCGGAACTTCACCACCAAGGGGCTGCAGTTGGTGATGGTAACCTAGCGAATGACCTCAGTATTGTTCAGGATGCAGCCAAAATCCAGCTCCATCATCTCAAAGCTGAGGTTGGGGTAATGCACTCATCCATGCAGGTCCAGGCTGTCTACTGAGGGTGTTCCACATACTTAATTGCTAGAATTTCTTCTGCCACCCAGTTGTTCAGATCGTTTCTGTAGGAGGGTTCAAACTTGATCAGCAGGGTTTTTTTTTTCTTCATCAATTTCTAGTTTTATAGGCCACAAAGATAATGGGGGAAATTACCAACTTTTGTACTATGCATTTTCACCCAGTACAAGTATTTTAGAATGTGAATTGAAGAATGGATCCAAAAGCTTCAGAAAGTGGAAAGCACAAAAGAGAAAGAAAGAAAGAAAGAAGGAGAAAAGATCCACTGCAAATAAAAAAAATATGTATCATATGGCTTAAGTTGATTTAAAACAAAGGCCTTAAACTAATTTTTAGGGTTTTTTTTTCTTGAAATGAGCTAATGGCTTGTTTGTGTAAAGCTTTTCCATTAAAACAAAAAAATTTTTAAAATCTTGTACATAACACAGTATTGTTGTAGAATTCATATGAAACATTTTATATGGTAAAGTCAACTAGCTCCCTAATTGTGGACAAATTAACAGTTGGTTCCTGTTCTTTTGCTATAACATACTTGTGCCACCCATGTAGCCCTGGCATCTGTGCAGACACATCAGTTTCAGTTCCACTGTCACTTGGAAGATCAGGTTCAGCATCAGTTTTTGTCAGGTAGCTCTAATACCTGGAGTTTTCTTTCTTTTCTTTTTTACTTAGTTGAAGTTTAAGAGGAAAAGTACCAGTTTTCAGATTTGAACTATCATAGTTTGTATATTCAACAAACTATTTGAAGTATATTGTGTTTTGGTTTGCTCTTGTTTCAAAGTGTATCCAAGTAGGATTCCTGAAATATAGAAAAGAAACTTGTAAATAAATGAATGGCTGGTAAGTATCCAAAATTAGGGAGATAAATGATTCACTAAACTTAGGAAGCACACCTGGACACATCATAGTAAAGCTACAGCATAATGATAAACAAATATCATAATAGCATAAAATAGATACATTGCCTATAAACGAGTACAAAATAGACAGCAGGTATCTATACATCAACAAATGGAGGCCAAAAAGGAAAAAATAGCTGTCATGCTAGAGTTGCATTCCTAGCCAAACATCATTTAAGAAGTAAGCTGTGACAGACATGCAGGTAGATCGCCCCAAACCCCCTTCAAGGACAGATTTTCTGCTTCAGCTGCTGGGACAGCAGTTGGATGCCAGTCATCAGCCATCAGTTCCTTCAGGTATGACCCGAGCTGCAGGAGCTGCCTTGCCCAAGGTCACGCACTTGCAGAGACTGACCACATCCAAGGACTGATCCAAGAGGAGGCACAAACATCTGGCTTGCTCTGCCCAAGGTGGAATGATTCTGATGGGCCATTTTTACCTTCAGAGCTCCCCTTGGGATCCGAAGAGGCTTTGGTTGGGCCTGCAGTATGGATGCACTTCTCTCTGTGCCCACTCCTGCTTCCCTCCCTTCCATTCCTCAGGGGTTAATTCTAAGTAAATGTCATGCACACTAAAATCCATCTCAGAGTCTGTTTCCTGTGGATCCCAATCTGAAAAGACATTTCTAACTAGTAAAGTAGCAGTATTTACACCAGTGAACTTCACCTTCAAAGAACGCAGGAAGAACATACTTTAGGCGGATGGAAAGTGATCACAAAAAGATAATCTGAGATGCAAGAAGGAATGGTAATGGGCTACATTAGCAAACAGGAGTAACAAAAAAATCAGAGAATGTGCAGAACCGTTCTCATACTGACAAAACTTATTTTGGTGACTAAAGAAACTAGATAAGACTAAATAAAGCTACTATGCATCACTCAGATGATGGGAGAATCCAATGACAGCAGCTCACGCCCCTGGAAACATATTTGAATGTCAAAGAGCCAATCCTTTAAGATGGATCACAAGTGGCTAACTGGACCTAAATTCAAATGGAGCCAAGCGGCCATTTGCTGACTAGAGGTCACACATGTACTCTGAGTTCCCAGAAAACTCACACCTCTGTTCAACTTTGGGGCTTCCAGAGCACACCAGAACCAGCCAATCAGAGCTAGGCTCTATCAACAAATCAGGGATCAGCATCATTGACCAATCAGAGCTCAGCTGTGCAGGCCTATCAGAACTCAGTGATTTCAATCCTTCATTTGCATAAATGGGCTTTATTAGGGAGTTCAGAGGGAATGAACTTTAAACCCTACCACTCACTATTAAATCCTACCACTCCCTTCAATGCAATTGTTTTCACACCCAAGACAGCCTCTCCCAGGGTTGCCAAGTATTCACTGGCACAAGTGTTCTGTCCTCCAAATTCCTTTTCAGAGAACTTTTGTTCACACTCCTGTCTCCACTGGCTCAGCCAATGACGGAATTACAGTCTCTGAGCCACAGTCACTGGCCAAAAGTGTACAGAGGTGACCCAGGATGCCTCGGTTTGGATATGATTTGTTTGTCCCCACCCAAAAACATGTTGAAGTGTGATCCCCAATGCAGCTGATGTGGGCAGATCATGAGGGGCAGATCTCTCATGACTGGCTTGGTGCCATTCTTCCAGTAATGACTTAGCTCTCACTCTGGAGAAACTGGATTCATTCTCTTGGGAATGCGTTAGTTTCCTCCCCTCTAGAGAGGGTGTTACAAAGCCAGGACATCTCTTGGGTTCTCTTTACACCTGTCCTCTTCCTGTTTTACCTTATCTGCTATATTATGAGGCAGCACGGAAGCCCTCACAGGAGCCAGGGCCATTTCCCTGTGCTTCCCAGCCTACAGAACCATCCACTAAATAAACTGCTTTCCCTTATAAGTTACATAGCCTCGGACATTCTGTTATAGTGACACAAAATGGTTCAAGACACAGGATGAACCAAGAAGACCCTATCTGGGCTGTTCCTGCTGGGGCATAGAGGAGGAAATTGGTGTGTTTGTGTGCTATTTATTTGTTTGCTTGCGTGTTTTAATGATGGCGATTTGAGAATATTAATTCAGGGAATATATGGACATGACCCTTGCCTCCTCCATCCAATGAAGAGCAGGATTTGATTGCTACAATTTCAAGTAGGATTTGTGTACCCCAATTTGTAGAAAGGACTGTTTAGAAGTTTATGTGTGTGTGCTTACCTCACTGGTTTTCTTGCCATGTTATACCTTTTTAGGTAAAAAAGACTTTTTTCCCCCATTGTAATCTGGGACCATTTTACTAACTTCATTGTATTACCAGGAGGATTTGCTTTACCTGAACGGTCTGACAGGGAGCAACCTTGCCAAGACTGGCCATTTTGAATGACACGTCATTGGCATGCTCAATTACTTCCATTACACTTAATACTCAAGTTCGTAAGTCCTGTCTTTGGTTCAATTGCTACAACTTATTCTGAGGTAGACATATTTGAGAAATGTTTTGCATGTAATATCATAAATCCTTTGAATGTTGAAATGTTTCCATTTTATCGATACATTTTTCCTCCCTAAGAAGGTTGCCTTGAGAATCAATTTTTTAAAGAATTTAGGAATTTTAAAAATACTGTAGCTGTTATGTCTATTTGTGGATTCTAACATTTAGAGCACTTTTTAAAAAAGCATCTAAGTATTGTTAAGAATGCAGTTTTAAATGAGAACACATGGACACAGGAAGAGGAACATCACACACCGGGGCCTCTTTTGGGGTGGGGAGAGGGGGGAGGGATAGCATTAGGACATATACCTAATGTTAAATGACAAGTTAATGGATGCAGCACACCAACATGGCACATGTATACATATGTAACAAACCTGCACGTTGTGCACAAGTACCCTAAAACTTAAAGTATAATAAAATAAATAAATAAATCAATAAATGCATACTTACCTGAAAAAAAAAGAATGCAGTTTTGGTCTTGGTAAATGTTGAGTATTTCTAATTTTTTTTAATCAAAGCTCTTTTCTTTTTGTGTTGTCTGCTTGGAGACTGTGGCTTTGTCATTGTTCCTTATCCCCATTCACTGAAGGGGTTGATCAGAACTGAGGACAGGAGCCAAACAGCCAGGTTCTTTTATGCCCAGGAGCCCTTGGCTGCCGTGTCAGGGAGATCCTGCTCAAGCCAGGGTGGCTTAGCCCAGGATAAGAGTAGATTCTGAGATGGGTGAGAAATGGTTCACATGGGGCCATAGTCATTCCTCTGGCATAATGGACTTGGGCTCTGGAGGTCAGGCTCTCTTCAAGGAGCACGAGATGAAATTGCCTCTTTGGGAGTTTTCAGTGACACCCTTCAAAGTGCTCATGTGTGACATGGATCAGCTGAGGTGGGGGGCGGATGAGCTTTCTGCCCTGTGGGGCATCTATCTGTGTAACTTTTTCTGAGGGAGGCAAAGAGACAAGGTGTTTAGGTCGGCCAACGCCCACCGTGACTGGTTGATAAGATGCCAAGCAACAGGACCATCCAAATCACCTTGAACGCTGCGCTGTGTGTCACTTCATCCAATCAGACCTCAAGTTGGCCCACAATGTCAGCCATGTGGTGACTACAAAAGGCCCTCCCACTGGTGATCAGCAGCTTATCTGTTCCTCCTATCCACTGGCAGCTGCCTCCAAGATGGCTGAGCCTTCCTCTGAGATGACCTCCAACAAAGGCCTGAGCACCAAGGAGCCCAAAGCGGCCAATGCCACGATGGCCCACAAGCAGAAGAGGCATGGGCACTCTCACCCCAGCCGCTGCAGGGACAGCTTCACCACCTATTTTCCCCGGGTGCTGAAGCAGGTTCACGCGGGCCTCAGCCTTTCCCCCGAGGCAGTGGATGTCATAGATTCCTTCGTTCACGACATCTTGGAGCACATCGCCACCAAGGCCGG
Source organism: Homo sapiens (assembly GCF_000001405.40). Classification (NCBI taxonomy): domain Eukaryota; kingdom Metazoa; phylum Chordata; class Mammalia; order Primates; family Hominidae; genus Homo; species Homo sapiens. The sequence continues at coordinate 103,904,462 of NC_000023.11, read as the reverse complement.
CCACTTGGCCCACTATACCAAGTGCACCACCATCACCTCCTGCGAGATGCAGACCACCATTCGCCTGATGTTCCCGGGGCAGATGGGCAAGCACGCCATATCCAGGGGCTCCAAGACTCTGCTCCACTACACCAGGAGCAAGTGAGCTGCCTCAGGAGCGCCTGAGCACCAAAACCCAAAAGCTCTTTTCAGAGCCACCGCACTTGGCTTGAAAAACCTGTAGCCCACCAAGGGAGGGACCTGCTGGAGGGTGGGGGTGGGTGGCACCCTTTTGATTTGGGGACTGTCGAGGAGGCAGGTGGCCTGTGGCATCCTGACGATTTTTCATGCATTCTTTCCCCGAGAACTAAACATTATCAACTCTGCTTCAGTCTATATATGTGGTGCAGTTTTTCCTTGGAAAATAATTCATTCCATTTAGTGATTTTTCATTTAATCTCTTTACTACATGCATGGTCATTTCTGTAAGTTATATTTCTAAATCACCCTTTATTAGGATCAGTCAGGTCACAATTGTTTTCATAATAAAGTCATTCACCTTAGTCTCTGTCAGTCCTCCACACTTACACAGTATCATTATCCAGAGGGATTTTTTTTGCATTGTATGCAAAATATAAAGTATAAAAGCACATATGAGAATCATGAAATTAGCAATCAAACTTGTCGACTTATCTTAGGGTAATAGTTTATATTTATCAGGAAGATGGAAACAGAAATAGGTAAATCGAGTTTTCAAGAAACAATTTCTGTTTCAAGCAACCATTTCTTTTTCATGCTTTTAGAGTCTCAAATTACTATTCCATTTCATTCACGTTTATCCAGTTCTTCTCGTTTCAAGCCTGTAATCTTTCAAGGTTTAGAATAAAAATTTAAGGTGTGCAATCATGCATGGATGGTGGGACTGCCCAATGATAACAGCCCAAGTCCCAGTCTCCGCTAGCACAGCCAATGAGAGACCTGCAGCCTCTAAACCATAGCCATTGGCCCAAAATGTGGGACGGTTGCTGGAACTAAAGCATTAAGATCTTACTTGTGCAATTCAGCCTTGAGGTTGATTAGAAACAGATTCAATTCTTTGGCTATGGCTGTCAGATTGCTTGTTTTTAATCACGGTGATTTAAGGACATGAATCCAGAGCTGGGAGCAGAACATGCATTTAGCCTCTTGCATCATTTCAAAACAGGAGAAAGGGGAAAGGGTGGCCCCAAGATGGCCGAATAGGAACAGCTCCAGTGTACAGCTCCCAGCATGAGCGAAACAGGAGATGAATGATTTCTGCATTTCCAACTGAGGTACCGGGTGCATCTCACTGGAGATTGTTGGACAGTGGGTGCAGGACAGTGGGTACAGTGCACCGAGCCTGAGCCAAAGCAGGGCAAGGCATCACCTCACCCAGGAAGCACAAGCAGTCAGGGAATTCCCTTTCCTAGCCAAGGAAAGGGATGATGGACAGCACCTGGAAAATCGGGTCACTCCCACCCTAATACTGCGCTTTTCCCATGGTTTTAGCAAATGGCACACCAGGAGATTATATCCTGTGCTTGGCTCTGAGGGTCCTACGCCCACAGAGCCTTGCTCATTGCTAGCACAGCAGTCTAAGATCCAACTGCAAGGCAGCAGCAAGGCTGGGGGAGGGGCGCCCGCCATTGCCGAGGCTTGAGTAGGTAAACAAAGCGGCCGGGATGCTCAAACTGGGTGGAGCCCACTGCAGCTCAAGGAGGCCAGCCTGCCTCTGTAGACTCCACCTCTGGGGGGGGGGCAGGGCATAGCCAAATGAAAAGCAGCAGAAACCTCTGCAGACTTAAATGTCCCTGTCTGACAGCTTTGAAGAGAGCAGTGGTTCTCCCAGCATGCAGCTGGAGATCTGAGAATGGACAGACTGCCTCCTCAAGTAAGTCTCTGACCCCCGAGAAGCCTAACTGGGAGGCAGCCTCCAGTAGAGGCAGACTGACACCTCACATGGCCGGGTACTCCTCTGAGACAAAACTTCCAGAGGAACGATCAGACAGCAACATTTGCTGTTCACCAATATCCACTGTTCTGGAGCCTCTGCTGCTAATACCGAGGCAAACAGGGTCTGAAGTGGACCTCCAGCAGACTCCAACAGACCTGCAGCTGAGGGTCCCAAATGTTGGAAGGAAAACTAACAAACAGAAAGGACATCCACACCAAAACCCCATCTGTATGTCACCATCATCAAAGACCAAAGGTAGATAAAACCACAAAGATGGGGAAAAAACAGCAGAAAAACTGAAAATTCTAAAAATCTAAGCACCTCTCCTCCTCCAAAGGAATGCAGCTCCTCACCAGCAACAGAACAAAGCTGGACAGAGAATGACTTTGACGAGTTGACAGAAGAAGGCTTCAGATGATCAAACTACTCCGAGCTAAAGGAGGAAGTTTGAACCCATGGCAAAGAAGTTAAAAACCTTGAAAAGAGATTAGATGAATGGCTAACTAGAATAACCAATGCAGAGAAGTCCTTAAAGGACCTGATGGAGCTGAAAACCACGGCACAAGAAATACGTGATGAATGCACAAGTCTCAGTAGCCGATTCGATCAACTGGAAGAAAGGGTATCAGTGATGGAAGATCAAATGAATGAAATGAAGCAAGAAGAGAAATTTAGAGAAAAGAGAATGAAAAGAAACGAACAAAGCCTCCAAGAAATATGGGACTATGTGAAAAGACCAAATCTACCTCTGATTGGTGTACCTGAAAGTGACGGGAGAATGGAACCAAGTTGGAAAACACTCTGCAGGATATTATCCAGGAGAACTTCCCCAATCTAGCAAGGCAGGCCAACATTCAAATTCAGGAAATACAGAGAACGCCATAAAGATACTCCTGGAGAAGAGCAACTCCAAGACACATAATTGTCAGATTCACCAAAGTTGAAATGAAGGAAAAAATGTTAAGGGCAGCCAGAGAGAAAGGTTGGGTTACCCACAAAGGGAAGCCCATCAGACTAACAGCTGATCTCTCGGCCAAAACCCTACAAGCCAGAAGAGAGTGGGGGCCAATATTCAACATTCTTAAAGAAAAGAATTTTCAACCCAGAATTTCATATCCAGCCAAACTAAGCTTCATAAGTGAAGGAGAAATAAAATACTTTACAGACAAGCAAATGCTGAGAGATTTTGTCAGCACCAGGATTGCCCTAAAAGAGCTCCTGAAGGAAGCACTAAACATGGAAAGGAGCAACTGGTACCAGCCACTGCAAAAACATGCCAAATTCTAAAGACTATCGAGGCTAGGAAGAAACTGCATCAATAAACAAGCAAAATAACCAGCTAACATCATAATGACAGGATGAAATTCACACATAACAATATTAACCTTAAATGTAAATGGGCTAAATGCTCCAATTAAAAGACACAGATTGGAAATTGGATAAAGAGTCAAGACCCATCTGTGTGCTGTATTCAGGAAACCCATCTCACGTGCAGAGACACTCATAGGCTCAAAATAAAAAGATGGAGGAAGATCTACCAAGCAAATGGAAAACAAAAAAAGGCAGGGGTTGCAATCCTAGTCTCTGATAAAACAGACTTTAAACCAACAAAGATCAAAAGAGACAAAGAAGGCCATTACATAATGGTAAAGGGATCAATTCAACAAGAAGAGCTAACTATCCTAAATATATATGCGCCCAATACAGGAGCACCTAGATTCATAAAGCAAGTCCTGAGTGACCTACAAAGAGAGTTAGACTCCCACAAAATAATCATGGGAGACTTTAACGCCCCACTGTCAACGTTAGACAGATCAACGAGACAGAAAGTTAACAAAGATATCCAGGAATTGAACTCAGCTCTGCACCAAGCAGACCTAATAGACATCTACAGAACTCTCCACCCCAAATCAACAGAATATACATTTTTTTCAGCACCACACCACACCTATTCCAAAATTGACCACATAGTTGGAAGTAAAGCACTCCTCAGCAAATGGAAAAGAACAGAAATTATAACAAACTGTCTCTCAGACCACAGTGCAATCAAACTAGAACTCAGGATTAAGAAACTCACTCAAAACCACTCAACTACATGGAAACTGAACAACCTGCTCCTGAATGACTACTGGGTACATAACAAAATGAAGGCAGAAATAAAGAAGTTCTTTGAAACCAACGAGAACAAAGACACAACATACCAGAATCTCTGGGACACATTCAAAGCAGTGTGTAGAGGGAAATTTATAGCACTAAATGCCCACAAGAGAAAGCAGGAAAGGTCTAAAATTGACACCCTAACATCATAATTAAAAGAACTAGAGAAGCAAGAGCAAACACATTCAAAAGCTAGCAGAAGGCAAGAAATAACTAAAATCAGAGCAGAACTGAAAGAAATAGAGACACAAAAACCCTTCAAAAAATCAGTGAATCCAGGAACTGGTTTTTTGAAAAGATCAACAAAATTGACAGACCACTAGCAAGACGAATAAAGAAGAAAAGAAAGAAGAATCAAATAGATGCAATGAAAAATGATAAAGGGGATATCACCACCAATCCCACAAAAATACAAACTACCATCAGAGAATACTTTAACCACCTCTATGCAAATAAACTAGAAAATATGGAAGAAATGGATAAATTCCTCGACACATACACTCTCCCAAGACTAAACCAGGAAGAAGTTGAATCTCTGAATAGACCAATAACAGGCTCTGAAATTGAGGCAATAATTAATAGCTTACCAACCAAAAAAAGTCCAGGACCACATGGATTCATAGCAAAATTCTACCAGAGGTACAAGGAGGAGCTGGTATCATTCCTTCTGAAACTATTCCAATCAATAGAAAAAGAGAGAATCCTCCCTAACTCATTTTATGAGGCCAGCATCATCCTGATACCAAAGCCGGGCAGAGACACAACAGAAAAAAAGAGAATTTTAGACCAATATCCCTAATGAACATTGATGCAAAAATCCTCAATAAAATACTGGCAAACCGAATCCAGCAGCACATCAAAAAGCTTATCTACCATGATCAAGTGGGCTTCATCCCTGGGATGCAAGGCTGGTTCACCATATGCAAATCAATAAATGTAATCCATCAAATAAACAGAGCCAAAGACAAAAACCACATGATTATCTCAATAGATGCAGAAAAGGCCCTTGACAAAATTCAACAACGCTTCATGCTAAAAACTCTCTATAAATTAGGTATTGATGGGACGTATCTCAAAATAATAAGAGCTATCTATGACAAACCCACAGCCAATATCATACTGAATGGACAAAAACTGGAAGCATTCCCTTTGAAAACTGGCACAAGACAGGGATGCCCTCTCTCACCACTCCTATTCAACATAGTGTTGGAAGTTCTGGCCAGGGCAATCAGGCACGAGAAAGAAATAAAGGGCATTCAATTAGGAAAAGAGGTAGTCAAATTGTCCCTGTTTGCAGATGACATGATTGTATATCTAGAAAACCCCATCGTCTCAGCCCAAAATCTCCTTAAGCTGATAAGCAACTTTAGCAAAGTCTCAGGATACAAAATCAATGTGCAAAAATCACAAGCATTCCTATACACCAATAACAGACAAACAGAGAGCCAAATCATGAGTGAACTCCCATTCACAATTGCTTCAAAGAGAATAAAATACCTAGGAATCCAACTTACAAGGGATGTGAAGGACCTCTTCAAGGAGAACTACAAACCACTGCTCAAGGAAATAAAAGAGGATACAAAGAAATGGAAGAACATTCCATGCTCATGGGTAGGAAGAATCAATATCGTGAAAATGGCCATACTGCCCAAGGTAATTTATAGATTCAATGCCATCCCCATCAAGCTACCAATGACCTTCTTCACAGAATTGGAAAAAACTACTTTAAAGTTCATATGGAACCAAAAAACAGCCTGCTTTGCCAAGTCAATCCTAAGCCAAAAGAACAAAGCTGGAGGCATCAAGCTACCTGACTTCAAACTATACTACAAGGCTACAGTAACCAAAACAGCATGGTACTGGTACCAAAACAGAGATATAGACCAATGGAACAGAACACAGCCCTCAGAAATAATGCCACATATCTAGAACCATCTGATCTTTGACAAACCTGACAAAAAAAAGAAATGGGGAAAAGATTCCCTATTTAATAAATGGTGCTGGGAAAACTGGCTAGCCATATGTAGAAAGCTGAAACTGGATCCCTTCCTTACACCTTATACTAAAATTAATTCACGATGGATTAAAGATTTAAATGTTAGACCTAAAACCATAAAAACCCTAGAAGAAAACCTACACAATACCATTCAGGACATAGGTATGGGCAAGGACTTCATGTCTAAAACACCAAAGGCAATGGCAACAAAAGTCAAAATTGACAAATGGGATCTAATTAAACTAAAGAGCTTCTGCACAGGAAAAGAAACTATCATCGGAGTGAACAGGCAACCTACAGAATGGGAGAAAATTTTTGCAATCTACTCATCTGACAAAGGGCTAATATCCAGAATCTACAATGAACTCAAACAAATTTACAAGAAAAAAACAAATAACCCCATCAAAAAGTGGGCAAAGGACATGAACAGCCACATCTCAAAAGAAGACATTTATGCAGCCAAAACCACAATGAGATACCATCTCACACCAGTTAGAATGGTGATCATTAAAAAGTCAGGAAATAACAGGTGCTGGAGAGGATGTGGAGAAATAGGAACACTTTTACCCTGTTGGTGGGACTGTAAACTAGTTCTACCATTGTGGAAGTCAGTGTGGCAATTCCTCAGGGATCTAGAACTAGAGATACCATTTGACCCAGCCATCCCATTACTGGGTATATCCCAAAGGATTATAAATCATGCTGCTATAAAGACACATGCACACGTATGTTTATTGTGGCACTATTCACAATAGCAAAGACTTGGAACCAACCCACATGTCCAACAATGATAGACTGGATTAAGAAAATGTGGCACGGAGAGAGGAGCCAAGATGGCCGAATAGGAACAGCTCCGGTCTACAGCTCCCAGCGTGAGCGACGCGGAAGACGGGTGATTTCTGCATTTCCATCTGAGGTACCGGGTTCATCTCACTGGGGAGTGCCAGACAGTGGGCGCAGGCCAGTAGGTGCGCGCACTGTGCGCGAGCCGAAGCAGGGCGAGGCATTGCCTCACCTGGGAAGTGCAAGGGGTCAGGGAGTTCCCTTTCCGAGTCAAAGAAAGGGGTGACGGACGCACCTGGAAAATTGGGTCACTCCCACCCGAATATTGCGCTTTTCAGACCGGCTTAAAAAACGGCACACCACGAGACTATATCCCACACCTGGCTCGGAGGGTCCTACGCCCACGGAGTCTCGCTGATTGCTAGCACAGCAGTCTGAGATCAAACTGCAAGGCGGCAGCGAGGCTGGGGGAGGGGCGCCCGCCATTGCCCAGGCTTGCTTAGGTAAACAAAGCAGCCGGCAAGCTCGAACTGGGTGGAGCCCACCACAGCTCAAGGAGGCCTGCCTGCCTCTGTAGGCTCCACCTCTGGGGGCAGGGCACAGACAAACAAAAAGACAGCAGTAACCTCTGCAGACTTAAATGTCCCTGTCTAACAGCTTTGAAGAGAGCAGTGGTTCTCCCAGCACGCAGCTGGAGATCTGAGACCGGGCAGACTGCCTCCTCAAGTGGGTCCCTGACCCCTGACCCCCGAGCAGCCTAACTGGGAGGCACCCCCCAGCAGGAGCACACTGACACCTCACACGGCAGGGTATTCCAACAGACCTGCAGCTGAGGGTCCTGTCTGTTAGAAGGAAAACTAACAAACAGAAAGGACATCCACACCGAAAACCCATCTGTACATCAACATCATCAAAGACCAAAAGTAGATAAAACCACAAAGATGGGGAAAAAACAGAACAGAAAAACTGGAAACTCTAAAACGCAGAGCGCCTCTCCTCCTCCAAAGGAACGCAGTTCCTCACCAGCAACGGAACAAAGCTGGATGGAGAATGATTTTGACGAGCTGAGAGAAGAAGACTTCAGACGATCAAATTACTCTGAGCTACGGGAGGACATTCAAACCAAAGGCAAAGAAGTTGAAAACTTGGAAAAAATTTAGAAGAATGTATAACTAGAATAAGCAATACAGAGAAGTGCTTAAAGGAGTTGATGGAGCTGAAAACCAAGGCTCGAGAACTACGTGAAGAATGCAGAAGCCTCAGGAGCCGATGCGATCAACTGGAAGAAAGGGTATCAGCAATGGAAGATGAAATGAATGAAATGAAGCGAGAAGGGAAGGTTAGAGAAAAAAGAATAAAAAGAAATGAGCAAAGCCTCCAAGAAATATGGGACTATGTGAAAAGACCAAATCTATGTCTGATTGGTGTACCTGAAAGTGATGCGGAGAATGGAACCAAGTTGGAAAACACTCTGCAGGATATTATACAGGAGAACTTCCCCAATCTAGCAAGGCAGGCCAACGTTCAGATTCAGGAAATACAGAGAACACCACAAAGATACTCCTCGAGAAGAGCAACTCCAAGACACATAATTGTCAGATTCACCAAAGTTGAAATGAAGGAAAAAATGTTAAGGGCAGCCAGAGAGAAAGGTCGGGTTACCCACAAAGGGAAGCCCATCAGACTAACAGCGGATCTCTCGGCAGAAACCCTACAAGCCAGAAGAGAGTGGGGGCCAATATTCAACATTCTTAAAGAAAAGAATTTTCAACCCAGAATTTCATATCCAGCCAAACTAAGCTTCATAAGTGAAGGAGAAATAAAATACTTTACAGACAAGCAAATGCTGAGAGATTTTGTCACCACCAGGCCTGCCCTAAAAGAGGTCCTGAAGGAAGCACTAAACATGGAAAGGAACAACCGGTACCAGCCGCTGCAAAATCATGCCAAAATGTAAAGACCATCGAGACTAGGAAGAAACTGCATCAACTAACAAGCAAAATAACCAGCTAACATCATAATGACAGGATCAAATTCACACATAACAATATTAACTTTAAATGTAAATGGACTAAATTCTCCAATTAAAAGACACAGACTGGCAAGTTGGATAAAGAGTCAAGACCCATCAGTGTGCTGTATTCAGGAAACCCATCTCACGTGCAGAGACACACATAGGCTCAAAATAAAAGGATGGAGGAAGATCTACCAAGCAAGTGGAAAACAAAAAAAGGCAGGGGTTGCAATCCTAGTCTCTGATAAAACAGACTTTAAACCAACAAGGATCAAAAGAGACAAAGAAGGCCATTACATAATGGTAAAGGGATCAATTCAACAAGAGGAGCTAACTATCCTAAATATATATGCACCCAATACAGGAGCACCCAGATTCATAAAGCAAGTCCTGAGTGACCTACAAAGAGACTTAGACTCCCACACATTAATAATGGGAGACTTTAACACCCCACTGTCAACATTAGACAGATCAACGAGACAGAAAGTCAACAAAGATACCCAGGAATTGAACTCAGCTCTGCACCAAGCAGACCTAATAGACATCTACAGAACTCTCCACCCCAAATCAACAGAATATACATTTTTTTCAGCACCACACCACACCTATTCCAAAATTGACCACATAGTTGGAAGTAAAGCACTCCTCAGCAAATGGAAAAGAACAGAAATTATAACAAACTATCTCTCAGACCACCGTGCAATCAAACTAGAACTCAGGATAAAGAATCTCACTCAAAGCCGCTCAACTACATGGAAACTGAACAACCTGCTCCTGAATGACTACTGGGTACATAACGAAATGAAGGCAGAAATAAAGAAGTTCTTTGAAACCAACGAGAACAAAGACACAACATACCAGAATCTCTGGGACGCATTCAAAGCAGTGTGTAGAGGGAAATTTATAGCACTAAATGCCCACAAGAGAAAGCAGGAAAGATCCAAAATTGACACCCTAACATCACAATTAAAAGAACTAGAGAAGCAAGAGCAAACACATTCAAAAGCTAGCAGAAGGCAAGAAATAACTAAAATCAGAGCAGAACTGAAGGAAATAGAGACACAAAAAACCCTTCAAAAAATCAATGAATCCAGGAGCTGGTTTTTTGAAAGGATCAACAAAATTGATAGACCGCTAGTAAGACTAATAAAGAAAAAAAGAGAGAAGAATCAAATAGACACAATAAAAAATGATAAAGGGGATATCACCACCGATCCCACAGAAATACAAACTACCATCAGAGAATACTACAAACACCTCTACGCAAATAAACTAGAAAATCTAGAAGAAATGGATACATTCCTCGACACATACACTCTCCCAAGACTAAACCAGGAAGAAGTTGAATCTCTGAATAGACCAATAACAGGAGCTGAAATTGTGGCAATAATCAATAGCTTACCAACCAAAAAGAGTCCAGGACCAGATGGATTCACAGCCGAATTCTACCAGAGGTACAAGGAGGAACTGGTACCATTCCTTCTGAAACTATTCCAATCAATAGAAAAAGAGGGAATCCTCCCTAACTCATTTTATGAGGCCAGCATCATCCTGATACCAAAGCTGGGCAGAGACACAACCAAAAAAGAGAATTTTAGACCAAAATCCTTGATGAACATTGATGCAAAAATCCTCAATAAAATACTGGCAAACCGAATCCAGCAGCACATCAAAAAGCTTATCCACCATGATCAAGTGGGCTTCATCCCTGGGATGCAAGGCTGGTTCAATATACGCAAATCAATAAATGTAATCGAGCATATAAACAGAGCCAAAGACAAAAACCACATGATTATCTCAATAGATGCAGAAAAAGCCTTTGACAAAATTCAACAACCCTTCATGCTAAAAACTCTCAATAAATTAGGTATTGATGGGATGTATTTCAAAATAATAAGAGCTATCTATGACAAACCCACAGCCAATATCATACTGAATGGGCAAAAACTGGAAGCATTCCCTTTGAAAACTGGCACAAGACAGGGATGCCCTCTCTCACCGCTCCTATTCAACATAGTGTTGGAAGTTCTGGCCAGGGCAATCAGGCAGGAGAAGGAAATAAAGGGTATTCAATTAGGAAAAGAGGAAGTCAAATTGTCCATGTTTGCAGACGACATGATTGTTTATCTAGAAAACCCCATCATCTCAGCCCAAAATCTCCTTAAGCTGATAAGCAACTTCAGCAAAGTCTCAGGATACAAAATCAATGTACAAAAATCACAAGCATTCCTATACACCAACAACAGACAAACAGAGAGCCAAATCATGAGTGAACTCCCATTCACAATTGCTTCAAAGAGAATAAAATACCTAGGAATCCAACTTACAAGGGATGTGAAGGACCTCTTCAAGGAGAACTACAAACCACTGCTCAAGGAAATAAAAGAGGATACAAAGAAATGGAAGAACATTCCATGCTCATGGGTAGGAAGAATCAATATCGTGAAAATGGCCATACTGCCCAAGGTAATTTATAGATTCAATGCCATCCCCATCAAGCTACCAATGACCTTCTTCACAGAATTGGAAAAAACTACTTTAAAGTTCATATGGAACCAAAAAAGAGCCCGCATTGCCAAGTCAATCCTAAGCCAAAAGAACAAAGCTGGAGGCATCACACTACCTGACTTCAAACTATACTACAAGGCTACAGTAACCAAAACAGCATGGTACTGGTACCAAAACAGAGATATAGATCAATGGAACAGAACACAGCCCTCAGAAATAACGCCACATATCTACAACTATCTGATCTTTGACAAACCTGAGAAAAACAAGCAATGGGGAAAGGATTCCCTATTTAATAAATGGTGCTGGGAAAACTGGCTAGCCATATGTAGAAAGCTGAAACTGGATCCCTTCCTTACACCTTATATAAAAATCAATTCAAGATGGATTAAAGATTTAAAAGTTAGACCTAAAACCATAAAAACCCTAGAAGAAAACCTAGGCATTACCATTCAGGACATAGGCGTGGGCAAGGACTTCATGTCCAAAACACCAAAAGCAATGGCAACAAAAGCCAAAATTGACAAATGGGATCTAATTAAACTAAAGAGCTTCTGCACAGCAAAAGAAACTACCATCAGAGTGAACAGGCAACCTACAACATGGAAGAAAATTTTCGCAACCTACTCATCTGACAAAGGGCTAATATCCAGAATCTACAATGAACTCAAACAAATTTACAAGAAAAAAACAAACAACCCCATCAAAAATTGGGCGAAGGACATGAACAGACACTTCTCAAAAGAAGACATTTATGCAGCCAAAAAACACATGAAAAAATGCTCATCATCACTGGCCATCAGAGAAATGCAAATCAAAACCACTATGAGATATCATCTCACACCAGTTAGAATGTCAATCATTAACAAGTCAGGAAACAACAGGTGCTGGAGAGGATGTGGAGAAATAGGAACACTTTTACACTGTTGGTGGGACTGTAAACTAGTTCAACCATTGTGGAAGTCAGTGTGGCGATTCCTCAGGGATCTAGAACTAGAAATACCATTTGACCCAGCCATCCCATTACTGGGTATATACCCAAATGACTATAAATCATGCTGCTATAAAGACACATGCACACGTATGTTTATTGCGGCATTATTCACAATAGCAAAGACTTGGAACCAACCCAAATGTCCAACAATGATAGACTGGATTAAGAAAATGTGGCTCATATACACCATGGAATACTATGCAGCCATAAAAAATGATGAGTTCATGTCCTTTGTAGGGAGATGGATGAAATTGGAAACCATCATTCTCAGTAAACTATCGCAAGAACAAAAAACCAAACACCGCATATTCTCACTCATAGGTGGGAATTGAACAATGAGATCACATGGACACAGGAAGGGGAATATCACACTCTGGGGACTGTGGTGGGGAGGGGGGAGGGGGGAGGGATAGCATTGGGAGATATACCTAATGCTAGACGACGAGTTAGTGGGTGCAGCGCACCAGCATGGCACATGTATAGATATGTAACTAACCTGCACAATGTGCACATGTACCCTAAAACTTAAAGTATAATTAAAAAAAAAAAAAGAAAAGAAAATGTGGCACATATACACCATGGAATACTATGCAGCCATAAAAAATGATGAGTTCATGTCCTTTGTAGGGACATGGATGAAGCTGGAAACCATCATTCTCAGCAAACTATCACAAGGACAAAAAACCAAACACCACATGTTCTCACTCATAGGTGGGAATTGAACAGTGAGAACACTTGGACACAGGAAGGGGAACATCACACACCAGGGCCTGTTGTGTGGTGGGGGAGGGTGGAGGGGTAGCATTGGGAGATATACCTAATGTTAAATGACAAGTTAATGGGTGCAGCACACCAACATGGCACATGTATATATATGTAACAAACCTGCACGTTGTGCACATGTACCCTAAAACTTAAAGTGTAATAAAAATAAATAAATAAATAAAGACAAAAACAAAAGCTGATTGACGTATCTATCACCTGTTGTTCACTTACCTATTGTTTATGCTGATGAGACATTCAAAATATATAATATGTTATTAGTTAGTTTGAAATCTATGATACATTATTATTGACTACAGCCACCCTAGTGTGCAATAAATATCAAAACTAAAAAAAAAGAAAAAAGAAAAAGAAACAGGAGAAAGGTAGGCAATTAAAAAAAATTAGGATGACTGCTTTTTGCTCAAGCAACTTGAATGTTAATATTTATTTTAATGTTTTCTAATTTCCACTGTGTTTTCTTCATGGCCCTAGTACTTTTTGTTGATTTATTATTATATACATGTATTGCTTTATCTCAAAGCAGTTGGAGATTTTCCATTTTTAAATAATTGATTTGTAGTTTTTTACCTCTGTGGAAAGGAAATAAACTTTGTGAATCTATTCTTGAAATTTGTTGATTTGCTTCAATGCCCAATATTTCATCAGTTTTCTTAAATATTCCACTCACTGTTTAAAAATAAAATTAAATAACCCTTTTATAATAATGTAGGAACCTGTAAATGACATTTTGAAAAAAAAAAGTTATCTGTAAAGCAATTTGTAAGAGAGCAACTAGGTTCCATTTTATAGTTGGCAAACCACAGAGACACAGCCTTTGATGTAAAATAAAGATGTGTTCCAAAGAAGAAAGGAAGAATTCAAGTTTTATAGCAAAATTTCCTTCCCAGGTTCCCTTTCAGGTAGGTTTGTGCAAAATGAAGGATTCTGACTCATTTAGTTTTGATGGATGATAGAACTGAGCCCTGATTAGTCGAGACAGTTGAGCCTTGGTTGGTTGAGGCCCGTGAGCTCTGATTGGTTGGTTCAAGTGAGCTCTGGAAGTTTCACAGTTTGTTCTGTTATTAGTCTCTTACCTTTGTGTGTGTGAGTTCTGATTGGTTGGTTCGAGTAAGCTCTGGAAGTCTCACAGTTTAGTCTGTTATTAGTTTATTACCTTTGTGTTTGTCCGTGTGTGTGTGTGTGTGATGAGAGCACATAAAATCTATTCTCTTAGCAAATTTTTAACATACAATACAATATTATTAACTACAGCTCTACTCTTGTAGAAATCTCTAAATTTATTTATCCTGCAAAACTACAAATTTGCATTCTTTAATTTACATCTCCCCATTTCCTGCCACCCCCCCTCCACACCTGCTAACCACCCTTCTACTCTATTTCTGTGTGTTTGACTTTTTTTCTTAGATCTTACGTATAAGTGAGATACAGCATTTTTCTTTCTGTTATTGGCTTATTTCACTTAATAAACCTGGAGGTTTATCCTCCAGGTTCATCCATATTGTCATAATGGCATTATACCCTTCTTTTCTAAGGTCAAATAATATCTTAATGTGTGTGTATATGTCTATGTCTATATACAGATATAGATGTCACAACTTTTTATCAATTCATACATCTATGAGCACTGAGTTTGCCATTGTGAATAAAGCCACAATGAACGTGGCAGTACAGATATGTCCTGAAAAGATCTACAAAGCCAAGCAGATAATTTGAATAAGTAGAGTGGACCAAGCCTGTTTTGCTCCCTTCTAGGACGGCAGCATGTTGCAGTACAAGTGAAACATTTGTAAATATTTGAATAATGTTTTTATTGGCTCTGTTTGTATGATGAATGATTCTCCTGCACTGCTCCCCCACCTCCAACCGCAAAATATTACCAGCATCCATTGGAATGCACGTATTATCCTAATCACTGGGTTTTGACCAGTCTAGGTACTCCACTAAAGATATTTTCTTTCCTTGACTCCAGAAGAGAAACTAATAGCCCATGTGATTTTTGGGAAAAGGGGTTTGAACAGAACTTTGGAGATGAAGAGTGGGCTATGGGTTAAAAGTGTAATATGATGCAATACCCAAAATGTGGTGTACATGCCTCTTCAGGTACATGAGATAGTTTTAAGTGGTACACAGACTTGTAAGGAATTTTTTATTTGTATAAATATAAGAGGTACAGGTGCAGTTTTGTTACATGGATATATTGCACAGTGGTGAAGTCCAGGCCTTCAGTGTAACCATCACCCAAATAGTGTACATTGTACCCATTAAGCAATTTCTGATCCTTCACCCTCCTCCCACCTTTCCAAGTCTCCAATGTTTATTATTCCACGCTCTATGTCCACGGAGGTACACAGATTTTTAAAAACAGTTTATGCCGTTTAATTAAAAATATGTCAATAACATGTTATCTGTGAAACCATAGATATTATTGCTTACAAAATACAAAAAAGTTATTTAAAATCAGTTAATTAAAATAGCTTTCTTAAATAAATAATTGTATGGGTGATATGCACATATGGCAAAAAAGGATCAAACTGTTAGTGGAATGACTAGTTAACATGTTGTCAAAATGCCTAGGAATCAGACAAACCTGGTTCAAACCTCACCCACCACTTACTAGCCATGTGACTTTAGGCAAGTAACCTAATTTCTCTGAGTCTCAGGGTAAAATAAGAATAATAACAGTACCTGCTTCACTGGGTTGTTGTTAAGCTTAAGTGAGGTGCATTATAGTGTAGTGATGGGGTGCACAAAATCTAAAGCTAGATGCCCTGGTTTCAAATCCAAGCTCTACCACTTACCAGCTAAGTGATGTTGAGCAACTTACTTAACCTTTATGTGCCTTAATTTTCCCACCTGTAAGTGGGATTATTATGAGGGTTGTATGAGTTAATACCTTTGGAGTGCTTAGAAACATTCTAGTATATATTAAGTGTTCCTTGGAAACAATCCTAGTGTAAGCATTATGTGTTTGTTAGATTAAAAATAAACGTGTAGTCTGAACACGGTGGCTGACCCCTATAATCCCAGCACTTTGGGAGGTCAAGGTGAGAGGATCGCTTGAGCCCAGGAGTTCAAGATCATCCTGGGCAACATAGCAAGGCACTGTCTCTACAAAAAAATTGAAAAAGTAGCCAGATGTGGTAGTGCACACTTGTAGTCACAGCTACTCAGGAAACTAGACAGGAGGATTGCTGGAGCCCAGGAGTTTGAGGCTGCAGTAAGCCATGATTGTGCCACTGCATTCCAGCCTGGCAGACAGAATGAGACCCTGTCTCAAGAAAAGAATAAAAATAAAAAATAAATGTCTACACATCTCACAAAATTTAGCAAGTTCTCATGAAATGTAACCCATTGATGTTGCTTTGGATTTCCAACACCAAAATGAAATAAATATGCAATCAGCATTTGATTAAGAGGCAGCATTTAATTGCTCAGCATACACAGAGAACTAGCAAACTCCAGCACCTCTCTGCAGTAGGAATTAAAAACAAGTCTCATGGAAGCTGGGTCTTCTTCAAGGACTATCAGGAGTGAGGTTAGAAAGAAGCCCCAAGTTATCTTTCTGTATCCTGCTAAGGTTAAGTGTGGGCCATTTCAATTTACAGATGAGGAAATTAGGTCTCAGAGAAATTAAGCAAGCTGCCCAATGTTATGAAGCATATAAATGATAAAGCTAGATGGTATGCTACCTTTATGGAAGACCCTACATCCCAAGCAGAGGAATTTAGAGTTTATCCAGTGAAGTGGGGAGATAAAATGTGTATTTTATGGAAATTAGTATGGTAGAGGTATAGTGATGATGAGAGTAATATAACAACAATATCATTAGTTGAGATTCTACCACTATTATTGGATACCTCTGAAACATTCTTAGATATCCAGTCTTAAAAAACTCTCCTGTGATACCACACCTCACTTTTGCTACTCACTGACCAGTATCCATTTTCTGTTTTTAATTCAAACTTCTTTGAAAGAGTACTCTGTTTATATGTCCATTTCTCATCACCCACTCACTCCTCAAATGATTGAAGTTTGGCTTTTATTCCCCAACCCATCCCTATCCCCCAACACATACTCCAACAAATCTAGCCTCATCAACCTTCAAATACACACATACCTTGAACATATTGTGGGTTCAGTTCCAGACGACTGCAATGAAGTAAATTATCACAATAAAGTCAGTAACACAAATTTTTTGGTTTCCTAGTATATATAAAAGTTATATTTACACTATACTGTAGTCTCTTAAGTATACAATAGCATTATTCTAAAAAACATATGTAACTTAATTTAAAAATACTTTGCTGCTAAAAAATGCTAATGATCATCTGAGCCTTTAATGAGTTGTAATCTTACTGGTGGAGGAGGGTCTTCCTTTGATGTTGATGGTTGCTGACTGATAAGGATGGCAGTTGCTGATGGTTGGGGTGGCTGTGGCAATTTCTTAAAATAAAACAGCAATGAAGTTGGCCACATCAATTGACTCTTCCTTTCATGAAAGATTTCTCTGTGGCATGTGATGCTGTTTAATAGCATTTACCTACAGTAGAACTTCTTTCAAAATTGGAGTCAGTGCTTTCAAACCCTGACACTGTTTTATCAACTAAATTTATGTAATATTCTAAATCCTTTGTTGTCATTTCAACACTATTCACAGCACCTTCACCAAGAGTAGATGCCATCTCAAGAAGCTACTTTGCTCATCCATAAGAAACCACTCCCCCATGCTCATGGATAGGAAGAACCAATATTGTGAAAATAGCCTTACTGCCCAAAGTAATTTATAGATTCAATGCTATCCCCATCAAGCTACCAGTGACTTTCTTCACAGAATTGGAAAAAACTACTTTAAAGTTCATATGGAACCAAAAAGGAGCCCGCATAGCCAAGACACTCCTAAGCAAAAAGAACAAAGCTGGAGGCATCACGCTACCTGACTTCAAACTATACTGCAAGGTTACAGTAACCAAAACAGCATGGTACTGGTACCAAAACAGATATATAAACCAAAGGAACCAAACAGAGCCCTCAGAAATAATGCCACATATCTACAACTATCTGATCTTTCACAAATGTGACAAAAACAAGAAATGGGGAAAAGATTCCCTATTTAATAAATGGTGCTCGGAAAACTGGCTAGCCATATGTAGAAAGCTGAAACTGGATCCCTTCATTACACTGTATACAAAATTTAACTCAAGACGGATTAAAGATTTAAATGTAAGACCTAACACCATAAAAACCCTAGAAGAAAACCTAGGCAATACCATTCAGGACATAGGCATGGGCAAAGACTTCATGACTAAAACACCAAAGGCAATGGCAACAAAAGCCAAAATTGACAAATGGGATCTAATTAAACTAAAGAGCTTCTGCACAGCAAAATAAACTATCATCGGAGTGAACAGGCAACCTACAGAATGGGAGAAAATTTTTGCAATCTACCCACCTGACAAAGGGCTAATATCCAGAATCTACAAAGACCTTAAACAAATTTACAAGAAAAAACAACCCCATCAAAAAGTGGGCAAAGGATATGAACAGACACTTCTCAAAAGAAGACATTTATGCAGCCAACAGACATATGAAAAAATGCTCATCATCACTGGTCATCAGAGAAATGCAAATCAAAAACAATGAGTTACCATCTCATGCCAGTTAGAATGGAGATCATTAAAAAGTCAGGAAGCAACAGATGCTGGAGAGGATGTGGAGAAATAGGAATGCTTTTACACTGTTGGTGGGAGTGAAAATTAGTTCAACCATTGTGGAAGACAGTGTGGCAAGGATCTAGAACTAGAAATACCATTTAACCCAGCAATCCCATTACTGGGCATATACCCAAAGGATTGTAAATCATTCTATGATAAAGACACATGCACACATATGTTTATTGTGGCACTATTCACAATAGCAAAGACTTGGAACCAACCCAAATGTCCATCAGTGATAGATTGGATTAAGAAAATGTGGCACATATACACCATTGAATACTATGCAGCCATAAAAATGGATGAGTTCATGTCCTTTGCAGGTTAATGGACGAAGTTGGAAACTCTCATTCTCAGCAAACTATCACAAGGACAGAAAACCAAACACCGCATGTTCTCACTCATAGGTGGGAGTTGCACAATGATAACACATGGACACAGGGAAGGGATCATCACACACTGGGGCCAGTCAGGTGATGGGGAGCTGGGGGAGGGATAGCATTAGGAGAAATACCTAATGTAAATGATGAGTTGATGGGTGCAGCAAACCAACATGGCACATGTATGCCTATGTAACAAACCTGCATGTTGTGCAGATGTACCCTAGAACTTAATGTATAATAATAATTTTTAAAAAAGAAACAACTCCTCATCCATTCAAGATTTATCAAGAGATTGCAGCAATTCTGCCACATCTTCAGGCTACACTTCTAATTCTAGTTCTCTTGCTATTTCCACCACATCTGCAGTGACTTTCTCCACTGAAGTCTTGAACCCCTCAAAGTTATCCATGAGAGTTCGAATCAACTTCTTCCAAACTCCTGTAAATGTTGATATTTTGACCTCCTCCCATAAACCATGAAAGTTCTTAATGGCATCTAGAATGGTGAATCCTTTCCAGAGGTTTTCAATTTTCTTTGCTCAGATCCATGAGAGGAATCAATATCTACAGCAGCTATAGCCTTATGAAATGTATTTCTTAAATAGTAAGACTTGAAAGTCAAAGTTACACCGTGATCTATGGGCTACAGAATGAATGCTGTGTTAGCAGGCATGAAAACAACATTAACCTCCTTGTATATCTTCATCAGGGCTCTTGGGTGACTAGGTACATTGTCAATGAGCCATAATATTTTGAAAGGAATCTTTTTTTCTGAGCAGTAGGTCTCAGTAGTGGGCTTAAAATATTCAGTAAATTATGCTGTAAACAAATGTGTTATCATCCAGGCTTTGTTGTTTCATTTCTAGAGCACAGGCAGCATAGATTTGGCATAATTCTTAAGGGCCCAAGGATTTTCGGAATGGTCAATAAGAATTGGCTTCGAATTAAAATCACCAGCTGCATTAGCCTCTAACAAGAAAGTCAGCCTGTCCTTTAAGTCATTGAAGCCAGGCATTGACTTCTCTCTATCTGTGAAAGTCCTAGATGGCGTCTTATTCCAATATAAGGCTGTTTTGTCTGCATTGAAAATTTGTTGTTTTGTGTAGCCACTTTCATCGATTATCTTAGCTAGATTTTCTAGATAACTTTTTGCAACTTTTACATCAGCACTTGCCACTTCACCTTGCACTTTTATGTTATGAAGATAGCTTCTTTCCTTGAACCTCATGAACCAGCCTCTGCTGGCTTCCAACTTTTCTTCTGCAGCTTCCTTATCTCTCTCAACCTCTGCAGAATTGAAGAGAATTAGGGCCCTGCTCTGGGTTAGGCTTTGGCTTAAGGGAATGTTGTAGCTTGTTTGAATTTCTATGGAGACAACTCAAACTTTTTCCATATGGGCAGTAAGTCTGTTTTGCTTTCTTATCATTCACGTGTTCACTGGAGTAACACTTTCAATTTCCTCCACAAACTTTTCCCTTGTGTTCACAACTTGGCTGACTGTCTGGTACAAGAGGCCTAGCTTTTAGCCTATGTTAGCTTTCAACTTTCCTTCCTCACTAAGCTTAATCATTTCTAGCTTTTGATTTAAAGTGAGAGACATGTGACTATTCCTTTCACTTGAACTCTTAGAGGCCACCGTAGGGTTATTAATTAGCCTAATTTCAATATTGTTGTGTCTCAGGGAATAGGGAGGCCTGAGTTAGCCTGCCATCTTATATGGGCACAGTTCATGGTACCCCAAAAGAATTACAACGGTAACATCAAAGATCACTGATCACTGCAACAGATATAATAATAGTGAAAAAGTTAGAAATACTGCAAGAATTATCAAAAGGTGACACAGAGACACAAAATGAGAACATGCTGTTGGAAAAATGTCGCTGATAGACTTGTCTGATGCAGAATTGCTCCAAGTCTTTAATTCATAAAAAACACAGTATCTGCCAAGTGCAATAGAGTGAAGTGCAATAAAATGAGATAGGCCTGTATTTATCACTATGTACAAGGTAGGCACCATTCTAAATTATACATCTACGTCCTCACTTAGTCCTCACAATACCCATGAGATAGGTAACATTATTTCCATTTTACAGATGAGGAAATAGACCCAGAAAAATTAAGTAACTTGCTCAAAATCACAGAGCTTTAAGGCAGAACTTTTGGCCAAAATGTATGTCTTACTGTCAATTTATGGCCACTGTGCTAACATATTGTCAGATTGCCTGGTGTCTTACATTCATAAGACTTGTTTCTGAAAGAATCTCGCAAACCAAAGATTGGTAAATTTGATTTCTATTATGGGAAAGTGGATGGAATCTGAAATAAAAACCAATATTAATTTGCTTTTATTTGTATACGGAAACTCTGGAAAGATAAACAATAAACTATTAGGCTGTGCTGTCCAATATGGTAGACACTAGTCATGTGTGGCTCTTGAGCACTTGACATGTGCCTAGTGCAACTGAGAAAGTGACTTTTTAATTTCAAAAAATTAAATTAAAATAGCCACCTGTGGCTGCTAGCTACTGTATTGGACAGTGCCAATATAGAACATTTCATTATCAGAAATTTCTATTGGACAGTGCTGCTATAGAGAGCAGGGGGAAATGGTGTATAGGAGCAAGGGTGATAGTGAAATTTTTATGTATGTATATATTTTTACCTTTAATTTGGATATATATTATTTTTTCAATATTCTGATTAAAGTATTATCATTAATGCTTAAGCAAACATTACGTATTGGAGAGAAACCAGCATGATATTTCAAGTGGAAACATATTTCTTTAAAAAAACAATGTTAACATTTATTTTAGATTCAGGGGATATACATGCAGGTTTGTTGCATGGGTATATTGCATGCTGCGGGTAGGATGTAATAACCCTCTCTTCTGACCTTTGCTAAGGCTAACCTGCCTGCCTATTTTGACCTGCATTTCCTTCTTCTCACTTTCCCTGACTCTGTACCTTGGCTACTGACACAGACCTCAGGCTCACTTTGTTTTGAAATATGACATGTTTGTGTGTGCTTTCTCCCACCTAACTCTTGACGCTTTCTTACACAGGAGTGCACACATGCTTCTGTCTTCACATATGCACAGCTGAAAGTGAGATGATTTCTCTACTCCACAGTTGGGAAGGGGGATTAGACAACAGAGAAGATGGAGAAGACAAAAGGGCTTGTGGAAAACTGCAAGTCAACATTTCTTTGGTAAGGCAGTTACCACACATGAGCACTGGCTGCCAAGCAAAGACTATGGTTCACTGAAGAGAACCTGACAGGAGTAGCCACCCCTCTGTTTCAGGCAGTAATTGCCATGTGAGACTGTGATGGTTGTCCAGATCTTCTGATTATTCAAGTAAAGCTGGAAATTTAGATTTGTATTTGATCCCTCACATCTTTAAATGCAGGCAACTAATTAAAATTAAAAGAAAACCTTCTGTCCAACATTTTGCAATCTCCAAATTATTGAAATTTTTGAAAAGCAGCTGATGTGTTTTTACGTCAAAGGTAATTCTTACCATTTTTACTTTTTCACAATGGAAATAGATTTTTTCTGATTATAAAAACACACGTTCATTTTTAAACTTACCTGTATTCACACTACCCCAAGAAACCATTTTTAAACTTTTGATGTTTTTCCTTGTTGTTTTTCTACTTACTGGGAGGATGCCATATGCACATCCCAATAGACAGAAAATTTCACATTTTTAATGTGAAAATTTTACAATAGTTGTTTACTCACATTAGTAGTTATGCATCTACATTATTATTTTTAATAGCTACATGGTATTCCATTGTGTGGTTGACACATTATTAATCCAATTCTCTATTGATGGATATTTAGGTGTTTATAATTTTTCATTATTACAAACAATACTGGAATACACATTCATAACCACTTTTAAAAACATGTTCACTATATAAGATGGAGGGAGAAATTTTATCATAGAAGTTTTGTTTTTCAGAGTAGGAAAACCTGGGATTCAGTACTAGGATCCATCTTAGTTCATACTTTTATAAAAGGCGTGGAAGACAGAGAACATACCAATTTTGCAGTAGATTTATTCAAGTAAACTATGACAAGTCAGCAGTGAAAAATTGCAGAAACAAGCAATGAGTGGTCAAGAAAGTGTAAGATGAACCTCAATGTGGAAAAGTATAGTAATACATTTAGAGAAACACATGCCAAACTATATAAAGAGTATTATCAGATTATTACATAGCACTGCTTGCTGCCACACCAGAGAAATGATTCTGTCTCGATGGGTCAATTCTTAGATCATTTAATTATCTGTCATCGAAAATGTAGCAAACTTGACAGCAGTAATATATACTATAAACGTGCAATAGCAAGAGCATTGAGCGCTGAACTAGAAATCACATCTGAATTTAGACTGAGCTCAGCTGCTTACTGTGATTTTGAGAAAATTGATTAGCCCCTCTGTGTCTCAGTTTTCATATCTGTTTAATACTTTATTGTCATGGTGATTATGAAGACCCAATAAACTATACATAAATTTGTTTGCTTAAAGAATATGATCATATTTGTTAAGGCCTCTCAGGAAAGGTGCAAAAAATAGATACACTCTACCTATACAGTGTTGAGCAGACAAGTAAGGCAAGGCCAGGTCTGACAAATTTTGCCAGTAAATATGAAACAAGCCCTTTTCAGATTTAGAAAGTTTACTACATACATACACAGTGAAAGGAAGAGTAGCCAAAGGAACAAGCTCCCCATGGTCCTGGTCCTACACACCAAGGTAGCCAAAACCAAAACAGAGGGGGCCATTGGAAGTTTGCATCTTGAGTTGTGGGACACCCTATTGCTGAGGAGCCAGTGCTATGCAGCAGTTAAGCAGTTTTATAACCTGCAGTTGTACCCCAAGGGGGCAAGACAGAAATCTTCATATCTTATCAAAACTCAGAAGGCAATGAGAAACTGTCTCATGACAGCCTCCTTGGTAAGTAGGAAGAAGAGTGGGAGATGGCCTCAAGCATCCCATGTTCTCATGTTTTAGGAGAATCACAAGGTGTTCTGCCAAGACTCAACTTAGCTGCAGTTCAAGTCTTTCCCCTGTGGCCTACTGGACGAATTTGCATTTGCCCTGCATGGTCACTAAGGCACCAAAATGGAGCCATTCTCTTACCCAGGACAAATATTTTTCTACTGCTTGACCGAGGCTGATGAGAGGAGTTAACTAACTTGCCTTAGGTAGACAACAAGGGATGGGTCCCTGGAGAGCCCCTGACCCACAGGTCAGTGCCTCATCCCCACATAACACAAAAAACAGCCTGAGAAAAAAATCAAACTGCGGGCACCAATAAGGCAACTAACACATGTGGTTGTTCCTGGAGACATGCCCATAGCTACACAGATAGGAGAACCTCCAGCCCATTCAGATAAAAACTTACAAAAACTTCCGACCCCCTCAGATAAAGAAAGAAGGCCTGACATAAAAATGCCTTTGTCCTTTATATAATCAACAGGCTCCCAGGAAAACTTTTCTTCTCCTTTTGTGGGCATGAACACGGTGGGTCCAGTGGACTCTTTCCTTTCCTTTTTGCACTGTGAGCCTGGCCTCTACGAATCATCACTTCAACTGCTGATAGGTCCTGGGCCAAACTGAGTAGCCCCTGTGAATCATCACTTCAACTCTTGATTGGTCCCAGGTCAAGATTCCAGGCCAAACTGAATCACACTTTCTCCAAGACAGCCCACAGACTAAACATACTCCTTCCCCTTCCCAATACATAAAAACCCCAGACCCCAGCTTCATAGTGGACAACCCATTTGGCTCCCCCTCTCCACTATGGAGAACTTTTTTCTTTCACTTATTAAACTTTCACTCCAACCTCATGCTTGTGTCCACACTCCTTAATTCTCTTAGATGTGAGACACAAAACTTCAGATACTATCTCAAACAACAAAAGACTACTACATATTTTAATGCACTGACAGGACTACAACATATTTTGGTGCATTGGCTGGGAAAGAAAGGGATTCATCTAAAAGGTAAGAGTGGACATTTAATTCTTTACTTTCATTTTGGAGGTTAGTCCTCAGTTTTTTTTTTTTTCTTCTCAAGAAACAAACAAAACACTGGGCCCCTGTCAGCCAGTTAAAAAACTAATAGGGTGGCTTCCAGCCTTAAGACTCAGGGGACAGGATTGCTGGAGAGGAATTTGTCAATCCCCATCGCTGTAAGTTGTTAGGAATGTTGGCTCTGTTCCAATCCAGTTTCCTTTCACAGAGGGCCTAGCTGTCACATGGGGCTGGAAGGAGGTCCCGAGGCAACTGAAGGCTTCTGGCCAAGGCTACACCTTGGTGTTACCTGAAGGCCCCTGGGCTAATTCCAGTCCCTGATAGTCCATCGGGTGTCAGCATCACGACTTCCAGACTTTTCTATTGCATTTTCTTCCTTGCTTTTCTCGACTATCATGTTGCCTATCCCTTCTTTGCGTACAATGATGTGGGTGTTTTTACAACCTGGAGATATAGTCTTGTCGGGTAAAGTCAGTCAGTGCCTTAGTAATCAGAAACGCAATTCAGTGAATTATTGTCTCTGTGGTTTCCTTGAAATGAAGAAATTCCAAGACCTGGATCTGGAGACCTATTTATCTCCCAATGATAACACTCAATGGGGTTAGATGAGGGGTTATTTCTCCCAGGACAATTATCCCCCCTTCATTTAAACTCTTTCTTTTCCCATGTGAAAAGCCAACATTGTCCAACAGAACTAGACAGCCTTGCTATGAAACAAGTTAATTTTCTTCTACTAAGAGACATACTGTGGAGACAGCTTATCAAGCCCCAGACGTCTCTTTTTAACTTTTGCCTGAAAAGAATTTAGTCAGAATTTTTACCTAACATTTCAGACCTTACAGGACCACCTAGTGGGATGGGGTTTTTCTCCATGGGGAGCCCTGTCAACCCTTTGCCCCAAACCTTGTTTCCCAATTCTTTTCTCTTTTAAGTCCCTCTGTCAGTGATCAGTCCCCACACCCCATTTGCCAAGAAAATTCCACTTTCAATAGCCCGGAGGAAGCCATCCTGACAAGACAGATTTTAGCCTTTATACTATCTCCATCAAAGGAAGGACAGCTATTCAATCCTTATGTTCTCTTGAGCCACCTGTTCTACATCCAACTACATTGTGATTTAAACAAAAAAAGGATTTTATATTTAAAAGTCAATTGGTCCCACTCTCTGGGATTCCAGTGTTTCCCTGGGACCATAACAAGGGAAGCCAGAGATAGTGTTTAGACGCTCCCTCCATTAAAGACTGTTGCCCAAATCCAACTACAACATAATCTCTCCCAGATCCCTGGGGTACCTTGGGAGCCTTTTAGGCTGAGTGGGTCTAGGAAACCAGCAGAGTGGAAAACTAGGACCTTACACAGATGAGTAACACATGACTAATGCTGCCACCTACGTCCTCCAGATATATGGGTGAAGATCACACTTTCATCCACGGGTGGAACCTATGGTGGTTACCAAGACCCAGAGGTCAAGGAAGTGAAGAGGAGAAGGAAGATGCCCTTTCTCTCTTTCTCTCCACCCTAGGTCACTCAGAAGGGAAAGAGAAGACTAAGGGATGCCTTTGTCTCTCGTATCTTTCTAGATGGGTAACAAACCATCTACAGTCTACACTCCTCTCAAGTACATTCTGAAACACTGGAACTCCTTTGACCCTGAGACTTGGAAGAAAAAACAACTTATATTCTATTACACAAGGGTGTGGTCATCTTACCAACTACAAGACAGACAGGAGGCCTGGCCTTCTCAGAAAAGTGTTAATTCTAACACTATCCAACAACTAGATCTTTTCTACAGATGGGAGGACAAATGGTCCAAGGTTCCCTATATACAAACTTTCTTTGCCCTGCAAGACAACCCAAATCTTTATAAGCATTGTAAAATTAACCCTGCCCTCTTGACAGCCATATCAGACAAGACTACAAAAGATAATTCCCCAAAGTCAGAGACAAATACAACTTCTAGGTGCCTTTCCTGCCCCCCTTATCCAAGGCCCCCATAGCCATATCATCAGCTCCTCCAGTTTTGCTACCCAAGAAACCCCTAAATTCACTGTTACCTCTACAAGAAATGCCCAGCAGACATAGTACTACTAGGGTTCAAGTTCCCTTCTCATCACAGGACCTTAGACAAATAAAGGGGGACCTAGAAAAGTTCTCTGATAACCCTGATAGATATATAAAGGCTTTCCAAAATCTAATACAAGTGTTTAATCTTACATGGAGAAATAGTATACTACTCCTA
This sequence comes from Homo sapiens, assembly GCF_000001405.40. Classification (NCBI taxonomy): domain Eukaryota; kingdom Metazoa; phylum Chordata; class Mammalia; order Primates; family Hominidae; genus Homo; species Homo sapiens. The sequence continues at coordinate 103,876,895 of NC_000023.11, read as the reverse complement.
AGCCAAACCCTAACTACTACCAAGAAACAGACAACCCTACAGACAACAGGAACATTCAGAGATGAACATGCCTCCTATAACCAGTCAAAAAAAGAACCCAGTCAAAATATTAAAGAGGTGAAAAAGAGACAGGATCCCAATTCCCAATAGGAAGAGAAACAGTGCCCCTTGAAAATCCTAATTAGAGCCCTAGTGATCCCATAGATGAATGAAAGAAAAAAAAAACACTTTCTATTATACATATTAAAAGACTTACAAAAAACAGAACCAAACATCTTAATTACTCTAAACTGTCTATGTTAAATAAAAATCCAGATAAAAATCCCTCAGCCTTTATGGAAGGGCTGAGAAAAGCTTTAATAAAACACACCTCCCTGCCTACCAATACAATAAAGAACAGATTTATTACTCAAACAGCCCCTAATATCATAAAGAAGTTACAGAAACAGACCCTGCCCAAAAATCCCTCTGATTTTTCTCACCCTCAAGTTAAAACTTTACAGTATATAAATAGCGCTCTCCTCTGTGCCCCAACCAAAGATGTCTCAAAAAAAACACTGAAACTCTTCTTAATTTCTTAACTGAAAGAGCATATAGGGTCTCAAAATCTAAAATTCAACTCTATCAAACTTCAGTAAAATGCCTAGGTCTAGTCTTATCAGAATGGACCAGAACACCAGGAGAGAAAAAAATTAAGCCCATTTCCTTTTTTCCCTTTCCCAAAACTTTTAAACAATTAAGGGGATTCTTAGACATTACTGGATTTTACAAATTATGGGTATGTGGGTATGGTGAAATAACTCACCCTTTATACCACCTCATAAAAAAAACCTCAAACATCTAAAACTCACTCCCTAACTTGGGAACCTAAAACTCAAAAAACCTTAACCAATTAAAAAAAAGCCTTACTTAAAACACCTGCCCTCAGTCTTCCAATAGGGAAGATATTTAATCATTACGTATCAGAAAGGAAGAGAATAACCTTGATAGTTTTAACTAAGACTCAAGATCCAACTCAACAACCAGTGGACTACCTAAACAACAAACTTGACTTGATGACTAAAAGATGGCCAACCTGCCTCCAGTTACAACGGTGACTCCACTGGTACCAGAGGCCACCAAGTTAAGAATAACTGTTTACACCCCACACAATATAACAGGACTACTGTTCTTTAAAAGAATTCTCTCTAACAATCACCTCCTCAAATATCAAACTTTATCACTAGAAGAATCTACAGTCCAATTGAAAACCTGCCCTTGCCTAAACCCAGTCACTTTCTCCCAGAAGAAACTAGAGAACCTGAACATAATTGTGAACAGGTAATGGTACAAACTGGTAAAAAGAAATGATAAGAATCACTGTTTATATTCTCTGTAAAGTTTTAATTAATAAAAAAGATTTTCTTTAAAAACATTCAACTTAATTAAAAGTAGATATCCAAACTATAGATATATTCAAAAGGCCTTTATGTTTTTTTCTTCATCAATCTTGTTTTCCTGGAAAAGGTTTTTTTCTCAGTTGACTGAATGACTTTTCTCCACTCTGTCTTGCCACTCTTGGTACATACATGAAAGGCCCTGAGATAACTTCTGATGGCCTAAGCCTCCTTGAGAAAACAGAAAAGGCACTACAGATCCCATTTTGGGAAAAATCTATATTTTCCTCATAGAAACCCTAGAATTAGAGACAGACAAATCCCTCTCAAAATCAGCTTTTGCCTTCCAGCTATGCCCCAGAAGCTACATACTTTCCTAGCCGTATTCTTAAAAGACTCCACCCTGAACTACTGAATCCTCTTCTGTTTGTGTAGTCATATATGTGACATGTGTGTGATGTCTATTTAAAAAAAAAGCTAATTAATTGACTTAAAAAATAAACACTTGAATCAAACATTTTTTAAAAAGAATATAAAAACTATGGTACCTTTCAATTCACATAACTTTAATTTTTAAAGAATAAAAACCGTCTTAAAAATTATTGATAAAATACAAATGTCTTCAAAATACAGATAGGTGGTCTAAATTATACAGGTCAGATACTAGATTTACTAAATATTTTAAGGTTGTAAACTACTTTGGCCTTTAAGAACTGTTCAACTTGCCTACTTTACAATGGGTGAAGCCTGGGAACATATGGAAATAGCCACTCCCCTAACTATACTAGAAAAAGTCAAACTTTATCTAAATCTAGTATATAATTAAAACAACTTATCAGATTTTCCATTAATGTTAAAAATTACTAAAAGTTACCATTAAAATATATCATTGAGACTACTGAAAATGGATTTACATACAGGGTACGTAAAAGCAGTAAAATGTGTTTTAGTAAATAATTATAAAAATACATAGAAATATACATTTTGCCTAAAAATAAAAGATTGTCTTAAATTAGATAAAATAAAACAAAAGGTTTAAACAAATTGTGGAAAAACTATAAAAATTAATCTTTTTTTAACCTAATGATATATCTTTTTTTTAATTTTATTATTATTATACTTTAAGTTTTAGGGTACATGTGCACAACGTGCAGGTTTGTTACATATGTATACATGTGCCATGTTGGTGTGCTGCACCAATTAACTCGTCATTTAGCATTAGGTATATCTCCTAATGCTATCCCTCCCCCCTCCCCCAACTCCACAACAGTCCCCGGTGTGTGATGTTCCCCTTCCTGTGTCCATGTGTTCTCATTGTTCAATTCCCACCTATGAGTGAGAACATGCGGTGTTTGGTTTTTTCTCCTTGCGATAGTTTGCTGAGATATTGACTAAATTCAAAAAGATGTTAAATGGATTTTTCTGTAAATTAAACGTTGAAATAAAAACACAACAAAATACTCTTAAAACACTAATCTACTCTTTAACTAAATTTGTAAAAAATTATAAAAGGTTTGTAAAAATCTCACCTTATAGTCAAACTGGTTAAGATTAAATAAAGTTATCCATAAAAGTTCATTAAAAATTGGGATTAACATTAATAATAGACTAGTACAAAGATAAAATTAAAATTAACTTTCTCTCTTAAACAGAATTTTCACGTAATAATTAAGACTAATAAAAGATATTTGCTTTTTCAAATATTTGAGTCATTTTAACAAAATAAGTAACTTATAATAATCTAAAAGTCTATTTTATAATATCAAATGTTTTAAAACTCTAACATATTCAACAAACGTCCCAAAATTAAACTTCAGTTTCAAGATTATCTTTCCTAACCCCTAACTTTTAGGGCACCTAGAACATCAAAAGAAAGATAAACAAGATATTTAATATATTTAAATAGGTGGGATTGCAAAAATGATATTTAATCTTCTTCAGATTATATTTCGATAAATAACATTAATATATGTTCCAAAATTGTATAAAATGTCTAAGATTCTAGTGTATACATATATGCTATCAATTATAATTAAGGTTATTATATTACAATATTATAAAATCAGAAATAACCAAATTTCTTTGTCCAAAATCGTGTGATATGTCTAGGATTCTAGTGTCTTTTTTTTTATTATACTTTAAGTTTTAGGGTACATGTGCACAATGTGCAGGTTAATTACATATGTATACATGTGCCCTGCTGGTGTGCTGCACCCATTAACTCATCATTTAGCATTAGGTATATCTCCTAATGCTATCCCTCCCCGCTCCCCCCACCCCACAACAGTCCCCAGAGTGTGATGTTCCCCTTCCTGTGTCCATGTGTTCTCATTGTTCAATTCCCACCTATGAGTGAGAATATGCGGTGTTTGGTTTTTTGTTCTTGCGATAGTTTACTGAGAATGATGATTTCCAATTTCATCCATCTCCCTACAAAGGACATGAACTCATCATTTTTTATGGCTGCATAGTATTCCATGGTGTATATGTGCCACATTTTCTTAATCCAGTCTATCATTGTTGGACATTTGGGTTGGTTCCAAGTCTTTGCTATTGTGAATAGTGCCGCAATAAACATACGTGTGAATGTGTCTTTATAGCAGCATGATTTATAATCCTTTGGGTATATACCCAGTAATGGGATGGCTGGGTCAAATGGTATTTCTAGTTCTAGATCCCTGAGGAATCGCCACACTGACTTCCACAATGGTTGAACTAGTTTACAGTCCCACCAACAGTGTAAAAGTGTTCCTATTTCTCCACATCCTCTCCAGCACCTGTTGTTTCCTGACTTTTTAATGATTGCCATTCTAACTGGTGTGAGATGGTGTCTCATTGTGGTCTTGATTTGCATTTCTCTGATGGCCAGTGATGGTGAGCATTTTTTCATGTGTTTTTTGGCTGCATAAATGTCTTCTTTTGAGAAGTGTCTGTTCACCTCCTTTGCCCACTTTTTGATGGAGTTCTTTGTTTATTTCTTGTAAATTTGTTTGAGTTCATTGTAGATTCTGGATATTAGCCCTTTGTCAGATGAGTAGGTTGCAAAAATTTTCTCCCATTTTGTAGGTTGCCTATTCGCTCTGATGGTAGTTTCTTTTGCTGTGCAGAAGCTCTTTAGTTTAATTAGATCCCATTTGTCAATTTTGGCTTTTGTTGCCATTGCTTTTGGTGTTTTAGACATGAAGTCCTTGCCCATGCCTATGTCCTGAATGGTAATGCCTAGGTTTTCTTCTAGGGTTTTTATGGTTTTAGGTCTAATGTTTAAGTCTTTATCCATCTTGAATTAATTTTTGTATAAGGTGTAAGGAAGGGATCCAGTTTCAGCTTTCTACATATGGCTAGCCAGTTTTCCCAGCACCATTTATTAAATAGGGAATCCCTTCCCCAGTGCTTGTTTTTCTCAGGTTTGTCAAAGATCAGATAGTTGTAGATATGTGGCGTTATTTCTGAGGGCTCTGCTCTGTTCCATTGATCTATATCTCTGTTTTGGTACCAGTACCATGCTGATTTGGTTACTGTAGCCTTGTAGCATAGTTTGAAGTCAGGTAGCGTGATGTCTCCAGCTTTGTTCTTTTGGCTTAGGATTGACTTGGCGATGCGGGCTCTTTTTTGGTTCCATATGAACTTTAAAGTAGTTTTTTCCAATTCTGTGAAGAAGGTCATTGGTAGCTTGATGGGGATGGCATTGAATCTATAAATTACCTTGGGCAGTATGGCCATTTTCATGATACTGATTCTTCCTACCTATGAGCATGGAATGTTCTTCCATTTGTTTGTATCCTCTTTTATTTCGTTGAGCAGTGGTTTGTAGTTCCCCTTGAAGAGGTCCTTCACATCCCTTGTAAGTTGGATTCTTAGGTATTTTATTCTCTTTGAAGCAATTGTGAATGGGAGTTCACTCATGATTTGGCTCTCTGTTTGTCTGATATTGGTGTATAAGAATGCTTGTGATTTTTGTACATTGATTTTGTATCCTGAGACTTTGCTAAAGTTGCTTATCAGCTTAAGGAGATTTGGGGCTGAGACAATGGGGTTTTCTAGATATACAATCATGTCATCTGCAAAGAGGGACAATTTGACTTCCTCTTTTCCTAATTGAATACCCTTTATTTCCTTCTTCTGCCTAATTGCCCTGGCCAGAACTTCCAACACTATGTTGAATAGGAGTGGTGAGAGAGGGCATCCCTGTCTTGTGCCAGTTTTCAAAGGGAATGCTTCCAGTTTTTGCCCATTCAGTATGATATTGGCTGTGGGTTTGTCATAGATAACTCTTATTATTTTGAGATACGTGCCATCAGTACCTAATTTCTTGCGAGTTTTTAGCATGAAGCATTGTTGAATTTTGTCAAAGGCCTTTTCTGCATCTATTGAGATACTCATGTGATTTTTGTCTTTGGTTCTGTTTATATGCTGGATTACATTTATTGATTTGCGTATATTGAACCAGCCTTGCATCCCAGGGATGAAGCCCACTTGATCATGGTGGATAAGCTTTTTGATGTGCTGCTGGATTCAGTTTGCCAGTATTTTATTGAGGATTTTTGCTTCAATGTTCATCAAGGATATTGGTCTAAAATTCTCTTTTATGGTTGTGTCTCTGCCTGGCTTTGGTATCAGGATGATGCTGGCCTCATAAAATGAGTTAGGGAGGATTCCCTCTTTTTCTATTGATTGGAATAGTTTCAGAAGGAATTGTACCAGGTCCTCCTTGTACCTCTGGTAGAATTCGGCTATGAATCCATCTGGTCCTGGACTCTTTTTGGTTGGTAAGCTATTGATTATTGCCACAATTTCAGCTCCTGTTATTGGTCTATTCAGAGATTCAACTTCTTCCTGGTTTAGTCTTGGGAGGGTGTATGTGTCGAGGAATTTATCCATTTCTTCCAGATTTTCTAGTTTATTTGCGTAGAGATGTTTGTAGTATTCTCTGATGGTAGTTTGTATTTCTGTGGGATTGGTGGTGATATCCCCTTTATCATTTTTTATTGCATCTATTTGATTCTTCTCTCTTTTCTTCTTTATTAGTCTTGCTAGTGGTCTATCAATTTTGTTGATCCTTTCAAAAAACCAGCTACTGGATTCATTAATTTTTTGAAGGGTTTTTTGTGTCTCTATTTCCTTCAGTTCTGCTCTGATTTTAGTTATTTCTTGCCTTCTGCTAGCTTTTGAATGTGTTTGCTCTTGCTTCTCTAGTTCTTTTAATTGTGATGTTAGGGTGTCAATTTTGGATCTTTCCTGCTTTCTCTTGTGGGCATTTAGTGCTATAAATTTCCCTCTACACACTGCTTTGAATGTGTCCCAGAGATTCTGGTATGTTGTGTCTTTGTTCTCGTTGGTTTCAAAGAACTTCTTTATTTCTGCCTTCATTTCGTTATGTACCCAGTAGTCATTCAGGAGCAGGTTGTTCAGTTTCCATGTAGTTGAGCGGTTTTGGGTGAGTTTCTTAATCCTGAGTTCTAGTTTGATTGCACTGTGGTCTGAGAGACAGTTTTTATAATTTCTGTTCTTTTACATTTGCTGAGGAAAGCTTTACTTCCAACTATGTGGTCAATTTTGGAATAGGTGTAGTGTGGTGCTGAAAAAAATGTATATTCTGTTGATTTGGGGTGGAGAGTTCTGTAGATGTCTATTAGGTCTGCTTGGTGCAGAGCTGAGTTCAATTCCTGGGTATCCTTGTTAACTTTCTGTCTCGCTGATCTGTCTAATATTGACAGTGGGGTGTTAAAGTCTCCCATTATTATTGTGTGGGAGTCTAAGTCTCTTTGTAGGTCATTCAGGACTTGCTTTATGAATCTGGGTGCTCCTGTATTGGGTGCATATATATTTAGGATAGTTAGCTCTTCTTGTTGAATTGATCCCTTTACCATTATGTAATGGCCTTCTTTGTCTCTTTTGACCTTTGTTGGTTTAAAGTCTGTTTTATCAGAGACTAGGATTGCAACCCCTGCCTTTTTTTGTTTTCCATTTGCTTGGTAGATCTTCCTCCATCTTTTTATTTTGAGCCTGTGTGTGTCTCTGCACGTGAGATGGGTTTCCTGAATACAGCACACTGATGGACCTTGACTCTATCCAATTTGCCAGTCTGTGTCTTTTAATTGGAGCATTTAGTCCATTTACATTTAAAGTTAATATTGTTATGTGTGAATTTGATCCTGTCATTATGATGTTAGCTGGTTATTTTGCTCGTTAGTTGATGCAGTTTCTTCCTAGTCTCGATGGTCTTTACAATTTGGCATGATTTTGCAGTGGCTGGTACTGGTTGTTCCTTTCCATGTTTAGTGCTTCCTTCAGGACCTCTTTTAGGGCAGGCCTGGTGCTGACAAAATCTCTCAGCATTTGCTTGTCTGTAAAGTATTTTATTTCTCCTTCACTTATGAAGCTTAGTTTGTCTGGATATGAAATTCTGGGTTGAAAATTCTTTTCTTTAAGAATGTTGAATATTCACCCCCGACTCTCTTCTGGCTTGTAGGGTTTCTGCCGAGAGATCCGCTGTTAGTCTGATGGGCTTCCCTTTGTGGGTAACCCGACCTTTCTCTCTGGCTGCCCTTAACATTTTTTCCTTCATTTCCACTTTGGTGAATCTGACAATTATGTGTCTTGGAGTTGTTCTTCTCGAGGAGTATCTTTGTGGCGTTCTCTGTATTTCCTGAATCTGAATGTTGGCCTGCCTTGCTAGATTGGGGAAGTTCTCCTGGATAATATCCTGCAGAGTGTTTTCCAACTTGGTTCCATTCTCCCCGTCACTTTCAAGTACACCAATCAGACATAGATTTGGTCTTTTTACATAGTCCCATATTTCTTGGAGGCTTTGTTCGTTTCTTTTTATTCTTTTTTCTCTAAACTTCCCTTCTCGCTTCATTTCATTCATTTCATCTTCCATCGCTGATACCCTTTCTTCCAGTTGATCGCATCAGCTCCTGAGGCTTCTGCATTCTTCATGTAGTTCTCGAGACTTGGCTTTCAGCTCCATCAGCTCCTTTAAGTACTTCTCTGTATTGGTTATTCTAATTATACATTTGTCTAAATTTTTTTCAAAGTTTTTAACTTCTTTGTCTTTGGTTTGAATTTCCTCCTGTAGCTCGGAGTAGTTTGATCGTCTGAAGACTTATTCTCTCAACTTGTCAAAGTCATCCTCCGTCCAGCTTTGTTCCGTTGCTGGTGAGGAACTGCATTCCTTTGGAGGAGGAGAGGCGCTCTGCTTTTTAGAGTTTCCAGTTTTTCTGCTCTGTTTTTTCCCCATCTTTGTGGTTTTACCTACTTTTGGTCTTTGATGATGGTGATGTATAGATGGGTTTTCGGTGTGGATGTCCTTTCTGTTTGTTAGTTTTCCTTCTAACAGACAGGACCCTCAGCTGCAGGTCTGTTGGAGTTTGCTAGAGGTCCACTCCAGACCCTGTTTGCCTGGGTATCAGCAGCGGTGTCTGCGGAACCGCGGATTTTCATGAACTGCGAATGCTGCTGTCTGATCATTCCTCTGGAAGTTTTGTCTCAGAGGAGTACCCGGCCGTGTGAGGTGTCAGTCTGCCCCTACTGGGGGGTGCCTCCCAGTTAGGCTGCTCGGGGGTCAGGGGTCAGGGACCCACTTGAGGCAGTCTGCCCATTCTCAGATCTCCAGTGCATGCTGGGAGAACCACTGCTCTCTTCAAAGCTGTCAGACAGGGACATTTAAGTCTGCAGAGGTTACTGCTGTCTTTTTGTTTGTGCCCTGCCCCCAGAGGTGGAGCCTACAGAGGCAGGCAGGCCTCCTTGAGCTGTGGTGGGCTCTTCCCTGTTGCTTTGTTTACCTAAGCAAGCCTGGGCAATGGCGGGCGCCGGATTCTAGTGTCTTAACTGTGACCACCCTAAACATTTTACAAACAATTGTCTTGTTTGAATCCTCTTCAAAAAATGATTTATAATCAACTATAAGACTTTAATAAATACTATCAAATACAGGTTTCTAATAACAGAAAAACATACGGAACTCATAAAAAACTTAAAATATTTACAAATATCAAACAGAACCAAAGTTAACAAAATAAACTGAACTAATAAAAAACTGAAAGAATGTTTTTAACTTTTACTTAGAAAGTTAAAACTTTTAACAACTAAGCAAAACATACTCCTATAAACAAAATTTAGAACATATTTATTTCTCTTTGCCTGGTTCCTCTAGAATTCAGAAACTGATTATGAATATTTTTAACTTACAACAATATACTTATTTACATCAATACAACAAAATCCATTTTATTTTACAACAGGACACAATTTTAAAAACTGGTTATTTTACAAGACTTTTACTTGAAAGATGTATTTCCCTTTAAAAAATCAAACTGGATTCACAAAACCAATAAAAGCCCTTTAAAACACTGGCCTCATACCTTGTCTACACAGTCCCCATACAGGGTTCCTAACCTGTGGTAAATAAAAAATATGACTTTCTAACAGGCCCAAGAACCCCATGTTCTTGGGACCTCAAGAAGAAAAGTGTTTACCCAACTCATAAATATTGAAAGATACAAACCCAAGACTAGACACAACTTTAAAAGGTCTTATCTAAAATTCCTCATGGAACAAAATTCCATCAAAACCAATTTTAATTTTAAAAGTCTATATAAAGATAATTATTCTGTGCTGGGCACGGTGGCTCATGCCTGTAATTCTAGCACTTTGGGAGGCCAAGGCGGGCAGATTGCCTGAGCTCAGGAATTCGAGACCAGCCTGGGCAACACGGTGAACCCCATCTCTACTAAAATACAAAAACTTAGCCAGGTGTGGTGGCGTGCGCCTGTAGTCCCAAATATTCAGGAGGCTGAGGAAGGAGAATTGCTTGAACTTGGGAGGCAGAGGTTGCAGTGAGCCGAGATCACGCCACTGCACTCCAGCCTGGACGACAGAGAGAGACTCCATCTCCAAAAAAAAAAAAAAAAAAAAAAAAAAAAAAAATATATATATATATATATATATATATATAATTATTCTTACTACTGTTTATACAAATAATCAAACCAAACATAAGACTAAAGTTTATTTTACAAACAACTCAATTCTATCCTATCATGATTTATTTTTAACAAAAATGAGGACTAAAGAGAAAGAAATTATGTTTCAAATTTTATCATACATTTGTCATTAAATTCTAATAGTTATTTTTAAGTTTTTGCCTACATTTTAAACTAACCCTACTTATTCCTGTGAACCAACCAATGATCTCCAACTATAACTTAAAAAAACAAAAAATAATAAATAATATAAAAACTAAAAACCTGTCTAATTCTAGACAAGTATCCTACAAATCCTACCAAATAATGAAAATAAATAGCATGCCCATAACCCAGAGGTTTATTTATTTAGAAAAACAAGACCAAAGAAACTAACAAAGCCCAAATACACCCAAATCTTAACAGACATAATTATAATCACCAATTGGCCTGGTGTGGTGGCTCACGCTTGTAATCCCAGCACTTTGGGAGGCTGAGGCAGGTGGATCACGAGGTCAGGAGATCAAGACCATCCTGGCTAACATGGTGAAACTCCGTCTCTACTAAAAATACAAAACAAAATTACCCAGGCGTGGTGGCGGGCGCCTGTAGTCCCAGCTACTCAGGAGGCTGAGGCAGGAGAATCGTGTGAACCCGGGAGGCAGAGCTTGCAGTGAGCCGGGATTGCGCCACTGCACTCCAGCCTGGGTGACAGAGTAAGACTCCGTCTCAAAAAAAAAAAAATTATAACCACCAATTATCAAAACATATCAACAGCCTCAAGATTTTTAAACTTGTCCTTACCCATGTTGTCTCATTTTAATACATGTCCTCTAATAACCCAAATTATTTCTTTTTATCTAAAAACTATCAAACTCCAAATAATAATACAAGTGAAATGATGCATAAACACCCCTTTCCTCTAAGAACCCTTAAACCAGCCCCAAGAAAAATCCTAACTACAGTTCCCTACACAACACCCCTCTCCAACAAAAAGTAGCCAAAAAAATTAACGCTCAATCTCCCTAACAACAGTTGAAGTCTCCACTTCTGAGGGAGGACTGAGAGAAGTTAACTAACTTGCCTTAGATAAACAAGAAAAGGGTCCCTAGAGAGCCCCTGACCCACAGGTCAGTGCCTCATCCTCACATAACACAGAAAAGCAGCCTGAAAAAAAAATCATACTACGGACGCCAGTAAGAGAACTAACATAGAAGATTGTGTCTGGAGACATACTCACGGCTACACACATAGGAGAACCTCCAGCCCATTCAGATAAAACCTTACAGAAATCTCTGACTCACTCAGATTAAAAAAAAAAAAAAAAAAAAAAAAAAAAAAAAAAACAAGGCCCAACATAAAAATGCGTTTGTCCTTTATAATCAACAGACTCCCAGGAAAAAGTTTCTTCTCCTTTTATAAACATTAACAAAATAAGCTCCAGTGGGTTCCAGTGTACACTTTCCTTTCCTTTTTAGACTGTAAACCCAGCCTCCATGAATCATCACTTCAACTCCTGATAAGTCCCAGACCAAATTGAAAAACCCTATAAATTGTCACTTCAACTCCTGATTAGCCCCGAACCAAAGTCACAGGCCAAACTGAATCATACTTTCTCCAAGACAACCCACAGACTAAACACATTCCTTCCTTTTCCCAATCCATAGAAACCCCAGACCCAAACCTCATAATGGACAACCCATTCAGGTCCCCCTCTCCACTACAAAAAACTTTCTTCTTTCACTTATTAAACTTTAACTCCAACCTCACCCTTGTGTCCATACTCCTTAATTCTCTTAGGCATGAAACAAAAAACTCTAAATACTATGTCAAACAATAAAACACTACTACATATTTTAATATGTGAATGAAACTACAACACTGATAATCAGGATTTTAATATTTTCCACTGTGGTAGCCCAGAAGAAATATTAGCTCACTAGCTGTTGCTCAGGCACTAGAAGAAAGTTAGCACAAGTCTCAAAGTCAAACCTGTCTTAGTTGGAATCCTGGTTTTACCACTTAATAGCTATGTGATCTTAGGCAATTTACTGAACATTTCTAAGCCTCAATTTCCTCATCTGTAAAATAGTGACAGTAATACCTATCATATGAGGTTATTACGAAGTGTCAATAAGATAATTTGATTCAGTTCAATTTGTGTACTGAATACCTTTTTAAAAATATGTTAAACTGTCTGACATGGTGCTAAGGTACATAATAATATAGTTACCCATTGTTTAATGTTTAACTATTATCGTTCCTAAACCTTGGCCTCATTTTCTAGGAGCTGATAACCAAGGTTTTTGGTTTTGCTTACTTGTTTGTTTTATACCAAAGGAGACCCCCTCACTACCAGATGACGAAAGTCCTTTATAATTGTGTTAAATGGAAAGCCTACCTTTTTGTCACCATCTCACCAAGAGAATCACTCTGGTTGGATTTTTCACCCAGAAAGAATACAAGTGGAAAAGAATTCTTGACCACGTGAGATCATGGAGCAAAAAAAAATTCACCTTTAATAGTAATTTAAAAATTCATATTTAATAATTATGAGTTACCATTTTTTTCATTACAAGGAAAAGATTTTTTAAAAAACATAATGTCCAATATTGGTGTGGATGCAAAAAATGGACACATCCATACATTACATTCTGTTGGTGATTAAATTGATACAAGCATTCTGGAGAACAATTAGGTGACATTCATCAAAAACAACTTACTAAGTCTCTTTGAGTCTCAGTTTTCTTATCTGTGAAATGGGAACAGCCATGTCTACTACACAGGGGTTGCATCAAGAGCTGAGAAAAGTCTGAGATTTTACCCTACTTGCAAGTTAACAAGTCATCTGGTGACAGTTTGATGGATGCTGATAGAAGACATGAGACTCCTGGTGGGGCACAGTGGTTCACACCTGTAATGCCAACACTTTGGGAGGCTGAGGCAAGTGAATCACTTGAGCCCATGAATTCAAGACCAGCCTGAGCAACCTGGCAAAAACTCATATCTACCAAAAATTTAAAAATTTCTGGATGATTTTTTGAACCTTGGAGGTCGAAGCTGCAGTGAGCTGAGATCACACTACTGTACTCCAGCCTGGGCGACAGAATGATACCCTGTCTCAAAAAAAAAAAAAAAACATGAGACTCCTTAGCCAGTGAAGAAAGTTTATTACTCATAGCCATGGAAGTAACCAGAATGTCAGCATTTTTACACTAGTTCCCAGAGCTCCAATTTCCAAAGGACAAAGTAAAGAGGTCCAGATGGCATCTATGTGCATTACAGGATAACATGTTGCATTATAGGAGACGAACCCTGAATTTAGAGAACTTTAATATTTTACAATGGGCAGCAATATGCCTACCCTTTGCTTCAGTGAAAGATATAATCTTTATCGTACTAAACAAAAAGCAGGTCTGCTTTCTGATCCTGATGGAGAAACTAGTTCTACCTTCTAAGGCCATTTGCTATACAAATATTTTTGTAAAGATAATACAAAGCAAAAGACATTCAGCTCCTTGTTTGAAAAAACATGCAGAGACTCAAGAGGATTATGGAGAATTATCTCCCAACAATATGTACTTTTCATTTTTACACAATCTTAGCTTCTGGTAAATTTCCCCATAAGTATACCACTCCATCAGCCTCTCTGACTACTCTGACTGACAGAGACTGGGACTACATCTGTTCAATTTGTATCATAGAACATTTAATTAAGGCTGCCACCAACAAAACAGGATTCCAAGCAGCAGGATAAGGGCAACCTGCAGTCTTGACTTCAACCGTGCCCCTCAGAATTCCAAACCAAATCAGCTAAACAAATCCTATAAACGACCTTAGAAAGCCATAAGTTTCTGTGTTGACCTTTTCCCTTTGCCTAGAGTATTAATACAAGTACAGCAGGATATATTAGTAATTTCACAGTTACTGTTGTCCTTAAGGAGGAATTCTAGGGCAGGTGTATCTTCTATAACAACCCTGGCCAATAAGTTGAACTTTACCCCAATGACTTCCAGGGCCAATGTGGTGCCATTTATCACTTTAGCTAAAGCCAGGGACAAATTTTATACCACAATTTCTAATTGAAAGGCTCTCACTGTAGGGAAAATTACCCACAGGATGCACATAAATAACAAGTCAGTTATCCCTCCAGCAAACTCCTCTGAGTAATCAAATTACTCTCATTTTGGAGCAGTATCTGCAGTGTTCTGAAGGCTACATTATCCACTGGTGGCATTTCCCTAAACACTTGGCTTCTTTTGCCAAAAAGGGTAAACTATCATTAGATTTCAAATACTCTGGAATGCTGAGATTCTTTTCAAGAGCCACAATAGTGTGGCTGGAGTCAGTTGGTTGGACTAGAACAGCAGTACCATAATGTGAAAAAAGTGTCAATAGAGGTGAGGTACCATTGATAGTCTTGAGGTAGGGCCAAAGGTTCGATGTAGCTAATCCAGAAATGGACAGGGCCCTATCCTATGTATTCTCTCTCACCATGAAACAACTAGGTCAACTTTTGGCAGGGATCACAAGTGTGTCATACAGTGGTGTCCTCTGCAATACAAACATCAAGTCCTTTTCTTTGTGCCCAGTCTCTGATGGTACATGTGATACAGGCAGCATTTCTGGCAATCTGGTCAGTGCAGACCTGAATAGCAGCTTGATTACAGTCTCATCAGAGAATGAGCCTTCACATGACATCTACATATGTGACTCTGATAGTGTGGTCAGTAGCTGCAAATAGTTTCCACAGCTTTCAGTCCCAAAGAGGGAAGTCTTTAATCAGTCTGTCTCTAGTTTTCCAAGTGGTAGACCAAACAGCTAGGCCATTGACAACAGTAAAAATATAACAACGTTCATCAAGAATAGTATTGCCAGAGTATGAGAATGACCTTGAGTTCTGTCCTTTAAGTAGAGTGACCGTGCCCATTTTCAGCTCTGTATAGCAGAAGCTGAGGTTGAACAGTTGTCACAGACCAGTGGACACCATTGGTTTCAGATTAGTGTAAATATAAGTGAATCAGGCCCAGGAATTTGGGGAAGCTATGTGAATTGAGGATTCCATGGAACCAGTGGCTTTGCTTCAGATGGCAGAGTGAGGAATAAATTTTCCCCCTTAGGGATAGCTGCCATTCTGTCATGTAAAGCCATGATGCTGCTGGAGCTAGGCTGGCTGCATTCTTGAATTCACCTTTTCTATTTGAAAAGTGAGGCTTGTTGAGTTTTCCTCACCTTATTAGTCATTGAGTCTAAGTTGACTCACCCCAAAGTGGAAATATCAGTCTGGATAGTCACAAGGCCTCCTTGGGTCAGGTGTTCAATTTTGACAAGAGCCCATTAGCAAGCTAATAGCTACTTTTCAAAAGAGGCATGTGTGGTAGCTTTATCAGGGGAACAGTGGGTTCAAAGCCCCAAAAGGTAAGAGGTTGCCTCCCTTCGCCAGATGATCTGATTGGAAAAATAATCAGTCACAGAGACTTGTAGCTTAAAGGGGTCATTAGGATTGTGAGGACCCAAAGATAGACAGCATGTCACAGCTTGCTGAAAAGATTCCAATTCAGCCTTTTGGCTTGGGCCCCACTCAAAGGATACTGATTTGAAGGACAGCTAATATGAAGGACCAAGTAGAATGCCCAAGAGAGACACATACTGTCTTCAATACCCAAAGAGTCAAAGAAGGTTTTTTTCTTTGATGCCTGGGGCCTAGGAAAAAACAGCTTTTTCTTGATTGCCAGAGGGATTAGGCAATGTGAATCTGCCCACATCATCCCAAGAAACTTCATTTGGCAAGTAGATCCCTAAATGTCTTTGGAGTTTATTAGCCTTTCTATTTGCAAAGGTGTGATAACACCAAAGTCAGAGCTATTGAGACTGAGGCGTCTGACTTAGCAACCAAGAGGACATCATCTATATCATGAAAACTATGGACTTCAGAGGGTAGAGACACTCATGCTAAATCCTGACCTATTCACTGGTGTCAAATGGCAGGGAAGTTTAAGTATCCCTAGAGGAAGACTACAAATACATGTTTGAGGTTTTGCTACATGAACACAAACTTTTATTGATCTTTGATACCTCTGATATGGCAAATAAGTCATTGGCAATGTTCAAAACAGCACACTAAGTGCCATAATTCCATGTAATGAATTCAGCTACAGTCACAATGTCTAGAGAGTTGGGGCTATGGGAACAAAAACTGAATCCAATGGGTAACAATTCACTGTAAGCTTCCTGCTCCTGTTAGTCTTTTTCACTGGCCATACAAGACTGGTGTGTTGAAATATTGTATCTTTTACTACCTCTGCTGCCTATAGGTATTAGTCAAGACAATTCCTCTTCTTCCAGGGATTCTATACTGTCTCTGTTGAACTGCACAGTAGGGGAAGAAAGCAATGAAAGTGTCTCACTACCACTTCTCTACATGTAGCTCTTTACAATTTAGAGAATCCCCACTTATGAGACAAAGAAGTACAAGAATATAGTGCATTAATTCCTACTATACATTCAGATGCAGAAACAGCATCATAGTACATTGAATTGGCCTAAAGGGTCCACCTAGAAGCTGACATTACTTTTCTGGCCCCAATGCAAACCCTACTTAAGCCCTATTACCTGAATCTGGGCACATTTTCCTTCTACAGGTTCAGGTTGAATAATGACTTCAGCACCCATATCCAATAAAACCACTAAAGTTCGAGTCCTTCCCCTCCCTCAAATTCCCCAGAATATTCAGATGATTGTGTATGGCCTTTTATCCCCCTTGGAATCAGTCACGTTTCTGTTTTTATTTTTAAAACATTTGAGATTGGGGTGCCTGGGGAGGGATCAGGTGGCATGTAAGGGAAGAGAAGCTGTGTGTCATTCAACAAGGCTTTGCATTAACTTTTAGTTTTTATTGGCATGGCAACTCATGACTCAACCAAATGAATTTCCAATGTTTTCAATTTGTCTAATGCTTTATATTGAGTGGCAAGGCACCAATAACTGACACCATTTATTTTAGCCTCAAGGACACGGACTCAGCAGCCACAGACACAGCAACAGACACATTGCTTTCTGGCTTGGACTGTGAGGTTTACATCCTCTGGCTGACCTAGGCTTCACTTAAACAACAGCAAATTGCCTTAACAAGTCAGCTTTAATCCAGGGCACCTAGAGCATCATTGCCATAACATCTCCTAAGTTTTGGGGCAATTTCAATATTAGAGTGAAGAGAGTTTTCTAAAACAGCAGGGCTGGTCACCAGAATTTATCTAGATTTATTTGGATCAATTTCTCATTCTCCAGTGGATCACCTTCATCAGCATCATGAACCAAATCCAGGCCAATAAGAACCTGACTACTAGTAAATACCTCATCTATGGTTTTCCATGGGAGTTTGGTTGTCTCAAGGAAATCTCTCAGAGAGTACCTAAACTTTCTTATAAGCAGCCAGGTTATAAGGTTGAATTGATAGGCTGAAGGAGCGGTTGATTTGTAAGATGGCCCAGCTATTGCTATTCTTCCTTAACAAGCGTTACATTCCCCACAAACCCAATCTCTAAGTGAAGCAGTCAACATTTTTAAAAAATCACCTGGTTTTGTAGCAGGACAAGCCGCAGACAAAACCCCTCAGACACCGAGTTAAAGAAGGAAGGGCTTTATTCAGCTGGGAGCTTCGGCAAGACTTACATCTCCAACAACCGAGCTCCCCGAGTGAGCAATTTCTGTGCTTTTTAAGGACTCACAACTGTAAGGGGGTCCACGTGAGAGGGTCGTGATCGATTGAGCAAGCAGGGGGTACGTGACTGGGGGCTGCATGCACTGGTAATTAGAACGGAACAGAACAGGACAGGGATTTTCACAATGCTTTCCTATACAATGTCTGTAATCTATAGATAACACAACCGATTAGGTCAGGGGTTGATCTTTAACTACCAGGTCCAGGGTGTGGCACCGGGCTGTCTGCCTGTGGATTTCATTTTGCCTTTTAGTTTTTACTTCTTCTTTCTTTGGAGGCAGAAATTGGGCATAAGACAATATGAGGGGTGGTCTCCTCCCTTAGTTTAGTTTGTACCCACAGTGGTTTTGTAACTGTTGTCTAAAAAAGGCAAGAACTTCTGCCCATCCAGGTTTCATCTTAGTGCTGATGGTTATAGTGGAGTGGGCCTTAGGGTAACCACCAGATTAATGAAGACATCCCTTTTGAGTAGGAGAGTTAGCAACAACCAGACCACTATTCAGGCAGAGGTCTTTAAACTCACTTTCCAATTATCAGCCTATAATCACCTCCCCAATGTCTCATTAACAGGAAGTAAAGTAAAGAACCATGTATTGCCTGGTTGACCATACAATTTGGTCAACAAGTTGCTACTGATTCACATAGATTTGCCCCAAATCCCATTTATTAGCCTATAAGGCCCTCAATCTTCCTCTTCTAGAAAATCTTGTCTCTATCAGCATCATTGCCAACTCATCACCACCTCATCATCAAAACTGTTAAGAACTGTGAATAACTATGAAAATTAGTTTGCCACAGTTTTATAGATGCTGGTAAACTACGTAACAGTCCTAGGGTAGGGACAAAGGACTGTTTATTACTAACGCAATAGCAGTAGTCAGAGTATCAGCATTTCATGTTGGTTTTTCAAGCCTCAGTTCCTACAGGGTAAGAGGAAGAGGGAAAAATGACACTTTCACACTCACTGAGTTGCATTAAAAGGAAAAAAATCTAAGCTTAGGGAACACAAAATTTTTATGCCCATCTTTTGCTCCAGAAGGATTCACTATTTCTATCTTCTAAGGCTATAAGCCTATTGGCCTTTCTTCCTTTGGAAGATACCTTCTCTATCTTGCAAGGTTGTTTCCTATACACATATTAGAGTTATTAAGAAATTATTTTAGGCAGATAGAGAGGATAAGGGGCCCTTGGTAAGATTTTTTTTTCTCCTTTTAAACAAGCTCCAGAAACATTTCTTGTCCCACAAGCTTTGATATGCAAATGCAGGCCATTAGAAACTGAGTCCATCCAATATGGCGATCCCCGCCTTCTTCTTCTTGTCACCACTTGTGCCTAGCATCACAGCCGCCCCCAGATATCCCCACATGTGTAGAACATCATGGCACCCTGCATTGGCATATTAAAAGGCTAGGGTGGGAGGCACAGTTTTTTCGCGGGCTACATGAATGACATATCTAGTCAAACCAATTCCCTGGGCCCTATGTAAATCAGACACCGCCTCCTCCAGCCTCCTAATATAAC
The DNA here is from genome assembly GCF_000001405.40 of Homo sapiens. Lineage (NCBI taxonomy): Eukaryota > Metazoa > Chordata > Mammalia > Primates > Hominidae > Homo > Homo sapiens. The sequence continues at coordinate 103,857,315 of NC_000023.11, read as the reverse complement.
GAACTGTTTTCTGCCACACTCGGGCTTTCCTCTCTCTGCTTGGAGCTCCCTCCCTCTGTCTCTGTACGGGGAGCCTCTTTCTTCTTTCTTGCCTATTAAACTCTCCACTCCTTAAAACCACTCCACGTGTGTCCGTGTCGTTTTATTTAAATCAGCGTGAGACAAAGGACCCTGGTGTTCCTCCAGTCATCTGAGCCGTATCACAAAAACCCTTGAAAAGATAGTCCAGAACAAAAGGCAATCAGTGTTTTGTTTGTAAGACATGCAGAAACAAGAAAAATTCATGGAGAACTGTCTCCCAACATGATATTTTCAGGGTCAAACAATAAAATGTAAACTATAAGTGCTACACATGTTGTAGTTGCTTGATACATAACATCTAAATCTTAGATAAATTTGCCTCTACAAATGTTTCAAATGGGTATGAGAGAAAGAGAAGTTCTTTTGAATCTATAGAAAATCCATTCTATTTCTGATAGTCAGTTAAAATGTTTTCCTAAAAGAAAAATAGGCAAATTGAACAATTTAGTGTGGTTTTTGCAAAATGTATTTCTAAGAGGTCTGTGTTATAGGATAGGTTATAAAATTGCGAATAATAAAATAAAACAACTTTTTGGTGCCTGTTTCTTGGGACAGGGAGTTGAATGACAAAGCTGTTGGCACCTAAGGAAAATCCCTCTTATCTTATTGAACAGGTAACAAACAAGGATAAAATACATGTGATGTACATGCATGCATTTCATGTAAATAAAGGTTTTTATCAATCTTTTCCCTGCTACTCTAAAGTCACTAAACCTAGGTAATGAGGCTGATTACCTAGGTAAAGGAAAAATGGCATCAAAGATCATAAAGTACAAAAAAGTAAGATATGACCCAAATAAATTCTCATCTGACAGGAAGAGGAAATAAAAAGCTCTTCCACTGCTGCAAATTATTTAAAAGTTAACCTAACATCCCAGTAGCAATGGGCACACCTAGTGCCTAGATCATGGTTTCCAAAACCATTCTCCAACACAAGGAATGAAGGCTCCTTGGATAAAGGGCTGAGTCTATGATTGAGGCAGGAAATATACAAGATGAGCCTGAAGCATCTCAGAGTGTCAAAAAGTAATAAAGCACTCAAAAAATCCCACAATGATGAGGGTATCTCAAAGGGATATAAGAGCCAACTGAAAGAGGTCCCCATAACCAAAGCTGGAGCAATTTAAGCAACAGAATAAAAAGTATTATTGGATTATAACTCTAAGTATAAAGTAAGTAGGTGTTCATACTGCCATAAATAAATGGATGAATAAATAAATAGTCTCCCATGCAGAAGAATCCAAATATTTTATGTAGATACTCTCAAGGAGGTGAACCATAGCTCCCAATTGTCTAAGTGTGGGCTGTGCATAGTGACTTCCTTCCAAACAGTAGAGTACGAAAAGGGGGTAAAATGTATTCCTTTATAGTGAAGAAACCTGACACATAATACCTCAGCCTGGTGATCAAGATTGACATCAACAGGAATAAGCCATGTTGATAGTATGTACCTTTAATATAATGTAATGAAAATGGCATTTACCACTGTGACCTTCTTCCCCAAAACATGTAACCCCAATCTAATCATGAGAAAGACATTGGACACATCCCAATTGAGAGACATTCTACAAAATCCCTTACCAGTACTCGACTATGCTGTCAGCTTCATAAAGAACAAAGAAAATTTGAGAAATATCACAGACAAGAGAAGCCCAACATTTAAACATGACAACTCAATGTATTGTGGTATCTTGAATGAAGTCCTGGAAGAGAAAAACAATATTAGATAAAAACTATAAAAACCTGAATAAAGTATGGATTTTATTTCATAATAATTATCAATATTGGTTCATTAATTGTGACAAATATAACATACTAATGTAAGATGTTAAAATAGGGAAAACTGGTTGCAGAGTATATGGGAACTCTCTGTGCTAGCTTTGCAATTTTTCTGAAAATATAAAACTTTTAAAATAAAAAGCTTACATTTTATTATAACACACTTCATAATCTTGGCTAACAGCAATCCCTCTGCCTGAAATATCCTTCCTATTGTATTTGTCTATTAAAAATTCTACTTATCCTTCAGGGTCTCTCCATGAAGCTTTCCTTGACCTACATAGTCAGACATTCAGACATTTTCATTTCCCTCTTCTCAACCTCCAAAGCACTTTGCTTGTACCTTTCACATGCTAGTCATTATATTCTGCCTTTTACTATAGTTATTTATGTGAATCTCTTAGCTCACCTATTGGCTTGTAAATTTCTGGACGGAAGGGAGTGGGTCTTTAATTCTGCAAACATTTATTTAATTTTCAGTATATGCCAGGCACTCTGTTAGGGCCTGAAGGCTACAAAGATGAGTGAGATTCTCCCTCCTCTTAAGGAACTCACAATCCGAAGGGGGAGGCAGAATGCATACTATTATAATATAAATCACACTCTGGTAGGTGCTGTAGGGAACTAAGGTATTATGTGCCTTTCATGTACCGGGGACTTTACATGCTTTCCTTTATTTAATCCTCACAACAACCTGCATAATAAGCATTACAATTCTGTTTTATAAATGAGGAAGTTAAGACTATGAGAGGCTAAATAACTTGCAGAATATCAGGGATTCAAACCCAGGTGTACTGATGTCCAAAGCCTATACTGTTTTCGTTTTACCATGATTTAACACAATGCCTGGTATCTAGTAGGTGTTCAATAAATATCTGTTGAAAAATGACTAGAGCACTGGTGGTATTCATCAGCCTCAAATTATACATATGAAATATACACAGTATATGGAATAATTTAAAGAGATACAAACAAGAAGTTTACATTTTAGTCCCTACTTGTTAATTCTCCACTGCAATTCTCAACTGATACTTCACTACTCAATCTGGCCTTTTAATTATTGATAACTTACCTTGAAGTCTTCTAGGCTCCTTCATATAAATAACTCAGAATTGCTGAAGAGCTGTGATCCCTTACATCATTAAATAATGGTTTTCCACAGCTATTCCCTTCAACAAAGCTCTGAAGGCTTGGTGAAGTCAACTGAAGAGTTATAAGCAACAGTTAAGCATCCTTTCCTTTACTTTTACTCACTGGACACTCACCTAACAAATATTTATTTAACACCTCATGTGTGGCATATGCTCTACTAAGAGCCATCAGGAAAACAAAATTTGATTAATGGCATGCTTATCAAGCTGTTATTTTAGCTAGTTTTCTGTTTTTTTTTATTGTACTTTAAGTTCTAGGGTACATGTGCACAACGTGCAGGTTTGTTACATATGTATACATGTGCCATGTTGGTGTGCTGCACCTGTTAACCCGTCATTTACATTAGGTATATTTCCCAATGCTACCCCTACCCCCTACCCCCTACCCCGACCCCAGGACAGGCCACCATGTGTGATGTTTCCCACCCTGTGTCCAAGTGTTCTCATTGTTCAATTCCCACCTATGAGTGAGAACATGCGGTGTTTGGTTTTCTGTCCTTGCAATAGTTTGCTGAGAATGATGGTTTCTAGCTTCATCCATGTCCCTACAAAGGACATGAACTCATTCTTTTTATGACTGCATAGTATTCCATGGTGTATATGTGCCACATTTTCTTAATCCAGTCTATCATTGATGGACATTTGGGTTGGTTCCAAGTCTTTGCTATTGTGAATAGCGCCACAATAAACATGCATATGCATGTGTCTTTATAGCAGCATGATTTATAATCCTTTGGGTATATACCCAGTAATGGGATGGCTGGGTCAAATGGTATTTCCAGGTCAAGATCCCTGAGGAATCGCCACACCGTCTTCCACAATGATTGAACTAGTTTACAGTCCTACCAATAATGTAAAAGTGTTCCTATTTCTCCACATCCTCTCCAGCACCTGTTGTTTCCTGACTTGTTAATGATCACCATTCTAACTGGTGTGAGATGCTATCTCATTGTGGTTTTGATTTGCATTTCTCTGATGGCCAGTGATGATGAGCATTTTTTCATGTGTCTTTTGGCTGCATAAAATGTCTTCTTTTGAGAAGTGTCTGTTCATATCCTTCACCCACTTTTTGATGGGGTTGTTTGATTTTTTCTTGTAAATTTGTTTAGGTTCTTTGTAGATTCTGGATATTAGCCCTTTGTCAGATGGGTAGATTGCAAAAATTTTCTCCCATTCTGTAGGTTGCCTATTCACTCTGATGGTAGTTTCTTTTGCTGTGCAGAAGCTCTTTAGTTTAATTAGATCCCATTTGTCAATTTTGACTTTTGTTGCCGTTGCTTTTGGTGTTTTAGTCAAGAAGTCCTTGCCCATGCCTATGTCCTGAATGGCATTGCCTAGGTTTTCTTCTAGGGTTTTCATGGTTTTAGGTCTAACATTTAAGTCTTTAATCCGTCTCGAATTAATTTTTGTATAAGGTGTAAGGAAGGGATCCAGTTTCAGCTTTCTACATATGGTTAGCCAGTTTTCCGAGCACCATTTATTAAATAGGGAATCCTTTCCCCTTTTCTTGTTTTTGTCAGGTTTGTCAAAGATCAGATGTTTGTAGATGTGTGGTATTATTTGTGAGGGCTGTGTTCTGTTCCATTGGTCTATATCTCTGTTTTGGTACCAGTACCATGCTGCTTTGGTTACTGTAGCCTTGTAGTATAGTTTGAAGTCAGGTAGCGTGATGCCTCCAGCTTTGTTCTTTTGGCTTAGGATTTTCTTGGCAATGCGGGCTCTTTTTTGGTTCCATATGAACTTTAAAGTAGTTTTTTCCAATTCTGTGAAGAAAGTCATTGGTAGCTTGATGGGGATGGCATTGAATCTATAAATTACCTTGGGCAGTATGGCCATTTTCAAGATATTGATTCTTCCTGCCCATGAGCATGGAATGTTCTTCCATTTGTTTGTGTCCTCTTTTATTTTGTTGAGCAGTAGTTTGTAGTTCTCCTTGAAGAGGTCCTTCACATCCCTTGTAAGTTGGATTCCTAGGTATTTTATTCTCTTTGAAACAATTGTGAATGGGAGTTCACTCATGATTTGGCTCTCTGTTTGTCTGTTATTGCCGTATAGGAATGCTTGTGATTTTTGCACATGGATTTTGTATCCTGAGACTTTGCTGAAGTTGCTTATCAGCTTAAGGAGATTTGGGGCTGAGACGACGGGGTTTTCTAGATATACGATCATGTCATCTGCAAACAGGGACAATTTGACTTCCTCTTTTCCTAATTGAATACCCTTTATTTCTTTCTCCTGCCTGATTGCCCTGGCCAGAACTTCCAACACTATGTTGAATAGGAGTGGTGAGAGAGGGCATCCCTGTCTTGTGCCAGTTTTCAAAGGGAATGCTTCCAGTTTTTGCCCATTCAGTATGATATTGGCTGTGGGATTGTCATAAATAGCTCTTATTATTTTGAGATACGTCCCATCAATACCTCGTTTATTGAGAGTTTTTAACATGAAGGGCTGTTGAATTTTGTCAAAGGCCTTTTCTGCACCTATTGAGATATTCATGTGATTTTTATCTTTGGTTCTGTTTATATGATGGATTACGTTTATTGATTTGCATATGTTGAATCAGCCTTGCATCCCAGGGATGAAGCCCACTTGATCATGGTGGATAAGCTTTTTGATGTGCTGCTGGATTCGGTTTGCAAGTTCTCTAGTTCTTCTAATTGTGATGTTATGGTATCAGTTTTAGATCTTTCCTGCTTTCTCTTGTGGGCATTTAGTGCTATAAATTTCCCTCTACACACTGCTTTATATGTGTCCCAGAGATTCTGGTATGTTTTGTCTTTGTTCTCATTGGTTTCAAAGAACATGCTAGTTTTCTTTAGACCTTAAAACCCTGCAGTAACAACTTCATTATTCATCAGGGAAATGCAAGTTAAATCTACAACTATATACCACTGCACACTGAATAAAGTGCCTAAAATCAAAAACTGACAAAACCATGTGTTGGCAAGGAAGTGGAAAAACTGGAACTCTCATACACTGCACAAGGGAGTGAAAATTGGAACAACCACCTTGAAGAACTGTTTGGCAGTATCTACTAAAGCTAAGAATACACATATCCAGTGACCCAGCAGTTCCATTCCTGAGTATTTACCTAAAAGAAATGAGTGTATTTGTACCCCAGAAGACAAGTACGAGAAAGTTTATAGTCATACTATTCATGGTAGCCCCCAAATGGAAACAATTCAACAATAGAATGAATAAATAAGTGGCAGTATATCCATGCAATAGAATGGCAGTAAGAATAACTGTCATTCAGGGAGCAACAAATCTCACAAAAATAACAGTAAGAGAAAGAAATCAAACACAAAAGAGTACATGGTATTTTATTCCATTCACACAACGTCCAAAAACAGTCAAAACCAATCGATGCTGTTAGAAATGAGGATTGTGCTGTCTATGGCCATACCACCCTGAACGCATCCAATCTCATCTGATCACAGAAGCTAAGCAGCGTCAGACCTGGTTAGTATTTGGATGGGAGAAATGAGGATTGTGGCAACTCTTAGATGAAGTAGTTAAGGAGCATGGATGGGCACACTAGGGAGCTTCTAGGGTGCTGGTACTGTTCTTTTTCTTGATTTGGTGTGGATTACACAGGTGTGTTCACTTTGTAAAAATGCAATTTGTATGTATGTTTTACTTCAAGAAAAAATAAACCTTACAAACAGAACTCTGCATCATATTTCATTCTTTTAGTAGTGTCTCCTAAGCTTACCTGATTATAAGAATTGCTTGGGGCCTTTGTTTAAAAATGTAAATTTCCAGTCTTTATCCCAGATTTGCTGAATCAGAATCTATGGGCATGGGAGATTGCAGAGAATCATCATTTAAAAAACAATCTTCTAAGCATATTCTTGGTATGAGGCAAGTTTTATAAACCTTGCTCTATAACGTTCAAGAATGCTTTGATTTACTGAAACTTTCGTATCTGCTTCCCAGTGCTGAGTTTTGATATCTAACTACCCAGTGCTTTGTAGGCATAAACTATCTAGAAGGTCCTTTAGAGAGCCTTAATTTCAATCTTCTTCTTTTAGAGTAGGAACAGAGACCCATGTTAATTTTTAACTTACCCAAGATTGTAATAAAAATGTCAAAAAGACATGAGGTGTGGCAAGAAGACTGATTATAGTTTTGTATTCAAAGTGATAAAAGATCCAATTTATGAAGAATGCACGTGCCCCTGAAAAGATCTATGACAGAGAAAGTAATGTCTTACTCCAATATATAAAGAAAGATCAGGGACTGGGGAGAGATTTTCAAATGTCTTGGGAAAGAGAAGTAATCAGAATGACCTATGAAACCAAGTGGTTAACATTAGTATAATAAAGGATTGGAAGCACTGATTGAGATAAATTCATACCATCAATCCAGTTTACACTAAACCAAAAAATTAAAGATATCCATAAAATTGATAGGATTTATGTGAAAGAAATAACAAAAGTCTTGCAAAGTGCACTGAAAGTTGTCATCATTTCCAACCATGCTGTGTCAAGAATGTAAATTAAATTCTTAAAAGACTGGGAACTTGGAAGAGGTTTATGTAAACTCAGCAAATTCCTGATCTTAGAAGAATGAGAAATAAGCGGAATGATTGATGGCATATAAGCCCTGTTTATCTCTCAACATGTCAGAGCAGGATGTGTGTGTGGGGGCTGGGTATTTAATGTATGTTGGGTGGTGGTTATATAAAGAATATTCAAAATAAAGCAAAAGACTCTGAAGAGAAAATAGATCTAGTCTTCTGTAGAACCAAATAATGAGAGATACTGGACAGCTATGGGGAAAGAAAGAAAGAATGAGTATGGCCCGAATAACATATTATACATATTATCTACAGATCTCCTAGAGCTGTGATTTTCAAACTTTAGTGGGTATCAGCATCATCAAGGCCCTTAGGAGTCTGTGAAAAATAAAGATTTTTATGTCCCTCTCCCAAGGATCCTGATTTAGCAGGTCAATGTAGGGCAGAGGAAGCTGTATTTTAACAAAAACACTCCCCCGCCCCCCCACACCCACATACGTACATCATGCCAAGGAGTTTCAGTTGCACACTGAAGTTCTCCAACTATTAATACTAAACCATGCTATAGCCTGTGAAGGATGGTGAAACTATGGCTAGAGAGAAATTTCCAATTGCCCCTGTATCCACTTCCTCCACATTCAAAGTCATGGGAAGGAGCTAAACATCTAAGTCATGTAGCGGAACCTAGGTCATGTGCCTATAGCTGGGAGCAGGGAGTAGGAATGTTTGGCTCCTCTTGGTCTCTGTAATGAGAGGCAGGGCCTTTTCTTCCATCAAGATGTATGCAATGGGCTGGGTGTGGTGGCTCACGCTTGTAATTCCAGCACTTTGGGAGGCTGAGGCGGGCGGATCACCTGAGGCCGGGAATTTAAGACCAACCTGACCAACATGGAGAAACCCTGTCTCTACTAAAAATACAAAATTAACCAGGCGTGGTGGCGCATGCCTGTAATCCCAGCTACTCGGAAGGCTGAGTGAGGCAGGAGAATTGCTTGAAGCCAGGAGGTGGAGGTTGCAGTGAGCCGAGATCATGCCATTGTACTCCAGCCTGGGCAACAAGAGCAAAATCCGTCTCAAAAAAAAAAAATGCAATGGACAAGTCCTCCAAATTGGAAAGGGGTTCATATACTATGCAACCATAAAAAAAAGGCAGATATTTAACACAAGACAACACTGTGAAAACTTGATCAAGTTGTTGAAGAGAAGAGTCCTTAGGCTAGGTGGCCATTTTGAGAACAGTAAATATTAGTATTTTGAGATCAGTGGACCAATAATTGATATGAATTTAACGCTCAAACTCTCTGAGACTCGAGAGGTTAGGATGACTTGCTGAAGGTCACTTACTAGAAAGTGGCAGACTAGGATTAGCCAGACTCTATGGAGGAAGGAGGATTTCAGTTGGGCCTCAAAGTAAAAGGAAAATTGAAAACGGCAGAGAAGAATATGGGATTGGGGTGAGGAGGGAAACCCAGGGTTGGGGCACCTTATGAGTACAAGAATGAGTTAGGACTAATAAGGTGTGTTTAGGAAAAATTGAATAGCTCAGTTTAGCTTGACTGGAATATTTGTACAGTGAAGAAGCAGGGGAAGATAAAAAATAGACAAGAGCCAGATCCTAGAGGGCCTTGGATGAATATTTTGGGAAGAATAAACTGGTCAGAGTGTATCAGATTGCTTGGATCTGGATGCAGGGATACCACCAGAGTGGGGAAAAAAAAAAAAAGGAAACAAATCCATATAGTGTATTGAAGCCAAAGCTCTAGAGTCAGAAGGTTCTTGGGCATGTTACTTAAACTCTCTTAGCCTCATATTTGCAAATCTGTAAGATAGGGTTAATAGTAATATCTACCTCATAAGGTTGTGGTGAGAATTAAGGATGTGAAGGCTAATGAGTGTATTAGTCAGGGTGATTGCAAAAAACAGATGGCACATTTGTATGAGACAATTTAGGAAAATTTAATAAAAGTAATAAAAGGACTATTATGAAAGATGTGGGTAGGGTATAGGAAAATCACAAGGGATAGCAGAGGACCCCAGATGAATAATGGTGAGGTTATTACTACTCCCAGTCCTGTAGGAGGGAGAAGAGGAAGTGGGCAAAGTTAGTTGATGGGAGGTGGAGATATTGAGAGAGTCATCTATTAAGTATTGTGAATTTAGCCATCCCACAGAGACGCTGCAGAGAGTGAGCTGAGTGAATAAACACCCTGACCTCATTCGCCTTCCTCTCACAGATCTCCTGCCAGGACTTCTCAAAGGTGGAACCCAACAGAAAGCCAGGCTATAAGAAAGACCCTCCAAAAGCCAGAGAAGGGGGTCTGAGCCATAGTCACAGCTGCTTTAACCCACATCCATTCACCTAAAAATCACCCACACTGAACCATATTTCCTCAGTGTCAAAAAACTGTATTTCGCAACTATTATTCCCCAGAATATTTTCGCAACTCCTCTGGGGAAAAAAAAAAAAAAAACATATCCATTAGGATCATGTCACTCCAATTTCTTCTTGCAGCCCCTGGCAACCACCAATCTAGTTTTTGTCTCCATATAATTACCTATTTTGGACATTTCACATAAATAGAATTATTTCGTGACTGGCTTCTTTTACTTAGCTTAGTGTTTTCAAAGTTGATCCATGTTGTAGCATGTATCAGTATTTCATTCTTCTTCTGGCTGAATAATATTCTGTTGTATGGATACACAGTAGATAGACTTCACTTATCTGGAGGGGATATGTTCCAAGCCTCCCAGTGGATGCCTGAAACCTCAACAGTACTGAACTCAACTGCCATCAGTCAGAACATGTTTCTATTGATGTCTTCCACCTACAAATTTAATGACTTTTCCACCTTAGCTAAGCACTTAACAGGCACTGTGGCCATAACTTTTGCAGTTTGAGGTGTGACAGGAAAACTAGCACAAATTTATTTTTCCTTCTTCACAATTTCACAGATAGAAGATTCATTCCTACCGTAGATCTTAGCAATCTCAGCATACAATTTTTTTTCTTTCTGTATTAAGTCAAGAACTTTTACCTTTTAAGTGAAAAGAGGCACTTGATGGCTTCTCTTTAGCATATCTGAATCAGCATCACTACTCTTGCATTTTGGAGCCTTTATTAAGTAAAATAAGGATGACTTGAACATAAGCACTGTGATGCCTGAGATGACTAAGTGACTAGCAGGCAGGTAACATATAGTGTGGAGATGCTAGACAAAGGAATCATTCATGTCCCAGGCAGGACAGAGTGGGATGATGCCAGATTTCATCACACTCAGAATGGTATGCAATTTAAAGCATATGAATTGCTTATTTCTAGAATTTTCCATTTAATATTTTCAGACTGAAGTTTATCACAGATAACTGCAGCCACAGAAAGCAAGACCACAGATAAGGGGGCACTGCTTACCACATTTTGTTTATCCATTCACCAATTGATAGACATGTTGTTTTCATCTTTTGGGTATTGCCGCTATTTATCTCCATGTACAACTCTTTTGTGTGTACAGGTTTTCATTTCTCTTGGCTGTGTAACAAGGAACGGAATTGCTGGGTCACATTTTGAGAAATTGCCAAACTGTTTTCCAAAACAGTTGCTCCATTTACAATTCCATCAGCAGTTATGAAGGTTCTCATTTCTTCACATCGGTGTCAGCACTTGTTATTGTCTGTATCTTAGCCATCCTAAATAGCCATCCTTAACCATGAGGAGTGAGGTGGTATCTCATTATTGTTTGATTTACATTTCTCTGTTGACTAATGATGTTGAACATCTTTTTATATGCTTATTAGCTTTTGTATACTTTGGAGAAATGTCTATTCAGATCTTTTAACAATTTTTAATTGGGTCAGTCTTCTTTTTATTGTTCAGTTACAAGAATTATTTATATATTTTGTATACAAGTCCTTTATGAGATCAATGATTCACAAACATTTTCTCCTATTCTGGAGACTGTCTCTTTTCTTGATGATGTACCTTGAAACACAAAAGCCTTATATTTTGATGTCTCATTTTTCTGTTTTTTCTTTTGTTGCTTGTGCTTTTTTGTGTTATGTCTAAAAAACTATTTCTTAATCCAAGATCACAAACATTTACTCCTATGGGTTTTTTTTTTCTAAGGGTTTTAAAGTTTCAGCTCTTACATTTAGGTCTATGACTCATCTGAGTTAATTTTTATTATGTGGTGTGAAAAAAAGATTCCCCAACTAGTGGCTGCAAGCCAGCTTGCCCTATCTCTCAGGTTCAGGACTTTTCTTCCTGGTAGCCAGCCAGCTTTTTTTCCTGGTAGATTCCTATTGCACACAATTGGCTTTTTCTCATTACTAACACTAAATCTCTTTTTCATAACTTACATTGTCAAAATATTACTCAACTAAAACCTGATGACCTTGGGTTTTTCGTTTTGTTTTGTTTTCAGAGGAATGAAAGAAAAAATCCCTGAAGCTGATTGCGGCTGCAGTACATCCTTCCAACTTGGAGGAGAAATGGTAATAAAACAGCTTACTGCTGCCACCTGCCGTCAAGCATGGTTCAGACAATAACTGTCGCCCCAGAAGTTAGTGGCCAGGCTTAGCAAACTTAAACACTTTGGGAATAGGGTAAGCAGTAGGAGTGAGTAAAAGGTGCTGGTTAGGAACTATGTTGAATTGGCTAGCACCAGCCCAAATAAAGTAGGCAATAGCGCCTTACCTCCAAAGGATTATCACAGCAAGGGAACACTGGTCCAGTAAGAAGAGATCTTGAGGTGTTTTGTTTTTGTTTTTGTTTTCTTTTTTCAAGATAATTCAGAAGTCTACATTTTCAAAAAATGAGCTTTCCCAATTTTTAACTGACAATTTAAACAATGTAAGGGTCATGAGACCAAGCAAAGCAAGTCTCTAGGATAACAGTTTCCAACATCTCTTTCTTCTGAAACAGTCCCAAGGACTGTTTTAATAAATATGGGAGTCAAAATTAGAAGCTACTTGCTCTGATGAAGTTGAAGTGACATTAGTGGTGGCCCAGCATCTTCAGGCTGTCTGACTTATTCTGCAATCTGAAGACCTGGGCTTCTTTTGGGGTAGGGACCAAGTCTTCTTCACCTTTGTATCCCCATCAGTGAGTGTATTTCCCAGGGGAAGCAGATGCTCAGTCAACACAAGATAGATGAACAGGTTTGTGCTTTGGCCCTGCCACAGTACAGCTATATGACCTTGGGTGAATCAGTTAGCTTCTCTGAGTGCCCATTTCATCATCTATAAAATGTGAGTTATGAGGCTCTTTTTTGGTGAAAGTGGTCTTTTATCAAAGGTGACTGGATAATGGAATGTTTACATTCTCCAAGAAGAGATTCTTGAGTATACACTGGGTTAACTGCAGCTGAGAGGTCCTCAGATTTCAAGAAACCAAATGCCATGCTAAAAAGAACCCTTATGAAAATCAGCCTCAGAATAATTTAACACAGACTGAAAGTCGAAGTGCTTCAACTTGAACATAAATGAGGGTAAATTGGATGATTAAGGCTAAGTCCACAACTTTGCCTTCATTCACTACTCAAAACCTTCTGCCTAATTAATTTTATAAAATGTGAACATTTTAGTCTTTAAAATGCCATAAATTGTGGCAATTGTGAAGGGCAAGTGTCAAGATGGAAAGATGAGTGAGTTGCAAACCAGATGCAATGTCCCCCAAAACTACCTGATCATAATACACTCACGTTGCTGTGGGGCCTTGTTAAAATACAAATTCCCAGGCACCACACATCAAGATTATGATTTAGTAGGTCAGGTGGATAGAATTTGTTTTATCCGTATTTCACAAGGCCCCCAGGTGATTCATATGATCAGGCAAATTTGGAGAACTCTGAAGAGGACTTGATTTCTCATCTTGAGTCTAGGCTAGTAACATAAATTTGTAGAAGTTCTCTGCCTGTGATAAAATGAGAATCTGAATTACCAGATTTAGCTTTGATTATCAGGTTTTAAGGTTCCTTTAAGATCTAAAAATCTATATACTGGCCGGGTGTGGCGGCTCACACCTGTAATCCCAGCACTTTGGGAGGCCGAGGCGGACGGATCACAAGGTCAGGCGATTGAGACTATCCTGGCCAACACTGTGAAACCCTGTCTCTACTAAAAATACAAAAATTAACCGGGTGTGGTGGCGCGCACCTGTGGTCACAGCCACTCCAGAATAGTAGGCAGGCCAATCGCTTAAACCTGGGAGGCAGAGGTTGCAGTGAGCTGAGATCACGCCACTGCACTCCAGCCTGGTGATAGAGCAAAACTCCGTCTCAAAAAAAAAAAAAAAAAAAAAACAACAACAAAAAAAAAAACTATATACTGTGTTCATAAATCATATATCTGAAAAAAGACTAGCATACTCATTCCCTCCTTTTATTCCTACTGTTTCAGAAGTCTCACATCTCTAAAAAAGGAAAAACCATTTTGACCAGTCTCATATTCTTGAAGGCCTCTATTTAGACTTTTAATGTTTTTTCAGAAAGATTGTACATTCAGAAAGTCTAGTCCTAATTCCTGACATAAACTGACAAGATTAAAGAAAATGAAATTTATTAGACAACTTTAAACTTGTGTCTTATTACTAAACCATAGACAATAAAGAATATTACTGGTTACATTTTAAATTTTTTGTTTTGTAAATATATTATATTACATTATGTGGAAATTTTGGTGGTGATAGAAGTGTCAGTATGTTAAGTATAAACATTTTAAACATCTCACAATGTTTAGATCCTGTTTTGACATGTCTTTATTATTTTCTTTTAATATACCACAAGCCTGGAAAATGACAGTGATGGGCTAGGCATCTTTGGAACTCCAAGAGTCTCTGTCTCTAATTAGATACTGGAAACTTTCTTCCTCTTATCCAAAACTAATTGTTTCACTCATGCTCTTATCCCATTACTTCTAGAACCCTTATCCAAGATTTATTGCAGTGTCTCCTTCTTTAGGATCTCACCTGTATAACTGTTTCTTCTTGATCTTGTTAAGCAATCCTCTTTCTCCTCCAGTCCCCTAACTGGGGTTTTCCCAAGGATTCAGTTATAGCCAGTGCTCACAAACTCAGGTTCTCACAGGGGCCAGGCAGTAGACAAAAATGACGCAGCATCTGCTGGTGGTTTCTACTCATATGTCCCACCGTCATTTAATATGTCTACAAAGAAACTCAGCAACTTCTTTTGAAGCAGTTCTCCCTCCACTCCTGCTTTATAAATTTTTTTGTCAATGACATAATAATTCTCCTAATTCATCAATCTAGGATGACTGAAGTGTCCTGACAGAATAGTCAGAAAAAGGTTGTGCTAGTGACATCAACATAATAGTGATACTACCACAGATCTAGTCAGGATCCAGGATGAGGCAGGAAACGACCATCATAGTAATGGGCAATATCAGGTCCGCGTAAGTCATGGCAGCAGAGCAAGACTAGGTAGGATTTAGGTACATTATATAATACTAAAAAGGTGCCCCAAAGCCAGTCTCAAGCCGGTCTGTTCATAGCACCAAGAAAAGTTCTAAAGAAATAGTTGCCTCAACTAAGTTATCCAGTTACATTTCAATTAGGGCAGTTCAGGACTGCTGGCTGGCCTAAATCCCAGAGAAGGACCCTTCAGTGAGTGATTCTTAACCTTTTCTGGTCATGAACCCCTTTGAGAATCTGATGAAAGCTGTAGAATTTTTCCCTAGAAAAATGTAGAGATCCACACATTCATAAATTATTATTTAGAATTTTAGAGGTTTTATGAACCACTTGATCCTATTCATAGACCCTAGTCCAAAAACCTCTGCCACAGGCCTTAAAAGACCTTGGCTAAATAGAGCAATGCTGAATCTCCTTAGGAGTGGGGAAGGTCGAGGAAGGAATACTCTTTGCTTAGATGACTGAGCTTACCATCAGAAGTTCCTATGTCTTCCATGTTCTCTCTCGATAGATTCTGTTAATCTGGACTGCCAAAATATATTAAAGGAAGCCCTCATGCCTGGTGTTTTTAAGTTTTCTGTATCAAAAATATTATTAATTGACCATAAAGCTTATGATTTATGTATGAACTCTCAATTCTACTTCATTTGGTCTATATGTCTGTTGTTATGTCAGTACCATGCTATCTTGATTACTGTAGCTTTGTAGTATGCCTTGAAATCAAGAAGTATGAGTCCTACAATTTTGTTTTTCTTTCTTAAGAGTGATTTAACTAATTTGGTCCCTTGTATTTCCATATAAATTTTAGCATCAGCTTGTCAATTTCTGTAAAAAAAAAAAGGCAGATGTGATTTTCATAGGGAATGTGTACAATCTGTAGATTAGTTAGGGGAATATTACCATCTTAGCAATTTTAAATCTCCCAGTCCATAAACATGGGGTGTCTTTCCATTTATTTAGGTCTTCTCTAATTTCTTTCAATGATGTGGTTTTGCTTTCTGTGTACACATCTTGAACTTCTGTTAAATTTATTTTTAAGTGTTTCATTCCTTTTGATGCTATTATAAATGGAATTGTTTTCTTAATTTTCCTTTTAGATTGTTCATTGCTAATCTATGGAAACATTATTTATTTTTATATATTGGCTTTTACTCTGAAAACTTTCTGAACTCACTTATATTTAATCGTTTTTTAAATAAATGTTATTGCTTATATTTGAGGTATAAAACATGATGTTATGGGATATGTATAGATAGAAAAGCAGTTACTATAGTGAAGCAAATTAACGTACCTATTATCTTACATAGTTACTCTTATGCGTGTGTGACAAGAGCAGCTAAAATCTATTTAATAAAAATCTCTAATACAATACAATTTTATTAACTATAGTCTTTACGGTGTACATTCACTCTCTAGAGTTGTTCATCCTACATGTCTGCTACTTTGTATCCTTTGAATTAAAACTCCCCACCCCTGGTAACCACTGTTTTATTCTCTATCTCTATATATTTGACCTTTTTTTAAAAAGATTTCACATATAAGTGAGATCATGCAATATTTTTCTTTCTATGTCTGGCTTCTTTCACTTAGCATAATGTACTCCAGTACCATCCATATTGTGGCAAATGGCAGTCTCCTTTTTATGGCTAAATAGTACTCCACTGTGTATATGTACCACATTTTCTTTATTCATTTACCTATTGATGGACAGTTAGGTTGATTCCATATCTTGACTATTACAAATGATGCTACAATGAACAAGGGAGGGCAGATATCTTTCTAATGTGGTGATTTCATCTCCCTTGAGTTTATAATTCGGAGTAGGTTTGCTAGGTTATATGGTAGTTCTGTTTTAAATTTTTTTAGGACTCTCCATACTGATTCTTATAATGGTTGCACCAACCTATATTCTCACCAACAGTATACAAGGGTTCTCCTTTCTTCACACTCTCACCAAGATTTGTTATCTCTTGTCTTTTTTATTATAGCAATCCTAGTGAGTATGAGGTGATATCTCATAGTGGTTTGGATTTGCAGTTCCCTGATGATTAGTGAGGTTGAGCAATTTTTCATATTTGATGGCCATTTTTATGTTTTCTTATGAGAAATGTCTATTCTTCTTTAGAGAAATGACTGTTCAGGTTCTTTGCAAGCTTTAGTAGTTTTTTAATAGATTCCTTAGGATTTTCTATATTTATGAACATGTAATCTTTAAATAAAAATAGTTTTACTTCTTCCTTTCGATCTGGATACTTTTTGCTTCATCTTCTTGCCTAATGGCCCTGGCTACAACCTCCAATACAATGTTAAATTGGAGACGAGAATGGGCATCCTTGTCTTGTTCCTGATCTCAGATGAAAAGCATCTAGTCTTTTATCCTTAAATGTGATGCTCACAGTGGGTTTTTCATTTATGTCCTTTATAAGATTGAGGAATTTCTTTTATGCTTCTAGTTTGTTGATTTTTTTTTTATCAAGGAAAGGGTGTTGGATTTTGTCACCTACTTTTTCTGTGTCTACCGAAATGATTAATGCCACCTATAGACATCTCACTCCTCAGATTTTCCTTCTATGTTTTTATGTCAATTTCTTGTTTTCTCCCATTGTTATCGTTACCACAGGCAACTGCAATGTTAAACAATTGCTGCTGGTTGTTTTAGACAAATGCTCTGAGGAAAAGAGTATTCTGCTATGAGCAAGCTCTGAGTCAGGTGAATTAAAGAGAAACTCTGTGAGTGGGGGTTTCCAGGAAACTGCCAGACCAGTCAAATAATGACAATTCTCTGGGGATGAGGCTTTGGAAGTGTTCCAGTCCCATTCTGACCCCTCCAGTGACTGCAAGACTGCTGGTTTTCAGTGTGATTGTGAGTTGTTGGTTTTCAAGTTTACCACAGAAGTGAGGAGAGAGGATGGGAATAGGATGAGTTAAAATGCCAGAAATCTCCCTGGTCTTACTGAGATTCAGATGATTTTTTTTAATAAATGCTTTGTGAATTGATGCAAGTCCTTGATCAATTTCTAAGCGAGGCTAATATTGACCACTGGTTCAGGTTATAGCTATCATTTTTTAAGTCTGCATTGCTTGTTCTAGTGTGCTAGTTATTCTATCTTGTGGTAGCAGTTGGGGGTGAAAGAGAGAAGGGGACAGTGGGTGCACCTGAAGTGTATTTTTAACTGTTGGCATCATCACCAGTACTAATACCATATAATGCACAAGTTGAAAGCAATGTCATATTTCCTGGTATTTGCTGTCTGATACCTTGTAAATGACCAAGAAGGCATTAAGCTCATAACTGAGAATGCTAAAGACAGATAATCTCGAAAGAGGAATGTATTTGAAGGCCACTGGTTATATCTTCTAAACCTTGAAGCTTTTCATTATTTTTGAAGACTGAGTTTTTCCATGAGCTTACTCATCCTCAGTAATTTCAGTGCCAACAGGTGTCCTCCCGTAATCAGTGATATTATGTTAAATTGTGTTTTTATTTCAAAAAACTTATGTGATATTTCTGTTCATGTTGGCCCTAGAAAAGCTTCAAACAAATGCATCAGAAGTGTATAGACAACATAAAATACTAACAAAAAGATCATGACATACACTTTTCATACAAGCTGGAATAATTACGCAGTAAGAGCTATTTCAAAAGATGAAGTATTTTATTACTTTATTTTACCTTTGACTGAAATTCATCAGAAAAATAACTATTTCTACTTGCTCTTCATTTGGTCATGTGTTGGCATGATTTTGGGGAGAGAGGGTCATGATTTTTTTCAAAAATAGCTTTTGAAACTTTAAAGCATTATACAAATTGTAAAATTCCCTTATGGAAGAATTACAGAACTCTTTAACGGGGATGGCACCTTTCTACCCTATCTAGAATTAAAACACAATGACTAATTAATGTAAGAAATTTATATTTGTACTGCTTTTCATTTTCCAAGGTGCTTAGTGAACTTTGTCTCAGTTAGTTGGTCCCAGTAACATAATAATGATATCAGAGTAGGTAATATTAGTCTCTTTTTATAAATGAAGAAATTGTGGCCAAGAAGTCTAGTGATTTAGCAGAGTTCTCATATATCCTATATGACAGAGTTAGCCAGCACCAAAACCCAGGCATGCTGACAACTGGTTCCATGCATTTTGCATGAGGTCAACTGCCTCCTCCAAATAGTAATAGAAACAAATTTCACCCATATTCTATCCTAGCCCCCTTAATAAATTTAACTAACAATAACTATGAATCCCTCAGCATCCCTTCCAGTCTGTGGCTTAATGTACTGTACATTTGCTGTTTATCTACAGTATAGAATTTATACATAGTATTTCCTACTCTGGGAACTGAATGCTCGAGTGGGTTATTGTACTGACAGAAGATTGAATATATTTTCTTTGATAGGGAAGTAAAACCTTATTTTTTTCAGCAAGTGTATGAAACTCCTTACTCTTTAGCTATCAGTCCCCCAACATCCCTGTCTACCTGTCCCCTAGTCCTAAGTGATCACTAATCTATTTCTCTTTCTGTACATTTGCCAATTTTGTACATTTCATATACATGGAATCAAATAAGATGTAGTCTTTTATGACTGGCTTCTTTCACTTAGCGTAATGTTTTGAAGATACATACATGTTATAGCATGTATCAGTACTTCATCTCTTTTTAAGGCTGAATAATATTTCATTGTACGAATATATTACACTTTATTTAGACATTCATCAGTTGATGTACATTTGGGATTTTTCCACCTTTTGGCCATTATGAATGACGCTGCAATAAACAATCATGTAAAAGCTTTTGTGTAGATATATGTTTTTACTTCTCTTGGGTATATAACTGGAAGCGGAATTACTGGATCTTAAGGTAACTCTGTGCTTATCTTTTTTAAGACACTGCCAGCCTTTTCCAAAGTGGCTGCAGCATTTTTACAGTCCCATCAGCAGTGTATGAATGTTATGCTCTTCATTTCTTCCACATCCTCACCAACACTTGGTATTATCTAATTTTTATAGCCATCCTAATAAGTGTGAGATGGTATCTCATTGTGGTTTTGATTTGCATTTCCCTTATAATTAATGATGCTGAGCATCTTTTTATGTGCTTATTAATCATTTGTACATCTGCGAAGAAAAGTCTATTCAGATGCTTTGCTCATTTTTAAATTGGGTTATCTTTTTATCTTTGAGTTGTAAGATTTTTTTAAATATGTTCTAGATAACTTCCTTATCAAGTATATTATTTGCAAATATTTTCCCTTATTCTGTGAGTTGTCTTTTTACATTTCTGATAGTGTTCTTTGAAGCACAAACATTTCTCATTTTCATGAAGTCCAATTTATTTATTTTTTCTTTTGTTGCCCTTGCTTTTGGTGTCATATCTAAGAATCCATTGCCTAACTCAAGACCAGACTTACTACTGCTTTCTTCTAACAATTTTATAGTATAATCCATTTTTAGTTAATTTTGTATGTGCTGTGAGGTGAGGGTCCCACTTCATTCTTCTGCATGTGGCTATCCTGTTATTCCAGCACACTTTGTTGAAAAAATCTATTCTTTCCCCATTAAATGGCCTTGGCAGCTTTGTTGAAAATCAATTGACCATAGACACGTGTGTTTATTTCTGGATTCTCAATTATATTTTACTGATCTACATGTTAGCCTTATGCCAGTACCACACTATTTTGGTAACTGTAGTTTTGTAGTAAGTTTTGAAATTGAAAAGGCTGAGTTCTCTTGCGGGATTGTGTTGGCTATTCTGGGTTCCTTGAGTTTCCATAAGAATATTAGGATCAGCTTGTAAATTTCTACAAAGAAGCCAGCTGGGGTTCTGACAGGAATTGCGTTGAATCTGTAGATCAATTTGAAGAGTATTTCCACCTTATAAATATTGTCTTTCAATCCACAAACATATGATATCTTTCCGTTTATTTAGATCTTTTTTAATTTCTTTCAACAAAGTTTTGTGTTTTTAAGAGTGTTACTTTTGCACTTCTTTTTTTTGCACTTCTTTTTTAAAATTTACTTCTAAATATTTCATTCTCTTTGATGTCATTGTAAATGCATTCTTTTTAACTTTCATTTTTGTATTCTTTCTTAAAATTTATTTGTTGAAGAAACCACGTTTTTTTCTGCAGTTTCTCCCCCCTCAACACACAGACACACACACACACACCTGCACTCTAAACCACACACACACACACCTGCACTCTAAACCTAAGTCTGGATGTTGTTGCTTACATCCCTACAATGTTAACATATTTTTCCTTGTATTTTTCTAAAAATTCATAGTTATATCTAGGAGCTTGATAGGGTTCAAATTGCATTTTTTGACAAAAAATACTTTCTATGTGCTGCTGTGTTTTTCCATCAAGAGGCATATGATATATGGTTAACACTCCTTTTGTAATGTTAGAAGACATTAACTATTATTACCTAGATCCACTAATTCATTAAAGGTTGTAATTTTATCATTCCTTCATAATTTATTAGCTGGGAATCTTTTTAAAACACTTTCCTCGCCAACTCCTTTGTTACACCAAGGAATAATTTGTATTTAAAAAAAGCAGGTTAAATGTTTGAGTCACTCTCTTTATTTACCAGTTTTAAAATAATGAGCTAGCTTTCTAGGTTTGGCCAAATTGAGCAATTATGTTTTTAAGTGTTTTTATGAATTTGTATATTTAAACATATTTGATATATTTCAATTCATTGTAGTTATTATCTTTACTGATGCTCAAATTGCCCCGTGTTTGACTGATGACAGCCTCTTCAAGTCCTTTTGACTCAACTCTAATAATGTTTTTAGCTTCCTTGCTATCTGGTGTGACAAGATATTTTATGTTCATCTTGGATATTTCTTGCCACATATCTGAAGTCAGCCATTTATTTAAGTAATCCTGGGTCCTTTTATTGGGAAATAGCATTTAGAACCATCCTATGGGCACTATAGGTGAATTTGGACACTGAGATTTTCATTGTTTCTAAGTATTTTTAGTGGACAGAGCTTAAAAATTTTTTTTAAATGACTAAACTGAGTTCATACTGATGCCTTCCATAATTGGATAATCTTAAGAGATCTTTCCTTCAGGCTATGAAAAATCTGGCAAAGTATTCCTATTCCATAATATTATCCCTGTGTCAAATGATTTTTTAAAAAAATATTGTATCACCAGAAACTGTGACTTGCTCTTGGACAATGATAGGTAAATAGTTCACAAATTCTTACTAATTTCCTATTTACATATCTATGACTGCCATAATTTCTGAATAAAACATTAGATGATCTCATGAGTATTGTTGTAAAAATTAGGACAATAGGACAAAGTATTTGAAATCAGGACTATCTGGAAAATATAACGTGTATAGTTGCCACATAAATATTCTAGGACAAAGATGACAAATACGTTGGCCTATGAATATGTTCAATATTAATGATTAGGACAGTAGTTGCTAAATTGGGTCCTGAGCTGTTCTAGTCCTGCTAATAGATGTTCCATAAACAAAAGAAATTCATGTTCACAAAAGTTTTGGAAATGTAAGATTGAAAAACAACACAACAGATTTCTTTACTTCAGGACTCCAAGAGACGTTAATGTTTTAATATGCAACGTGACTCTTCTGGAAGGGAAATAGTATGCAGTGTTTATACACTTATTTGAATGCTTCACGGAACCCTCTTGTACATAACAACTTGTGACTGCTGGACCAGGCTGTTCTTTTAAATTAATCACATTACAATTATGTCTTCCTGAAGCTCAGGTCAATGTATTTCAAACTGATCAGGATGAGACTTTGGGAGATCTTGTTCATTGAATGTTGAAGAGCGTATGTGTGTGTGTGTGTGTGTGTGTGTGTGTGACTCTGAAGGTAACCCTATCTCTGGTATCCAAACGCAATCTTGGTTTGGCCTTCTATCTACCGACTACACTATGATTCTATTGTGTGTGTGTGTGTGTGTGTGTAACTGTGTTATAAAAATAGAATTTTTATTGTGTGTGAAGGACACTATTTGACAGATCTCAATGATTGACCATTGGGAATAGTCCCATCTGAGAGCCACAAAACCATCCACAGCTGTTACTTTGAATCTTCGTGCTGTCCATTTTTGCTGATCCCTCACAACTAGTGTTAGTCATGTTGCTTCCATTCTAGAAAGATAATAGTAGCTGCTTTTTAAGTGGCCTCTAGAGACTCTTTTAATATAGGATTTACATGTAGGAATCTTTGGTCTAACAAAGGATTTTTCTTACCTTTAGGTGTTCCAACATTCACTAAACGTGTGGTGCTTTCAGCAGTTGTGAGATCCTGACTACAGAACGAGGTAGCTTAGAAACTAAAAGATCCTTAAAACTTGCCAGTTGGTTTGGGGGTTTCTCAGAGATTTTTAAACTGTTGGAAAATGGCATCTATGAGAAAATGAAAAAGTAGTCTAGATTGTTACACCTAAAGACGAGTTACTCTAATATGAAGGACTGTTATTTAAAGCATTTCACAAAACTATTTATTGAGGTGCAAAAAGAAAACATTGGAACATCAATATATTTATTTTTCTCATTCTTTTAAAATTTCTGTGGAGTATTTTAATGTTTACTCATTAAAATGTATGTTTAAAGTAATGTGTAATGTATACATGTACAGTAGTACATGTATATAATCTATAAATCCTTATACATATGTTGGGGCCCATGCTCAATAGTTTTTTAATAGACTAAAATGTATGCGGAAAATTTGATTTAGAGGATTGTGTGAATCTCGTCTTCATCAGAAGAGTGTTTTAGAGTGTATGTGTGGGGAACGGGGTTGGTTTAAATAGGAGCACATGAGATTCAGTTACATCAATTTATTTTATTTAAATATAACAACTATTAGTGATACAGCATTCATTCATATTCAGCAAATATTTTCTGAGCATGTCCTATGCAGCAAGCATTGCCCTAGGCTCTGTGCATACGGTGGTGAACACAAACGTTGTCCTTGACCTCATAGTCCTTCCCCACTATAGTTTAGTAGGGAAGACAGCTGTCAACCAAATAATCATACACTTAAATGTACCACCAAAAATGGGTAAGTGTTATGAAGGAAAAATACAGCAAGTTACAGGAGGCTACAAGAGTATAAACTGGGGCACCATCTCTATTCTGAGATTATCGAGAAAGGTTATCCTGAGAAGTGACATTTAAGCTGGGGCCTGCGGAGATTGATTGCACGATTGCCTTGTCAAGAGACAGAGGAAGAGTGGCCTAGATGGAAGTAGCGGGTATGTGTGAGGGCCTGGACGGGGTCATGAGATGAGTGAGGGCCTGTGCCACAAGGTCACAGGGTTTCGGGCAATGGGGAAGCTTCAGAGATGGAGCTGCCTGACAGAGAGGTGGAGTGCAGGCTAAATGACCTCAGGAGCTTTGTCCTTCTTCAATTCCAGGGGGAAAATCACAAACTAGTTGGAAGTACCAGAGGGCTACAGAAAACAACAAAAAGAGACTAGCTGGTCGGCTAGGCACAATTAAAACATCAAATTCTGCCCCAGCAGCAATTCCGGGAAATTCAAGTAATGCCCCCTGTGTGGCCCTCTAGAACTGTATCTGGTAAGAGTAAAGGGCAGTGTGTCCTCTATGCCTGCGCTACAGATGTGGACATTTTTTTTAATTGCCTGAAAATTTCATAAGCTGTAGCCAGTTAGAGGGCCTAGCAATGTGTTGTGATCATGTGTTTTCCTGAGTTATTTGAAACAAGAGGGTGTATGTACTACCCTCTTGGCAAAATTAAAGGATTTTGAGCTAGGATAAATGAGGTAGATCAGAGGATAATTGCAGGAAGTGGGGCAGTGGCTAGCCCTGCTTGAGGGCTTAGGCCCAGGCTGCAGAGGAGCTAAGTGGAAGAGCAATATTTGACGGTCTATTGCCGCTGTGCCTACTAATCGGCTAGGGGAGGAGAAGGAGGACAAGGGAGACCAGGGTTGGACGATGAGCATGAAAGAAGAGTGGGCGAGCCAGGGAGCGCTTGCCACATGGAGGGCGGGAGGCGGCTACACCGGGTCCCCACCGCCGAGAAAGGGGCACGAGGAGGCGGCGCGGGCCCCGCCCCCTCCCCTGGCGGGCGCGGGCGCGGGCTCGAGACGCTGCGCGGCGGCAGCGGCGGGCGCGAGCGGCAGCTGTCAGGCCACCGAGGTCCAAGCCGCACTTGCTGCCCCATTGAGGACGAGGAGGCAGCAGGAGCAGTGACGGTGACTCTAAGGAGCCGGATTCCCGGCACGCAGAGCTGACCTGCCTGGCACCCGCGGCCCTCTCCTGTTTCCTTCCCATTGTGTTGGGTAAGGTGCCTGTGCGTGGGCAGGAACAGGGGCTAGGGGCTGGAGGACCCGGAAGGCCGGGAGGTGGGGGGCCTGTGAGAAGAGGGAGAAAGGAAAGTCTAGTTGATCCCCAGGACCACTCGTAGCTTGAGAAAAGGGACTGAGCCGCTCCCGAGGTCGGAGTCGGGGGCAGGTGACAGTGCAGGGGGGCGTTGCTGAGTAATCCCGAGCTGCTGCCAGAGCCGAGCAGAGAGGCGCAGGGCTCCGTGGGGAGCGGGTGTGGCTCAGTGCGCATGCGCCACAGCCGACTAGCTCTAAGAGCTGGGGGTGAGGTGAGAGGACCTGGGTCGGAGGTAGTTGGGACTATGTGTGACATCTCACTTTCTAGGTCCGTAATGCTAACAGTGCCCCTGTCGTAGAGATGCCAGCATTCTTGTCTCCCAAGGAAGCTTTTTTTCCTTGTGTTCAGCTCGCTTGATGTCATCCAAACCTTATCTACCTATCTGTCCCTGGGCAGTCTACTGAGGAAGAAGTGTCCTGGGGACGATGCCAGATTGCTATCTAGTGTGCCTTTGGGCTTATAGCCCTAGAGCTGTCGTTGTGAGCAGTGAAAGGTTAGATGTGGGACTCCACATTGGACCCTTTGAGTTGCATATAGGATATAAATGTGGGCATGAATGTAGGAATAGCGTTTCAGTGGCATGACAGCTGTGGCATTTGGAGTCGGCATGGATGTAGCTGATAACTTGTTAGCTCTGCAAAATGAATCCAGTGCGTCAGAGGGTTTCCGCGCTACGAAGCACCCACCACCAGCACCAACGCCAAGTATTGGGTTGTATTGGAAACACACTCAAACATTCAATCATTTCTCATCCGTGTTGAATTTTACATAAATATAGCCGCGCCCAATTCTTCAGTGCAATATTTCCAATTATTGTGCCAGCATTCAACAGTGAGTTGAGTAGCCCTTACCAGTGTGTCGCCACAAGATGGGCTTTCCCCACAGGTCCAACCATGGCTCCTCCCCTGTACAGACTTCCAACAGTGCCACTCTCATCCAGTGCCTAGCCCTCCCCAGTTGCTCTTCCCCTATCGATCCCTGCAGTACACATCCCTTTCAAGACTTGCCTCCGAGCAATCTGCACTACTGATTTTGAGCATCATTCCACTCCATGGCAACTGAACTGATGCGAATTTGCTTTTCTGCCTCTCTTCTCTCCATCATCATACTAAAATGTACTATTTTCAAAGGTTCAACTTCTTTTTCTTCATTGTACTGCCTCCTCCCCCACCTCCACTCCCACCTCTAAGCATTCCCAACTAAATACAATAATTTGAATAAGGCTTTGTGGGTACTGCAGATTCAGAAGGTTTCAAGTGTGTTAAAGAACAAAGAGCTGGGGAGTATTGGTTATGGAAATTCCTAATTCACCTTACTCTCCAAGACTGAGACCCTGATGGGAAAAAAAAAAGTTAGTAAACTATCCTTAGAGCATGCTCATTAATGAGTTTGTGGGGGTAGGAAAGGGGAATTGCGTCTCTCGAATATTTTACTCAGTTAGAGTCAGATCTTTCTCTGAATGGGATCAAAATCAGAATAAGCGTTTTGGTCCAAATGCTCGCCCGACAGAGGACCCATAAGGGATGCATACGTCATTTGACTTTCCTATTTACGTATTTAGTGTTATCAAAGAATTCATTTGCCTGCTTAATGTTACCTTGTTTAAAGGTTTGGATTAAATCCGGCATATTCTGGGGGAGGAAAAAATGATTTCATTTGCTTTTACACTGTGCTAGTTCTTTTTAATTTAAGTATGTACTAAAGGACATGACATTCATTTTCAAACAATGATAAATGATTGTGGAGAGGCCAGCACCCACCGACAACATCAACTGGATATCATTATTCTGCTCTTGTTTTGGGTAGGAATGGGGAAATGTATATACTTATTTTTAAAATGTGAGAGTAGGGGGAGGAAAACTGGAGCATTTCCCTTGACTTTCAACAGGTGGAATTCCCATTACTCCCCATCCAGAAAATGATCGAGTCAAGTTCATAACTTCTGCTCTTTAGTTACCTTATAAATAATAGTATTTTGGCATCTTACAGAACTATGGATCTATTGTACCTTGGCATCAATTCAGAGGCATTAATTCTGGGCACCTACCTAATCATTTAATTGGTAAACAAATATTTATTATCTCCATGGAGGATCCTGGTGCTGCACACTGAAGGGGCTTCAAAGATGTATACAGTGAGCTTACTATCTAGGAATTTAAAATTGATCATGTAAGAAAGACAGGAAAAGTTTGTTAACAAAATAAGTCAGTATAATGACATTATTTCAACTGTAAACAATGAGATCCTGAGCTTGCATGTTAATTTGTAAACTCCCTGAGGGCAAGACCTTGCCTTAAACATTTATTAATTCCCAACAGTATCTACATCCAATGGATGTTTGAGTGATGAAGCTTTGCAAAGTAGATTGAGTGGGGAGACACCAGAAGCAGGGAGAGAAGAACTTTCACAATAGATTAGATGTGAGAAATTGTGGGCCAAAATGAGGATGGTAGCACAGGACTAGAAAATGATACTTCAAGGGAAAATCAGCAGGATTGAATGAAGGCAAGGAGACAAATCTAAACTGTATTCATTTTTACTTCTAGAAAATAAATGGGAGTTGGAGACAGCAGAGGAGAGTGGAGGGTTTCCTTAGTAAGGACACAACACACAATAGGCACTGTAGTGTTTTCTCAAATATCAGTAGCAAGATTGGACCAGAAGACCCTGAAGGTCCCTTCAATGCTGAGATTCTGTGCCATATGCAGATGTTCAAGCTTGTTGAGGAACAAGGCATTCTCAAATATGGAAGAAAGAGAAAAGGAAGAATTCTTATACTTTCACTAGCAGGCCCTTTCTGAGAAGGGTTAATACTGAGCCACAAGGCCCCCACCAGTGCATGAAAGGAGGTGGAGGAGCCAGAGGAATAAAAATCTCAAACCAAATTTTTCAAAAAATGCTTACAAATCTTTGCAAACTTCATAAGCTTTTCATTCTCCCCCAAAATCCTGTTAAGTAGGGCAGGTATTATCTGCTCTATTTTTATGTAAGAAGATACTGAAACAGAAAGATTAAATGACCTGCCCAAGTTCATAAAATAAATGAATGGTGTAACAGTGATGAAGACCCTGGTGTCCTGATTACTGCCAGCTAGCTCAGTGCTCTTGACACTGAACCACATTGCTTTTCCTCTTTTTCCCTTGGCATAGAGCCTATAGGCCCAGAAGTTATGTGTGCACATAACCAAATAGGGAATGCACAAGCAACTGCAGCATTATCTCAGACAGTTATTAATACATCATCATTATTCCTGGAGCTGAGCATTTGGTTTCCATATTCACTCAGTCCTTGACCTGTCTATTGAGTTTATCTGCAACTGGGAGAATAGGGTCAGTGAGTCTTTTAATGATGTGAACGCCTGTTTGCTAGGAACTCAAGGAAGCTTGTGTGGCCTGGACGCTTAATACTAGCCATCAGAATCATGCCCAAGTTTGTACTTCTGTTGCTTTTCAAAATGAGAGTTCAAGAGTTTTGCTCTGTAAAATTATCCTACAGACCAGTATAAAAAAATAAAAAAGTGTGCTAACACTTGTTTCATCTCCATTTAAAGAAATGTTTGTTACTTGAGCTAATTCCAAAGACAGCAATTTGGGAGCAGGAAAAAGAGGACAAAAATTAGGAATTGTAGGAAACTTGAGAATTCTGTAGAGTGTATATAAACCAAGAAGGAGGATAAAGCCTATCCATTTAGGAGATATTATTTAAATTCATAATTACTGATTTAGATATCTAATGAATCCTTATTATAAGTTTTATCTATATTTAGAAAATAACATGTGATTATTAAGCAGCAGATTTTTTTTTAAAGCTTCGTTCTTCCTCAGTAAGAAATAACACTACACAGATCTAGGCACTGTTTTTCTTCTTAAACCAGTACTCTTGATGCTGCTTAAATAAGATTCTTGCCATAATTAATTATAATATTAGATGAATGTATATTTAAATTTAATAACACCAGCTAAATATTAAAACTGGTGTTTAAGACAGATGAACTGCCAGGTACAGCGGCTCACGCCTGTGAACCCAGCACTTTGGGAACATGAGGTGGGCAGATCGTTTGAACCCAGGAGTTTGAAACCAACCTGGGCAACATGGTGAAACCCCATCTCTACAAAAACTACAAAACTTAGCCGGGCATGGTGGTGCATGCCCGTAGTCCCAGCTACTCAGAAGGCTGAGGTGGGAAGATTACTTGAGCCCAGGAGGTCGAGGCTGCAGTGAGCCATGACTGCACCACTGCACTCCAGCCTGGGTGACAGAATGAGACCTTGTCTCAAATTTAAAAAATAAATAAAGAAAAGAAAAATGACCTAAACTAATTAATAAAATAATTAGCCAAGATAATATACTTTATTGTAAACAGGAAGCCCACAAACACAATTTTTTTCTGCTCTCTAATTATGTGGAATCAATTGCAGAGACAACCTTGAGACAGACTGGTGAGTGCACTAACAACTTTCTTGGAGATGGGAACGTTGGTAGGTATAAAAGGAAGAAGTTTCATCTCCGACTTAGGATTTCAGCATATCTTAGATTGCTCTGTACTTTCCTTTTCCTGAATGTCATCTATTGTGAATATCATCTTTCTTTAATTTGCTTTTACTTTGAATGGAGAATTCAATTGAGAGACAATATAAAATGTAAAAAATTATATAAATTACAAATTAGGATAAGTTAAAGTTCTTGGAATAAAATTATTTTGCTTATGTTAAGCATAGGTAGCATTTTGAACTTTTATTTTTGAAAAGCACCCTCTGTAGGTTACTTGAGGTTGCTGTGGGTTCTTTTTTTTTTTCTGACTTGAATATATTTTTATATAGAGCCTTAACGTTATTTTATTATAGATTTTTTTAAAATAATGTTTTCTATTCTGTTTTATAGCACCCTAAAAAGAAAGAATAAAACAACAACAGGAAAAAAAGGAAAATATTTAAATTGTGACAAAAACCCACTGGGTAGGTATTTCAAGGGGGCACACTGTGGATTTGGGATATTTTAATATTTGATCTCTTAAAAATGAATATTTAGAAAAATATATAGCTAGTACATAGGCATTCCAAAATCATTTTAAGGGCTACTAAATTTTGTAAAATTATATTCAAATGTGTGTGCTTCCAGAAACTGTTTTGCATGCACTCCTTCGATTAGTGATTCGTTTTCATCCCTTTGGGTCTATTGTATAAATATCATCCAATTAACCTCATCACCGTTGAGTTCCCACAATAGACCTAGTGGGAAAGTACCTAACAGAATATAGGAAAAGGTAGTATTTGTTCAGTAAGCATTTGATCTTTTTATTTTAAGACACATTCTAGGTGTTCCATGTGTAGACATGTTGTGGAGGTAACAAGTAGGGTACTGTATAAATATTAGCACTTTAAATTTTGCAGTATGTTTTCAAATGTTGCTATTATGGAATTAAAACCTGAATCCAAAAACTAATAAGCTATTCAAGATTTCCTTCCTTCATGACAGCTGTTATATTGATATCAGTCAATTGTCATCAACTTAAATGCCATTGTTCCATGAAGAAAAAAATATAGAAGATCCTTACTTGAGAGGGTGTTCCTATCAATGCAAGTATAATGGGGTAAATGCCTGAAGAAACGTAACCTTGTTCTCTCTTTCAAATTCTGGGGTGCAGTCTAATTCTGGCCCAGACCTCTACCGACAGAATCAAGAATCCAGTTTATGTAGCTTTCTCTTCTCAGTAATTTTTGTATCCATCAGGAGCAGACTTCAAACCCCAAGTCAATTTCATACTATTTGTCTATTGTTTGGAACTGTCCAAACCGGAAGCTAAAGTTGTCACACATTTGAGTGGCATTCCTGTTCTAGGCTTCCTCTCCTAGAATTGGGTCAGAACTGAACCAAATTACAGGACCATCTGCTAGTCCATTTACCCATGGCACTCAGCCATTTTCCTGGCACAACAAAAGACCTCAGAAAAACAAGACCTATTTTTCCCCTTATGCAAAATTAGTGTTATTTCTTCTGCTGTACTACATCAATTAATGAGCATAAATCAGAGAAGTTGAATGAGAAGGCCTTATAATTCAGAGAAATTTGCTATGAAGTTGATTTCAGTTTCAGGTTTAACTGTTTTCCCTCCTACTTTTCCTTTTATTTTCAGGTTCTCTTGGTTACAAACTCCTTCCCTTCTGGTGCTGCAAAAATGAGTGGGAAATCCCTGCTCTTAAAGGTCATTCTCTTGGGTGATGGTGGAGTTGGGAAAAGTTCGCTTATGAACCGTTACGTAACCAACAAATTTGACTCCCAGGCTTTTCACACCATAGGGGTAGAGTTCTTAAATCGAGATCTGGAGGTAGATGGACGCTTTGTAACCCTCCAGATCTGGGACACTGCAGGGCAGGAACGTTTCAAGAGCCTTAGGACACCCTTCTACAGGGGAGCAGACTGCTGCCTCTTGACCTTCAGCGTGGATGATCGGCAGAGCTTCGAGAATCTTGGTAACTGGCAGAAAGAATTTATTTACTATGCGGATGTGAAGGACCCTGAGCATTTCCCCTTTGTAGTTCTGGGTAACAAGGTAGACAAAGAGGATAGGCAAGTGACTACTGAGGAGGCACAAACCTGGTGCATGGAGAATGGGGATTACCCTTATTTAGAAACTAGTGCCAAAGATGATACTAATGTGACAGTGGCCTTTGAAGAAGCTGTCAGGCAGGTGCTGGCTGTAGAGGAACAGCTGGAGCATTGCATGTTGGGTCACACCATTGACTTGAACAGTGGCTCCAAAGCAGGGTCTTCGTGCTGTTAAAGATAGGGAGCCTTTTAAAAATGTGCCCCAAATTGATCAGTCAGTAGTGTAAGAATAACTGTGCCCCTCTAAGAGTGCACACACACGCACACAAGAGGGTAAGAGACAAGGTTCTGATTGTGAAACAGAGCCTTTCAAATTGAAGTGTAGATTGATTTAAAAAAATTAAAAATTAAAAAAAATGAAGCTCTATCAAGCCAAGTGTATTTTGCGTGATTTCTGCTATTTCCCCTTCTTGTGTGTCTCAGGACATATCAGAAAATTTTAGTCCTGAGACAGTTAAATATTTTTTAAATCACAGTTTAAACCTAGAACCCAGCTGCATGAAGGAGTTAAAGAGCTACAACTATTTCTTAAAGTGTTCCATTAATCAACTAACAAATGTCACTATCAGACTCTTGCCAAGCAGTTTCTGACATTTCTGCCAAAGGGGAAAAAAATCAGACTTTGAGCTGTATTACAATAAAAATAATAATGCAAATAAGGATTCCTAGGCTTGAATTAAAGAAGTTGTAATGATTAGGAGTGCAAAAGTATAATGATATACACTGACTTGTTTAAATCCTTATGTATGGTTCGCTCCCATCTGAGCTTTTCAAAAAATCCCATCTCAATAAGAGATACTCTAATGACACTGGCAATTGATTATACTTCTTGTGTTTGAAGTCATAGGATACTAGTGAATGGATTATGCTTAAATATGCCAACCACCTTTGCAAATAAATGGTTGGTCTGCTTTTAATTCCTAAGTCTACTTTTGCTGCATAGAGATGTTGCTTCTCTGACAACCTCTTACCAATTTAGCAATGCTGCTTAGTATATGAATTTGGATGCAGTGCTCTCTGCTCATCATTTAGATGGTCCTTTGATCCAACATGCTGGGCTCATGGAGAAGGCTTCATAAAAGATTGGGGGATAATGAACTTTTCTCACAAGGCTCCTTAACTCAAATATTTATTGCAGAAGAAGGAACTGGTTTCTTATATGTTGCACTGTATGTTCAACTAGCCTAATTAGGACATTGAAAGTGACAGAAGAGCAGATCTTAACCCAGTGTTAGAATGAATTTCCCATAAACAGAGTTGTCCAACAGTGGAATGGACTGCCTTAATAGTGAGCTCCCTGCCTCTGAAAATATTCACTGGATGACCATCTGTTAGAATACCATAAAAAGATTTTCTGTGCTGGCTACATGTTCAATATAAAGTCCTTTCTGGCTCTAAGTTCTATGAATATATAAACTACATCAGTGCCATGCTGTGGTTAGATTTATCTGATGATAACAGCTAAGACTATGGAGAGGGACTTTAAAAATTCTCAAACCATTCTGTGATCAATCTTTAACAGCAACTACATAGCTCTTCCTTTTGCTTTTGCACTGTGGCAGGAAAAATTCTTGAGCTCTGAGTAATCTTTATGTGACTGATAAAAAACATCTTAAAGCTCCCATGTTAAAATATAAAAATGGTTTGACAATTTTTGATTACCATGACTGTCAGTTATATACTATATTATGAATATGCAGTGTGGTTCTTGTTGGTTGATCTGTTTACCCTGCATAGATTTTAATCTGTACTTTAAAACATCTATGATAAAAATAGTGACAGACAGAAATTACCCCAAAAAGAGACCTAGGCCAGGAAGGGGGTGGGAGCTTTCATAGGAATACAGCCTAGAACTCTCCATTGTAGCCACGTATGGAATCAGCCTTACTTACATGTAGGACCTTTGTGCTTTAAGAGCTCTGGGACATATTGGCCAAATAGAAAAGAAGAGGACAGTATTTCAACTCAGTCATACTCAATATTTCCAATTAAGATATAATCCTGACACCATTGTTCAATTAACTTTGACGCCAGAAGTCAAAGCCAGAACTGGGACCCCACAGCTCTTAAGTACTGGTCCCTATCCTGCCTATGCCTATAGCCAGCCACACTGGTTTCCAAGTTCTGTGATCATTTTGCTACAATCATGTTAGGGTGAAAATCTGTACGTCAGAACTGTTAAATGCTAATTATTTTTAAGTGCATGAGACCTGGGGCCTTCTCTTTCTACTTGCACTCTGCTTATACTAGTTTCTATTTGTAGATCTCAGGCCTTCATCATAAAGACCTCTATCAACTCACAAAAGTATTTGTCTCTATTAGAGTGGCATGTGGTCATTTGAGTAAAAAAAAAAAAATTACATGGGTATCGGATTCATAGGCATCCTGTCCATCTAAGACAAGTGTTAATTTTATTGGCCCATCAGCTGGAGCCCCTTTCCTCTTAGCCATACCATTGTTTTCTACCAAATTACCACTCAATATCTTAATGAAAGCACTCAACATTAAGTGACATAAACAGTGGCATTTGGGTAAGCAACACTCAGTGGGGTGCTGACATACAGTTTGGGTAAGATTAAAAAACACCAAAGGCTGAAATCTGTGAGTACCAAGAACTGTGCATATAGGTTTAGAAATTGACTGTGTACCCTAGAATGTGCAGTGTAATATTTTCAATAGGTGTTTTTTTAAAGAACACTAGATTTTTGGAATAATATATTTCTAATTAGGACTATACTGTTTTTCAATGGTCTGTTAAAACATCATACAGAATATTTATTTAGTTTATTGTCATGTATTGGCTAACTTTCAGGGGCCTCAGATTCCATATGTCTTCAGTGGATTGATGAATATCAGGTTAATTTGTGCCTGCCCCAGCCATCTCTACTTTATTCTGAGGTATTCCACAATCCTCTTGTTGCAGGTGCTGCTAAAAAAAACTCAAAATTGTGTATCAAATATTTTCTTTCAACTGTAAAAAATCATCTGTGTTAAAGTGAATAAAAAGTGCATTTTGAATAACCAGCACACAATGTTTGTGTTTATTCCCTCCCTTTCTCTTTTTGAGAAATTGGTGGGTGTGATGGACAGTACTTATTAATCAAGTCACTCTTTCAGGCTGCACTGGATGTGGCCTCTGGATCATGTTTCATGTGGTACTCCAAGCAGCCACTATCTAGTGATCAGATATTTCTATACTGATTGTGAAGCAAACTCTAAAGATTGGGGCAGGGAGGTCCTTTTTATTTTATACCACTTTCTTTCTATTTATTTAGTTATTAGAGACAGGGTCCCTCCATTGCTCAGGCTGGAGTGCAGTGGCGCAATCATGGCTCATAGCAGCCTCAAACTCATGGGTTTAACCACTTTCTAATGCATGACGTGTATTGGGACTGGAAATTGAATCTTAACTTTCCACTTTATTTCTTTATTATAATTTAAAACCATTACTTAATGGATACAATGTACACTATTCTGGTGATGGGTACACTAAAAGCCCAGATTTCAATCTGCAATATACCCATATAACAAAACTGCACTTGTGCCCCCTAAATTTATACAAATAAAAGAAAAAATATTATAATAAACAACGTTGCATAAAAAATAAGATAAATGTTAAACCATCAAAAAATATAAACAGAGTAGACATATTCCCTTTATTTTCCTGACTGGTGAATTGTCCAGACCTTAGGAAAACATGAAAATATAGGTGAAACAAATAAGAAAAGCAAAGAATAATTTTGTTAAATATTCTGTTCTCTTGCCTCTCACATATTGGATTTTAAAGATACATTAGCACCCAATGGCTTGAATATACATAATGGCGGTTTTAAAATTATGGACACAAATCTTTCCACAGCATATATAGTTTCATTACATTGATTCCATCTGCCACAGATTTCACTCTCTTCTCTCTGTCTACTTTTGCCTGTTGCAACTTTGGGCAGTTGAAATTGGGGGTGGGGAATTTGTTGGGAAACAGATTTTTTTTTTTTTTTTTTGCCACATGTACCATTTCCATCTCTGAGGATTATAATTTAACACATTATCAGACCATGCTTCAAATGCAGCACCCCAAATCATTTTGACTAGTCTATAATGATGCAACTTTTAGAATATAGAAAGTCATAGATTTATAAGCCACTTAATAAGGATTTGCTCATTTGTAACTGATTATTTTTTTTTTTGAGACAGGGTCTCGCTCTTTTGCCCAGGCTAGAGTGTAGTGGCCTGATCTTGGCTCACTGCAACCTCCACCTCCTGAACTTAAGCAGTCCTTCCACCTCAGCCTCCTGAGTAGCTGGGATTACAGGCATGCACCAGCATGCCCAGCTAACTTTGTGTGTGTGTGTGTGTGTGTGTGTGTGTGTATGTGTGTGTGTGTGTGTGTGTGTGTGTGTGTTTGAGACAGGGTCTTGCTCTGTTGCCCAGGCTGGAGTGCAGTGGCCTGATCTTGGCTAACTGCAACCTCGGCCTCCCGGACTCAAGCGATTCTCATGCCTCAGCCTCCCTAATAGCTGGGATTACAGGCGCCCGCCACCACACCTGGCTAATTTTTGTATTTGTTGTAGAGACAGGGCTTCACCATGTTGGCCAGGCTGGTCTTGAACTCCTGGCCTCAAGTGATCCACCCACCTGGCCTCCCAAAGTTCTGGGATTACAGGTGTGAGCCAATGCACCGGGGCCCATAACTGATATTTTAAAAACAGAATGCCAACTTCCTGTCTTTAATGTTTTTCTGCCTCATTCATAACCCAGTGGGAAATCTCCTCATGATGTCTTAAGAAACAGTACGGTCTCATTTTTTGGAAATGGTTTGGCGATAGTCCTTCCAGAAACAGGAAGGTGTGGAATACATAATTTGTCTTCCATCTTGTAACTGTAGTTTTAAAACACACTGGAAAATCGAGGTATCAATTTGAGTAATTTCAAGCTGGGAGGTGGGATGGACATCTCTACTTTCATTTGAATTACCCAAAGTAGATCTTGCAGCAATTTTTTTTCCTCAGTGATCTAGATAATCATTTCACTTTTTTTCTCTCTTTGCTGTGGAAATGTAAAATTTACTACAGTGCAGTGTTTTTCTTACACTTGATTTTAGGGCAGATAAACTGTAATATACTGTCTTAGCCCATTTGGGCTGCCCTAACAAAATACCATAAGCTTGGTAGGCTATAAACTACAGAATTTCATTTCTCAGCTCTGGAGGCTAGGAAGTCCAAAATCAAGGCATCCGCACATTCAGGGTCTGGTGAGGTCTTGATTTCTGGTTCACAGATGGCACCTTCCAGCTCTGTGGAAGGGGGAAGGGGTTTCTCCTGGGCCTCTTTTATAAGGACACTAATCCCATTTATGAGGGCTTCACCCTTGTGACCTAATCACCTTCCAAAGGCCCCATCTCCTTATAATGCCATAACCTTGGGGGGTTAGGATTTCAACCTATGAATTTTGGAGGGGGACAAAAAGATTCAGAGCATAGCATACACCTTTTGATAAAACGTTAATGTGCATGATTTGGGATATTCACTAATGTTTTCTTTTTCCAAACTGGTCATTTTAATTTCCTCAAGTTTCCATCACCAAAAGAGCTCTCATTCTTTACTACTTTCTCTTTAAGAGAAGGAAGGGATAATGACAAAAGCTAGGCATGTTTATGGAATAAAGGAAAAATTATTAAATGCCTTCTTACTGATATGCTTGCCAAAACTGGTGAGCAAGGATCTCTTATTCTGCTAGTGATGGTAGTGGTAATAATGTGTGAAAGGGTTTTTTTTTAAGGGGGCAAGAAGTTACTTAATATTTTCCCAGTGAAAATAAGCATCTTCACAGCTCAAGATGTGGCGTCGTCACCTGTAGTCATATAGAAACTGCTGCAGTGATCTTTGTGTCTTCATAAATCTCTTTGCCTTCTCCAAGGAAACACAGAGAATGATGATTCAGTTATATATAAATGTCTTTTTAAACAGTGGGTTTTGTGTGTGCAAGCATGTGTATTTTTAAGTAATCTGTCAGTTCCTTTCGTGCTGTATGAACTATGGGTAAATGTATAATGGTCTCACTATAACACTCCTGAATTTTAATCAGACCTGCCAAGCTGTGCCACATCTAGTTAACTGATTGATAAAAAGAATTGGGAAATGCTGCCTTAATGAAAGAAATAGCTCTTAATTCAACATTAGCTATATTGATTAGAGTAAAAATACAAATCACACTTTCCTGTGGTGCATTCATGAGGAAGCAAGAAACAGGCTCATATCATCTCTTTTCTCTTACGTTGTTCCTGGCTGCCTTAGAAACGACATATCCAAGGGTGTGTCCTGTAATATATTGCTCAACATAGAGTCTGTTAATAGATGAACAAGTGCCAGTAGCCTCTGAGTTCTCTCTTTTTCC
Source organism: Homo sapiens (assembly GCF_000001405.40). Taxonomy (NCBI): domain Eukaryota; kingdom Metazoa; phylum Chordata; class Mammalia; order Primates; family Hominidae; genus Homo; species Homo sapiens. The sequence goes on along the minus strand of NC_000023.11, from coordinate 103,818,960 downwards.
ATTTGTTCCCTGCTAGAAAACTTAGAGTGACCGATAAATGCTTTAAAATGTTCTTTTTTTCTGATTACAAAAGCCATACACATCCACCGTAGAAAAATGAAGTAATGAAAGAAATAGAAAAGCAAGATTTAAAAAATTAAAGTCATCTGTAATGTAATCCTATTAACCTGAGATAAGCAGATTTTAACATTTTAGTGTAGATTTTAATATATTTATGTATTTTTAAAATTGATTTGATACTGCACACACTGTAATCTTTTTTACTTAATATATATCTATAGTACTTAACTTTTCTCTAAGACATATATTCTTCTAAGATTATATTTGCTGTTTGCATAATATTGTATTGAAGGGTTTACCACAATTACCCATATTGCTAAACTTTTAATAAAACACTTATTGCTAGACATTTAGGTTGTTTTACAGCTGCCTTCTTTTCATAAAATAAAGCATCAGTGAAGTTCCTTAATATCAATCTTAACTCTCACCTCTGTTTATTTCCTACTAGTAAAATTTCTAGGTCAAAGATTATGAATTTTTTATTAATTTTAATATATACTGGCAAATTGGCCTCTAGAAACTTATCCCAAATGACATCAACACCAGTAGAATAAGAGGAAGACTATCTTTCCAACACCCAAACGTATGGACTATTATCTTCCTTTTTAACCCCATATGTGCAGTCTGATGGGTGAAAAAATGATCTCATGCTGTCATTTACATTTATTTAATTTTTTGAGAGTAATTGTTTATACATTCATTGGCCATTTTTATTTTTCCTTGAGTGAATGGACCCTTATGGGGGTTGGGGAACATTCATTTTTGTTTCTTATTGATTCCAAGGAAATCTTTTTTTATATTGTGGGTATTAACCTTTGATCTTATCCACATTGCTAGTTTTCTGCAATCCCCTCCCATAGATCTTGCCTTTTAATTTTGTTTATGGTATTTTAAAAATATACTGCCATATTATAGAAAAGGTTATGTTCTGATAAATTAGAAAACTGGTGGGTTGGGGAAAGAGAGGTGCTTATTTGATTTGTCCTTTGTTTCTGATTATACTCGAGACTACTTTTGTTTAGAAAGGTTATGAATCTAAGCTTTGGTCACCATGATAAAAGAATTGCTAGAAATAAAAAATATTCATTCATCCAGATGCTTTAATTGCATGATGTCAAATGACTGGTTTGAATTGAGTCTACTGCTGTAATAATCAGATTATTCTGAAGCCTTGTGTTAAATATAAATGCAGAGATAGAAACAGTTCCACTTTCAACCACAAGGGGGCAATAAAGACCGGTTAGTGTTCCGCCATAGACTAAACTTATATATATGTGTGCATATATATAGTATATATAGAGAGAGTATATATATATATTATATGTATACTTTAATTTCTGGGTTACATGTGCAGAACGTGCACATTTGTAACATAGGTATACACGTGCCATGGTGGTTTGCTGCACCCTTCATCCCATCACCTACATTAGGTAGTTCTCCTAATGTTATCCCTCCCCTAGCCCCCAACCCTTGACAGGCCACAGTGTGTGATGTTCCCCTCCCTGTGTCCACGTGTTCTTATTGTTCGACTCCCACTTATGAGTAAGAACATGCGGCGTTTGGTTTTCTGATCTTGTGATAGTTTGCTGAGAATGATAGTTTCCAGCTTCATCCATGTCCCACAAGAGGACACAAACTCATCCTTTTTCATGGCTGCATAGTATTCCATGGTGTATATGTGCCACATCTTCTTAATCCAGTCTATCATTGATGGACATTTGGGTTGGTTCCAAGTCTTTTCTACTGTGAATAGTGCCACAATAATCATACGTGTACATGTGTCTTTATAACAGAATGATTTATAATCCTTTGGGTACATGTCCTGTAATAGAATTGCTGGGTCAAAAGGTATTTCTAGTTCTAGATCCTTGAGGAATTGCCACACCATCTTCCACAATGGTTGAACTAATTTATACTCCCACCAACAGTGTAAAAGCGTTTCTATTTTTCCACAACCTTTCCAGCATCTGTTGTTTCCTAACTTTGTAATGATTGCCATTCTAACTGGCTTGAGAAGGTATCTCATTGTGGTTTTGATTTGCATTTCTCTAATGACCAGTGATGATGAGCATTTTTATATGTATGTTGGCTGAATAAATGTCTTCTTTTGAGAAGTGTCTGTTCATATCCTTCACCCACTTTTTGATGGGGTTGTTTGATTTTTTCTTGTAAATTTGTTTAAATTCTGTATAGATTCTGGATATTAGCCCTTTGTCAGATGGATAGATTGCAAAAATTTTCTCCCATTCTGTAGGTTGCCTGTTCACTCTGATAATAGTTTATTTTTCTGTGCAGAAGCTCTTTAGTTTAATTAGATCCCATTTGTCAATTTTGGCTTTTGTTGCCATTGCTTTTGGTGTTTTAGACTTGAAGTCTTTGCCCATGCCTATGTCCTGAATGGTATTGCTCAGGTTTTTTTCTAGGATGTTTATGGTCCTAGGTCTTACGTTTAAGACTTTAATCCATCTTGAATTAATTTTTGTATAAGGTGTAAGGAAGGGGTCTAGTTTCAGCTTTCCACATATGGCTAGCCAGTTTTCCCAGCACCATTTATTAAATAGGGAATCCTTTCCCCATTTCTTATTTTTGTCAGGTTTGCCAAAGATCAGATGGTGGTAGATGTGTGGTGTTATTTCTGAGACCTCTGTTCTGTTCCATTGGTCTATATATCTGTTTTGGTACCGGTACCATGCTGTTTTGGTTACTGTAGTCTTGTAGTAAAGTTTGAAGTCAGGTAGCTTGATGCCTGCAGCTTTGTTCGTCTTGCCCAGGATTGTCTTGGCTATGCGAGCTCTTTTTTGGTTCCATATGAAGTATAAAGTAGTTTTTTCCAACTCTGTGAAGAAAGTCATTGATAGCTTGATGGGGATAGCATCGAATCTATAAATTACTTTGGGCGGTAAGACCATTTTCATGATATTGATTCTTCATATCCATGTGCGTGGAATGTTTTTCCATTTGTTTGTGTCCTCTCTTATTTCCTTGAGCAGTGGTTTGTAGTTCTTGAAGGGGTCCTTCACATCCTGTGTAAGTTGTATTCCTAGGCACTTTATTCTCTTTGTAGCAATGGTGAATGGGAGTTCACTCATAGTTTGGCTCTCTGTTTGTCTGTTATTGGTGTATAGGAATGCTTGTGATTTTTGCACATTGATTTTGTATCCTTAGACTTTGCTGAAGTTGCTCATCAGCTTGAGAAGATTTTGGGCTGAGACAATGGTGTTTTCTAAATATACAATCATGGCATCTGCAAACAGAGACAATTTGACTTCCTCTCTTCCTATTTGAATACCCTGTATTGCTTTTTCTTGCCTGATTGCCCTGGCCAGAACTTCTAATACTATGTTGAATAGGAGTGGTGAGAGAGGGCATCCTTGTCTTGTGCCAGTTTTCCAAGGGAATGCTTCCTGTTTTTGCCCATTCAGTATGATATTGGCTGTGGGTTTGTCATAAATAGCTCTTATTATTTTGGGATACGTTCCATCGATATTGAGAGTTTTTAGCATGAAATGCTGTTGAATTTTGTCAAAGGACTTTTCTGCATCTATGGATATAATCATGTGGTTTTTATCATTGGTTCTGTTTATGTGATGGATTACCTTTATTGATATGTGTATGTTGAACCAGCCTTGCATCCCAGGGATGAAGCCAACTTGATTGCAGAGGATAAGGTTTTTGATGTGCTGCTGGACTCGGTTTGCCAGTATTTTGTTGAGGATTTTCACATCGATGTTCATCAGGGATACTGGCCTAAAATTCTCTTTTTTTGTTGTGTCTGTCTCTGCCAGGCTTTGGTATCAGGATGATGCTGGTCTCATAAAATGAGTTAGGGAGGATTCCCTCTTTTTCTATTGTTTGTAATAGTTTCAGAAGGAATGGTGCCATCTCCCCTTTGTACCTCTGGTAGAATTCGGCTGTGAATCCATCTAGTCCTGGACTTTTTTTTGGTTGGTAGGCTATTAATTATTGTCTCAATTTCAGAACCTGTTATTGGTCTATTCAGAGATTCAACTTCTTTGTGGTTTGTCTTGGGAGGGTGTATGTGTCCAGGAATTTATCCATTTCTTCTAGATTTTCTAGTTAATTTGCATAGAGGTGTTATAGTATTCTCTGATGGTAGTTTGTATTTCTGTGGGATCAGGGGTGATATCCCATTTATCATTTTTTATTGCGTGTATTTGATTCTTCTCTCTTTTCTTCTTTATTAATCTTGCTAGCAGTCTACCTATTTTGTTGGTCTTTTCAAAAAAACACCTCCTGGATTCATTGATTTTTTTAAGGGTTTTTTGTGTCTCTATCTCCTTCAGTTCTGATCTGATCTTAGTTACTTCTTGTCTTCTGCTAGCTTTTGAATTTGTTTGCTCTTCCTTTTCTAGTTCTTTAAATTGTGATGTTAGGGTGTCGATTTTAGATCTCTCCTGCTTTCTCTTGTGGACATTTAGTGCTATAAATTTCCCTCTAAACCCTGCTTTAAATGTGTCCAGGAGATTCTGGTATGTTGTGCCTTTGTTCTCATTGGTTTCAAAGAACATCTTTATCTCTGCTTTCATTTCGTTATTTACCCAGTAGTCATTCAGGAGCAGGTTGTTCAGTTTCCATGTAGTTGTGCGGTTTTGAGTGAGATTCTTAATCCTGAGTTCTAATTTGATTGCACTGTGGTCTGAGAGACAGTTTGTTGTAATTTCTGTTCTTTTACATTTGCTAAGGAGTCTTTTACTTCCAATTATGTGGTCAATTTTAGAATAAGTGTGATGTGGTGCTGAGAAGAATGTATATTCTGTTGATTTGGGGTGGAGAGTTCTGTAGATGTCTATTAGGTCTGCTTGGTCCAGAGCTGAGTTCAAGTCCTGAATATCCTTGTTAATTTTCTGTCTCATTGATCTGTCTAATATTGACAATGAGGTGTTAAAGTCTCCCATTATTATTGTGTGGGAGTCTAAATATCTTTGTAGGTCACTTAGAACTTGCTTTATGAATCAGGGTGCTCCTGTATTGGGTGCATATATATTTAGGATAGTTAGCTCTTCTTGTTGAATTGATCCCTTTACCATTATGTAATGGCCTTATTTGTCTCTTTTGATCTTTGTTGGTTTAAAGTCTGTTTTCTCAGAGACCAGGATTGCCACTCCTGCTTTTTTTTTTTTTTTTTTTTTTTTTTGCTTTCCATTTGCATGGTAGATCTTCCTCCATCCCTTTATTTTGAGCTTACGTTTGCCTTTGCACATGAGATGGGTCTCCTGAATACAGCACACTGATGGATCTTGACTCTTTATCCAATTTGCCAGTCGTCGTCTTTTAATTGGGGCATTTAGCCCATTTACATTTAAGGTTAATAGTGTTATGTGTGAATAAGACGGAGGTTGCAGTGAGCCAAGATCACGCCACTGCCCTCCAGCCTAGAGACAGAGCAAGACTCTGTCTCAAAAACAAACGAACAAACAAAAACAAAAACAAACAGTTCTTGTGATATCATTGGCGACAGATTGCAGTATTTAATAGATGCAAAAAGGTCTCTTTAAAACAAACAGGTTTTTTAGAAAAATTCTAAAAAAGGAAGGTTGAGTCCAGTTTAGGGGTGAGGTGCAGAAAATATGGTGATATGTGTGCCATTTTAGGTCAAATGTTGGAACAGACTCTAAGATGCTTAGATCCAATCCCTTCTTTTTATAGACAATAAAACTGATGCTGGACGTGCTGGCTCAAGCTTATAATCCCAGCACTTTGGGAGGCCAAGGCAGGCAGATCACAAGATGAGGAGATCGAGACCATCCTGGCCAACACGGTGAAACCCCGTCTCTACTAAAAATACAAAAATTAGCCAGGCGTGGTGGCATGTCCTGTAATCTCAGCTACTCAGGAGGCTGAAGCACAATAAACACTTGAACCCAGGAGGTGTATCACACCACTGCACTCCAGCCTGGGTGACAGAGCAATATTCTGCCTCAAAAAAAAAAAATTTAAAAATTAAAAAAAAAAAAAACTCAGGAACCGAGAAGTTAAGCAAATTGCTAAAGGCAATCTGGGGCTATGGTTTTAACACTGTAGTTTGGAGGACACAGAGAGTTAGGGATGGGGAAGTAATGAAACCTGAGATGCAAAAAAAGGAAAGGTTTGGTTTTAAGCAAAGCAGGGTTTAGGCATCAGACAGTGGAAGGGGCAGAAGCAAACAGTAGCAAGCAGCTCTGGCCTGGAAGAAATTTTCCCAGAGTCTGTCATATCCTTGTTGCTCCTCCCAAAAGGAAGTAACCCTAGGAACTACTGAGAAGTTGTGCCTCCACAATAGTCTCTGACTTACTGAATAAACAAAAGCTACAGAAAATTGTTGTTAAAATCAGAGTTGTTGGTTTTCGTTAGTGACCCAAGTCTTTAAAAGTCTGATTTAAAATTACCTAAATGATACAATCTAAGTGTCCATACTAAATAGAACAAAGAAAGAGGTACTTGACAGGGAGGATCACCAAGATCCTACTACTCAGTCCCACACTCTCCTTGTTTCTTTCATGTAGAGATAAAATAAGAAAAATAGCTATTGGCAATGAACTGTGGAAATTGGTGTTTAATTGACAACTATGCAGCAGTTTTTGGTTGCTATTGGCTGAATATATCTCCCTAATTAATATGTTAAAAACTTAATCTTCCATGTGATGGTATTTGGTGGTGGAGTCTTTAGGAGGTAATTACAGTTAGCTATTAATTCGTGAGAGTGGAGCCTTCATAATGGGATTCGTGCCCTTATAAGAAGAGAAAGAGGGTATGGTGGCACATACCTGTTTTCCCAGCTACTTCAAAGGCTGAAGCAGGAGGATTGCTTGAGCCTAGGAGGTCCAGGCTGCAATGAGTCATGTTCATGCCACTGCACTCCAGCCTGGGTGACAGAGAGAAACTCCTTGCCCCCGCTTTCCATAAAAGAGAGAGAGAGAGAAAGAGAGGAGACCTCTCTTTCTCTCTCTTTTTCTGCTTTGAGGATACAAGAAGAGGGTAGCTATCTGTAAACCAGGAAGGGGGCCCCACCAGACACTGAATCTGCCAAGACCTTGATCTTGAAGGCTCTTTCCCAGCCTTCAGAACTATGAGAAATAAATTTCTGTTGTTAAGCCATCCCGTCTATGGTATTTTTATAGCCACCTAAGAAGACTAAGTCATTAGCTTTTGTTATTAGCTGTATTTCAGCCAAATGAGTCTTCTAATCTGTAGTGTTATTCTTTAGATTGTGATGGCATGGCTCTTTGTCCTAAGGTAATTTTTTTGTATATACTAAATTGAGTTGGAAAGCTATTGTGTCTCTGCATGATACATTTTTAAATTTTTTTTCTAGAATATTTCTTTAGTTACAGTAATAAAGCATGTTTATTTGACATTCTGGCAGAGATTTTAACTGGCATTTCCACATGTCACTATTATAATAAAAATTAATGTTTATAACGGGAACCCCTAGACATTGCAAGAGCCCAAATTAATTTCTGGATCATCAAAGAAAAACTAAGGGTTATTATTATTAGGTCTATTTTATGGTATGGAGAATAAGCATTTCATGCATGTTGCATAGTGACATGATAATTAACCACAATATTCTATTTCCCTGGAATGGAGAGATTATTTTCTTCCCCTCTTCACTTTTACTTCCTCATAGAATCCTGTGATTTCACTAGTAGGTTGTTTTGTCCAAATTCCACCCAATGCTTGAGTATTTTCACCCAATGCTTGAGTATTTTCACCAAATGCCTGCCACAGAGTCAATGCTAGAATACCTCAGGAGACAGAAAACTTACCATTTTTTGAAGCAGATCATTATATCTTGCAAAAATGGCACATGATCCCTTATATTGAGTAAATTCTGACTTCTTATGACTTCCACTCCTTGGTCCTAGGGCCACTCAAAACAAGGATTCCACATGACACAGGACTTCCGATAACTAAAGACAGTTCTTTCCCTCCTGGACATGATTTTTATAACTTGAAATATCCCCAGGTTTTTCAGTGAAATATGACATATTTAAGTCCCATTACTGTAGCAATTAAATAAATATCTGTTCAATGTCTTCCCAGCGTCAGGTACTGTTTGAGGTATGAAGGTGAAGAGAGTAAATGGGAAGTGGCAGAAGCATGATTGATACCATGTTAAGAAATGGGGATCTATTGTGAAAGGAAAAAGGAATAAAAGAAGGTGTTCTAAGCAAAGGGGTAGGAAGCTTAGGTTTGGGTTAGAGAATGATTACTCATGTTGTGGAGGATAGGTGTGGTGGGAGTGGGCATGAGAAGCCTAGAGGAAGGTGACTAGCGAGACAGCTATAACAATAGACAGGAAAAGCTGAAGAGTCACGCAGGTTATGCCATGGCATTTAGACTTTATCCTGCCAGTGCCTTCAAAGAAGCATTCACAGAACAGCAGACTACTTGTAGCAGATCCACCTGGGGGCTTTGTTAAAATGCAGATTCCTGGACCCCACCATGACCTGCTTAAAGTCTCAAAGGGTGGTGCAGCCCAGGCATCTGCATCTTATCAAGTTTTTCTGGTGACTCTGATGCAAAGCCCAGATGGCAGTAGTCAGAGAGTTTGTTAGGGCAGTAGAAGCCAACAGGCATCCAGACCTCAAAAAGCCACACTCTGCTAAGACAAAAGAGTTTGGAAATGCCCTGCCTGGGAAGCAGGAATTCACTTCATCCCTCCACCTGCACCAATCTCCCCTTCACTATTTGCCTAGCTGGTGCCTTCTTTTTCTTGGTGTCCAGACTTAAACATCACCCCCTTGGAGTTCTTTCCTGGCCCCTTACTCAGTCTTATAGGTGTTCACAATATCCTGGGGTTTAAAAAATTCTATTGTGTCTCACTTTCCATGTGTATGATTCTTCAGCAAGGCTCCTTCCTACTAGCCACTAAGCGCCACAAAGTTGAGGCCTGGGCCTACTGTGCACCCTACAGCACCTAGTGCAGGGCCAGGCATAGGGTAGGTGCCAGCTAAAGATTTTTTAATTAAGCCAGGTACAGTGGCACATACTTGCAGTCCCAGCTACTTTGGAGGTCGAGGTGGGAGGATCATTTGATCCCAGGAGTATGACTTCAGCCTGGGCAACAAAGAGAGACCCTGCCTCTGAGAAAAAAAAAAAAAGAATGAATACCTGAAAGAATGGATGGGAGGCACTGGTGCCTGCCCCAGCTTGAACTACCATGCTGCATGGCAGTGGCTCCATGGGGGTTCATCTTAGCTGCTCTGGTGGCAAGGTTTCTTGCAGCATCATTGTCTTAGTCAGCTCAGGCAGCAATAAAAAATATCACAGGCTAGGTGGTTAAAAACAACAGAAATTAAGCCGAGCATGGTGGGTCACGCCTGTAATCCCAGCACTTTGGGAGGCCAAGGCAGGCAGATCACCTGAGGTCAGGAGTTCAAGACCAGCCTGACCAACATGGAGAAATGCTGTCTCTATTAAAAATACAAAATTAGCCGGGTGTGGTGGCCCATGCCTGTAATCCCAGCTACTCGGGAGGCTGAGGCAGGAGAATTGCTTGAACCCAGGAGGCGGAGGTTGTGGTGAGCCAAGATTGAGCCATTGCACTCCAGCCTGGGCAACAAGAGCAAAACTCCATAAAAAAAGAAAGAAAGAAAGAAATTTATCTCTTACAGTTCTGGAGGCTGGAAATCCCAGACTAGGATGGTCAGGCTCTCCAGAGGGCCCTTTTACTAGCTTGCAGATGGCCACCATCTTATTGTTTCCTCACATAACAGAGAGAGAGCGAGAGAGACAGAGAGAGAGAAATCATGCTCTGGTCTCTCCCTTTTCTTATAAGGACACCAATGTCATTGTGAGGACCCCACCCTCATGACCTCATCTAAACCTAATTACCTCCCAAAGATCCCCTTCTCCAAATACCATCCTATAAGGGGTTAGAGCTTCAACATATGAATTTCACTAGCATTCATTCCATAACAACCATTAATAGGCTTGAAAGGTGACAAAGAAAGGGCCTGGGCCCCTTCTTCATGGGTCCTAGTCTCTAGGCAGAATATGAAGTCAATCCCAACATGTACAGCAAACAGGAAAGCCAAGCTAGCCAGGTCTTGGGCAAGAAGCCACAGGCAAAGGTGCATTTCCAGCCAGTTAGCTGGATCCCCGAAGCCCAGGGGGAAGGGGGCCCTGTTTCTTACTGACCCTCTTGCCCTGGCCCCAGCTCACCTGGCCTCTGGCTCCCCAGCCTTCCTGTCTCCCTGAGAGTGGGCCCTCAGAGTTTCTCTTACAGCTGCTGTGTACAGAATCATGAGAAGGTGGCTTCTAAAGCTCAGGAGCACTGGGCTCCAAGGCAGTGTTTTCAAGGGTGCAGAGAAAACGAGGGGTGGGTCATGTGCCTTTGCATGGCATCACGTGTGATGTGTATCGATCTAAACATATTCTGAAGGGATGGCTCAGGCTACCTGCAAACAGCCTCTTCTGGGAGACGATATGGCCAGAATGTCACATTCCTTCCAGAAAGACAGACCTGACAGTTTACGGCTCAACAAACCAAGTTCTGGAGAACGAGGCTCTCTGATGAGAGACCAGTAGCTGACATTTATTGGGTGTTTATTAAGGCCATGTGCTGAGTGCTTTATGTGCATTTTCAACAATCGTCTGAGGTAGGTACTGTTGTTGCCCCCATTTTACAGATGAGGAGACTAAGGCTTTGTCAAGCTAAATGGTTTTTCAAGGTTACATATCTTGGAAGAAACAGAGGCCTGCAGCCTGGCAGCAGAGCCCATGGTCTTCATGGCATCAGCATGTGTGTTGCCTTCTGTGTACTAGCAAACAAAGACTCAAAGAGAAGGCAGGCAATATCCCTGGGGTCACACAGCCAGTTAATACCAGAGCTAGAACTAGAAATGCAGTCTTCTCTCCCCCACTCTGGCTCTCCTCCTGACATGGCCTCAGTCACTCAAGGTACAATAGGGATAACTCGTCCCATTTTACACAGCTGAGGTCTCTTCCATCCCATGACTGGATTTTCTATGACTGCTCAGTGCTCAGAAGATTCCAGGACTGGGAATCAATGGTGGAAACAGGCCTCTGGGTTTGACCACAGCTGTGGAGAAAGATGACAGCCCAGATGAGCACCATGGTCACCCCAGGGCCATGAGTCTCTAGAGGTGCCATTCAGCTTCCCAAGTCCCTGGGTTTTGGGGACTCCCTGTCACAGCCCTTTGGGGGAGCCTCCCACCCCTGCCACTGCATCTCTTCCTCCCCTTGGCTTCTCTCTGTCTAGTTGTGAGGGCTGGGCTGAGTAGGTCACTCCCAACCAGGGCTTTTAATGAGAAGTTTTGCCATACCAAGGCAGCAAAGATGAATAATTCAGTGAAGAAGCCCAGGGAATGTTATTCTTTCAGAGAAGAGTCCCTTGACAGTGGGAAAGGCAGGGAGGGTCTGCTTCTTATTATGGGAGGAGTGGGGGCTGGGGTGACAGCAGTAGAGAGAGGTGAAGAGGAGGAAAGCCCCACAGAAATCACTGACTGTGCTTGCTTTCAGTAAAAAGTTTTAAACAGAAAAGTGATTGGAGATCAGAATTGCCTTTTTAAAGAGTAGTCTGACGGCAGTGAGGAGATAGATCAGACTTGGGGCTAGAAGAGGGGTAGGAGGAGCAGAGATGAGGCTGTTTCAATCATTCAGGTTTCAGTTATAATAAGAGGAAAAAGGTAGGACTGACAGAACTAGGTATGACTCATGAAGGAAGAGTCTAGAATGATTCTTTGGTTTCTGAGCACTTCAAAGCAAACTCTCATTTGTTCATTTCTCTCTTAAAATATCTCGTTTTAGGAGTGTTTGGAACATCAAAGAGTAAAATGCAACCATGAGCTGCTCTTCCCACCAGCATGGAATCTAGTGACAGCCTATGTCCTGGCATGTGGAAGATAAGGCAGGCTTTGGGCCACGAGGACCGCCCCCTCCCTGCCCCATCTTTTAACTTTTCCTTCCTCAGGAACTTATTTGCTAAGGCCCACATAACTATATTATCAAATAGTCAATGTTTTTCCATCTTAGCCTTGAGACTAACATGAAGAGATCTGGTTAAATCTCTTCTGCGGTCTGAGTACATTCTTTTATCACCTTGGGTAAACAAGTTGAACAACCTTCAAAAATCTATCCCATATATGCACCTAACAATAGAGCCTCAAAATACATAATGCAAAAAGCTGATAGAATGGAAGGGAGAAATGGACAATTCAACAATAATAATAGTTAAAGACTTCAATATCTTACTTGAAATAATGAGTAGAAAAACTAGGCAACTAAACAACTAAGAAAGGACTTGAATAACACTATATACCAACCAGACCTAACAGGCATCTACAGAAAACTCTACCCCCAAACAGCAGTATACATATTCTTCTCCAGTGCAGAATGAACATTCTCCAGGATAGATTATATGTTAAGCCATAACAAAAGTCTCAATAAACTTTAAAAGATTTACATTATCTAAAGAATATTCTCTGATCATGGTACAACGAAATTAGAAATCAACAACTGAAGGAAATTTGGGAAATTCACAAATATGTGGAAATTAACACCCACCTAAATAACCAATAGATAAAAGGATAAATCACATGAAAAATTAGAAAATACCTTGAGATGAATAAAAATGAAATTACAACCTGACTAAACTTACCGGATACAGGAAAAGCAGTGCTTAGAGGAAATTTATACTGTATCTGTAAGTACCTATATTTAAAAGGAAGAAAGATCTCAAATCAATAACCAACTTTTCATCTTAAAACTAGGAAAAGAAGAGTAAACTAAATCCAAAGCAAGCAGAAAGAAGTAAATAACAAAGATTAGAGCTGGGTGCAGTGAGTCACACTTGTAATCCCAGCTACTTGGGAGGCTAAGGTGAAAAAATCACTTGAGTCCAGAAGTTCAAGGTTTCAGTGAGCTCTGATTGCACCATTGTACTCTAGCCTGGGTGACAGAGTGAGACCCTGTTTCTCAAAAGCAATCAAACAAAAAGATTAGAGGTAAACAAATGAAATAGAGAATAGAAAAGCAATAGAGAAAATCAACAAAATCAAAAGTTGGTTCTTTGAAAAGATCAACAAAATTTAGCTAGACCTACCAAGAAAAGAGACAAGAGTTGACTTACAAAAATCAGAAATAAAGTATCACCTTAAAGAATTTTTTTAATTATAAAGAAAATTATTTTTAAAAAAACCTAGTAAACAAATTAAATAATTTAAATGAAATAAACACATTTCTAGAAAGGCACACACTGCCAAGCCTGACTGAAGAAGAAACAGAAAATTTTAGAGATTAAATTAATAATGAGAAAAACCTCCCACAAAGTCCAGGACCAGACAGCTTAACTGGTGAATTCCACCAGGCTTTTACACCAGTTCTTCACAAATTCTTCCAAAAATAGAGGGAACATTTCCCAACTCATTCTATGAGACCATTACTCTCCTGATACCAAAGCCAGGTAAAAGAGAAAACGAGAAAAGAAAAATACAGACCAACAACCTTCACAAATATAGATGCAAACATCCTCAATAAAGTAGTAGAAAACTGAGTCAGGCAACATATAAAAAGGATCATACACCATGACCAACTAGGACTTATCCCAGAAATGCAAACCTGGTTCACATATGAAAGCCAGTCAATAGAATACACCATATTATTAGAATAAGGGTAAAAAATGTATCATCATCTTAATAGATGACAAAATTGAACACCCTTTCTTGATAAAAGAAAACACTCAACAGACTAGGAATACAGGGAATTTCCTTAACCTCATAAAGGGCACTTATGAAAAATCTGCAGTTAACATTCTACTTAATGGGGAAAGACTGCAAGCTTTCCTTCTATGATCAAGAAAAAGACAAGATGTTCACTCTTTCCACTTTTATTTAACATTGTAATGGAAGTTCTAACCAGGTCAATTAGGCAGAAGCAATATACAAGAGGCCTCCAAAGTGGAAAGGAAGATGTAAGATAATCTCTATTCACAGATGATGTGATTTTATATATTAAAAAATTGTAAAGAAGCCCCAAAAATCTATTAGAGCTAATAAATGAGTTCAGCGGGACACAAGATCAACACACAAAAATCAGTCATATTTCTATACACTAGCAATAAGCAATCCAAAAAGAAAATTAAAAATATAATTTCATTTATAATAGCATCAAAAATACTTAGAAAAAAATTGACAAAAAAGTGCAAGAGTTGTACACAGAAAATGACAAAACTTCATTGAAATAAGTTAAACAAGACCTAAATAAACGGAAAGGTGTTCTGTTTTCATGAATTGAAAGGCTCAATATTGTTAAGGTGGCAATATTCCCCAAATTGATCTATAGAATCAATATAATCCCTGGCAAAATCCAAGCTGTTTTGTTTTGTCTTGTTTTGTTTGCAAAAACTGACAAGCTGATGCTGAAATTGATGTTGAAATTGATATGGAAGTGCAAAGAGCTCAGAATAGCTAATACAAACTCGGAAAAGAATAAAGTTGGAGGACTCACATTTGTTGATTTCAAAACTTACTACAAAACTACAGTAATCAAGACAGTGTAATAATGACATAATAATAGACACATAGGTCAATGGGATAGAATTGAGAACCAAGAAATAAACCCTTACATTTATGATGAATCTATTTTCAAAAAGACTGCCAGGATAATTTAATGGGGGAAAGAATAATCTTTTCAACAAATGTGCTGGGATGCCTGAATATCCACATGGAAAACAATGAAATTGGACTCCTGCCTCACAGTATAAACAAAAATTAACTCAAAATGAATTATAGATGTAAAGGTAAGTGTTAAAACTATAAAACTCTTAGAAGAAAACATAGGTAAAAATCTGTGTGACCTTAGATTAGGCAATGATTTCTTAGATATGATAGCAAAAACAAGAGCGACAAAAGAAAAAATAGATAAATTTGACTTCATCTAAGTTAAATACTTTTTTGCTTCAAAGCCACCATCAAGAAAGTTAAGACAACACAAAGAATGGGAGAAAATATTTGAAAATCATGTATCTGACAAGGAACTGGTAGCTAAAATATGTAAAGTAGGCCAAACGCGGTGGCTCACGCCTGTAATCCCAGCACTTTGGGAGTCTGAGGCGGGTGGATCACGAGATGAGGAGATGGAGGCCATCCTGGCCAACATGGTAAAACTCCGTCTCTACTAAAAATACAAAAATTAGCTGGCCTGATGGCATGTGCATGTAATCCCATCTACTCAGGAAGCTGAGGCAGGAGAATTACCTGAACCAGGGAGTCGGAGGCTGCAGTGAGCTGAGATCATGCCACTGCACTCCAGCCTGGGCGACAGAGCGAGACTCAGTCTCAAAAATAAATAAGTAAATAAAAATATGTAAAGTACTCATAACACAATAATAGACAAATAATTTTAAAATTGGCAAAATATCTCATAGACATTTCTCTAAAGATATACAAATGGACCATAAGTACATGAAAAGATGTTTAACATCATTAGTCATCAGGGAAATGCAAAACAAAACCATAATGAGATTTCACTTCATACCCAGTAGGATGGCTATAATTAAAAAGCCAGATAATAACAAGTGTTGACAAGGATGTGGAGAAATTACAACCTTCATACATTGTTATTGGAAATGTAGAATGTTGCAGCCACTATGGAAAACAGTCTGACAGTTCCTCAAAAAGTTAAACATAAAATTATCATATGTCTCAGCAATTCTACTCCTAGGCATAAATCCATTAGAATTGAAAACATATGTTCACACAAAAACTTGTACAGGAATGTTTGTTGCAGCACTATTATAACAGCAAAGAAACAGATAAACCCCAAATGCTCATTAACTGAAGAATAGATAAACAAAATGTGTCATACCCATGCAATCGAATATATATTATTCAGCAATTGAAATATATATTATTTGACAATAAAATGGAACAAAGTACTGATACATGCTACAACATGAATGAACCTCAAAAATATTATGTTAAAGGAAGTAAGCCAGTCACAAAAGACCACATAGTATATGATGCTATTTATATGAACTGCCCAGAACAGACAAATCCACAGAGACAGAAGGTGGATTAGTGATTGCCTAGTGTTGGGGGTGTGAGGGTGAAAGAATAGGGAAACATTGCTAGTGGGTATGGATCTTCATTTGGGGGTGATGAAAATGTTCTAAGATTGGTTGTGGTCATAGTTGCACAACTCTGTGAGCATACTATTAATAAAACTCATTGGATTGCACACTTTAAATGGGTCAATTGTATATGAATTATATAACCATAAAGTTGTAAAAAAGTAACCTATCATACACTGATAGCTGGTGATATGAGTTTATTTTCACATGTAACTGCAAAGAAAAGCAGAGGCAAAGAATAACCTAGTCATTTCCCAGTAAAGCAAAGGCTACATCAAGGTTCATTCCTATGTAGCCACTTCCTAAACTGTAGTCCTGCTTACCCTTAATATGTATCAGAAACTCTATGTATCCAACTAGAAAAATTATCAGTGCCCTCAAGAGCAAAGGATGCCATTCCAGGTCAATCATTTGTTTGTTTAATTTGAACCTCAGGTGGCTGAGAATTGAGTTGATCGTATTTCTGAGTTCTTAGTATATTTTCATTATCATTTCAGGCAAGGTCCCTCTCTCTCTATCTTCACCCCCGCCTCTCTCTCTCTCTCTCTCTCTGTCTCTCTCCCTTTTTTTCTCTCTCTCTCTCTGTCTCTCTCTCTCTTTCTCTCTCTCTCTCTCTTTCTTCTTCTATCATCCCTACCCCTATTTTCCTCTCTCACCTCAGGCACCCACTTCGATCCATTTAATATTGTCCTTAAACATGCTGGTATCTTCGTAAGTTATCCACTGGTGTTTATGTATTATGTACTTTTTAACTGTTAATTTCTTGATAAAATTTGTTCTGTATTTAGTGGTTACATAAGTTGCACAGTGGCATTGACTCCCCTCATGGTAGAGACTAGGTGTTCCAAGTTCTGATTAGCCTGTTCTGGCCCTCAGTGTTCTGTTCTCATTAATCTCATTTTGTCCTTGACATGCCCCTCTCCCAGGACAACAAACAGGAAAGTTTGTTATATAAAATGTTTTCTTTCATTTTAAAGACTTCCTCCCCTGTGATAGGATGTATCCCTGTGCTGGGAGAACCATAGAGCAGTGGTTAAGTAAAGAGACTCTGGAATGTGACTACCTAAGTTTAAAACATAGTTCTACCACTTACCAGCCTGTAACTTTGGGTAACGCAGTTAACCTATCTGTGCCTCAGTTGCTTCATCTTTAAAATTAGAATGATGATAATAATAGTGCTCATCTCTGGACTGTTATGAGGCTTTTATGAGTTAATATCTGCAAAGTACAAACAACAATGCTGGTACATAATCAAAGTCATATTGTTTGCCATTGTTAGATTCCCAGGTTGTCAGTTCCAGGATCTCAGGATCTTCTGGTGAAACAATAATTTATTCACACTCAGTAAGGTGGACAGAGTGCAGATGCTAGGCCCAATGACAAACAAACCTAGAGAACATCAGGCCGTGGTCTTTAGGAGGCCTGTCACCACTTGGCAGGAACAGTATACCTGGGAAAGTGGTGGGACCAAATGATAGGAGCCTAGGAGCCACACTCCTAGGAGGGGATTGGAGCAATAAGTGTAAAGTGATCTGAAGTGGGGACAACCCTACTATAAATGGTAAACAAGGTGGGTACTCAGACTAGGAGAATGGGGTGCTGGAACACTGTGGAGGAGGGGTCATGAGTGTCCACGGTAACAGGAAACCTAGTCCTGGAGACATCATCATACTCCACTGTAAGCCCAGGAAGACAGAAGGGGAGAGAATGAGGCAGAGCTTACAATGGATCTATGCTTGTTGGTAACCCTGTTTTAAAGCAATAATCCCCAAATACTTTAGAATTGAAAACTATCACTTCTTTTATTTTAGTTTATCTCATTCTTTTTTCCTAAAGGTGTATGGTATATGCATTTAAAATTGAACTGCATTAAAGTCTTATTTGTATCATTTTCCTAATACTCTTTGAAACAATTGGAGTTGTCCCAGCATGTTGAAAACAGCCCTGGAAATGAGCTACCCTAGGCTTTTACTGTGGGGAAAAAAGATAGTGAACGATATCAAAAGCCTTTCTTACCTGTGAAGGTAAAAGCTTTTGACATGGAGCCATTTCAAGTCAAATTTATACCTATTTCTCCAAGTTTTTGCCAGACAAGGTCTCTCACGCAGATACATTAAAATGAGTAAAGAGCTTAGAGTTCTTATTAGGGCTGGAGTATACAGATCTGATTGAGAGAAGATGTTAATTCACCATACTTGAATCCATCTATTAACTTACTGACAAAACCACATCTAAGTCCAGTGTTTTACGGTTTTCTGAATTCTAGAGTTTGAAATGAGGGTGAGGGAAGAAGAGACCTAGAACTGTTTTCTTTCTTCTTTCAATTCTGACCACCTTTCACACTTCCACAGAAAAGAGAGGGGAAAGAGAAAGAAAAAGAACCCAACAAAGTAAGAGGTGGTTTTGGAAACTTCACTTGGTTTCAACAACTCAGCAAGATTAAATTACTAAAGCAATGAATGTGTTCTGCCCCCCACCCCCACCAAAAGAAATCCAAAACACATCAGGAATCATAATAACAGTCTGCTCTTACTTCAACACTCAAATAAAGCACAACTAGTTTTGATACTAGACTGTAGAGAAATATGTCCCCTGTAGCCTTCTGGATAAATATAGTATAATGAATGACACCCACAAAAACATGACCATAGTAAACATAGCCACTGTTGCATAGGACGGCTTTTAAAAAATGGTCCTTAATACAGGTCACTGACATCACAAAACAGAGCAATTTAGTAAAAATAATTCCAAGATGGCCACTGTGAAGCAATTCAAGTATTATGTTGCTACCTATTGGTCTGGCATAAATCAGGAAGATGTTTTAGACTCTAAAGTAGAGCAATCCCCAAGCTTTGTCCTCTGTCCTCTTGGGGGTAGAGTAGAAAATGCAGGTGTTGCTGCAAGGAGTCCCCCGCCCCGCATCCATCTGAACACCAAGGATTGTCAGTAAAATGAATGAATGATATGTCTTCATCTGTGTGGACATCAATAGAATACAAACTCATTTTAAAATGTTACTCAATATTGATCATTACTGAAGCTGAGTAATGGTTGCATGAGGCTCTTTGCATTTAGGGACTCTCTTTACTTTTGTGTATGTTTGAAATTTTCTGTAAGAAAAAATTTTAAAACAGCGTTATTGAATTGGTTGTATATTTTAAATGTTTTCTCAACCAATGGGTAATTCCCTCCACCTGTTATGGTAGAGGCCTGAAAAACTTATCACCTTAGAAAGAGATTTCCACCCTCAAAATGTTTTGGAGAAACTTCTACACAGTATGACCTCTAATGTGAGATGTGTGTGCACTCTGTGGTGATTGCAACATGATTCATTTGAACTAGTATTTGTACTAATTTTTAATCTTAAAATAAGAATAAAGTTTTATTAATATCTAATATCAATAAATATTAAAAAGATTGACTCTGGTGTTCTCACTCTGCTGATTTGTCAAGGAAATATGCCTTTTTAACAATCAGTGAGAAAGTAAGTGCCTTTCAAAGGAAATATGCCATACAGAGAGAATTTGAAAACAGATATGCGGAGATACCTTCATCAGCTTGTGACTTTGCTGCTGAAAACTATGTGTGTCACTTCTTTTCCCTATATATATATATAAATTTGAGCAGATTTGCTGTGTGTAATTATATAAAATGTATTAAAATATATATATTAAACATATGCTTTAAATATTGACATTATATTCATGTACTGCTGTTCTAATATACACATATAAGGCATGAAAAACAGAACACTTAAAAGTATAAAATTATATATATATATATTTAAAGTAACAGGGCATGTTTAACTTGCCTAAAACAACCTACTCTAATAGCTTGAACTCATTTGTAAAAATATTTTAGTTTGGGTCGGGCTCGGTGGCTCACGCTTGTAATCCCAGCACTTTGGGAGGCTGAGGCGGGCAAATCACGAGATTGGGAGTTTGAGACCAGCCTGGCCAACATGGTGAAACCCCGTCTCTACTAAAAATAAAAAATTAGCCGGGTGTGGTGATGCATGCCTGTAATCCTAGCTACTCAGGAGACTGAGGCAGGAGAATTGTTTGAACCTGGGAGGCGGAGGTTGCAGTGAGCCGAGATCGCACCCCTACACTCCAGCCTGGGTGACAGAGTGAGACTCCATCTCAAAAAAAAAAAAAAAATTGTAGTTTGCAAGGGCCACTAAATGATGGCAGGGAGAGTGAAAATTTGATAGTCAAATTTCAACAAAAATCTTTGCATAACTGCAAAGTGAGGCTGAAAATTTAACGTAATTTATTGAACACTGCCAATGTCATACTGCATCCATTTACATCTATGAATCTTTGTAAGTTATTATTTTCAGCTATAACATCCATTCGAGCCAAGGGCAGTTTAAACTGAACTCAGTATTCTAAAATGTTAAACCATGATTTCAAAATTAATGAGGCATATTCAGTCACATTGTTCTCACTAAAATATTAATAATATCATGTTTCAAATAAGATATAAATTGTGTAAGTATATATTATCAAATAAAACATATTTTAAAATATTACTTCATATTTATCTTATACTTTTAAATGTTGTTTTCCATGCTTTGTAATGTGTATATTAGAACAGCAGTACATGAATATAATGTCAATATTTAAAGCATATGTTTAATATATATTTCAGTACATTTTATATAATGACACACAGCAAATCTGCTCAAATTTTAATATGTATACAAATCGTCCTGGGATCTTGTTAAAGTGCAGTTTCTGATTCAGTGGGTGTAGATCAGGCTGAGATTCTGCATTTCTAACTAGCTCCCGGGTGATCCTGATGCTCCTTGTTCTAAGACCACACTTAGAGCAGCAAGGTCATGGCGGGGGGATGTGGGCTCCAACATGTTTTACTCATAGTATTGCACAATAAAAAATATTTGGAGATGACTGGGGAATGAATGGAGTACACTTCCTTCAGGTTATCCCCCCTTAACCACTGCTTCTCTCAATGGAGTTTTTGGCAGGTACTATGACAAATGTGAACCTGAAATAGGCAGTGCTCCAAAATGGATCCTGAGTGGCTAACTGGGCCTAAATTTTAAATAGAGCCAAGTGGCCATCTGCCAACTATAGGTCAGAGGTCTCAAGTTCCTCCAAAACCCACACCTCTGTTCAACTTTGGGACTTCCAGAGCTCACCTGAACCAACCAATCTGAGATCATCTGCCTTGACCAATCATGGCTTAGCTGCCTCAACCAATCAGGCTCAGTTGCCTTGACCAATCAGGGCTCAGTTCTATCAACCAGTCAGAACTAGGTGAGTTTGAATACTTCATTTGCATAAACTTTTGCTGTAAAAGTATAACCCTAGCTTTGCTCTCTGGAGCACACCTTCATTTTACACCTAAGGCTGTGTGTCTCTGGTGTCCAAACTGTTCTCTGGAATAAAGTCTCTTTCCTTGGGGCTGGGAGCAGTGGCTCATGCCTGTAATCCCAGCTCTTTGGGAGGCTGAGGTGGGCCAGGAATTCGAGACAGCCTGGGCAACATGGCAAAACCACGTCTCTACAAAAAATTTTTTTTAAATTAGCACTGAGCATGGTGCAGTCGCCTGTAGTCCCAGCTACTCTGGAGGCTGAGGTGAGAGGATCACTTGAGCCCAGGAGGTCAAGGCTGTAGTGAACCGAGACGGTGCCACTGCACTATAGCCTGGGCAACAGAGTGAGACCCTGTTTCAAAAAAAAAAAAAAAAAAGGTCTCTTTCCTCTAAATTCCTTTTTATTTTTAATAATTTTGTTTGTTTTATTTTTTATTCAAGACAGGGTCTCGCTCTGTTGCCCAGGACGGAGTGTAATGGTGCAATCACAGCTCACTGCACCCGCAGCCTCTGGGGCTACAGCTATACTCCCACCTCAGCCTCCAGAGTAGTTGGGACTACAGGCACTAGGTACCATGCTGGAGTACTTTTTTTTTTTTTTTTTTTTTTTTTTTTTTGTAGAGGCGGTGTCTCGCTTTGTGGCCCCTTTTCAGAGAACTTTTGTTCACTATACTGAGCTACAATGATAGTGGTTCTGCTCCCTGACAAATACCGGGATTCAGCTAATCTCTGCAGCTTTGCCAGTCAGCTGAGCTAGGATAGGATTAACATGCTCATGTGTAAACTGATGTGACCAACAAGGCCACATGCTCCAGCATGGAACTGAAGGATAATAGTTGCTTCTGCCTCATAAGACTGATGTGAGGATAAAATGAGATGTGTAAAGTACTTTGCAGATACAGTGCTTGATAAAGTGCAGCTATTATTGTTGGAGGCAAGGCTGCTTACAGTCCGGGCCAAGTTTATCTTCAGGCAATTATTATTATTATTATTTCTGAGACAGGGTCTCCCTCTGTTGCCCAGACTGGAGTGCAGTGGCACAATCTCGGCACACTGCAACCTCTGCCTCCCAGGCTCAAGCATTCTTGTTCCTCAGCCTCCTGAGTAGCTGGAATTATAGGCTTGAACCACCACGCCTGGCTAATTTTTGTATTTTTAGTTTTGCAATGTTGGCCAGACTGGTCTTGAACTCCTGACCTCAAGCTCAAGTGATATGCCCTCTTTGGCCTCCCAAAGTGCTGGGATTACAGGCATGAGCCACCATGCCCTGCCCAGACAATTATTTTGAATCTTCTTTAACACCAAGACAAATAGGGCATAAAGCATGACTTAAAATTTTTTAACCTGGAAATATTTTAAAGTAGTTGTAACCCGCTAAGCTATTAAAGACAAACAAACAACAACACATGTGCAGAAATTCCATAAGCACCCATATATTACCTGGCTTTGAGAAATGTAATTTACTTTTGTCCTTTCAGATAAGCCAGCTGCAGAATATATCCTGAGGTACCTGCTTTATGGAATTATTCACACTATTCACCAACAGGAAGGTAGGAACATCTACTGAAAATGACAAATTTTTTTTTTAGGAAAGCTGATATGTATACTTTCTTCCTAGCAGTAATTAGCTGAGCCATTTGTTTGCTAAGACCACTCTGAGCTTGTGATAATATCATCTGCGTATAGGATAATTTGTGTGTTTCTGTTCACTTGTGATAATATCATCTGCATATAGGATAATTTTTATGTTTCTCTTCACTTTTTTTTGGATAATGTGGGCTGATTTAATATTTTAAGTCAAATGAGATTTCACCAAATTTCTATCTGGTACATGTTGGGGACATGGAAGGAAGCTTTGATTGCAAGAGCCACATTTCCCTGTTGTTTTTTAAAGTTGGTCTACATGTGAATTCATCATCAACTAGAATTAAAACCATCTATACACTTTCAGATATCAGTTGGCTTGTTTGGTTTTAATATTGTAACCCTCAGAATCAGCTTTGTATTTTGCCCCTTTGATGCTTGAAAGATAGGGTTTCACATAATATATAGAAGATCCATGAAGCTAGTTCCTTTGGAACCTAGAGCTGGGTGACTTTCCACATTGGGGGGCAAAACAGTCCAAGCCTATTTAATGTTTTTCAATCTTAAATACCATTGCATTTATCTAAATACAGACTTACATGTCTATATCTTTTTTTTTTTTAACATGACTCTTTGTTTCTCATGGGACTGTGCAAGTTTCTCCCTGATTCTATCTTTTCCACTGTTTCTGTGGAAGGATGTTAGCCTCATTCTTCACCATGCTCCCTGTCTCCCTGCCTACCCCTTTCTGTCTTTAGTTGAGCTCCATGAGGGCTGAGACTGTATCTCTTTTATTAACTGCTATACCACAAACACTTTGCATAATACTTGGCACAGATAATTTATCAAATAAATATTTTTTGAGAGTTTGAGTAAAATGTTAAGACTGGATTTCTTTGGACTGATCCATAATCAGTAAAACACTCATTACCTTATCTGATATTTTCCTTTAGAATAAAGTCAATCAATTCAAGGAGTCTCAGAACAGGAGCACATAGACACCAAACTTTGTGGGACAACAAATATAATGAAGAGTATGTTTGCGTCTTTCAAACAAGTGAGTGAACGAGGAAAATCTTTCCCAATATATAAATATTGACTTGAAGTCCTTACCTGCTTATTGATGTAGGAATGGCCAAGTATTGATTTCGTAAATATAATAATGAGTATTTCTTTTATTTGTTACTTAATATTCATGAAGTTAACTGTTAATGTCAAAATAGCCACACTACCTGTGTTCACAGTTAAGGAAATCCAAACAGAGAAGGACTTGGTATCTTTTTTGTTGTTGTTGTATAAATTTAGGGGATACAAGTGCAGTTTTGATATGTTATATCTTACATTACCCTTCCTTGGCTTCTCAGACTTAGCCTGGATAGAGACAAAAGGCCAGACTGAATAGCTTGTGTTTATATCAATCTTGATTCATGTGCCCTCTGACTCCCCAAATGATTGAGTGGGTGGAAGCACGCACATGCATTGAGCCAGTGTGTGCATAAATGCTGTCACATGTAAGGCAAGAAGCAGGGTGACACAGAAAGAGCAAGTCACAAGTTGTCAGGACTCTAAATTGAAGTTTTGTTTGTATCCATGCCCTAAAAACCCAGAGCCACGTGAAGTCAAGGCCCTTAACACCCACCCCTCCCACATACTGAGGGGAGAATTCAGATGCCCACTGGAGTCAGCCGATCAGACTGCCTTTTGCACACTCCTTGCCTCCACTCCAGTTTACCGTGGAAGACCTGTCTGCTATGGCTGAATCTGAGAGAGATCCTTGAGTGTAAGATCTGGTCTTGATCACCTTTCTACCCACACTGCCCCCAAACTTGAACTTCCTGGGGTTTAACACAATACTTAGTAGTTTCTCAATGAATGTTCACAGAACGAATTAAGGAATGAACAAATGTTGCTCTGGACAAAGCTGCAGCTTCCACGTCCTGCATAACTGCACTCAGTACTGACCCTGAAGATAGGAAAAGCAATACAACTGGTGCTGTAAGAAAATGTTTCTTGTTTATACTGCTGCATCTTGATCTTCGGCTGATCTCAGCACAAAGAGAGCTCTTTCAGTTAGAAAAAAGGAGGTTTATGGTGTGTGGGAGAGCTAAGAACAATGGGTTCAATTGATAGACTGGAGATGCTCTCAGCTTCTGAGAGCCTAGAAACTCCATCTATAGATTCATCCCAGAGGCAGAGCCAAATAAGGGCAGATGGAAAACATAGCTTTCTTGGGAACTGGCTTTCGGTTCCTCTGAGGCAAAAATACAATCACTCTGTAGAACCCTGAATCAATTCTCCAAAATATGGTGCTGTGTCCTTGTTTGCAGTGTCTTAAAATAAGTCCCTGTCATATTTTTATTCTTTATGTCTTAAAGTCGTTCAACCAGACTCGCTTGCAGAATATTAATTGTGGTTAAGCAGAAATCAGGAAATTAAATTGAAACTGCTTTTGAATGGAGCTCCTTAACTGATGACTGACTTGTCATCCCTCCAGCTAAAGATTCCTTTCTCTCCAGTCATTTGCCAGCTGCAACTATGGGGCAATGAAATGATTTTAAGACAGCTTTCTTTAAGCTGGTCATCAGAGTGCTGTCCAAGGGTGCCAAATTCTAACCTAGGGTTGTGAAAGGGCTTTAATGCTATGTCCCCGGTGGGCTAGTAGGCTGGCCATCCAGGGTGGTAGGTGTCACTAATTTATTTTAGTACTGCCCTGCCACAGCCTGTTTACATTTACGTTGCCCTTTCCATACCTGCTCTGTCCTTTAAGTACTAAACCTTCCATCCAGTACTATCCAAATAAAACTAAATATTAGTCACGTATGAATTACTAAGGGATCATTACTGGAATATCCAAACAATTTAAAGAGAAGGTAACAATAACTTAAATCTAAATGCACCGGGGACTGGGGCACCACTAAGGTATTGAAAAAGTAACCATAGTTGACTCTGAACATTCTGAAACCCAACTTCGAAGAGAAAAGAAACCTTTAAGTAGGCAATAAATTGGTTTCAATATCTGCGTTTTAACACAAGCTCAGACATGTACTTACTGGATTTCTTTGGGCAAATTACTTTGCTTCTATTTCTTAGTGTCTTCAACTATAAAAGTAGAAGTAATCTATTCATATACTATTTATTTCAGAGAAATGTTATGAGAATGACTTGGATGAGCTGAAAAATGAATGATCTCCTTGAACAAGGTACGATTATTAAGTTTCTATTGTGAAGTCAAATAGAACAATTCACTCAAAGGACACGATGTTTGATTGAGAACATTCTTAATTTTATTTTCTTTAATTTTATAAAATACACTTTGTAAGATAAGTTTCTAAAAGTTTATCCTTTATGTGTGTTAAAATTGCAATTCTATATCAGAAATGAAGGAAACACTTTCAGTTGATTAACTCTCTTTGTGTGTGTATATATGTGTATGTATGCATGTGAGGTTTTCAGGGAAGGGTTGGTTATTTGTTATGTTATTAAATCAAAACAAAACACAAGGTACGGATTACTTCACTGTCCTTTATCTTGATTGGTTTCTTACAAAACATTTTCCCTCTCCTCCTTCTATGCAGCCTGGAAGCTTATCTTGTATACTGGTTTGAAAACAAGTATCAAGTGTCTTTTTGTAAAGCTCTTACATCTCCTTAAATATTGCTGAAACCACTTTGGGGGAAAAGAACAACACAACTCTTTACAACAAAAGAACTGTAGTACAAATCTTTCCTTCAATTAAAACCAATCAGACTTTTTTTTTTTTTAACCCAAAGTTAACAAAAACAGGAAAAGACTGAAATCTGGGAGCTATTCAGGTCTCAAACTCTTTCTGCCTGTCCTTTTTCCTGGAAGCTTACCAACTGAATAGCTGATGACTGGTGCATTCTGTTATGTGATCTATATCAGGAGAAAATAACCTTTATGTTAAACCTAACTCTTAACACACCAAGATAACATTGCTAAGTAAAATCATTTTCCATTAGCTAGAAAGAACGATCAGATTACTCAAATTGAGATTCAAATTCACCAAATCTGTTTCTGCAAAGGCAGAATACTTGTAGAAAATCCCAATAGATTCAACTAGCCAATTTTTAATATCATTTGTGATGCTTAATGTCCAATTTTCCTAGTTTAAAAAACAGTCATAATCAAAGAATTATTCTCCAGACATTTCTGATGCAACCCCAAATAAGTAATAAACAAACTGGAATACATGAAATGTGCATCATTCTAAAACAAATCAAGACCTTCAAATCACCTACGATGACTGAATGGATAATACCCCATGAAATGAGCACCATTGTGAAGATATGACAGAGGCCAGAGTACACAACTAATTAACAGAAAAAAAGACATGCTATCCAAAGAGTTATCTATCCTGTGTCTACCAGAGGGCCATCTCAGGTTACACCATTAGCCACCAGCAACTGCTGCTCCTCAGGCCAGTCTGTTCTCATGTAAGCTAGTTTCCTTCTATTCTCAGCTCCTTGGAAACCACAGGGTTGTCATGGTAGCTGTTATCAAGGAGAAGGGAGTGAGAAGATGCTGACAACACCCTGTTTCTCTTCCCTAACGAGGTGTAAGGCCAGATGCCCCCTTCGTCTACACAGATTCTACGCTCCCTTATGCTGTAAGTAAGGTTGGCTGAGTTAGGGCTTCAGTAGTCCATCGCCATCGGGGTCAGTGCTCTCTTTCTGTGGGTGAAAGATCCTTGCTTTGACCCCCTTCTCCCAGCTGCAATAGGCAGATTTGGGCAAACGCTCTTATTGTTTTTCTGACATTCTTTTTTCTTCTATCTTCAGTGGTAATAGAGAGACCAGAATGAATTCCATTTTGTACACCAAAGAGAATATATTTGGCCCCTATAGATGGCAAGAGGACCAAAGACATTCCTTCTCTGTACCTGAGCATCTTTCCTTCCACTTTGTTTCCATCAGTGGAAGTACCCTTTGAGAAGAAATTACTTTCTGATCCTCAGGAGATGCTTGAAAATTCAATTAGAGCCTCCATTCCTTTGTGACTTGCAGTTGGGAAGTCATCTTCTTAGGCATTTCCCATTTCTAGCAGGAACCAGCTATGAAGCAAAATGACTAAAAGAGGTACATAAGAGGGGAGAGTCCAAAGAGAGACCTTAATCACTGCAAGACTCTCCTTTCTTGTTACACTCATCAAGTAAGAAGAGGGCCAGTTGGTGGCAAAGGCAAAGAGTTAAGATGGGAGACGCAGCATTGTAGGCTGTGTGGTTAGAGCCTCGCTATTAGAGAAAGGGGGATTTCTACGGGGGATCAGAACTTGGTGCCTCGGCCCATGAGTTTAAGGACGGCAAAGTTGTAAGTGGCAGCAATCATGAAGGTGAGCTGTAGGGAACAGAAGAGAGAATGTGAATGAGAGTAGAAAAGAAAGCACTCCCTCCTCAAATCCCTTTGGGAATGAGGAAGGGTAGAAATAAAATCATAACTAAATAAGGGAAAAACCCATGCTCTGCAAAAAGCAGTACATCCCAGGCTTGGCTTTCTCCATATACACTTGACTGGAAGTCCGATGTCTCTGAGGCATCATGGGTCTCATGGCCCAGGCCCAGAGAATCAAATCATAAAGATTTATTCCACACCTCTGTTTGATCTAGCACTGAGTTTTCCTCAGGGAAGTGAACAATATTTGGGCTTTGCCACATCAATATGTCCGAGTGACTTAGAGTCATAGGGTGCTTGCTGTAGACACACAGCCACATCATGCAGTAGAGCTCTCCCCTGGTTAATGAATCAATTCGTTTTACAAGGTGAGAAATTACTTGACTCTGTATGGAAACCTCAGCAGTAGGGGCCAGGAGTTCTGTGAGCTCATCTTGTCTGATCACTGCTTATAAAATAACTTCAGATAAATCACTTCACCCTTCAGTGCCTTAGGTTTTTAATCTGCACAATGAGCACACTACATTCACAGGGCACTGTAGCACTATCAGCAAGACCTGGGACATAGCATTGTATTATAATCATAACAATTCTAATAATGTTAGGAGGTCCTCCCAGTATTTCCATATGAGTAACTAAATCCACTGGAGAGTATCCAAAGTGGATTCATATTGATAGTATATAGAATTCCAGGCTATAGCAAGTCATGTTTCGTGATGTTTCAGTGTTTTGTCACTGATCTGATCAAAATGTATTGAGAATTAACCGTAATTTATGACTGCAAAGTACTTGGCAACATTACATGTTCTATAAATACTAAATATTATCATTCGTGTCTATGAATCTCTTACCTCTTTCCTCATACCACTTTTCTTGTTCCCATCTAATTTGTGATGTCTTTCTGCCTTGCCAATGCAAGTAGAAGTACGGAGCCTCCACCCTTTGCTATCTTCCCAGAAGCTTCCCTCCAGCATTTCAAGGATGGAAGCAGTCTACCTTCTTGCCTTTCAGAATAGCTGTACCCACACTATCTCAGGCCTATTTACTTGCCAAGATCATTCAAAGTCAACTCACCAGGGAAACCAGTGTAGCTGCAGCCCCCACAAATGCAGCAATAAACAGGTGGAAGGTCATTTGGAACTGCAGGAAAATGAAAGAGGAAGAACTGTTTCTTGCAACAGCAGTAATATGCTCCACTGTAAATCATGAATACAGCTTTCTGAATGTGTTGATATCTTTCTTGTGTGCTAATTCCACATCTCTAACTAAGTTTTCACTTCCCTAAATGTGGGCCTCCCAGTCTTCAGTGTACACCATAGCACCTGGCCCATTAACACCCAGATCACAGAATAGTCATGAAATAGTACAGTACTCCAAAATAATTAACTGGTTCCCTACAGTTGTGCCCAGGGGCCCAAAATTTAAAGTCAACATTTTGCTGTCAAAGAAATAATTTACTGCCTGTCTCCCCCGGATTTACTTTTATTCCCCTGCCTCATTTGTATATAATATCTGTTCTCAATACAGTGCTTTCCCTTTCAAATGTACTTATTTTACCTCTCATTTGAGATAAAGAAGTTCCAAATTGAAAATGTTTTCATAAAACCTATGAATGCCTCTGTGCACAGCCCATTTTCTTGATATGGTTTTTAACTAAAGGAATGAAAATTTTCATGTGGGGGATTTTGCCATTAGGCTCTATCTTTACCTAAAGCTACAAACTTCTCTTTTAAGAGGGGAAGGGTTGGAAAGGAAGTCTTTCTATGCAACTCTAGAGAAAACAGGTGTTTTACCTTCTATGCTCATTGGCTCAGGCACACTTAGCCAACATGTTGTAGAAGGCAATCGGCTAATTCAAAATCCAGCAAAGGGAAACTTTCAGTCCTTAAAATTGAAGGCCATGGGTGTAATTTGTATGGTATTAGCTACTCCCTTGTAAAATAACCCAAATAACCCACTCACCTCAGCTGTTTTGCAGATGGACAGAAGGTTGGAGCCACAAACCTTGCCAGGGAAAGCATTCCATGGGAGAACACCTAAGTAAGACACAAAAAGCAAGCAGGGTAAGCTTTATGGAGTTACGGGGCCACATGGAGACTTTCCCCCAGAGCCCTTCTTCCATCTCTAATTATCCTGGCTGTAAAGTTGGATTCTACCAACAATCAGGATCCTCTTTTCTACAGGTTTACAAAAAAGAGAAGGTGGTATTGAACAGTGGTGAAACCTTGTGTTTGTTATTGAAATGTGCTGCTTTGGGGTTGTGAACAGCAGTCAACTAGAGTAGGCCAATGTGAATGGCCAAGAAAACTCCCACCACTTCCAAGTTCCCTTCCCGGGGAAGAAACCTCTCTGGTTTCAGTAGGGAAGGATTAATAAACTAAGACCCAATCATTCATCATCTTATATTTTTCTCATAATCACCACCCTCCTTACACTAAGAAAATAACCAAATATATAGTGCTTCCATAGTGGGTAGGAGAGCCAAAGCACCCGTACCCTAACTCACCATACATTCTGGCATCAGCACAGAGACTGCCTATACTGGCAGAGGTCTTGCTGGGGAAGGCAATAGACTGGCAGGTGGTCCAGGTGTTGAAGTAAATGTACACAGGCACAGCAGAGCAGGCAAACACCAGGAGCCACACAACGGTCAGGGCATAGGTGATGCCCACAAACTAAAATGATTGACATGGGGTGGTTAGAAATCAGCATCAGCCTGCAGATGTAGAAACACAAACTGGGAGATCCTGGAGTGGCGTGTGCCAGACATTAAAACCAGGTTCCAGGGCTCTCCTTCAAATGAAATTAGTGAGCAGGGCACCTCTGCCAAGGGTAATTGGCAGTATCTACTAGATAACTGGCCCCAGTATAACGGAGGGTGGGGGGAATGGGTAGGGGAAGAGTGAGGAGGATCCCTGGGTTAGAGAGGCTTCAGAGGATGTTTTTGGGCAGATAAGGTGTAAAGAAATCAAAACAGATCTTGAAAGAAAGTCGTGCCATTTTGTGCCTTAGGCTGAGCTTAGAACATGTTCCTTGCCATAGGAACATTTTTGTTCCCTAGCCATTGAACAAAGCCAATAGGAGATTAAAATTTCAGATACAAAACCTTTCTAAGCTAACTGCTGGCCACAAAAAGACATTGCTGGAACCCACACATGTTCAGCCGCCAAAGGATCTTTAACTCCAGAGACTGAAAACAAATGTGCACCTCACTCAAAGCATGGATAACCCTCAGGCAATAAAACATTCAACATGCAGATCTACTCCAATTCCCTCTGGGACCTCGAACTGTGCAGGATCCCAGAACATTGTAAATTTCACCTTGGAGTTAATTATTTAATTTTTATTATCCATCCTCCCTCTCAGATCAGGTGCCCAAGTCTCAATCACATGAGCAGCATTTTAGACTCTTGTCCAGTTAGATCCACTCTTGTGGTACCTACTAGGAAGGGAACAAAGGGATACCAACAGATGGCTTAGAAATGGTCTGATTGTACAAAGCATCCCACAAAACTCATGCTTTCTGTTTTGAGAAGAAATTTGCTTAGGGAACCTTTGAAAGGTGAGGCTAAGCCAGCTGGGCACCACGTTCTTCCTGACCTTCTCGTTCGGCTGCAGCCATCGCTTCCTCACTCAAATGCCAGGCCCCTAGAGAGGACCCAGCCTTGGGTGGGGACGAGGCCACAGACTCGCGCCCAATTTTCCCCCACCCCTTGTTATTGCCACAAAATCCTGAGGATGATCACCTTGTCGGGATGTCCTAGCCATTTTCCCAAACAATGACACACCCGCTCCAAAGAATGAGCTTGATGTTGGCCTCTGGAACCCCTCCCCTTCTGGCCCCCTGTTACCGTTGCGCTCAGGCCCTTGCCGCAGATGGTGGTCTTGTAGTCGCCAAAGATCTGCCTGACTGCGCCGGTGGTGTAGAAGCCCTCAGCCAGCAGGAGGGCCCCATAAAGGAAGAAGAAAGAGGCAGTTCCATAGATGACATACTGGAAGGCATGGATCCTGCATTAACAGGTAGACAAACGAGACCAGGGAATCTTATTAATTGAAGACCTGGCTTCTTTCCCGACATAAGTGAGGTATACACCAGAGCGAGCACCTTAACAAGGCTAGGGATTTTCTAGAGGAATCACCAGGTTCCTCCTGCATGCTTTCACCTTATCTTTGTTGAAATAAGTGAAGACAGGGTGTATGTGACCAGAAACATATGCCCCTCCCGCCACACCTTGCTTACCCTGGGACCTGGAGAACCAGGGACCTACTCTCCCTGCCCCACCCTTCAGACATGCTAACTCACAGGAGTAGGGAGCTAGACAAGAAGAAAGGTGGGTGAAGGAACAGGAGCCTAACTTGTTCTAGGAACAGGAGAGGCTTAGTGCCTCCCTTGGCTTCTCCATACCTACTACGCTGGAGGCTCCAACTTGGGCAATATGAACCACACCTAGCAGAAGTCAGAACACGTGTAAGAAAACAAGGGGGCGGGGGTGGGAGGGGCTGACAGGCAGGCAGGCAGACCCCTCCTTTCTGAATGGGCTTCGAATGTGGAGCAGGAGAGATCTGCACAGAGGGAAGACTCGGGAATCCGGTCTGGCTCCACCCCAGTCCCCTGCTAGTTACTAAGGTACTGAAGAGTTCTCTATCTCCAGGATGGAGAGAGGGAAAAAAAAGATGGGTCTGTGTGGGAGGGCAGGTACTTACACATTGATGAGATACTCATAGTCTTGGTAGTTTTTGGAGAAATAGGTCTCAATTAGCTTTTCTGTGCCAGTGAGGGCTTCATGTCCACAGCCACAGAACAGTGCCACCCCAAAGAAACACAATCCAGTGGCCACCAGGGAAGCAAAGGGGGCCCCTACCAGACATCTTGCACAGCACTCTAACAAGCCTGGGGAAGAAGAAGGGGAAACAGTCAGGCACATCCAGTAGGTAGCTCATGCCACTCAAACCCCTCTGCCAGGCCCTGTGCTCACAGGCTCGGAGATAGTGGGCACTCCGAAGTCAAAAAGCAGGAGCGGCTAGAGGTTTTGGCTTTCAGCATGTGAGATTGACCCAGAATCCTTACTTTGTTTCATTCTTGAAAATAAATCTTTGGCCGGGCACGGTGGCTCATGCCTGTAATCCCAGCACTTTGGGAGGCTGAGGCAGGTGGATCACATGAGGTCAGGAGTTCAAGACCAGCCTGGCCAACATGGCAAAACCCCGTCTCTACTAAAAATACAAAAATTAGCCGGGCATGGGCGTATGCCTGTAATCCCAGCTACTCAGGAGGCTGAGACAGGAGAATCTGTTAAACCCAGGAGGAGGCGGAGGTTGCCGTGAGCCAAGATTGCGCCATTGTACTCCAGCCTGGGCAGTAAGAGCGAGACTCTGTCTCAAGAAAAAAAAAAAGAAAGAAAGAAAATAAATCCTTACCTTTTATTGCCAGAATTTAAAAAATATTTAATAAATAATAATAATTCAGCAATTCAAATAGCAAGCCAGAGAGATTATGAAATCAGTCCCTTCTTTCTTATTGTTCTAGTCTGTTTGTTTGCTTGCTTATTTTAGTCATTCATCAACTATTTATGGAATACTCACTATATGCCCAGCATTATGCTGGGTGTTATACGGGATATGAAGAGAGAAAAGACACAGACTCTGCCATATGGGAGTCTTTAATTTCCTGAGGAAGAATTAGCTAAGTAGACCTAATATTTTCAACTAACAATTCAGGCAGCCAAGTAAGTGGTAACAGAGGGTAAATGCACTTGGAGTTCCAGGAAGGGATGAGTGCAGGCCAGAGATGCTGGTATTGTCAGACAGGATTTTAGCATGAAGAGCATTCCAGGTGGAGGAAACTTTGGAAATTGGATGCTCCTGGACATTTTTGAGCATCGTGTGTATTTGTTGCAAAGAATGCTTGATTCTTCTTAGTTTACATATGGGAGGAGCAGTCCAAACAGGATGGAGCTAGCACAGGACAAGAAATGAAAATTGGAAAATAGGAGGTTTGATATTACTCCCAATAATAAAAATGCAGGCTTAATGATTTTGGACACTTTGTATGGCAGTTTTGTCCTCCTATAATGCAGCTTGGCTAATGTCCCCACCCTCAGTTATACGCTGAGATTCTGTCAAAACAGCTACAAACAGACTTTATACAAAGTCAGCAAAGCATGAAACATCTTTCTGGCACTAGAGGAACACACCAGGGCCTGGGAACACATGTGTCTTAAAGTGCTAAGAGTCCCTGAGATCCCCAGACCTGGTATCCCAGGCCCTATGCCAGTGTTGCTGAGAAACAGGAGAGGCACACAAGAAGTCACAGGCTCTGAAAGCAGCTGTGTTCCAAGTACTAGTCCCATGCTCTAAGATGTCATATGGAGTGAACCTTAGCAAATGCCAAGTAGATGACTGACTAGATGAGGAAAAGAATGGCTTCCTCTGGCCTCTCGGCCAGATCCCTAAAATGTAGAAGAAATGAGAATGTTAAGCTCTTCAGAAAAAATGTCTTAATTCATATGTATGTATATATATAAATATATGTATATATACCCACTGATTTTATATATCTATAAACACAGTATACACATGCACACACACAAATACTCAGCAAATGTACTGGGAAGCTGCTATTTTTGAATAAGCAGGTTGTGACAGCTTGTACAATAAAAATAAATTGTATTAATTACTTAGGCTTGGATTTTTGTATTCAAGCATTTCTCCAAGCCACACTCACTTTTCTATAGGGTACCAGGGAAAGGGGACTCCTTTTCCTGATTCTGTTAACATTAGTTACAGTTTGTTTTTAGCCCAGAGAGCATGAATACCTAGTGATTTACATGGCTGAATTGCATCAGTGTGAACAGATTTGGAAAGATCAAATTATCTCTGTCATGGGAAAATCGAGGTAGAGGCATTTGCCTCTGTTCTCAGAGACACAAAAGGAGTGAGTCCTATTACCCACCATCCCCTGAAATGACAGCCCTTTCTTGGCCTTCAAAGAGTGTCACACCAAAGATGAGCCTCAGAAGCCCAAGCCAAACAAAGTAAGCAGCTAACATTTGGAGCAGAACTTCCTTTTCCAAGAACTAAAGCATTGCTGCCAGGAAACTTGGCCTCTATAAGAAGCAATCTGTAGCTGTGCTGCTGTGAGTGGAGGCTGAGTTTACTCAGCATGAACTTTGCAAACGTGCTTGGGAAGAGTGTCTTTTCAGAGCTGGCCCATGGGTGTGTCTGTGTGTGTGCACACGCACATGCATGCATGTGTACAAATGTGCACATACACACATGTATACCACAGAGAAAAACACAACAACTGAAATCGATTGTTGTTCTCAGAAAACATTCCAGAAATTGATCTTCCTCTTTCTCAACAGGTTAAGATACTAGATTCAGCCTATAAGTCAAGAAAAGGAGCTTAGAAGTAAACAGTACTGCCATTTTCCTTCTCTGCCTATCCAACTCCTCCCCACCCCCAAACTCTTAGACTTTTCTAGTAAAGAAAGTCTCTGAAGCCTGGGGATGGGGGGAGAAGAAGGTCAGTGACCCCACTGTTCCCTTTCTCCCCAGCACAGGGTCAGGGCTTGGACAGAGCCCTCCATAGCTCCCCCGGACAAAGAAGCCTTGTTCTTTCCTGAGATCTCAGGAGCCTGATTGGTATTCCACAGGGGCCTGCAGCCGGGGGGTGGGGAGGGGGTCAGACTCAGGGAACAATGGCAGGACTGTTTGTTTAGCCGAGGGTAAGAAGAGCCATCCACCCTAGCAAGTGACCATCTTGGGCCTACTCACTCATCCCAGCATTTTCATCTGGGAAGGGCTAAGTGCTTGTGCAGGTATGGTCAGGGATGGAGGAACTTGAACTCTTGCTAGCCAAAAGAGAACTCCACTTTAAGCGTTAGGTGATGCCACCTCTAGGGTTGCAAAGATGAGAGGGAAACATCCTCTTGAGTGTATCTGATCCCTCAATCATCATCCAAATAACCTGAGAGTGTCATGGATTGTGTTCTTACTGGGTGATAAAT
The DNA here is from genome assembly GCF_000001405.40 of Homo sapiens. Lineage (NCBI taxonomy): Eukaryota > Metazoa > Chordata > Mammalia > Primates > Hominidae > Homo > Homo sapiens. Next base: position 103,782,463 of record NC_000023.11, on the reverse strand, counting down.
GGCTAAGCCTTAGGAGCAATTCTGAGTCACCAGATCATAGCCTTTCTTTTTACATCCATTTTTCCTCTATTTTCTTAGAACTTGAATAACTTAGCATCCCCTTTTCTGCTCCACTACAGCTCAAAGCAAGGGACAAGAAAGAAGTAGGCTTTAATGAGTTTCTAATGTAAAGTCTGAAATAAATGACTTTAGATAAATCTATCACTATTAAGCTATAAACAATTCAGTAATATCAGCATAAGCATCAGATGTTCATCTCTTCACAACCTAGATGAAATGTTTGCTTTGGGGGCATTTAAGTTCAGCAGAAGTGAAGAATCTCAGTCAGTCTGTCCAAGCAAGAATCAGATTTTAGATTCTAACTGAGAAAAACTCAGAGCCTGCAAGAAATTATTTTTTCATCAAAGTAGTTGACAATCAAAGCATTCTGAGAAAAGATCCATTGGGCTCCCTTTGATTTTTCACAGTCCAAGAAATGTCCCTTGGGTATGTGTGAACAATAGCCTAAAGCCAAAAGCTCTCCATTTCAGAACCCCTCCTGGTTGAAAGGGTGTGAGTTTGATTCAAGAAGGCTGGAAGAGATTCTAGGGGAGAAGTTCCTTGGCTCTCTCAAGAGACATTCTCACATTTCCAGTCTAAGTACAGACTGCGAGATGAGAGAGTTGGCATAAAAGAACCATATAGTAATAACATTTCTCAATGCAACTCAGTCAGATTAAGCCACCTGACTTTGATGAAAGGTCATAGAGAAAAATAATGACCCCCTCCAGTGTTTTTCTTTCATTTCTGTTTATGTGAATTCAGTACAAGAATTAAGCACACTAGCAGTGACATAGACATTAGGAGAAACAGAAGGGAATTAAAAGGCCAGTCCCTTTCTTTAGAAAACTTGAAATCCTGTTGGGGTGAACAAACATATGTCTGTGAATCAAAATCTAAAGCTACCTATAAGCAAGTGTTAAAATGGATATAACGAAGTTGTGTGGGCAAAATGTAAGCAAAGGGAAAAGATCATGTCATGGTTGGCTACATTTGTATACAAACTCCCAAAACAAGTCTAATCAATCTGTGATAGTTGATACTCCAACTTTAAGCCCTTCTCACCAGCGCTCTTCACAGCGGTCTGACAGAGATCAACAGAACCAATGTGACTTACACAGATCCAGGTTCATCAAGGGACTGTGTTGATCCTGATGCTGTCTCTTTAAGCAGGCACCAAGAGCTCCCAACCCTCCCTCCCTCCTTTCCCATGCCCTGGGCCCGCCTCAAGGACCAGCTCCATGATGGAAATTCAGTGTGAATCTGGGAACTCATCAAAGGAAGGAGAGGAAGGGCTTTCATCGAAAGGAATGGTAGAAAGAGACCAATTGTACCCTGCACAATTCCCAGCCTGTCCCTTGAATCCAGCTGACAAAGGGAGAGATAGAAGAACCCTATACAATAGAGCTAAACAACAGGCAGGCTCATTGAGTGAGAAACTGGCCCCACCTCCCTAGGTCTCGAATCTGCACTACAGTCTTACCCTCCTCCCAGAACCCACCCCTTAACCTTACCCCATGAACAGAGGCCTCCTTGATCAGGGCCTGCAGTAGTTGACAAGGCCGAAATGCTAGAGCAGCCGTGACTGGTACTAGGGATGGATGGGGATCAGTGGGTGGGTTCTAGGAGTAAAACAACAATTATCAAGAGGTGCCAGAGACAAACAAAGACTTTTGCTTCGGGCCTCGTCCTGGTCAGACAATGCCCTGCCTATAATCTTGTCTTTCCTACATATCCCTTTTGATATCAGCACTTATATACCACATTCAAGTGCTGGAAAACAGTCCCGAAGTCTCTGGGGCCTGGGAATCCAAGCCTGCTGGATAGTCAAATCATGTGGACAAGGTTAACTAAAAAGGAATCTCAGCCTCCTCTTTGGACACGATTTAGTATTACCACGGCAACAGCATCTGGACTATCTTGTTTCCTATACTCCCCACTCCTCTTCAGACGCGCACACACACACACACACACACACACACACAGAGAGAGACAGAATGAATGATGTACACATTCCAATTTATGTGCAAGCATTGGGAAGCTGAGGTAGGACTTTGATTGTTAAAACTTATCCTTGGCACATTGTCTCCACCTTGCCCACGAATGGGAAGATGAAAGGGAAGTAACTGGTACTAGAGACAATAGTAGCCATACCTTGTTCCTCAGGTCAGTCTCCCACCATTTCCTCCTCTCTCCTTGTTGCAGTGTGAAGCTGATTTGGGGAACCTTATTCTCTTCCTTGGGACTCTTTTCTAGAGCCCTGCCTGGCAGACAGCTCAGAGGCCAGTGCAGAGCTGAGAGATAGCCCTCAGGGCCATTTTGCCGTAGGCAAGAGGGATTAATCAATCAGTACTTGCTGAGCTTTTGATGTAAGTTTGGCACTGAGTAGGCTCTGAAAGCAGGAAAGGAAGGAAAAGCTGCTCCATTCACCTACCATGGCTGCTGTGACCCTTCCTGATCATGTCACTGTCCTCACTTGGTCTTCTTTAGACCTGAAGTGCTGTGGGCAGGGAAGGCATTTCTACTGTTGCTTTCTTTCAAGACAAAGACCTGTACCCAGGGGATGGCTTTCAAGGCTTCAGGACGATAGACAAAAGCAATGGGGGAAAGTGATGTTACTGGCTGGAGTTCTACCTTAATGGGTTTGGAGACTATATTTCCCCTCCCACCCACCTCCCAGGGTTGAGGTTGTTATTACTCAGATCGCTCTGAGAGAGCAGTTCCAGTTGTCAGCCTGTTAAGTAAACTTCTGGCTTTCCTAGCTCAGAGCCAAGCCCAAGGCCCCCTAAAGCAGGGTAGACCTTTCAAACTGCCTGGCTTTCCAAGAACTCCTCTGGCTCTGCACGGCCAAAGGGAGAAGTGAGGTAGAGAAGGCTGCACTTGATTATTTTAGTCAGTGTCTCCAGGAAGACTAGGTGAACATGCTGGCTGGGATCTGGTTTATTTTTGGCTCCTGGTATTCTTGGGGCATTCTTGCCATTTTGATGGGACTCAGTTAGTCTTCGGGCATTTTATAAAACTGGACCCCCGCTCTGCCGCCACACTTTTTGCCTGGGCTACACCCACTTACTGCAAGCCAGCCAAAACTACACTGCTTGGCAAACAGCCACTTTTGGATGGAGGCATCACAGTCTGGTTACCAGGGTAACAGCCACTGTTCTCAGACGACAACAGGCTTGCAGACAATGTTTTGCTGTTCAATAATGGCATTGTGTTTCAGAGCAGAGAATAATCAGCTACTGCTCTTTTGCTCCTTTCTGGTTCCATCATTATCCCAAAGACTCACTTGGAACATTCCCCTTCCAAATCAAGGCAAAAATTAATGAGCTATCATTTTCCCCATAAATCTTTTGTGCAGACACTACTGAATCAGTGTTCCTCCTTGCTTCCAATCCTAAGGGATTCTATATGGTTGAAGTAGTAAGTTCCCTGTTCCTGGAGGTGATTAAGCAGAGGCTGTACGAACATTTAATTGGTTGTTGTAAAAATGAATCCCGCATTGAAGGTTGGCTCAGACAACTTCTAAAGTTCCTTCCAATCCCGGATTCCATGATACAATGTGTTTACTGCAATTGTTGAACAGCAGTGCACTCCACATCAGAAGTAGTGGCAGTCCAGTACCTTGTTAGAGATGATCTATAATTCAAAGTACTTTAGATACTCTGTTATTGAATAAATGAAAACTCAGTGGCTGCTCCATCATATGTACCTGGCCCAAGTATCGTCCACCCTTAGGACCTGGGACCCAATGTGCATCCTCAATCGTGCCCTTATCTGTGGCACTCTTCCTCTGGAGGAAACCACCCAGCCTCCATAACAGGCAATTGTCCCTGTGGTCACTTTATTTGTTCCTGCCTTTCCTCAGGGATTTCATCCCCTGAGGAAGTAATATTCAACATCCTTCTTTACTCCCTCTCTGTTTTTAATGCACAACCTATCCAGTCAGCTCGGCTGACATTAGATAGGATTCCTGATGTTACCCAGGGCAGGAATTGAGTTCCTCCAACATTCACCTCTCATCTGGTCACACATAATTGGTCAAATGATTCTGACCCAAGCACGCAAAGAAAACCCAACCACCCTGGAAAGAGGAAGAGTTCGCCTGTATACACATTATTGTCTAATAGTAGGTATTATCATGATTTACAGTTGTTATAGATCTTGCCCATTTTCAAAGGACTTTGACATTATTGTTACTTGATTCTCACAACCCTGAAAGTAGACAAAGTAGTTATTGCTGTCCCCATTTTCCAGATGAGGAAGTGGTGATTCAGTGACCTGTCCAAGGTCACATAGTTCATAAGTAGCAGATCTGGGATTTGAATCTGATTTTTCCGACTCCCTGTCCAGTGCTCTCCCTCCTGTTTTACCTGAACACATGCTTCAAAGTGTTCTCTCTGTGTTTCATGATGAAACAACCTAAAGGCTGAACCAGCTCAGTATAATTGCAAATTGATCTCTGTGGATGTTGTCTACTGGATGCTACATTTGATAGGGAATACATGGGGCAACTGAGTCTCATTTCATTTAGGATGTGTTTAAGCTGCTATCTTTGTTTTGCCAAATGTTAGCAATGTCTACAGGACTCTGTGGAGTCCAATAGGGACAAAGACCCTTGTGCTCTGCACACATTACTCTGAGTAGAAACTACCACCAGAACTTCATAGCTTCTGTCTTTGTTCACGGAACCTAGAAAAGCCCTCAATACTCAGCCAACTTAGCAAGAGCCCTAATGTCCCAGCATCCTCCTTGTCACAGCAAAGAGCCTTCAGGAAAGCTGTGTCTGTGATATTTGCTAGAAATGATCAACCCTATATGTGCACACACATGCACATATGCACATACACACACACACTCCTACCCATATCTGTTTCCCATGGTCAAGCCATTGAGGACTTTACTTTCATTTCCTGAACCTGAGAATGGCCTCCTCAGCCATAGCCAAGCCTGAGTCCAGCTTGCCCGATCCCCAGCTTCCTATTAATGCCAAACATGGTTCAAAGTTTGCATCAAGCAAGCAGTTATTTTGTACATCTGAGGGCTAGACAGTGCTCAGTGGCCTCCAGCAGAACCAGGAGGGCAAGCTGACCCAACCGTTGCCAGGGCCTTGGAACCAAGGGAAAAGAGAAGATAGAGGGAAGTGAGGGGGTAGGAGGACACATGACCACATCCATCCAGCTGGGCACTCTCTCCAGAGATCTGTGGGACTCTCCACGTGCTGCTGGAATTCTTTGGTAATAAAGCATCATGCTTAGTACAGCGGAGAAGGAGTTAATCTAACTGAATGTTAAGGAATTTAAAAAGAAAACAAGTGCCAAAACACGACTCATTTAAACCATGGAACCCCCGAACCCCAAAGTTGGAAATTCTCTTGTGAATTCCTGTGTCCTCTTGAATCTTCAATGCTAAAGTTTTTGAAACTTACCCATGTCTTTGGGACTCTGACTCCAATTGTAGCCGGCTGGCTAGTCTGCTTTGTGGCTGACTTTGTTCAGCTGGAAGGATCCTGGTCTCTCCAGCCTCCTTCTTCGGTCTTTTACTTTTTCTCTCTGAGTATCTTTGTCCTCTTCTCCTGCAATGAAAAGGGCTTTCTGATTGACAGCCAACCCCCTTAAAGGGACAGGCCTGCTTTCCTCCTCCTCTCCTCCTCCCTTCTCCTCCCCTTTTCCCCACCTACTCAGGGATACTCCCTTCTCTAAGGGCTCCATCTTCTCTTTCTGCCTTTCACTGCCAATTGTTTCATTTTCTTTGTTTTTCCTTTTTTCCCTAAGGCTTGCCTGGAATTTCGCTTTGCTGCAGAGACATCTGGAAATGTGGATTGAGGGTGGAAATAAAATGAAGATGTCCTGGAAACTTCCAACTGATCCTTGGGTCTAATTGGTGTGGGATATGCAGCACAAGCGTGAGAAGCCATGAAGTGAGAGCCCCAACAGGGGCTCAGAGTCAAAAACCTAGATATTAGCTCCCAAAGTCCTTCCGAATCTGCTCCAGCTCCCCACATCACTCCTAGCTGCCCTTGGCCCTCTCCACCTTTCCCCTCCCGATTCCTTGGAAAATAAGCGTTCCTCCCCCACCCCCACCCCCAGCTCTACGAACACAATAGAGAAGAAAAAATTGTCTTTTAAGATAATTTCCTCCAAATCCTTCTCAGTTTCAACTGCATGAAGACAAAATGCAGGCTGTCAATTCGATGAACAGATTGTGATTAGGCTGGGGGAGGCTAGAATTGTAATAATTTTATAGCTACAATAATAAAGACCCAGAAGTGGGCAAGACCTATGCAAGTTCACAGACTAGGTTAAAGAAAAGGCCAGCGTTGAAGATGTGGGTGATTTCCAAGAAGGATAATCGACTTCGAGACAAGTCAAGAACACGATCTGGGAATCAGGTAGTCAGTATTCTATCCTGAGAGTGTAATATCTTCATCAGAGAGCTTAAGCCAGGCAGACAAGAGGCAGGGAGTGGGTTAGAGTGAAGCAGCAGGTGGCAGTGAGGGTGGAGAGAAGAAACGAAATATAGTCCTTGCCACAGAGAAAGAAGCGGTAAGACAAAAATGGCTAAGCAGCAAAAACAGGGAAATACTATATAAAACCTGCCTTAGCAATAAGCTATTTCTAAAGACTGTGAAGGTATTTAAATGCCCACTGCTAGATGGGATCAGCCTGGGAAGGTTTTCTAGAACAGGTGAATCTTAAACAGTGTCTGTCTGGGCTCCTTGTCAGTCCTGTCTCCCTTCACAGCTCCCTTGACCTAGAGGCCGGTGTCCTCCCATGGATGGCCTTTAAAACAACTGGCTGGCATATAATAAGAGGGGCACCTGTTGGAAGACTCCGGAGAAGGAAGGTATGGTCTCCTGGAACTTTTCCTGTGATTTTGCCTTGGGAGAGGAGAGAAGAGGAGGGAGATACTGAGCAGAGACTAGTACCTTCCTGGGGTGGGAGAAAGGCAAGATTGTGTCTTACAGTTTTCTCTTTGGGCTGTGACTTTGGACATGTTACTGGCTTGGGCTCTGCTGTTAGGAAATGGACGAGTCTTTGGCAGATGCCCCTGTGGGCCCACTGGGGCCAAATCCTGCACCGTTTGAGGCTTGCTTAGAGTACTAGAACTCTAGATCCTTTGCTCTTGTATCAGCCCCAAGAAAAAAGGATCTCTGGAAATGCTGCCCCTTGCAAAACGGTATAATAGTAGCTTTCCAGAGCAGACGAGACTAAGGCCATGTGACTGATGGAAAAGGGTCCTAGAGCCCCTCGCCCTCCCCAGCCCTGCTCGCCAGCCACAGACTATGCCTGCTTTGGAAGCTCAACTGTAGGATTGAGCCAGCAATAAACTTCTGGATGGTCACTGTCGGAATGGCCCTGGAGAAGGGGGAGGACCAAGAGCAAGAAATCGCCAAATGTGTCTCCTCAGCTCATCAGATGGCAGGAGTGAGCCCAAACTTTGGGAGTTCAGATTTAGAGGATGAGGCAAATGATCCTTCACAGCTCGAATAGATGAGACAGCTCTCCACACAGGGGACATCACTCAGACTGAGCCCTCTCACAAAGCTTCCCCTGAGTTCTCAGCAGCAGCTCTGGGGACAGCAACTCTACTGGAAAGAAAATATGTGTTCCCAATAAACCCACAGATACCAATTTATCAACCACATTCCCTTAACACACATTTCTCTTCTCCTTTCTTCCATCTCCATTGCCTTAATATTCATTCTATCCTCTCCCCAAGTCTCAATCTCTTTGTCTCTGTTACCTGTCTCTGTCTCTGTTTCTCTCTATGTGTCTGTCTCTGTTTCCTTTTTCTCTCTCCACATTCCCTGTCTTCGCCTTGTTCTTATGCTTGTTCTTATGCCCAGGGCCAGAAAAGGGACCCAGCCAGGTGACCGTGTCTCACTCATCCCAGTGCCTTAAGGTTCCCAACTCCCTAGAATCTAGTGTGTTCTCATTGCTCTGTACATCCCGACACTCTGCCTCAGTACCTCGTCAGCAGACCTTTCCTGAGGGCTCCCTACAGACCTCATAGGGTATCTTCCCAGGTCCTCCAGAGCCCATTTTTATCTACATACCCCCACCTATTTCTGTGATTCTGCTTCCATTGGTTCTGCTGGGTGCCCTTGGCAAAATATTCTTGAGTCCAGCTAGGCTCCTGCACTGCCAAGGGATTCCTCAAGAGGCACTGCCAGCCTTCTTGGTGCAGCCTGCTGCCTGTACTGGGTGCCTGTGGGAACAATGCAGGATTGTATAAAACTCGTAAACAGTTTGCTTCATGCAATTCTGATGGTACCTCAGAGAATCTGGGCCCCCTTGATCATGGCTTGGTTTGACTGTGCAGCTTTCTTGCAAATAACTCGAAAACACTTGAATATTACCTCCACTCTCTGCTCTATGATCCCATAGTATCAGATTATTGAAGGCCACAGATCAAGTGGGTTCTCCTTGCTTCATTGTGTAGACTGAACTCTAAAACTCAGAGAAGTCCAGTGAATTTCTCCCAGGAAAAACTAGATAAGGGATCAAGTGCCCAATCTAGTGGCCAACTTCTCCCTGAGCACAGAGAAGAACATAAAGGGGAAGAGAGAAGCGCGTACCAGTGAAAGCCTGGGTCATCTGCTATTATTTGGGCTTCTAGAGCTGAGGCTTTGCTTCTCATTCCCAGGATAATGTCTTCCCAGACCAAATTTTGGAAGGCAGCTTTCCTAGCCCTGGCATAGAAGACTGGCTGGCTGGCAGGCAGGCAGTATATTATGTCCTATGTACTGTGGCTAGAACTTTCCACACCCAACTTCATGCCGATTGGCTAGACTATGCCTTTCTGGCCAAGAGAACCGAGGGCTGAGGGCCAGAGATGTCACATACTTTGAGCTGGCAGACAGGGGTAGAGAGTGGAGGGTGATCTTCTGCCTTTCCTGAAGGTTCAAGGAACAATGGGAGGATGGATAGGGGCAGGCCATGGGGTGTATTTGTGAGGGGGAGATGCCCGTGGCTTGGGATGGAGTAAAGAGTAGCCTGGAAGCCAAAATAATCACATGAAAAATCTCAGCTAAAGAATGCCTGAGGAGCACCACATAGCTACTAGCAATGTGAAGAAACAAGCTGTCCACAGAACCCACCTCCACCAACATAAAAACTTGGCCAGCTTTTGCAGGGTTGCCCCTGCAGGGAGGATGCTTGTTTGATGTGATTTCTGAGCAAAGTAGAAATAAAACTAGTATTATTTCTGGGGAACCAATGTTATTTGTTCAATTTGACTGATGGGATACTGAGACAATTTTCCCAATGGCACCTAGCAAGCAAAGACCAGAGCCATCTCTAGAGAATGCCTGTCTCCAGACTCTTATTGCTTGGAAGTTGCTTGGGAGGTTGTTCTGCTGTGAAAAAATGTGTGAATAGAGAGCCTTTGCCCTGAGCAACAACAGCCGGGGGCTGGGGGAGGATGGACAGGCTTCGGGCTGCTGTAGCCCAAGTTTTCAACCTTCTACACTTCTCAGGTTAAGTAGGAGGCCGCTATTTGAAACCCAGGGCAGAGGCAAACTTCCGGCAGTTTGTAGGATCAGTGGGGTTCCAAATTAGTCAGTAACTAGTCAACATGGTGAAACCCTGTCTCTACTAAAACTATAAAAATTAGCCAGGCATGGTGGTGCATGCCTGTAATTCCAGCTGCTCGGGAGGTTGAGGCACAAGAAGTGCTTGAACCTGGAAGGCAGAGGTTACAGTGAGGCGAGATGGTGCCACTGCGCTCCGACAGATCTCAAAAAAAAAAAAAAAAAAAGATTACACAAGATACTGAACATAAAATTCTTACCATAGTGCCTATGCTCAAGTATAATAACAATAATAATAATAATCACCAGATGGGGTGACAGAGTATCTCTGCAAATGTTTGATAAGCATTTAAAAAATAGAGGCTGAACTTTAGTGATCTCTAGAACCAACACCTTTCAGATCCAGGATTCCTATACTTCCCCTGAACCTGCCTATCTTTAAAATGGAGCCAAGGATATGTGCTTTGAAGAAATGTTGAGACTCTTTGAGACACACCTAGCAGTTTCTTTGTGTATTTGTTGTCTTCTAACATCTCCACCAGCACCTCTGGGTATGTCTATCACTAGGGTGACCAATCACCAATCATCCCGGTTTGCCAGGAACGAAGAGATCCCAAGATGTGGGACTTTCAGTGCTAAAAATGGGTACGGCCTGGGAAAACCAAAACAAGTTGGTCAGCCTACACCAGCACTGGAACACTGCCTTAAGCATTGTGCTTGAAGCAGTTGCCTCAAGGGCTGCCAACAACAAAAGCAGGTGTTAGGTTCCCCTTGCTGAAATCACTAAATGGGAAGTCCCCAAAGCCCCCCATTCCTCTGCTCTTTGAAATATCACGCCCAGGCAAGTAGGGTTGTCAGATAAAATACATGATGCTCAACTCAATTAAATTTGACTTTCAGATAAACAATGAATAATCATTTAAGTATATCCGAAATACTGGATGGGTCATACTTATACTGAGAAATTGCTCATTGTTTGTCTGAAAGTCTAATTTAACTGAATGCCTTGTATTTTTATTAGTGAATCCGGCAGCCCTACAGGCAAGGGCAGTCTGCTGTGGCAAGACAAGCTGGCTTTTGGGGTGTGAGCCACGAGAATGGCTAGGGAAATCTCACACAGGAAATCATGTTCCCTATGGACACACCTTCTTCTCTGCATCTCAGCCCTCAATCTCTTCATCTTGTGAGCCTGCCCTGGGCACCCCAGTCATGCTTTGTTCTGGGGAGGATCATCTGGGGCAAGGCAAGATGAGATGGGTCCTGAAGCAGGATACATAATCCATAATGGTTAGGAGTTTAGGCTTTGTAGGTAGCCAAATTGGGTTCATATCCCCCCTCAGCCTGGGACATAGCACAGTAAATGGCAATTCCCTGTTAATACTTAGAGGCCACCAGGCACAGTGGCTCACACCTGTAATCCCAACACTTTGGGAAGCCTAAGGGAGGAGGATCACTTGAGGCCAGGAGTTCAAGACCAACCTGGGCAACATAGTGAGACCCCCGTCTCTACAAAAAATTTAAAGATTAGCTGGGCGTCATGGTGCATGCCTGTAGTCCCAGCTACTCAGAAGCTGATGTGGGAGGATCACTTGAGCCCGAGAGGTCAAGGTTGCAGTGAGCCCTCATTGTGCCACTGCACTCCAGCCTGGGCAAAAAAGTGAGACCCTCTCTCAAAAAAAAAAAAAATTACTTAGTTGCAGACCTTTGTCTTTTCTTTTCTCTTCTTATCCTGTATCTAGCACTTTGCCAGACATCGAGGGGAAAACAGAGAAATGAGATGGTTTCCGGATGCAACCCTTGTTCTGAGAGAGCTTACAGCCTCCTCTGGAAGGAATATTACAGGCGTTAACAAAATGAAAATTCAGACAAAACTAACATTGAGCACCTATGCTGTGCTTGCCCTGCCCTAAGTGCACAAGTAAGCCAAATGTCAGCAGAGTGTCATCCTGTCCATTCCAGTTCAAATATAATTGGTTCAAGTTCCATGTTACCCCTTACCAGGGAAGTCCAGTGTCTTCCTCAAGATTTCTGAGAATTCTGAAAGGGCTCAGAATCTGAAAAGGCTCATCCTGCAACATAATGAGCAGAACAGACTTATTCTAGTCCTACTACAAATTACAACCTCTTTTTTTTTTTTCCCCAAGACAGGGTCTCACTCTGTCACCTAGGCTGGAGTGCAGTGGCGTGATCTCAGCTCACTGCAACCTCTGCCTACGGATCCCATGTGATCCTCCCACCCCAGCCTCCCAAGTGGCTGAGACTACAGGCACAAGCCACCACGCTTGGCTAATTTTTTGTATTTTTGTAGAGATGAGTTTTCGTCATGTTGCCCAGGCTGGTCTCAAACTCCTGAGCTCAAGCAATCTGCCCGCCTCGGCCTTCCAAAATGCTGGGATTACAGGCGTGAGTCACCATGCAGGCCCAGATTACATTCTCTAAACAACCTCCTGATCAGCAAAATCTTGGCAATGGTGAAAACCTGTATATCATTGATTAATTATCTGCAGCTTGACTTTGTCGGCCCTTGGCTATAAGGGAGGCACTAAGAAAGAAACAAGCAGCCCCCTGTCAGCTAGGACCTGGCCTGGCCCTATCAGTTGGGACTTACTGTTCTACTGCTAAACAATTTCACAGAATATCAACATCAGACAAGGCCACTCCGTGACCATGATGGATCAAGACATAACAACACCACTGTGTAATCAGATCTGAACACAGATAAAACATAAACAGTGTTTAAACCATAAACGTGATCAAACTTCCCTCTATTCTGGGGAATATGAATGGCTGCTTCTTCTTTAATTACATCTTTATCTTTGCTCTAATCATCCGTCCTTATAGATAGCACTTATTGAAATACCCAATTATAGAACTACCCTGCTTCCTGACAGCATCCAATCAAGAGTAAAGCCCCACTTCCTTAGACCCTCCCCAAAATCACTTAAATCCAAATCCTATAAGTCATTCCTAACACTGTCTTACTGAGGTTCCCCGATTCCTCATAGTGTGCACTCTCCCTTACTGCAATTTATTATCTCACTTTTATCCCACAAGAAAGAAATGATGGTCACCCCCATTTTACAGATAATAAAAGTGAGGCTCAGAATTTAACATTCCCAAGACTGATCAGCTAGTCAGCTGAGAAACCATACAAGAACTAGGACTTGCTTTTTGCAGTGTGCCACACTGCCCTTAAAAGAGTGCTTAAAGGGGGATTCTATTACATTCCTGGCTATTTCTCTAAAGAAAATTTCATTTTCCAACAGTCTGCATCTTACTATTAGTTGACATATTGGCATATCATCCCTTCCATGATTATCCCTGGCCACTTTGCTCTCATTTACCTGGCACACTATAGTTGCTCATTTAACTCTGTGTGTGTGTGTGTGTGTGTGTGTGTGTGTGTGTGTGTGTGTGTGTCTGGAGCTGTGCCTGGTTACTAGAATCACCCCGACCATATCTGCACAGAACAAAAACAGGCAGAATCTTTTTCTTCAGGTCCCTTCCAGGCTGGCCCTAACAGAGCTGAGAACTTGGCAGGCTATGGTGAGGCTGCTGCTAGCTCAGCACAGGAGTTTCAAGAGAGCGTGAAGAAAGGGGCCCAAGCTGCCTCTGCAGAGCTTCTGACTGTTTAGTGCTGACAGTGGAAAATCACCATCAGTCATCCAGCAAAGATGGAGTGGATTCTTACTGCCATCAGCCTCCTGCCCACCATGTGCTGGACACAAGAGGAGCAGGAAGGGGTTCAGAAGGGGTATAACATATGGCTTCTACTCTGGGAAGCTTACCTCAGCCTCCCCTACTGAGACTGTCTCCTGCCTTCTCTTGTTTCCTTCTCATGTGGGACCAAGTGTTGAGATGCTAAAAGAAATACTCCTGGGGGCAGAGGGTAGATATGCTGGCGGATGTGGGCATGAAGCACAGGCATAAGAGACCTTAGATGAAAACTGTAAGCATTCGGGTCGGGGGCAGTGGCTCACTCCTGTAATCCCAGCACTTTGGGAGGCTGAGGCGGGTGGATCACGAGGTCAGGAGTTTGAGACCATCCTGGCCAACATGGTGAAACCCCATCTCTACTAAAAATACAAAAATTAGCCAGGCGTGGTGGCGGGTGCCTGTAATCCCAGCTACTTAGGAGGCTGAGGCAGAGAATTGCTTGAACCTGGGAGGCAGACTTTGCAGTGAGCTGGGATCGCACCACTGCACTCCAGCCTGGGCGACAGAGCAAGACTCCGTCTCAAAAAAAAAAAAAAAAAAAATGTAAGCATTCATTGACCTAGGCATGTCAGCTCTAGGATAAAGACCAGACAAGAAGGTCTCCAGGGCTGGGGAGGTGAGAGAAAGGGAAGGAGGAGAGGAACAAAGTAGGGAAGGAGGAGGGCAACAAAGTTTTAGGCATTTTATGCAGCAGGGGCTTAGGGACAGCTATCTGAAATGTGTCTTAGGGGAACAAGGGAGTGTGCCTTTTCCCTTTTTTGAATTATGCATTCATTTTGGGTGGCTTGCTGAGCAGTTGGTAGCTTGTATCAGTAAAAGTAGAGCTAAAGCTGCTCTAAGGTGTTGTGAAAGGAAAATAAATCTCAGGACCCCAAAGTCACTAAGCCCGGGGAAGAGTCAAGCTGGGAATTATGTCAAGCAAACCTGCCTCCCATTTTATTCCTAAGTAAGATAGCTACAAAGATAAAAAGCTACATACCTCCCTCATAATTTGTCACAAGGAAATTTCTTGTGGGATTCAAGATCTTTACCCTAAAAGAGCTCTGTTTAATTTCACCCTGGCAATGTAAACTGATAGCTTATCTTCATAGGTACCAGAAAACAGACAGAACTCAAAGTTATAGCTCCGCTCACCTGAGACAAATGCATATCTGATCACGTCCTCTGCCTTATTGTTTATGTAAAAATGCAGATTCACAAAGCCAGACTAAGGCATAAGTGATTACTCCTCTATCCACCTCTCACATGTAAATTGTGTATTCAGTGAAAGACTAATCAGAGACTCAAAAGAATGCAACCATTTTTCTTTTATCTACCTATGACCTAGAAGCCCCCTTCTTTGACTTCGAGTAGCCCGGCCTTTCTGGACTGAACCAATGTACATCTTACGTATATTGATTGATATCTCATGTCTCCCTAAAATGTAGTATAAAATCAAGCTGTGCCCCAACCACCTTGAAAACATGTTGTCAGAACTCCTAAGGCTGTGTCACAGGCACGAACTTAAACTTGGCAAAATAAACTTTCTAAATTTATTGAGATCTCTCTCAGATACTTTTGGTTCACAGTGTCATGAGAGTGACTCCTTCCCTGGGCCAGGCAGGAAACCGAGGAAGCTAATGAGATGGGACCAAGGAGGAGGGTCTGGAGTTTTGAGAAGGGGCTGCCAGGTTCCAAACTGTGTCAGATTCAGTGCCTTTTTCCTGAGAATCAGCTGAGTCAGTGGCTGCTATGGGCTGTCCGAGATTGTACTCAGAACCTTCCCTCAAGGGCACTGTGGCTGCTAGGGGTAGAGATGTGTGCTGGACAGAGCCCACATGTAGGAGCTATAAGCACAAGACATCCTCTCCCCACAAAGCCCTAGCCTAGTGTTAGGCCTCTGAGCCCAAGCCTGCACGTATACGTCCAGATGGCCTGAAGCAAGTGAAGAATCACAAAAGAAGTGAAAATGGCTGGTTCCTCCCTTAACTGGTGACATTACCTTGTGAAATTCCTTCTCCTGGCTCATCCTGGCTCAAAAGCTCCCCCACTGAGCACCTTGTGACCCCCACCCCAGCCAGCCAGAGAACAACCCCCTTTGACTGTAATTTTCCACTACCTACCCAAATCCTGTAAAACAGCCCCACCCCTGTCTCCCTTCTCTGACTCTCTTTTCGGACACAGCCCGCCGGCAGCCAGGTGATTAGAAAGCTTTATTGCTCACACAAAGCCTGTTTGGTGGTCTCTTCATACAGACGCATCTGAAATTTGGTGCCATGACTCGAATCGGGGGACCTCCCTTGGAAGATCAATCCCCTGTCCTCCTGCTCTTTACTCCATGAGAAAGATCCACCTACAACCTCTGGTCCTCAGGCCAACCAGCCCAAGGAACATCTCACCAATTTTATATCCGGTAAGCAGCCTCTCTTTACTCTCTTCTCCAACCTCTCTCACTATCCCTCAACCTCTTTCTCCTTTCAATCTTGGTGCCACACTTCAATTTCTCCCTTCTCTTATTTTCAGTTTCTTTCCTTTTCTGGTAGAGACAGAGGAGATGCGTTTTATCCGTGAACCCAAAACGCCGGCTCCAGTCACGGACTCGGAAAGAAAGTCTTCCCTTGGTGTTTAATTACTGTGGGGACGCCTGCTTGATTATTCACCCACATTTCAGAGGTGTCTGATCACCATGGGGACGCCTGCCTTGATCCTTCACCCTTAGTGGCAAGCACCACTTTTTGGGGGTCAAGCACCCCCCACCCTTTCTCTCTGTGTCTCTACCCTCTCTTTTCTCTCTACTTTCCTGGGGGGCAAGCACCCCCCACCCCTTCTCCACTTTCCTGGGGGGCAAGCATCCCCCACCCCTTCTCTCCATGTCTCTACCTTCTCTTTTCTCTGGACTTGCCTCCTTCACTATAGGCAGGCTTCCACCCTCCATTCCTCCTTCTTCTCCCTTAGCCTGTGTTCTCAAGAACTTAAAACCTCTTCAACTCACACCTGACCTAAAACCTAAATGCCTTATTTTCTTCTGCAATGCTGCTTAACCCCAGTACAAACTCGACAGTGGTTCCAAATAGCAAGAAAACGGCACTTTCGATTTTTCCATCCTACAAGATCTAGATAATTCTTGTCATAAAATGGGCAAACGGTCTGAGGTGCCTGACATACAGGCATTCTTTTACACATCGGTCCGTCCCTAGTCTCTGTTCCCAATGCAGCTCCTCCCAAATCTTCCTTCTTTCCCTCCTGCCTGTCCCCTCAGTCCCAACCCCAAGTGTTGCTGAGTCTTTCCAATCTTCCTTTTTTATGGACCCATCTGACCTCTGCCCTCCTCCCCAGGCTGCTCCTCACCAGGCCAAGCCAGGTCCCAATTCTTCCTCAGCTCTGCTCCCCCACTCTATAATCTTTTGATCACCTCCCCTCCTCACACCCAGTCCAGCTTACAGTTTCGTTATGTGCCCTCCCCCACCAGCCCAGCAATTTCCTCTTAAAATGGTAGCTGGAACTACAGGCATAGTCAAGGTTAATGCTCCTTTTTCTTTATCCAACCTCTCCAAAATCAGTTAGCGTTTAGGCTCTTTTTCATCAAATATAAAAACCCAGCCCAGTTCATGGCTCATCTGGCAGCAACCCTGAGACGCTTTACAGCCCTAGACCCTAAAAGGTCAAGGGCCGTCTTATTCTCAATATACATGTTATTACCCAATCCGCTCCCAACATTAAATAAAACTCCAAAAATTAAATTCCAGCCCTCAAACCCCACAACAGGACTTAATTAACCTCACCTTCAAGGTGTACAATAATAGAGTAGAGGCAGCCAAGTAGCAACATATTTCTGAGTTGCAATTCCTTGCCTCCAGTGTGGGAGAAACCCCAGCCACATCTCCAGCACACAGGAACTTCCAAACACATAAACCGCAGTGGCCAGGCATTCCTCCAGGACCACCTCCACCAGGAACTTGCTTCAAGTGCTGGAAATCTGGCCACTGGGCCAAGGAATGCCCACAGCCCAGGATTCCTCCTAAGCTGTGCCCCATCTGTGCAGGTACCCACTGGAAATTGGACTCTCCAACTCACCCGGCAGCCACTCCCAGAGCCACTGGAACTCTGGCCCAACGCTCTCTGACTGACTCCTTCCCAGATCATCTCAGCTTAGCGGCTGAAGATTGATGCTGCCCAATCACCTCAGAAGCTTCCTGGACCATCACATACGCTTTGGGTAACTCTTACAGTGGAGGGTAAGTCCGTCCCCTTCTTAATCAATACGGAGGCTACCCACTCCACATTACCTTCTTTTCAAGGGCCTATTTCCCTTGCCCCATGACTGTTATGGTTATTGATGGCCAGGCTTCTAAACCTCTTAAAACTCCCCAACTCTGGTGCCAACTTGGACAATATTCTTTTATGCACTCCTTTTTAGTTATCCCCACCTGCCCAGTTCCCTTATTAGGCTGAGACATTTTAACTAAATTATCTGCTTCCCTGACTATTCCTAGGCTACAGCCACACCTCATTGCCACCCTTTTCCCCAGTTCAAACACTCCTTCACATCCTCCCCTTGTATCTCACCACCTTAATCCACAAGTATAGGACACCTCTACTCCATCCATGGTGACCGATCATGCACCCCTTATCATTCCATTAAAACCTAATCACCCTTACCCAACTCAACGCCAATATCCCATCCCACAGCAGCCTTTAAAAGGAGTAAAGCCTGTTATCACTTGCCTGTTACAGTGTGGCCTTTTAAAGCCTATAAACTCTCCTTACAATCCCCCCATTTTACCTATCCAAAAACCAGACAAGTCTTACAGGTTAGTTCAGGATCTGCACCTTATCAACCAAATTATCTTGCCTATCCACCCCATGGTGCCAAACCCATATACTCTCCTATCCTCAATACCTCCCTCCACAACCCATTATTCTGTTCTGTGTGGCAAACATGCTTTCTTTACTATTCCTTTGCACCCTTCATCCCAGCCTGTCTTCGCTTTCACTTGGACTGACCCTGACACCATCAGGCTCGGCAAATTACCTGGGCTGTACTGCCACAAGGCTTCACAGACAGCCCCCATTACTTCAGTCAAGCCCGAATTTCTTAATCTGTTACCTATCTCGGCATAATTCTTCATAAAAACACAGGTGCTCTCCCTGCCGATCCTGTCCAACTGATCTCTCAAACCCCAACCCCTTCTACAAAACAACAACTCCTTTCCTTCCTGGGCATGGTTGGATACTTTTACCTTTGGATACCTGGTTTTGCCATCCTAACAAAACCATTATGTAAACTCACAAAAGAAAACCTAGCTGATGCCATAGATCCTAAATCCTTTTCCCACTCCTCTTTCCGTTCCTTGAAGACAGCATTAGAGAATGCTTCCACACTAGCTCTCCCTGACTCATCCCAACCCTTTTTCATTACACACAGCCGAAGTGCAGGGCTGTGTGGTCGAAATTCTTACACAAGGACTGGGACCGCTCCCTGTGGCCTTTTTATCCAAACAACTTGAGCTTACTGTTTTAGCCTAGCCCTCATGTCTGCATGCGGCAGCTGCCTCTGTTTTAATACTTTTAGAGGCCCTCAAAATCACAAACTGTGCTCAACTCACTCTCTACAGTTCTCATAACTTCCAAAATCTATTTTCTTCCTCACACCAGATGCACATACTTTCTGCCCCCCTCCACTACCTCTCAGCAAGCCGAACTCATTGCCTTAACTAGAGCCCTCACTCTTGCAAAAGGACTACGCATCAATATTTATACTGACTCTAAATATGCCTTCTATATTCTGCACCACCATGCTGTTATAAGGGCAGAAAGAGGTTTCCTCACTACGCAAGGGTCCTCCATCATTAATTCCTCTTTAATAAAAACTCTTCTCAAGGCTGCTTTACTTCCAAAGGAAGCTGGAGTCATTCACTGCAAGGGCCGTCAAAAGGCGTCAGATCCCATCGCTCAGGGCAACGCTTATGCTGATAAGGTAGCTAAAAAAGCAGCTAGAGTACAACTTCGTCCCTCAAGGCCAGTTTTTCTCCTTCTCATCGGTCACTCCTACCTACTCCCCTACTGAAACTTCCACCTATCAATCTCTTCCCACACAAGGCAAATGGTTCTTGAACCAAGGAAAATATCTCCTTCCTGGTGGGTGCCTGTAATCCCAGCTACTCAGGAGGCTGAGACAGGAGAATCCCTTGAACTCAGTAGGCTGAGGTTGCAGTGAGCCAAGATCATGCCACTGCACTCCAGCATGGGTTACAGGAGCAAGACTCTGTCTCAAAAAAATAAATAAATAAAATAAAATCTCTCTTATTTAAAAAAAAAAAAACAAAAAGAAAAAAAAAGAAAATATCTCCTTCCAGCCTCACAGGCCGATTCTATTCTGTCGTCATTTCATAGCCTCTTCCATGTAGGTTACAAGCCACTAGCCCGCCTCTTAGAACCTCTCATTTCCTTTCCACCGTGGAAATCTATCCTCAAGGAAATCACTTCTCAGTGTTCCATCTGCTATTCTACTACTCCTCAGGGATTGTTCAGGCCCCCTCCCTTCCCTACACATCAAGCTCGGGGATTTGCCCCTGCCCAGGACTGGCAAATTGACTTTACTCACATGCCTCGAGTCAGGAAACTAAAATACCTCTTGGTCTGGGTGGGTAGAGGCCTTTCCCACAGGGTCTGAAAAGGCTACTGCGGTCATTTCTTCCTTTCTGTAAGACATAATTCCTTGGTTTGGCCTTCCCACCTCTATACAGTCCAATAACGGACCGGCCTTTACTAGTTAAATCACCCAAGCAGTTTCTCAGGCTCTTGGTATTCAGTGAAACCCTCATACCTCTTACCATCCTCAATCTTCAGAAAAGGTAGAATGGACTAATGGTCTTTTAAAAACGCACCTCACCAAGCTCAGCCACCAACTAAAAAATGACTAGACAATACTTTTACCACTTTCCCTTCTCAAAATTCGGGCCTGTCCTCGGAATGCTACAGGTTACAGCCCATTTGAGCTCCTGTATAGACACTCCTTTTTATTAGGCCCCCGTCTCATTCCAGACACCAGCCCAACTTGGGCTGTGCCCCAAAAACTTGTCATCCCTACTATCTTCTGTCTAGTCATAATCCTATTCACCGTTCTCAACTACTCATACATGCCCTGCTCTTGTTTACACTGCCGGTTTACACTGTTTCTCCAAGCCATCACAGCTGATATCTCCTGGTGCTATCCCCAAACCGCCCACCACTCTTAACTCCCTCTTAAAGTAAATAAATAATCTTTACTGGCAGGGCTATGCTGAACCTCCTTGGGCACTCTCTAATTGGATGTCCTGGGTCCTCCCAATTGTTAGTCCTTTAATACCTGTTTTTCTCCTCTTATTCGGACCTTGTGTCTTCCGTTTAGTTTTTCAATTCATACAAAACCGCACCCAGGCCATCACCAATCATTCTATACAACAAGTGTTTCTTCTAACAACCCCACAATATCACCCCTTATCACAAAATCTTCCTTCAGCTTAATCTCTCCCACTCTAGGTTCCCACGCCTCCCCTAATCCCGCTTGAAGCAGCCCTGAGAAACATCGCCCATTATATCTCCATACCACCCCCCAAAAGTTATTGCTGCCCCAACACTTCAACACTATTTTATTTTATTTTTCTTATCAATATAAGAAGACAGGAATGTCAGATCTCTGAGCCCAAGCCTGCATATATACATCCAGATGGCCTGAAGCAAGTAAAGAATCACAAAAGAAGTGAAAATGGCCAGTTCCTGCCTTAACTGGTGACATTACCTTGTGAAATTCCTTCTCCTGGCTCATCCTGACTCAAAAGCTCCCCCACTGAGCACCTTGTGACCCCCACCCCAGCCAGCCAGAGAACAACCCCCTTTGACTGTAATTTTCCACTACCTACCAAAATCCTATAAAACAGCCCCACCCCTATCTCCCTTATCTGACTCTTTTCGGATTCAGCCTGCCTGCACCCAGGTGATTAAAAAGCTTTATTGCTCACACAAAGCCTGTTTGGTGATTTCACATGGACGCGCATGAAACCTAGTATGGTGCCTTGTTTGTGGCTGGCCTTTATTAAATAACCAGAGAACATCCTCCCATCTCTGTTCATATATATAGGAGGACAGTAGGATCATTGGTGTTCTTGAGATTAGGTCCTTCAAGCTTTCATCCAGGAATTACAATAGAGGGCTGACTTGGTCCATCTGGACATCCATCCTGTTGTTCATCCCACAACCACCATAACCACCAGCATAGTTTCTACTCCTCCTCTTAGAAAGCCCAAATTCCAACAAAGATACAATGTCTCTTTCCCTTTCCCCAGCAGCCCTGATGATACAGTCTCTATTTTTAAAGAGAACCTCCCTCAACTTCTTCTCCAAATAGGAGCTAATGAATAGGAAAGAAAGTATTGCCAGGCCCAGTGGTTCATGCCTGTAATCCCAGCACTTTGGGAGGCCAAGGTGGGTGGATTGCTTGAGCTCACAAGTTCAAGACCAGCCTGGGCAACATGGCAAAACCCTGTCTCTACAAAAAATACAAAAATTTGCCAGGTATGATGGTGCGTACCTGTAGTCCCAGCTACTCGGGAGGCTAAGGGGGAGGATGGCTTGCGCCCAGGAGGTGTAGGTTGCAGTGAGCTGAGATCATGCCACTGCACTCCAGCCTGGGCAACAGAGACAGACCTTGTCTCAAAAAAAAAAAAAAAAAAGTATTAATTGACATCAAATTGAAACATTTTTAAGGCAGTGACAAATGTTACTAGAGCCCCTCACTGGAAGGAGAGTGGAGTTTCCCAAAGCATGACCAGAGATTGTCATCTCCACTGGATGGTGAAAGGTCTAATGTTAAAAAAAAAAAAAAAAAAAAAAAAAAAAAAAAAAAAAAAATCTGCAGGCAAATATATTTGGGGAAGCCTGGGTTAACCAAAGTTTTTTGTTTTTGTTTTGTTTTGTTTGTTTGTTTGTTTGTTTGTTTTAGTGTCTCTGTAGCCAGGCATGGTGGTACGCACTTCTAGTCCTAGCTACTTGAAGAGTCTGAAGCAGGACTGCTTGATCCCAGGAGTTTAAAACTGCCATGAGCTAGGAGCATGCCACTGCACTGTCACCTGGGCAATAGAGTGAGACACTGACTCTTAAAAAAAATTTTTTTTCGGCAGGGCGCGGTGGCTCAACGCCTGTAATCCCAGCACTTTGGGAGGCTGAGGGGGGCGGATCACAAGGTCAGGAGATCAAGACCATTCTGGTTAACACGGTGAAACCCCGTCTCTACTAAAAAATACAAAAAAAATTAGCCGGGCATGGTGGCAGGCGCCTGTAGTCCCAGCTACTCTGGAGGCTAAGGCAGGAGAATAGCGTGAACCCAGGAGGCGGAGCTTGCAGTGAGCCGAGATCACACCACTGCACTCCAGCCTTGGTTACAGAGCGAGACTCCGTCTCAAGGAAAAAAAAAAATAATGATTTTTTTTTGGCCGGGCACAGTGGCTCATGCCTGTAATCCCAGTACTTTGGAAGGCCAAAGTGGGCAGATCACCTGAGGTCGGGAGTTCAAGACCAGCCTGACCAACCTGAAGAAACCCCGTCTCTACTAAATATGCAAAAACTAGCCAGGCGTGGTGGCATACGCCTGTAGTCTCAGCTACTTGGGAGACTTTACAAAACCTCCACTATGCTAACATGCATTATGGCCTCTAAAAGACAGAGATGATAGAGTTTGCAGCTTGATGCCATTAGTTAAGTACTTACTGTGTGCTAGGCTCTGTACTAAGTGCTTCACTTGCATTAATCCTTATCAAATCCAATAGATATTGCTGTTATCTTCGTTCTTTAATTCCTTCCCACATTCCAATAGCCCAAGGTCTGGCTTGAGTTGGCAGGCTTCTTGTCTCAGTTACTAGCATCCGGCTCCCTCCTGGCCAGTGTCTTCTTGGCAGCATTTTCCCTAATCTCACCCTCAGGAACTAGTCCATGCTCCATCCTCATCCTATCCCAGACAAATGTCAAAGTCCCAAGTGAAGCTATAACTACCTGATATGGTTTGGCTCTGTGTCCCCATCCAAATCTCACCTTGAATTGTAATCTCCATAATCCCCATGTGTCAAGGGCAGGAACAGGTGGAGGTAATCAGATCATGGGGGCGGTTTGCCTCATTCAATTCTTGTAATAGTGAGTCTCATGAGATCTAATGGTTTTAGAATCATCTGGCATTTCCTCTGTTTGCACTTATTCTCTCTTCTGCATCCCTGTGAAGTGGTGCCTTCCACCATGATTGTATGTTTCCTGAGGCCTCCCTAGCCATGCAGAACTGTGAGTCAATTAAGCTTCTTTTCTTTATAAATTACCCAGTCTCAGGTATTTCCTCACAGCAGTGTGAGAATGGACTAATACACCACCCAAGGCATTCTTCTTGCCTGCTACCTAGATACAGCCAATTTATCAAGACAGGGGAATTGCAATAGAGAAAGTTTAATACATGCAGAGCCAGCTAAACAGGAGACTGGAGTTTTATTATTAGTCTAATCAGCCTCCCTGAAAATTTGAAGGGTAAGGTTTTTCAAGGATGGTTTGGTTCTGTGTGAACTCTGGCAGTTATCAACCTGCTTTTTTGTCCCGCTACTCCCTCCCCTTTGAAAAACTGGTAGCAGTAAACCTTATAGCCAAAAGAGGAAATGGGAATAGGAAGAATACAGATATGGATATTCAAGAGACAATCATAGGGCTGTGGAAAATGGTCCTTATGTGCTGAGTCCACTTCTGCTTGGGACCACAGAGGAGTCGCTGTTCCAGGTGGAGTCATCCAGTCAGTTGTCAGAAATGTAAAAGTCTGAAAAGACATCTTAAAAAGCCAATCTTAAGTTCCACAATAGTGATGTTATTTACAGGAGCAATTGGCAATGTTGCAAATCTTGTGATCTCTGGAACAATGGCTATTAATCATTTCACTACACCTGTATCTTAGCAGAATTCAGGCCCCTTTCATAATCTTAAACTTGTGGCCTTGTATTAGTTTTATAAAGGCAGTTTAGTTTTGGGAAGGGCTATTACCATTCAATCTATAAATTTCTACCAAAGTTAGCTTGGCCCACACCCAGGAATAATCAAGGGCAGTTTGGAGGTTAAAGGCAAGATGGAGTTGGTTAGGTAAGATCTCTTTCACTGTCATAATTTTATCACTGTTAAAATTTTTGCAAAGGCAGTTTCAAAGAGGTCCTCTCTACTGAGGACCTCTTTAGAAGTCTTTGTGGGATGGGTAATGTCCCTCTTCCAGACTCAAGCCCTCAGCTCCAACCTCCTCTGGAGTCCTCTGAGCTGACCGCTGTGGCTGAGCTGGGCCAGGGGTATGCTGCCTCCCTCCACTACCAGTGTCCAGTTGAATGCACAAGGACCAGATGTGTATTCTTCAAGTGTGAGCCAATCTGGTGCCACTGAATCCTGCAAAGAGGCATGCCCAGGCCCTGGAAATGTTATAGTAGGTAGTCAGACATGAGCAGGGCAGGAGAGGGCTCCCCCAAAACTAGGAATGTCAGGTGACCATCAGGTGATGGTCAGGTGATTGTTAAACTGTCTCTCTAAAATAATAATTGGTTGCAGTTGGCACCAGGGAATGTCTCCCAATAGATAGAAAAACCTAAAACTGGTGATCAGCAGCTTCCTGATAAGATCTCAGGAGCTGGGCTAGTGGGTTCAAGCATGTGCACTAAGAGGCAAAATGGCAGAGTTTAACTGGTATATGGCCTTCCTCTAGAACACTCAACTGATAAGGAAAGAACGCCTCATGTGAGCATGCTTACAACTTCAGTAAACGTACTGTGCATACGGCCCCTCCCAAATGCTGGCAGGCCAGTGCACATGTGGACAGCCCACCCCAAGGGAAGAATCAAGAGAGAAGAGATGCAAACCCCCAGAAGCGTGCCAACATATAAAACCCCAAGTCGAAGGTCAAACCATGCATTTGAACCTCTCAAGTCGCCTGCTTGGTCTTCTTACAAGTATACGTTACATCCTTTTGTTCCTACACTAAAACTTCTTCAGAAACTTTCACTCCTCCTCTAAAACTTGCCTCAGTCTTTCCCTTTGCCTTATGACCCTCCATCGAATTCTTTCTTCTGAGGAGTCGAGAATTGAGGTTGCTGCAGACCCGTACAGATTTGCCACTAGCAGGAAGACCAGAAGTTGCAACAGCTGCAGGCAGAGAGTAGGGGTGAGGTGCTCAGTGCAAAGAGAATTCTGGTGGCAAGGGGATCCTTGATCTGTGGTGGTGTGTGACCACTCTGGGCAGTGATCCAAAAAATTGAATTCACACACACTCACTTCTTCCTGGAGCAAGCAGAACAAATGTTTCTTGCATCCTGCTCAGCTCCAGCCCTCCTCAAGCTCCAACCACCCCCCACCACACCAAATAAAAAAAAAAGAGATTTAAAGCTCAGCTATTTTTAATTTTTTGCTTCTCCAAAAGTTGGCCTGGAGCTCACAGCTATTTTTCCTCTTTTCTCTACACTGGAGTTTTCATCGATTTGAAACTCTCTTAATCCTTTAGGCCATGGGCTGATGAACCTTCTGAGGTAACCTCTTTGGCAAACTGCATAGGTGGGTGTCAGTGGGGATCATGCTCTTGTTGAGGGCAAGAAGGGCCTTCCTCAGCCCTTGCAAGACAAGACTCCCTCTCTGACCCTTTTCTGGCATTTCCTGCTGTTCTTGGCTATACTATTCCTAAAATCTTTACAATCTTCAAAGTGATGCTTTTTTGTATGCTAATGAGTTGACTTATGGCTGGCAGCAGGTAGGTAGCCTCAGGATGGGAGTTGATCACCAAAAAGACCAAGGCAGAATTAGAGGATTGTGATGTTCAGCCACACCCCCAGCCTCCTAGGAGGGGAGAAGGGCTGAAAGTTAAGTTAATCACTGATGGCCAATGATTTAATCAATCAAGCCTACATAATAAAGCCTTCATAAAAACCCAGAAAGACAGGGTTTGAAAAGCCTGTGGATAGCCATACATGGAGTTTGAACATCTGCCCACCAGGAGGATGGCATATCCCAACTCCACAGAGACAGAAGCTCCTGTGCTCAGGACTTTAGCTCTCACCCTGTGTATCTCTTCATCTGGCCATTCATTTGTATCCTTTAAAATCTCCTTTCTAACTGGTAAAATTAAGTAAGTGCTTCCCTGAGTTCTGTGAGCTGCTCTAGCAAACTGATCAAACCTGCGGAAGGGTTCATGGGAACCCCGATTTATAGCCAGTCAGTCAGAAGCAGAGGCAAAATAACCTGGGGCTTGTGATTGGCACTGGAAGTGGGAGACAGGCTTGGGGACTGAGCCCTCAACCTGCAGGATCTGACGCTATCTCCAGGTAGGTAGCATCAGAATTGAATCGGAGGACATCCAGCTGGTGTCTCCTGCAGAGTTGCTTGCTTGGTGTGTGAGAAATTGGGAAACACACCACACATTTGGTCACAGAAGTGTTCCATGTTGAATGTTGTTGGGTAAGAGCATAAGAATAACAGCTTATGTTTTTTTTCTACTCAGGCATCTACCTCTTCCCCAAATCTAGTTCCTTCTGCCCTCTGTGTGGAGAAGACTACTGGGCCTTAAGCTCCTGAAGGAATCACAGCATTGGAGCCAGCACAAGCAGCACTTCCTAGAAATCTCCAAGGCTTCAGAGCTGATCACACTTGGCTAGGGCTGAGCCCAAGTTCCATGGAAAGAAACCTTTACAAGGTGCCATGGCACCTGCCTTAAAGAGGGCAGGCACCCTCATCAGGGCAGGCAACTAATAGGAGTCCCTGGCAGCTTGGGAGTTGGAAACAAATCTTAGAAGACAGACTGAAACTAATAGCTAATAGTTTTTGATTACTTGGTATATGTCCAGCCCTGTTCTAACTGCTTTATAGATAATTATGCATTGATTCTGTGAAACACTCTTATAAGGAAGGTACTGTTATCTCCATTTTATAGGCAAGGCAACTGAGGCACAGAGAGGTTACATTGGTGGTAGAATACGGAACAACATTATGAAGCTAGACAATCTGTCATCAGATCCCAGGTTCTTTTTTTTTTTTTTCTTTTTTTGAGACGGAATCTCGCTCTGTCACCCAGGCTGGAGTGCAGTGGCGCGATCTCGGCTCACTGTAACCTCTGCCTCTTGGGTTCAAGCAATTCTCCTGCCTCAGCCTCCCAAGTAGCTGGGATTACAGGCATGTGCTGATCCCAGGCTCCTAACCACTAGGCACACGACATGTACATGAGTCCCCTCTCCTGAATCTCCACTTCCAGATTTAGTCCTTCACTCAGGACCTGGTTCCTGATGCCTGCAGGGTTTTTAGTGTTTTGCTGCAGTCGGGCTCTGGGACAGTGTAGCCTTAGGGCATAGAGCAAGGAGAGAGCCCCTCCAATGAATCTGCAGGAGGGCCAGGATAGGAAAGGAGGGAGGGCAGCAAAAGCAAATACCTGGAAGCAGCTAGTAAGATAACAGAACAGCGAGAATCCTCTCCTCCCCAGGCAATACACCTGCATCCCCCACCTCTCCCAAGTACACAGATATGCATGCACTCGCATGCACATACATCTGTGCTCAATTATTCCAGTGGAAGGGCAGAGCAGGGCTGCCAGAGAAGAGATTGCTTGTCAGTGAAGGAGTTTGGCAGATGTGCCCTCCAGCTCTGTTTTTGAAAGAAGCCAGAGCTTTGGGGGCTGGGTTACCTGCAGAACTCCAGGAGCTTAGAGAGTGCCTCCAGAGAGGGCAGATGCTGAGAGGACCTCGGGCTGCGCTGCAGGATAGGCTCATTCAAAACTCTGTGAGCCAAGCTTTGTGGACAGCCTCCTGGACTCTTCTTGATCAAGTTCTAAGACTCCATTCTGGAACCTTCCTAAGGCAGGCTTAGTGGCAATTTTTCTCTTGGCCCTGATTATTCTGCAGAAACCCCTCCATCTTCTCAATCAGTGGGCTACCTGAAAACAGAACTCAGTCTTCATCAGTTCCTTAGGCTTTGACTCCTCTGCATAAAAATAGTCTTGGTGACCCCTCAGTTTTCCAAGAATAAGCTGGCTAAACATGAAAGCAAGGTCTTCCCATAGTGCTTCTCTCCCAAAAGCTCACTGTACTGTGTGGTTAGAACCTGTCTACCTCACATCATCAGACATCTCTGCAATTGGCACCTACTCTTCTATTTTTATTCTTACTTTTACAGGCTCGCGTGTACTTATGCGACTCAGTTCACTAAAATAAGGATGGTACTGTCCTGTATATCTCCTAGAAGTTTTGAAAATCTGATGAGATAAAGTCCTGTATGCCCTTGTGAAGTACACGAAGTGCTCTATGTGCTAGAAAACACATCCATCTCACCCACCAGCCTGTTAGCTTCTTGTCTGAGTGTTCCCTTCCTAGTGCCCAACAGAGTACTTTGTACATAGTAGACTCCCAATAAAATGGCTCTTCATTAATTCAAGATATGACTGGGAGGAAGTGCAGCATTTTAGGATTGCAAATGACTATCAAGCCTCTGTTACTGTGAGTTGCTTCATGGCCCACGCCTTGGACTAGGCCCTACCCGTAGTCCCCAAGAGCATCATCAGATGACACAAGTGAAGCCAACTTCACAACTTTTTCTTTAGAAGGGTACACTGGGAGTAGGGCTATGCTGGGCTATGAGGAGATTGCGTTAAGGCCCTGTCTCTCCCCTCATTAATAACAAGGAGGTGGGAATGAGAGCAATACCTGGGACCAACACTGTGATGGTAGAAGGTGAGGGAAGACAGAAGAAGGCATGGGGACTTTGGGACTCTAGCTTCTTGTTCATTCCAAACTATTTCAGATCCATTCGATGTAAGCAGAATGAAGGGAGAAGGCTGAGTGGGACCATCTCCCTCTAGCAGCAGGCAGACAGCCTAAGACTCAGAGAGGGGAAATGATCACAGCCCCATAGACCTGCAGGAGCCCTTTGAGGCCACCTCCTTCAGTTTATAGTTGAGGCCCAGAAACCTGAAGTAATTTTATCCAAGGTCAAGAACCAGGGAAGGACACAGCCATGACTGGAACCCAGGCAGCCCAGCTCATAGATCAGGCTTTGATTCCCTACCCTCACACAAAGGGAAATGGTTCTTTATTATTCCATATGCCTTAACCAGTTTGACCTTCACAGCAAGCCCAGTAGTCAGGCAAAGGGCCATCATTCCCATTTTATACCAGAGGAATCTGGGGCCCAAACAGATTTTTTCACTAATAGTACATATTGGGCCAGGTGTGGTGGCTCACGCCTGTAATCCCAGCACTTTGGGAGGCTGAGGCGGGTGGATCACCTGAGGTCAGGAATTTGAGACCAGCCTGACCAACATGGAGAAACCCCATCTCTACTAAAAATACAAAATTACCTGGGCGTGATGGTGCATGCCTGTAATCCCAGCTACTCGGGAGGCTGAGGCAGGAGAATCACTTGAACCCAGGAGATGGAGATTGCAGTGAGCTGAGATTGCACCATTGCACTCCAGCCTGGGCAACAAGAGGGAAACTCCGTCTCAAAAAATAAATAAATAAATAAATAAATAAAATAGCATATATTGGTGACATGGCCAGGAACATTAACTAGTGCTCTTAACAGAGCAGCTGTTAAGGGCATTACAGCTAGTCAGCCAAACCTGGGTTTGAATCTTGGCTCAACATTATTACTGTCTGTGAGACCCTGAGGGAAGTTGCTTATCCTCTTTGGGGCTCAGTATTCTCAACTATAAACTAGGGAACGATAATATTACTAACCTCACAGCCTGTTGTGAGCACGAAGTAAAGCAATATATGTAGAGTTCCTGACATGGTTGGAGGCATGTAGTGAGTTCTCCATAACACAGTAATTCTTCCTTTCTCTCTGCACCCACCCCAACCTCAGTGCCTCTCTCTTCAGGAGTCCAGGAGGATGGGGAGGGGCAGTTGGTAATAGAGTTGAAGAAGTATGCTTTGGGACACATAACCAGCAATATTCCCTTATCACCTGGCCCTAGCTCCTCCTGCCTCCCTCCCTCATCCCACCAAGGACATTGGACGAAAGAGTATCCAGAGCGCACTGGTACTCCATTTGTGTTCCTGAGCTGGCAGCATGCAAAACCTTTAAATACAAATTTTAAATCAGCAAATCCCAATTGCCTGATCTTGGAGGCAAAAAAGACAGATAGACAACAGATGTAGAGAAAGGAGCCAGGAGGACCAAATACCCCACAGCTTGGGGTTGGGGGAGGAGGTAGAGATAAAGACGAAATGAAGGCGAGGAGACAAGTGCACACAAATAGGGATGCTTACCATGTGGCCGAATTCCTTTTCCCCTAGGCAGACAGTCAAGCAGCTTTGTGGCCTGGTAGGACCAGGCCTCCTTGTTTCTCGGTATTGCTAAAACCAAGGTTAATGTCAGGTCCTGACACTGGCCCAATGACAATCCTAGCCAGCAGGAGCTTGGCTCAGAAGAAGTGAAAAAAAAATGATAAGCAAGTGCTCTTTGCAGAAGTCTTTCCCTTTTATGACCCCATATATATTTGTCTGTTCCTTTGTCATCTATACCATTTTCTTAGTTTGTAGAAAACTGGCCTGCTTCTGTCTTGGGACCACTGCAAGGGAATGTTATTCCCCAGCAATAAAGTAGGTCAGAGCCAGACTGGAGACTTGCATTCCTGTGTGGTTGTCTCCATTGTCACCACTCAAGTCTCAGGGATTGCTCTTCCTAAAACCATGTCCTTGGGAGCAAGGCTTTGCCCATTGTTTTCTCTTCTCTTCTCTTCTCTAGCAGAAGGTCTCTAAAGGCTACTATCCCTAGAACTGGCCATCTTCAGGCTGAAGCTAGGTTGGGCTAAAATGATCAGCCTTCAGTAGAAATCAAGGCTGAAACAGGTAAAAAGCAGGCTGTCTGAGCATTTCCCTACCAGAGACCCTTCAGCTAAGTGTCTGGGTATACTCAGTCAAACACCATCCCTGCCTTTGTGTTCATATTCTGTGTCCCTATTCAAGAAAGGTAGTTTTCTTTCTTTCTCTCTTTCTTTCTTTTCTTTCTTTCCTTTTCTTTCTTTCTTTTCTCTCTCTCTCTTTCTTCCCGTCTTTCTTTCTCTCTCTTTCTTTCTTTCCTTTCTTTCTTTTTTTTTTTTTTTGAGACGGAGTTTTGCTCTTGTTGCCCAGGCTGGAGTGCAACTGCGCAATCTCGGCTAACCACAACCTCTGCCTCCCGGGTTCAAGCCATTCTCCCGCCTCAGCCTCCGGGGTAGCTGGGATTACAGGCATGCACCATCATGCCCGGATAATTCTGTATTTTTTAGTAGAGACGGGATTTCTCCATATTGGTCTGGCTGGTCTCGAATTCCAAACCTCAGGTATCCACCCGCCTCAGCCTCCCAAAGTAGTGGGATTACAGGCGTGAGCCACCATGCCCGGCCTGGCAGTTTCCTTAAACCAGCTGTCAGGTGTCTCGGCCCTCAGCTTCCTGAGCTATGCTGCCCATTTCTCAGAGCAGCCAGGGGAATCTCTGGGCAAGTGTAGTGTTGCATCTGTCAGAAGAAGAAATAAAGCTTTTTAATGATCCTTGAGTGAATAGAGAGGTTAGTTTCATTAAATACAGGACTGCCAAGCTGGCAGCCTTACTGATTAGGCTCCTTGGATCAAGTTCTCAGCACAAAGATGGTGGAATTGGGATTAAGAGGAACAAAGGGAGCCCACATCCCAATGAGAAACATTCAGGATGTGGAGGCCCCTTGCTGGTCTCCAATGAGGTGTTTTTGTTTCACTTTTGGTGCCCTTCAGCAGGGGCACCTCCTCCAGGTGGACCAATTGACATCCAAGGACACGTTTAAATGTTCAGGTGCCATGGACTCGATGTGTTCCTTAAAATTCATATGCTGGAAATTAATCTCCAAAGTGACAGTGTTGGAATATGGGCCTTTTGGGAGGCTCCAACCACATGAATGGATTAATGTCAACTATAAAAAGGGCTTGTGGGAGTCGGTTCACTCTCAAGTCCTTCTGCCTTATCCGTTTCAATGCTGGGGACACAGCAAGGCCCCATCTTGGAACCAGAGACCAAATCTATTGGCGCCTTGATCCTGAACTCTCCAGCTTCTAGAACTATGGAAATAAATTTATGTTCTTTATAAATTACCTAGTCTTTGGTTTTCTGTTATAGCAGCACAAAACAGACTAAGACAACAGATGTTTAGTTTCTGGGCTCTTAGTATTCCCTGCTCACTACCACTTCCCTCTCAAGGAAGAAGAAGGGTGAAGCAGGAAAATGGAAACTTGCATTTGCTGAGCAAGTATTGGTTGCCAGACACTGCTTTGGGCACTTTCCTATACCTTATCTCATTTCTTTCTTTTTTTTTTTCTTTCAGGGTAAGGGATGTGCTTCAGGTGCAAAGAATTTCATTGACTGGAATACTGTTAGAGTCATATTATCATCATCAGTTTATGCATGGCCCACTTTGTATCATTTTATTTCTATTTTTATTTATTTTTACTTTATTTATTTCCCTCTTTATCACCCTTCCCAATCCCATCTCCTTTCATGATGGATATGCACTCTTTTTTTTGAGACAGAATTTCACGCTTGTTGCCCAGGCTGCAGTGCAATGATGCAATCTTGGCTCACTGCAACCTCCGCCTCCCAGGTTCAAGCGATTCTCCTGTCTTAGCCTCCAGAGTAGCTGGGATTACAGGCATCCACCACCATGCATGGCTAATTTTTTGTATTTTTAATAGAGACAGGGTTTCACCATGTTGGCCAGGCTGGTCTCAAACTCCTGACCTCAGGTGATCCACCCGCCTTGGCCTCCCAAAGTGCTGGGATTACAGGCGTGAGCCACTGCACCCGGCCAGATATGCACTCTTGTGTGTTTGATTTACATAAATGGTATTGTTCTGTACATCTTCTCTGCTTCTTTGTTTCATGTAATATTATAATTATTGAGAGCTAATTCTGTTGATAACTGTGAAAGTAATATGTTCATTTTAACCACTATATAATATTCCATGATTTGCATATTTTGCATTTTATTTATCCATTCCTCTGTTGATGGACATTTAGGTTGTTTTCAATTTCTCTGTATTACAATATTGCAACAAACATTTCATGCAAGCTACTTTGTGTACCTGTGAGAGTAGTTCTAGGGGGATATAGAAATGTTGGCCAGGCATGGTGGCTCACGCCTGTAATCCCAGCACTTTGGGAGCCGAGCGGCGGATCACGAGGTCAGGAGTTCGAAACCAGCCTGACCAACATGGAGAAACCCTGTCTCTACCAAAAATTTAGTAGAGACGGGGTTTCTCCACGTTGGCCAGGCTCGTGTAGGACTCTTGACGTACTGATCCGCGTGCCTCGGCGTCCCAAAGTGCTGGGATTACAGGCGTGAGCCACCGCGCCCGGCCTCTCCAATATTTCTATAGTTGTATAGTTTTGCCTTTCATGTTTAAGTGTGCAGTACCTCTAATGTTTATTACGTACGTGGCATGACATAAGCATTTAATCTTGTTTTTCTATGTTATAAGCCAATTTCTCCTATTTTATGCCTGTTATTCATAGCATGGACCTTTCCTGTGGCTCTTGCTTCATGAGCAGTAAATCAAGATACATTCACCAAGTTCCCATCGTATTCAGAGCCCTGAAGAAGCGGGATTCTAGTGGAGTTTATGACACAGAACCTGCCTTCAGGAAATATGCCATCTTGCTGGGAAAATAAACCCATGGAGAGAAGAAAAGGTTTTGAGAGTATACATAAAGCAATACCTAAGTGAGGATAAATAGAAACCTTGGAAACTGAGAATACATGTTTGGAGGGTCAAAAAGGGAGCAGGGTACCCATTCCTAGGCTGGGATGGATAAAAGGATTGAACTAGAAGTACAGGGACACCATTGGATATTTTCACTGTGAGATGATCCTCGAATCAAGGTAGCTTTATGCAGTTGCCACAGAATGAAAGAGGAGATAGGAGACACTGAGACTTCACCATTGGCCATTATCTGGCCTTGCTGGTCCGCTCAGAGTTTCCTTCCCATGCCCTTCTCCTTTCTTATTGCTCCTCAGCCCCAGATTACTAATTAATAAGGAAGCAAGGTCATTTTTTAGTGCAGTTCAGGTACCCAGTCCAAAAAATCTCCCTGAATCAGCTGTCTCCATTCTCAGAGCCATGGATTAAATTGAAGGGAACTAATTTAAAATAATAATAATAACACAAAAACACTAATAACAACAGGAATAATTGTAACATAATAACCTCACACCCTTTCAGGAGCTCATATCTTCTCTATGAATATGATCTACCTTGCTCACCAGTGGGAAGAGAGGAAGCTGATTGAAGGAGATTTTGTGGAGCGGGTGCCTGGACTCTGGTAGAAAGGGATCTTGGGGTGTGGCAGACACAAGACAGAAGGTCAGGACTTAGCTGCCTTTCTCAGCCTAAACTGGCTTTTAGTTTGCCTGTGACTTTCCTATTTGGCCAGAAAGGAAAAAGTGTGGAGGCTTCAGAGAGCTTCAACGCCCCCTCCTCCCCTAGCAGGCCCCCTCTGCCTCAGGATGCTGTGCCATGCCACAAAGGTGGTACATCTTGCCTTCCAAACTTGGCTCTCCCAGAGTCTACATTACAAAGTGTACACCAATTACCCTCAGCAGGGCAGCCTGGATTTAGTGTAGCCCACGTCAGGAGCTGATTTTGCTCCTAGTAATCTCCTTCTGCTTTAGTGGTTTGAGACTCTGGAGGGGTAGGTGGGAGGGGAACAGGGGGGCAGGTGGGTGGAGGAAGAAAAGCAAACAAAACTCATCAAAACTAACAAACAAAAAAACTCCAGCTCTCTGCTCATTAATCCTCTCAGGGCCTACTTCTTACCATGGCAACCAGTAAGCCTCCAGGCCTCCTCAGTCCTCACTCCAGTTGTTAGTAAAGAGAGGAGGCTGGCTGCTTTGCCTGGGATGATTTCAATACTGGACAAATTAAACTGGTCCTGGGGAGCTGTGGAAGTTGAAGGAGGAAAGCGGTAGAGAGAGGAAAGGGAATGCTGAAGTGAGGAATGGCAAGTTTCCATTAGGCAGCATGTCTCAGGATCTCTCTTGGGAAGGTGGTAAGGGCCTCCAATGCCAACTTGTGTTAACCCTCAACGGTCTTGATGAAGGCCAACCCTGCCCACTCTCTTCCCCATTCCCCAAAGGCAAGATGATGCAGTGTGTGGGGGTGTCAGTCAGCTCTTTGCAGCACAAAGTGATTTGCTCCGTCTTGAACCAAAGGCAAGAAGAGGAGACAGAAAGTCAAAGTCAGCAGGGTACTTACTTTCACTTCACCCAGAAGGCAGCTGGTCATTGGTGAGAGTGCAACTCTCTAAAGAAACAGAAGACACATTCCTCAGGAAAGGTTCAGGGCAACTTAGCTTCTCTGACCTCCAACTCTGCCTCACCAAGCCTCCCAAAGGCACCATTGCCACAGCCCTCATTTGGTTCAATCTGATCACAGGTCACTGAGCCCCATGGATGGATAACCATCTGCCAAGGTGGGCAGTTTTTCAAGTTATATCAGAGGCTGTGTAACTCCCACTGGCTTCTTTCCTAAGAAACTGAGGCTGGAGCCAGATTCCTTGACCCACAATGAACTGGGACTTGACTATGATATCACTCCTGAGGCTAGTTTCCAGGCAATTCACATTGGTCCTACAACACGGAGGTATGAATGAATTCTTAGGTCCTTTCTTAAATTCCTGCTTTGACAAGGAAAAGGCAGAATGTTGGAAAGGAAGGACTCAGGTGAGGCCCCTTGGTGTTTTTGTCCTGTCCACAGCTAGTGAATGGTTATTTGTTCATTTTGTTTCCTTATTTGGTTTGGTTTTTCCTATTACAAAGGGAAGTAGTACTACTTTCTCCCTAAAAACACTATCTTTCTTCCTCTGTATGTCCTCCTGTGCCTGATACTATCTGCACACTTTCCCATTCCTTTAGTGAGTACCTGAGTCCCAGAGTCTAAAAAAAAATCATCTCCGCTTCAGCCTCAGCCTCCAAGACCTTAATAGCTTAGGCATATTAATTTCTGAGCCAGAATAGAGTCTTGCTTTCACTTACTCCCAAATGCTTGTTGAAAGTCAGGTAATTTGGCTACCACTGTATCTCTAGTATTCCTTGGCACATGGTTGGCATTCAGTAAAGATCCTTTTTTTTTTTTTTTTTTTTGAGACAGGGTCTGACTGTGTCGCTCAGGCTGGGGAGTGCAGTGGTGCAATCATGGCTTACTGCAGCCTTGACCTTCTCTGCTCAAGTGATCCTCCCACCTCAGCCTCCGAAGTAGTTAGGTGGGACTGCAGATGCTCACCCCCACACCTGGCTAATTTTTTTAATTTTTTTGTACAGATGGGGTCTCATTATATTGCCCAGACTATAGTGAAGAAATTTTAAACGAATCTTAGTATATGTATAATCTCAGAGTTTTTCGCTCACTTAAAATAACAGCAGCATCTAAAGCTTCCATTTATTGAAAAGCTACTGTGTCAGACAGAGCCTGTGCTATGGACTACATATGGACATTCTAATTTAAAACTTAGGACATTTTTGAGGGACAGAAACTGTTATTAATTCTGTTCCACAGATGACAATCATGAGGCTCAAGAATGTTGATTAATTTTCCCACATAGTTAATAAATGGCAGAACCTAGTACCAAACTCAGATACCTTGGACTCCAAAGATTGCCTCTCTATGCCTCTGGTGATAGGAAAGTGCCATTGAGACTAAGATCACTATTTGGCTTTCTGACATGCCAGTTAGGTTTGCACAGAAACAGTTCCATGGCTACATACTTTGTTCTCAACCCTAGCAAATCAGTTTATCCAAAGGGGCTCAGGTGAGAGTGTGCTAAGTAGAGAGAAGTTGCCAAGTACCCTTTTCTACTTGTAAATATCCCTTACATATGTACAAAGTTTCCGTTTAAAAAAATACTTTTTTATTTCCTACAGTCTTCACAGCAAGCATGAGAGAGTTTTGTTACAGCTACTCAGTTTTTAAATAAGGACACTGAAGATCAGGGAAGTGTTATAAATTGTCTAAGGTCACACAGCCAAGAAGTAGTAGAACAGGGGCTAAAATCCACTCTTCTTATTCTAGAGCACCAGAGTATAAGCCACTGGATCCTTTTGGCACATAAAGCATTAGAAACCTTGCTTTGTGTCAGATGCCAACTCCCACAAAAAGATTACTGCTTGCTGGTGGCCTATGCCTGTATTCCTGGCTACCTAGGAGGCTGAGGGGAGGATATCTTGAGCCCAGGAATTTGAGATCAGCCAGAGCAACACAGAAAGATTCCATCTAAAAAGACTGCTGCATTTTATTCAGACAAGGGGGAACTAGAGCCCCAGTTCTATGTCCCAAATGGCTAACTGACAATTGAGAAGAAGGCTTGCATCTCATATGTTCTGTCAGAATTCGAAAGACATCATCAGGAAAACCTTTTTATATCTTCTGAAAGTTGCTGTCTAAGTATTAGCAACCCCCCTGCCACCCCACAACAGGCATTGAATGAGGACTGGGAATGCACATCACTCCCCTCCATCTGTCCTCTTTCCCCTTTGAGCAGTCTTAATCATTTTGAAATTTCAATGAATTAAGAAAACAGGCCATCACCCCTAGATATAACAACACCTCTCTTTGGAAGGAGGCATTGGTCATAAAGAGATCACTGCTTTATGGGGCAAAAGCCATCAGATTACTGGGGATTTTGCACCAGCCTAAGTAGGCTTAACTCCTAAATGGCAAAGAGGCTTTGACAAGGATCCCTCAGAATTCTGCTAGTGATTCATGTGGGGCTTTCCTCCTCCTCACCTCTCTCTACTTCTGTCACCCCAGCCCCCACTCCTCCCATAATAAGCAGTCCTTCCCTGCCTCTCCCACTGTCAAGGGACTCTTCTGTGAAAGAATAACATTCCCAGCCGGGCAAGATGGCTCAAGCCTATAATCCCAGCACTTTCGGAGGCCGAGACGAGTGGATCACCTGAGGTCAGGAGTTCGAGACCAGCCTGGCCCACATGGTGAAACCCCGTCTCTACTAAAAATACAAAAATTAGCAGGGCGTGGTGGTGGGTGCCTGTAGTCCCAGCTACTCGGGAGGCTGAGGCAGGAGAATCACTTGAATCCGTGAGGTGGAGGTTGCAGTGAGCTGAGATCGTGCCACTGCACTCCAGCCTGGGTGACAGAGCGAGACTCCATCTCAAAAAAAAAAAAAAAAAAAAAAGGCAGGGCGTGGTGGCTCATGCCTGTAATCCCACCAGTTTGGGAGGCCGAGGCAGGCGGACCACCTGAGGTCAGGAGTTCGAGAACAGCCTGACCAACTTGGAGAAACCCAGCCTCTACTAAAGATACAAAATTAGCCGGGCATGGAGGCTCATGCCTGTAATCCCAGCTACTCGGGAGGCTGAGGCAAGAGAATCACTTGAACCTGGGAGCAGAGACTGCGGCGAGCCAAGATTGCGCCATTACACTCCAGCCTGGGCAGCAAGAGTAAAACTCTGTCTCAAAAAAAAAAAAAAAAAAAAAAGAATAACATTCCTTCTTCACTGAATTATTCATCTTTGCTGCCTTGGTATGGCAAAACTTCTCATTAAAAGCCCTGGGTGAGGCCGGGCGCGGTGGCTCATGCCTGTAATCCCAGCACTTTGGGAGCCCAAGGCAGGCGGATCACAAGGTCAGGAGTTTGAGACCAGCCTGGCCAATATGGTGAAACCCCGTCTCTACTAAAAATACAAAAATTAGCAGGAGGTGATGGCAGGCGCCTGTAGTCCCAGCTACTCGAAAGGCTGAGGCAGGATAATCACTTGACTCCGGGAGGCGGAGGTTGCAGTGAGTTCAGGCCACTGCACTCCAGCCTGAGCAACAGAGCAAGACTCTGTCTCAAAAAAAAAAAAAAAAAAAGCCCTCAGTGGGAGTGACCTACTTAGCGCAGCACTCACAATTAGACAGAGAGAAGACAAGGGGAGGAAGAGATGCAGTGGCAGGGGTGGGAGGCTACCCCAAAGGGGTTGTGACAGGGAGTCCCCAAAACCCAGGGACTTGAGAGACTGAATGGCACCTCTGGAGGCTCCTGGCTGCGGGGATGACCACGGTGCGCTGCTTACCTTTCATTCTTCATTCACTTGTACACATGAGAGGCGGCACACATGCTGCTGCCATGAAGACCATGGGCTCTGGGGCCAGGCTGCTGGGTTTACATCCCACATATCTTCCGAGATATGTGACCCTGAAAAACCATTTAAACTAGCCATGGTGGTTCATGCCTGTAATCCCAACACTTTGGAAGGCAGAGGCAGGAGGATCACTTGAGCCCAGGAGTTCTAGAGCAGCCTGGGCAACATAGTGACACCCCAGCCCTAAAAGAAAACAAAACAAAAAATTTAATTAGCCGGGTGTGGTGGCAAGTGCCTGTAGTCTCAGCTACTCGGGAGGCTGAGGTGGGAGGATCGCTTGAGCCAGGAAGGTTGAGACTGCAGTGAGCTGTGATCACACCACGGCACTCCAGCCTGGGCGACAGAATGAGACACTATCTCAAAAAAATAATAAAATAAAAGTAAGAGGAAGAGACTAGGGTGCACGCGCTCTCTCTCTCTTACAGAAAGAATGGGGGCCTGGAGTGGCAAAACAGGTTAATGAGAGAAAGAAGAGGAGGCCTGGCCAGCAAATGCAGTCTTGTTATGTAAATGAAACCTCACAAGTAGCAGCTCTCACAGAGAATAGGTGGTAAATGTTCCTTTCAGACCTTTAAAGTTGTCAGAATCTCAGTTAATCGTTCCTAGATCCCAAAAAGGAAAGGCCTTTGGAAAGTCTGGCTGCAGCGATGCAGGTTTTCTCTACAAATGCAAATCTCCCCTACAGAAGACAGCTTTGCAAGGCTACTTGAGTTTGCAGGCCCTCTGAGCAGTCATTTCAAAATATGTCAAAAAATTATATTTTGGGGTAAAATATTTTGATTTCCTTCACTAGAAAGAGGGCCCTCAGCAGATCCTGACCATCTTGGCACCCTGGTCTTGGATTTCCAACCTCCAGAACTGTGAGAACTAAATTTCGCTTATTTTTTAGTCACCCAGTCAGTGGTATTTTTTTATGGCCTCCCTAGCTGACTAAGACAATGATGCTGCAAGAAACCTTGCCACCAGAGCAGCTAAGATGAGCCCCCATGGAGCAACTGACACTCAGCACTGTTGTCCAAGCTAGGGCAGGCACCAGTGCCTCCTCATCCATTCTTGTATTTATTCATTCATGTATTCATTTACAAATGTTTAGCTGGCACCTACCCTGTGCCTGGCCCTAAGCTAGGTGCTGTAGGGTGCACAGCAATGAGAAAATCAGGCCCAGGCCTCACCCTCGTGGAGCTTAGAAGCTACTAAGGAGGAGCATCTCTGAAGAATCACACACATGAATGTGAGACACAATAGAGTTTTTTAAAAACCCAAGATGTTGTGAGCACCAATAAGATTGGGTAAGGGGCCAGGAAAAAACTCCAAGGCAGCTGGGTGAGGTCGCTCATGCCTGTAATCCCAGCATTTTGGGAGCCTGAGGTGGGTGGATCACATGAGGTCAGGAGTTGGAGACCAGCCTGGCCAACATGGCAAAACCCCGTCTCTACAAAAATACAAAAATTTGCTAGGCCTGGTGGCAGGCGCCTATAAACCCAGCTACTCAGGAGCCTGAGGCAGAATTGCTTGAGCCCGGGAGGCAGAGGTTGCAGTGAGCCAAGGTGCACCACTGCACTCCAGCCTGGGTGACAGAAGGAGACTCCATGTCAAAAAACACATAAATAAATAAGAACGCCAAAGAGATGATGTTTAAATCTGGACACTGAGAAAGAAAGAGAAGGCATCAAACAGGCAAAGAGTGAAGGAGAAGTTGGTGCAGGTGGAAGGGCAAGGTGAGTTCCTTTCCCTGGCCCAGGTCATTTCCAAACGGTTTTGTCTTAGAGGAGTGAGGCTCTCTGAGGTCTGGATGCTTATTGGCTTCCACTTGTCAAACTCTGACTGCCACCACATGGGCTTTCCCAAAGCCTAGCCCACATACGACGTGTATCAGAGTCACCAGGAAAACTTGATAAGATACAGATACCTAGGCTGCACTCGCCTGAGAGCATTTTAGTGAGCAGTCATAGTGGGGCCCAAGAATGGTGGGGCCCAAGCAGTAATGATGGGGCCCAAGAATGCATTTTAACAAGGACCCCAAGAGGTTGCTCAAGCTTGGAGAATTTCTTTTTGTTTTTTGTTTTTTTTTTGAGGCAGAGTCTCGTCTGTCACCCAGGCTGGAGTGCAGTGGTGCAATTTTGGCTCACTGCAACCTCTGCCCCACTGGGTTCAAGTGATTCTCCTGCCTCAGCCTCCCGAGTAGCTGGGACTACAGGCATGCACCACCACGCCCAGCTAATTTTTGTATTTTTAGTAGGGATGGGGTTTCACCATGTTGGCCAGGCTGGTCTCAAACTCCTGACCTTAGGTGATCCACCTGCCTTGGCCTCCCGAAGTGCTGGGACTGCAGGCATGACCCACCGTGCCTGGCCGGGAATCTCTTGACATACTACATAGTATGAGGAAAATGGGTTGGTGGCAAAAACTGAGCTAGTAAACCACCGCCCATGTTTACAAGCCTGGGTTTAATAGTGACTTTCTCTCAAAAGCTATCTCTGGTCTCTGCATGTCGTTTTTTCTAATATCAGGCTCGGAAGAGTGTAGGCTCTCTTTAGCTTGGAGTTTCTTTTTTTTTTTTTTTTTTTAAGACAGAGTTTCACTCCTGTTGCCCAGGCTGGAGTGCAATGGTGCAATCTCGGCTCACCACAACCTCCGCCTCCCAGGTTCAAGAGATTCTTCTGCCTCAGCCTCCCAAGTAGCTGGGATTACTGCCATGCGCCACCACGTCCGGCTAATTGTGTTTGTTTTGTTTGTTTGTATTTTTAGTAGAGAAGGGGTTTCTCCATGTTGGTCAGGCTGGTCTCAAACTCCTGACCTCAGGTGATCCACCCGCCTCGGCCTCCCAAAGTGCTGGGATTATAGGCTTAAGCCACCGCGCCCAGCCAGCTTGGAATTTCTAAGTGGATTTTTTCTTAAGGAGACCAACCCTCCTGGTTTGCCTGGTACTCTCCCAGTTTTAGCATTAAAAATTCTGTGTCCCAGGAAATCCTCAGTCTTGATATTAATTGGATCCCTAATATCTTTGGCAAATGAGGATGACTGGTTAACCTAGTGTCCTAGAGAAGTGCCTAGCTGGATTCACCTAGAAAAGGGAGGAGTCACTAAAAGTCTCCCCAGTCTCCCTACTGCCAAGGTGCTCCCACCTGCCAAACTTGCCTTCTCATCCATGTGACAAGAGGTACACAGAAGAGTCTTCTCCCTCCAACTCCCCAGCATGCATGCTTTCTCCTGTTTGTTTCTGGACAGTGTCATATCAAAAAGGAGACATGACAATAAGCCAGTAGGTCCCACAGCATAACCAATGTGTTTGAGATGGGAATGATCAAAGCTTTACCAAGGGCTAAGCCCTGGTCTTAGAAACTGGAGCAGAAAGAAACTATCAGCTAACATATTCACAGGGTAATAGAAAAGATGACATATAGCATCGCCATGGCAACCAGCCTCCAAAGGCCCCCAGCACCTGCTCCATTCTACACAATATTTCCCCAAACAGGGATATTTCTTACTTCCTTGTTTTTCTTTTCAATAAAGATGTTAATTTTATTCCCCCTCATTTGTGCTTAATGTTCCAGTAGCAATTTAGCTCCTTCTGGGCTTTCCTAGCCCCTCCCTGTCTCTCCCAAACCTTTTCTTCTCCTGTCTCCCATCCTTCCTTTCCCTTCGATCTCTTTTTTTTCTCTGTCCCCACAATTCCTGTCCCTGCTTCCCTAGACAAATATTTCCAACCACCTCTCTTCTCCCAGAGCTAAGCCCTCTTCCAGGATATTTTATCAGCTGCGGTTCTGATGGCCTAGTAAGTGTTGGTCTTTGCATTGGGTGAGTTCTCTATGGTGCTCTCTTGAAATCCCACGCCCTCTCTTCTGGTGTCTCACCACACCACCACCATCCCATCTCCCTGAGCTAGGGGACACAGTTTAGTAAAACCATTTTAGCCCACAGAGCAGATGAAGGGAAACAAAGGCTGCAAGGTGGAGAATAGTAACAGTTGGGGTTTTTTGAGTGTTGATCATATGCCTGACCCTACTTTAGAGCTTTATATCTATTGTCACATTTAATCTTCATGACAATTCTGATGGCATAGGTTTTATTGACTGATTGATTGATTGAGACAGACTCTCGATCCATCACCCAGGCTGGAGTACAGTGGCCCGATCTTAGCTCACTACAACCTCTGCCTCCCGGGTTCAAGCGATTCTCCTGCTTCAGCCTCCCAAGTAGCTGAGACTACAGGCACCAGCTGCCACATCCTGCTAATTTTTGTATTTTTAGTAGAGATGGGGTTTCACCATGTTGGCCAGGCTTGTCTCGATCTCCCGATCTCAAGTGATCCCCCTGCCTCGGCCTTGTAGGTATTATTTATGACTTCACTTCACACATAGGGAAACGGAGACTTAGACTGGTTATGACACTTGGAAAAGGTCATGGAGCTAGTTAGTAGTAGTGTCAGGATTTAAACCTAGGCAGTCTGACAGCCAAGTCTGCCCCCTTTCATGAAGAGGTTTCAAAAGAAGATCCTGTCTGCATTCATTGAATGGGAATGGGGTCCTGGCAAACCCTTTCATCAGCATTATTTGAAGGGTGCCCCTGGTCAATAAAACTGTCCTGTAAAAAAAACACATGTCCTTCTGCTTAGGTCCATGGGAGCAGTGAAGCAGAAAGGGAGTGGAGGAGCTCTCACCCTGAGCCTCTTCTCTCTTCAGTTCGTTCACACAGTCTCTCATTTGTTCATTCATGCAACACACGTTTAGCAAGTATTTCCCATGAGTTAGGCTCTGCCCAGCCTATCCATAGGAAACTGTGTTGTGGAGAGACCGCTGAGTGTCAGGAATCCTGTCTATGAAGTCTGTCTCTCCACTTGCCATTTCTGAGCTTGTTTCTGGGGACAATGATGCTTACGAGTTGACAGAAATCACGGCTATGGAAACACCTAACATGATGCCTGACATAGAGGGGTTAATTTTTTAGAGGCAGAATCACTTCTACATGGGAAAGTTGTACCAGAAACAAAGCAGGGTGGTGCTGAATTTTCCCAGAGGTGAGATGGGCCTGAAGGTGCTTGGCTCCTACCAACTCTCAGGGTTGGCTCTCTCAAAGCAGGGAAACCCAAGGCTGCCCATGGCATGCCCCTACTTATCTCTTAGAGTAAGCAGCTTCCTCTTTCCAGATGGTTTACTTCTTGTGGTAGAAAAAGAGACCCAGCCCTCTGCAAAGCAAGAATTTGGTTCCAAAACCAATCTTCTGGGCTGACAAAGTCTCTAGATACAGACAGACACTGCTGAGGCAACATTATTATTATTATATTGAGACAATGTATGCCCAGGGTTGCAAGGGAAGGTGGTTCCACAGAACAGACATTAAATAAATTATTTGGGTAAGGGAGGAGAGTACAAACAATTTTAAGGAAATCTGGCCATTTCCATTTCTCTCTCTTGCTTTCTCCTCTCTTATCCTCTTTATTCTCTCAGCTCTGATTTAAGAAGGAGAATGAGTT
This sequence comes from Homo sapiens, assembly GCF_000001405.40. Taxonomy (NCBI): domain Eukaryota; kingdom Metazoa; phylum Chordata; class Mammalia; order Primates; family Hominidae; genus Homo; species Homo sapiens. The sequence continues at coordinate 103,737,565 of NC_000023.11, read as the reverse complement.
ACTGAGTAAATAGTGGAGGAAGTAGTTTGTGTGTGGATACTTTAGCTGACTTTTGGCTTAATATTAAAGGACCCCCTTGGCCCCACTGCTGAACATTTTCTGCAACTTGGGAAGGCCAGATTGCCTGGGCCTGTGCCTGTCAGGGAGAGTTCATGGCTACACGGTGCAGTGCACTGTGTATAGGAGTGCACATGGGTGCCTTGTGGAGAGAGGCCAAGGGGAAATGTCACAAAGCACAAAGCAGAGGACAGGTTTGAGCTTTTGGGGGAAAGCAGTAATGTGACGGGGGCAGCTGGCCTGGAAGCCAAAGTTTCTGAGATCTAATCTAAACCCTGCACCAAATCACGGATCACCTTGAGCCTGTCATTTCACCCTTCTGTGGCCTTCAAAAAGAGGAGACTGAATTAGATCTTTAATATCTGGTCATTTCTAACGTTATATAACTTGGTGGTTTTGCATGAGATGTTGGGGAGTATGGGGGATTCTAGCCCTTCTTGTTCCTTTGCCCCATGCAAGAATCTCCACTTGAATTTCAGTCTTTTTCCCTTTCCTCACCAAATCAATATATTTCAGGCACCAAATAGAAGCCACAAGGCACTTCTAAATTGTCGAAAATTACAGTCAAGGCTACTTCCATCTCTGCTCATGGTAGTGCTAGGCCAAGCTATAGGGCAGGGTTGAAGAGGGTTGGTGGCAGGAGTCAGGAAGTGGTGGAGCAAAGAAGATTTAACCCCTTAAAAAAAAAAAAAACCACCATATTCATTTCATCCATGATTTGTCTAGTGGCTGAAATGATCCCCTTACTAGGATGGAGACAACTTCACCGTAAGTCACAGCAAAGTTTCATTTGGGAGGAAGTATTGATCACAACTACTCACTGTTACTTAATATTTAAGGATCCAGTTTCTTCTTACTTGACTGGAGCAGCCAGTTGGGGGATAGGCCTACGTGGCTTTGTCTCTTGACTTGATGATGAACTTGTTTGACTTTGGGAAAAAGGCCTATGCCATCGCCAAGCTCTGTGGAATGCAGGCTGGAGAAAGTTTAGTTTCTTCCTACAAAAGTCTCCAGGAGGTCAGGAACAGTGGCTCACACCTGTAATCCCAGCATTTTGGGAGGCTGAGGCAGGAGGATCACTTGAACCCAAGTTTCAAGACCAGTCTAGGCAATAAAGTGAGACCCCCATCTCTACACAATAAAAACTTAGGTATGGTGGAATGCACCTGTAGTCCCAGCTACTCTTGAAGCCGAAGTGGGAGGATTGCTTGAGTCCGGAAGGTCAAGGCTACAGTGAGCCTGTGGCTGTACCACTGTGCTCCAGCCTGGGTGACAGAATGAGACCCTGTCTCAAAAAAAAAAAGAGTCTCCAGGGGGCCTTTGATTCCTAGGAAAGCAGGATGCTTATCCTTTCTCTACTCTCTACTCATCTGCTGAGCCCAAAGGGAGCTGCATGGCAGAATCAAGGCTCATGAACAGATCATTCTATACTTCCTATTGCCCCATTCTTCAGATGAAGAGAATGACCTTGATTCCTATTGGGTATCAGGAGACTTCAGTTGATCTCTGGAAGATGATACTCTGAACCTGCAGGTGAGTAGAGGTCTGAGTAGATGCAGAGCAGTGGAGAGGCCAAAGACTGAATATGAAACTGGACATGAGACACACATCTAAATATTTTCAGAACACTAACTACAAAAAGAAGCCTTGCATTATTTCTGCTCCAGTCTATCTTTTTGGTTGGCTTGATTTTCACCAACTTGCAAACATGGTATTAGTTATGTTTGGGAAAGTGGAGTTGGAATGAGAGTGAAAGTATAAAATGTGAGGCAGAGAAGACAGAGATGTATAGTTTTTAGTCTTCTTTTTCCCATCTGTAAAATGAATCTAAGAAAGACCGATAATAGTAGATCACATTCAAACTAGGAGTTAAAGACACTGAAATTGATTGAATAATTGATATGTATTCCATCAACTTGAAACAAAGGATTTTCCTGATCTCTGATAATTTGGACACACATGAGGGCCAGAAACTTCTCTTTCATAGTAACTAGAATGACTTTCCAGTCTTCATAGGGTCAAAAGAATCTTTTTGGGGTAAAGAAATGGGGAGGGACCTATGGAACCATTAGAATCTATGGTGAACTGAGCTCTACACTAGGATTATTATTATTATTATTTTGAGACAGAGTCTTGCTCTTATCAACCAGGCTGCAGTGCAATGGTGCGATCTCAGCTCACTGCAACCTCCACCTCCTGGGTTCAAGCGATTCTCCTCCCTCAGTCTCCCGAGTAGCTGGGATTACAGGCGCCCGCCACCACGCCCAGCTAATTTTTGTATTTTTAGTAGAGACAGTGGTTTCACCATGCTGACCAGCTGGTCTCGAACTCCTGACCTCAGATAATCCGCCTGTCTCGACTTCCCAAAGTGCTGGGATTACAGGCGTGAGCCACCGTGCCCGGCCTACACCAGGATTTAATTAATGCAATTAACATGAGCTAAGACTCCCCAGGCCCTGGTCTTCTTAGCACTGATTAACAGCTGCTCCAGGATTTGGTCTCTGGTCTGAGGCTTATCTCTTTAGTTTAGCCTTCTCTGGGAATCTTCTGACTGCTGCTGGTTGCTACTTTATCTTGAACAGAATCTCAGCAAACATTTAGCCAGAATCAGAGCCATCAGAAAAGAGCCACTTCAAATTCTCTACCTCCAGAGCTCAGGATGAGCTGAGCTCCCTGGCCCTCACTTCCAGTTTCCTCCTGGGTGTTTCTCTGCAGTGCTAAAATGTTCATCCCTACTCAGTGAACTTTCTAAATAGTCCTCTTCTACTTTATCCTACCATTTCATATACCTGGTTCTGTACACGGAAAATAATTTGGTCTCCCAAGTGCTTTTGCTTAAGGTGATGCAACTGAGCAGACTTCCTGGATCTATGCCATGGCTTGTCTGAAAATGTCAAGTCCTCAGCATCCTATTTGTCTTTCCTGAAACTGGCCCATAATTGAGGCTGATTGTACTGGATTTGCAGTTGTGAAACAGCACCTGCCTTTGACTCAGCAGTGGGCACACTGCTGTGGAAAGTGAGGGGATTATAGAACACGTGGGATTTAATGTGTGGTTAGAAAGGCAATGTAAAGGTTACAGAAAGAAACTGACAATGGGCAGGAAAGAAAAGTCAGAGTTCTCAAAGCAACACTCTCTTAGTGTCTGACGATGATGTTGCTGACAGTGCAGGAGTGGGTGGCAGCAAAAGCTCATGTGTGTGACCTGCTATGTGGTTTGGAGTTGCCTATTGTCTGATTAGTATCTGAGATGACTCTTTAGGAGTGCCTGTCATTGATTAGAATCTGTGATTTGGGGCCATATGCGACATAACTCTGCAAAATGAATACCTCCCCTACCTTGTACAAAGAGAAGTGGCTCAATTTGGCATCTTACCTAGGGATTCCAATTATTCTGGGCAAGTGACTGGCTAGAAGCACTTCATTAGCACAGTAAATGTAGAGACCTCAGCCACAAAACAAAGACAAGATCTACCTGTACTCAGGATAAAATGGACTAGTCATCACACTCCAATTTCTTTGGCCACACACTCTTGGATAATAATTGTTAGCAACAGGGATATCATCTTCAGATTATCAAGGAGAGTTCTGTGTGTGTGTGTGTGTCTGCATGCACACGTGTATACTCAGATAATGAACACTACAGAAGTGCAAATTTAGGCTAGTACATCATTTGTAATGTTAAATTTATAATTTTGGCATATAACATTTGCCAACTATAACTATGTGATTGGTGTTAGTAATGCAAATTCAGATTTGTGCACAATTCTATGTAGTAATCAACCAAACTGTTCTTTACTTTAGTGTCCAGTGTCCTATTACAACAAACATTAAATTTATTCATAGTAAAACCAAAAAAGAAAAACAGAAGAAAAGACAGGAGAACAGACAGAAAGATAGACTGAAGGAAAGATAAAGTGAAAAGATTGAAGGGGGAAGAAGGAAGGAAGGAAGGATCCTAAATAATTGGAAACCACTCAGAGAAGCACCACAGCTAAGGATGCTGTTAATCTCGCCTAACTCTTCTAGTGAGGAAGGTGCTTATTAACAGTTGCAGACAAATATGTATGCATCATGAGATAATCATGAGATTATCTTTTCAGGGTTCTTGGGCATGCGTGTTCTGTAGGGTTGGATTATTGAAGGATAAGCTTCTTGAAAGGGTGTCTAGCAGGTGATGACCTGTGTGATGTGACTAGCAGAAAGATTCTGGGATAGATAAAAATGAAGCTCATTACTGCCTGCTGAAAAAAATAGTCTATTTTCTAGGCCATATAATAAATGCCCTACTCATATGCTGTGAGAGGCACTCAGGCCCTGGGGCATTGCTGATGACTCAGGCAGAAGCCTTCTTTGGGAAGGAATTACATTAGTGACCCACTAGAATCTAAGCTACATGAGGGCATGGACTCCATCTGCTTTTTTCACTGTTGTATCTCCAGAGCCTAGAATATCTGGCATCTGGCATATGATTTGCACTCAATAAATATTTGTTGAATGCATGCATGAATTAGCGGGAGTGTGATCCATTCCACACAGTAAATATTCATTTTTCCAAGTTCTGTTGCTTTTATGTTATGTAAGGGCTTCATGCCTTACATAGCATGCATTATCACAATCCCCAAATGAGTAAAATAAGATATTCATGAACATGATCACAAGCAAAAACCAATTTACCTTTGAGGAGAGGCATGACATGGTCCTATCATCCCCTAACAAGAATGTTGCAGAGTTACAAGAGCCAAGAGACAAGGAAAGTCAATGCAAACTCTGTGGAAACCTTAATGAAACTCTTCTGCACAGCTAGTGAATTGCTCTCAAGTGGCTGATGTGATGAGTAACGATTCTGAAGGTCCATTCAGAAGGAGAGAAATGATGCATATCTGGATGCTAGTCACTACACCTTCCCTAGCTGGAGCTTCACCACTCTGTTGTTCCCTGGATTCTTAACAGAGAGCCCAGCAACAGAGGCAGGGCCATTGTTCACTGGTGCCATCCTGGTGCTCACATCTGGTTTGTCTTTGGAGACTGAGAGGAATTCGGTTAACCTCTCCACTGGCCTCCCCAAGTTCACATACTTCACGTTTTTGTCTGCAAAACTCATACCTGAAATATTCTATTAAACAAAAGAATGAAGCCAAATCTTTGAAGCATCAGACTTGAACCAGTCACTGTCCAAAAGTCAAGAGAGCACTGAATGTGTCTATCATATCTGCAATTTTGTTCTTCCTTACTCCACCTGAGTCTAGGACTGTGAAACCTCCACCACCACTACTGCCCCCACACACTGGGCACCATCCCCTTAATTCCCAAGGGTGGAAGAGCTTCTTGCCTCTGATGCCAGTGCTCCTCAGCACCAGAAGTTGAGCCTCCGCTTTCAAGTAAATTGTCATATCTTTGGTAGTTGAAAATAACCCTGAAAAGAAAAATTCACACGCAGCAAAAAGATGCAGGCTTGCTCCTTAGAGATCCAACTGAAACGCCACGGTCATTGTCAGCAGATTTTTAAAAAGGTGTCTGTCTTTTTTTCAACCCCCCTCCAACTACTTAGCCTAGTGCTTCTGAAGAGTAGCTAAAGCTCTGAGAGTTTCCTCAGATTGGGGAACACAGCCTGCCTTTCAAGGTACCTCTCAGCTCTCTCTCTACTTCAATAAGTGAGATAGGCAATCCGGGGGCCATACCATCTGGGTAATTGAAGTTGAGTCCAGAAAGGTATGCCAAATGGTTCTCCAACTTTGCCCCCCAAAATGTAGCCCTAGAAGTCACTGAATTTACCAAACAATACCCATCCCAATGCAGACCTGCTGCTCCTCAGACTGAGGTTTCAGGAAGCCTGCTTATCAGCAGGGCACAGTTGCAATTTTCCCTGCATAGGGTTGAAACGTGGCAGACTCTTTTCTGGAATGAAACACTTACGAAAATGTGCTTAATCCATTTTTAGCAGTTTGGTAGTTTTTTCATGACAAAATAATATCTTTCATTCTGAAAAACATTTTGCCTATTGTAGCTTCTATACAACTTCAGCACTGCAATAAAGCCAGTTCTCGGGTGAGTATGGCAGCCAGTTGCAAAACAGGAAAAGGGTGCGATACATTTTGGAACATGATGATGCATATACTCCATAGCTTAGTGATGAGAAGAGAAAAAGGTTATGGGGTGAGGCTCAACACAACGTTGTACTCTTCCCACAGCAGAAAATGCTGAGGTCATCTTTGGAAAGTGTTGCTTCCTGTTGTTACAGGGAATTCTTCCAATTCCCACCTCTCCTGCTGTTTGTGAACGCCTAGTGCAGCTTACCCAGTTCTTTACCTCCCTTTCTCCCTTCTATACCCCAAGAGCCTGCTTCCAGCACCCTAGGAAAGCTGTATCTCTTCACCATGTCAGCCAAACATTTGGTCATAGCTACAGCCTCTCACAAGAAGGGATCTTTCCTCTCATGAAGCTGATCCTGCTATGATCTCAGCACTCAGAGATCCAATCTGGCACACAGGAGGTGGGACCGAGACAATAGACAGGTCCCCAGGGGCCTATGCCTTCCATTAGCTAAGAATTCCAGATGACCGAGTGTGAGGCCGCAGACCTAAGGGACAAGGGAATAAAAACTGCTTTCTCATTTTTCCTTATTATCATTACGTCATGCTGGCCTCTCTCTGTGTGTCAAACTTCTTGTTTGACAGAGAGAGATGCAGAGGCACTGAGCTTGAGGAAATATTCCTGCCCAGGATGCATCTTTTAACAAATGTTCACTAATTGCCTATAGTGTGCTGGGGATTTGGTGGATGATGTGTCTCTGCTCATCAGGGAGCTTGCGATAGTAGGGGAGACAGGCAAGTAATCTGGTAATGTGACAGTGTGACAGAGTGCTGCAAAGGTGAGGGTCCTGTGGGAACACATTGGACAGTCTCCTATCCTATACCCAAGGGACATGGGGGCAGCTCCAGAAGTGTTCCTTACAAAATGACAACGAGACTCAGTCCAGAAGGGTAAGAGTGGAGGGAAGAGTACTTTGGATAAAGGGAACAACATACAAAAACACCAGGAAGCTGGAGAGACAGAACAGGAAACTCTAGATGCATCAGTGGGACAAGCAGAGTGACCAACCTTGGGCTGCAGCCTGAGAGCAATGGGGAACTGTTGAAGCAGGAGAAGTGACATGTTGAGTTTTGCCACAGGAAGTGAGTTACACAGAGGAGACAAGAGCCACACCCCTCCCCGCCAGACCCCCAGCAAGGAGCTCTGTCCTGGGAGGTTCTGTAAGGCTCAGTTTCTGCCCATGGAGTGGGGATCATGATGCTTAAAGGAAACAAGGAGGGAGGGTGAGCAGATGAAAGGGCAGCTAAAGATGTTTTAGGTTATTTTACATTTACTGACCATATAGGCATTATTTGAGACTTGTAATGTTCTCAGTCCCAACTCCAAAAGCCCAGCACCCCTGTCTATATTTTAGTGTGCATTTAAAATTCTCTTCTTACCCTTTCATTTATGGTTTGAAAATTTCTCTTCCTTAATAATAACACAGCCAAAAGGGAGCTGCAGCACAGGTTCCACTCACGGCTACCTCATTATTAATCCTTCCATATAGCCAATAGGCCATGTGGAGGAGCTTCCAATCCCCTCAAACCCTCTCTGGCAAGGTTGAGGAGGCCACAGTCAGCTCCAGGATTGAACCTCAGAAGGTGGCACAGACCCCTCCCCACAGCATGCAATCAGAACTCCGCAGAGCTGGCGGGAGAGTTCCCCCTGAGGGAGAAATGAAAACGCTTGGCTTCTCACTGTTGTCGTTTTGGAGGAGAGTGTGAGAGAGTGAAGATACAGGGGAGGTGGAAAGAGAAAACCGGGAATGGAGAGGAAGTGAGGAAGAAAGAAGCAAGGCAGACAGGCACAGAAAGTGAGACGCAGAGAAGAAACTGCGAGGAAGATTGGAGATGGAGATGGACAGAGGGTCCGTGAAGGAAAATTTCAGGGAGGGGGGAGGAAGAGAGGAGTAGAGTGAAAAAAAGAAGAGAGAGCAAGAGGAAATGGGGGAGGGGAGAAGTCTCAGAGGTGTTTAGATAACACACTGGAACCTTTGAGGAAGAGTCAGGCAGGAGAAAATGGAGCTGCCAAAGCACCTTGTTGCTGTAAGCAAATGTGCAGGAGGCAAGGGAAGAGGCCAGCCCACCCCTCTGCCTCTGTCCTCCATCCAGGGCTGAGGGCCACTAGGTCACTGCTCTTGACCCGCTGCCATTCCTCTGAAGCCTGCAAAGCCTACTGTGTCCCAGCCTTGCTCTGCATCTCTGTCCCTTCCCATGAGCCAGGCTGGGGAAGGAGTGTCTGGGAGGAGGAATTCTGAGAGCTATAGAGGACCCCAAGAGACGACCTGAGGGAGGAAAGCAGGCACGGGAATGGCTGCACAACTAACTACAAGGGCGAGGTGGGATGGGGGCAGGTAGACAGATGAAGGGACAGACAGACTGTCAAGCAGGCAGACCGCACTTGAGGAGGGTTCCCAAGTTCCTCTGTATCATGCACCTTCTGTGTCTCTGTCCAGAGAGTTGGGGGAAAGCTATTCCTGCCCTCAGCCTCTTCACCTTCTCTCTAACCTGAAGCTGTCAGCTTGAGAATACCTGGTGGCGCTGCCTAAACCCTCTCAGGTCTTTTTCCCCCTGGTAACAATCATTAGGACTTTACTGTTGGGCTCCAGCTTGGCTCCAGGATGAAAGGAAAGCTGGTCGGGAGTGGGAGGTGGGGGGCGGGGGGAGCAGGGCTGCTTACATGCCCTCCTGCAGCTGGGGAGTTAGAGGTTGGACAGAACACCTCTGGCCCTCCCCAAACAGCCATGGCAGCCCAAGCTCCTCCCTGGCACACGGGCAGGCTCTGAACCCCACTCCAGCTGCTGCCGACTGTGCCTTTAAATTACTGCTTTCGGAGGGTGCATCTAGGGGGAGGTGGGAGGCAGGAAAACATCTTCCTACCGGTCTCCCTCCTCCCTCCCCTCCAAGACTCTTCAGGGTTTGGAGAGTGATTGCTGCCCAGAGAGAATCTTTTCCAGCTCCCAGCTGGCAGGCTAAGGCCCTCCGGAGCCCAAGGCGAGCCCAAGCAGAAGCCAGTAGGGTTATCTGTGTCAGGATCATTTCCAGGGGAATAGTTCTGGCCCCTGGCAGGTAAAGACAGGCCAGAGGAGAAGAGGCAGAAGAGGAGAGAAAGCAGGCTCTTTTGCGAGCAGCCCAGGTTGGAGAAAGGCTCTGTACTTTTGGCGTTCCTGCAGGGATATCCCCTCTCACATTGGCAGCCAGGCTGAGAAAGGGCTTCAAGATCCCCGCAGAATGACAACTCTTGTTCCTGCAACCCTCTCCTTCCTTCTTCTCTGGACCCTGCCAGGGCAGGTCCTCCTCAGGTGAGCTGAGTGGGGGTGAGAAGGAGGTGCATGCAAACACTAGCCAAGGGGGATGGGCAACCTGGGCATCTGGCACACTTTCCTCTAAGTTTGCACAAAGCCCGCAGTCTGGAGGGCTTCAGGGGAGGACACGACCTCCCCCAGTTAGGACCCCAAGAGCTTTTTATTAGAGATGTCAAGGCACCGGTCATGCTGGGAATGTTTCTGCACAGGTGGAAGCTTCCTAGGCCTGGGTAGGGGCTAGGCAACTAAGCCCCAGAATGGAGGGTGTCTGCCCAGCCACCTAACCCTGTTTCCCTATCATCTGGGCCACACACTGCTCAGATCGCTAAAAATGATGGCAACATCTGTCAACTGCCAGCCCAAGAGGCTTCAGGTAGCAGGGGTTTGCCCCAAGACCACATCAGGATGGAGCTGGGCTAGACATTCTTTGGCCTTCTGCAGTCACCCTGCCTGTGCTCACTTGGTTGCTCCCTATTCCTTGAGGGGGAAAAAGTAGCAGTCACTTCCTGGGCTTGCAGGAAAGACAGGCTTTGGGCTCCCTGTAAATGTTCCCCCACCAATTGCCCCTTTCTCATTAGACCAGGAGCCAGCCTAGGTTGGCAGGGTGAGCTGAACAGGAAAGATGGCTGTAGCCTGGGCTGACCTGATCGTAAGAGGAGTGCCTCCCAAGGTGGAGGGGGTCAGTACCACTGCGGCATACTCCTCCTCCTCCTCCTGTTAATCCAAGAAACATCGCAGGGCTGCTTGCGTCTGCAAAGCCTCCTGCCCCACTGTTTGCAGACACATTGGCTGGCAGGCAGGCAGGGATGCAGAGCAGGGCAATAAACTTCTAAAGAGTGAAAAGCAGCTCAAAGTAGAATGGCAGCACAGCTGGAGTTGACAGGAGGATGCAGGCAGAAGGGGGCACCACACTGGGCCTTGCAGGCCCTCCAGGAGGGGAGGCTGCCTCAAAGCTCAAGCTCCAGTAGCAGCATTCCCACTGGGGCTTGGAAAGCAGAGGCAGTTAGAGCAAAACGGGCCCTTAGAGAGTCTGGAGTCCAAGTCCTTCGTTGTACATACGGAAACTGAGGCCTAGAGATGGGGAATGACCTGCCCAGGGTGGCTCAGCTACCTAGCACCAGAGTTAGACTTCTCTCCCTGCGCCACCCCAAGACTTTACATGAGAAAGACTGTCAGCTCTGGATCCTCCTAGGTCCTGAAGGTGTTTAGGACTTTCCAGGAATGAAAGAGAGGAAGGAGTGGCTGCACACGGTGACTCTGCTCTCAGGTCCTCAGACAAGTTAGCCCCAGAAGAGGGTACTGCAACAGGGGCTGGGGACCAAGACTGCTAAGCCCATAGCCTGTCCCAGGATACTAGGTCTAGGCTTAGCAGGAGAGGTGACCTGAGAGTGGGGCTGAGGACGGCGGGGAGGGTCCAGTTTCTCCACGTGCAGGACCATGTGGCCTCCCAGCAGGCAGGTGGCAGGTGGCCAGAAGCAGCAGCAGCACCTGGCTAGCGTGGACATCCTGTGGTGAAGTCACAGACTTCTGCTTGCTCCAGCACCACCACCAGCCTCCTTGGATTTTCAGAGCCTGCCTCTGTCCCCAGGGTAAGGGCTTCCTCTTCCTTAGAAGATTCAAGGAGGCAGGACTCTAGACGGTCAAGGTGGGGCTGCCACTGACCTTCCCCTACTTTGGCTCCTTGGCAGCCCACCCTGGGCTGCCTGCACCATAGTATTGTGATAGATAGAGCTAGTTTTGAAGTCAGTAGCTCTTGATTTGAATCCCGGCTTTACCACTCACTGGCTGCATGATCGTGAAGAATTCACCTCACCTTGCTGATCCTCAGTCTTCTCATTTATATAATGGGGGTAATCATAATACTTAGTTGAGAGGACTAATGTGAGAACTAAACTAGACAGAGTGTGTAAAGCATTTAGCATGGGGCCTTAGCTATTTTTATTATTCTATCGGTCACTGGATAGTACATGGATCTACTGGGAAAGAGGAGCCCACTGGCTAGAAGAAGACTAGTCCCCAGCAGGACAGCAGTTACCCTGCTGCCCAGTCCCACAGTGCGGCAGCGGCAGTGACAGTGGTGGAGTCGGCTATAGAGCAATGACAGCAGGCAGGAGGGAGCAGGAGGTGCCTGGCCCAGCCTGGAGTCCAGCTGAGCTCAGCCCTGAGCACTGCTCCTGTCCCCAAGGCTTTGCTAAGCTCCTAGTCCCTAGTTTATCTGTTAGCTGGCAAGTTGGTAAGTAGGCATATGAAAGGGGCTTTGCTGCTATTAGAGGGAAACCCGTTAGGGGAAAAGGGGGCTGGCTTCTAAGCTATGCCAAAGCACACTGGCTCCTTCCTCAAAATCAAGCTGTTAGCGGGGAAAATACGGGAGTTGACCTCAGCATGTCTACCCTACCAGGAGGCTTTTTCCCATCCCTAGAGTCCTGCTTCCCCACCATAGTTGCCAAAACTAGTTCACCTGCCTGCAGTGGCATGGTCCTTAACTAAAACGTAGCTCAAACATAGCTTCCTGTTGGAGCACACACCAGAAGCCAAAACTCCCTCTTCAGAAGCTGGGTCCTACTTCCTGAGCAGCCCAGCATAAAGCCCAAGCAACTGAAGCCAACTCTCAGAAATACAAGTTGTCCTTGAGCCCTTCCCATCCTTGACTAGGCTAGACGGGCAAAACTTTGTAGTAGCCACATCATTTCCCGCAAGACATCACTCATTGAGTGTTTTCCAAGTACCTTCAGAAAGAGAACACTGGACGAGGCCTCAGCCTAGGGTTTGAGTCCTGACCCTGTCACTAGCTCTGAGACTTTGAACAAGTCAGTCCTCCTTTTGAAGCCTCAGTTTTCTCATCTGTAAAATGGGAATAACAGTCCTCACTCCCATCTCACTGAGAATTGGGAGGGTAAGAAGACCTACTGTCTGTGAAAACACTTTACTAGTACTAACTGGCAGGCTGCCGTGTTGACTTATGGCGTTTTTGTTCTCATTTTGCAAATGGCACCCAGAGACCCATTGTCTTCTATCCTCCTGCCTGAGGGGTATGGAAACTGAGAGTCTGTGATAAGTGCAGCACATAACTGGCCTCAGACTTTTTTACCTCTCCTGTCCAGGGTGGCCTTGGCAAAAGAGGAAGTCAAATCTGGAACCAAGGGGTCCCAGCCCATGTCCCCCTCTGATTTCCTAGACAAACTTATGGGGCGAACATCTGGATATGATGCCAGGATTCGGCCCAATTTTAAAGGTAAGAAATCTTCATCCTATAAAAACTCCTCCCTCCCCACCACCTTTGGCAGCACACTAGCCAGCCAGCCCCTATTGCCTTCCCTAAGGAAAGGAGGCTGGAGGTCCAGGGCTGGGGCTGGTTCTAACAGCTCAGAAGGAGCCTCCTCACCCCATTGTCCATGGGCCTGTGTATCTGGCACTGATTTCTCCCAGCAGTGCCCTGGCCTGCAGCTCAGGGAAGGAGTTCTGGAAGCTGCTCCCAGCCTCCTGGAATGCCCTGCCAATGGCCTGTGCTTTGCTACCCTCAGGCCCACCCGTGAACGTGACCTGCAACATCTTCATCAACAGTTTCAGCTCCATCACCAAGACCACAATGGTAAGGGATCTCCCTGCTCCCCACTTCCAGCCTAGTGTGAGTGGGAGGAGCCCACCAGATAACAAGCTGGCATCTTTTGCCATATCAGCCCAAGGAAGGTTCCTTCTCCAGTGAAAAATGCCTACTGCCCCTGAGATGTGTTCCCAACATTCCTCCTCATGGCCCTCCTGCCCCTACAGGCTTGCTGGGCCCCTGGGAATGGCAATGTTTCTGAAGGGCCCATATCTGCACCCTCCCAGGACTACCGGGTGAATGTCTTCTTGCGGCAACAGTGGAATGACCCACGCCTGTCCTACCGAGAATATCCTGATGACTCTCTGGACCTCGATCCCTCCATGCTGGACTCTATCTGGAAGCCAGACCTCTTCTTTGCTAATGAGAAAGGGGCCAACTTCCATGAGGTGACCACGGACAACAAGTTACTGCGCATCTTCAAGAATGGGAATGTGCTGTACAGCATCAGGTGCACCGGGTGGATAGCCAGGAGAGTTTGCGTTAAGGGGAAGAATTTGGATGAAGACTGAGGGGTGGGAGGAGGGTTCCCTTGCACTGTGATGGGCCCCAGTAAGCCGATGTCACTTCTTTCTTACTGTCCCCACTAGGCTGACCCTCATTTTGTCCTGCCTGATGGACCTCAAGAACTTCCCCATGGACATCCAGACCTGCACGATGCAGCTTGAGAGCTGTAAGTGTCTATATAGAGTCACAGAGAGCCTGGAATAACAGCCAGTTAACCCGACCTCATGACATCACAGACAGGAAAAGGGCCACTCAGAGTTGGGAGGAACTTACTCAAGCACACCCAGCCAATTCTTGGCACAGATGAGACTAGAAACCAGGGGTCCCTAACCCCTAGCCCAGTGTGTTTTTCATCCCCACGTTATTTGCTGATCTGGCTGTTCCATGGGGCTGGGGAACGGGAAGGCATCAGCCTTACGCACAAATGTGTTTGTGCTGTTTTGGGGGGCGATTTGAGCGACATCTTCTCTGCCCAAACGTATGTCCCCTCTCACAGTGCCTGAAGTAGTTCCACCTTTACCTCTCTTGAATTAAGACATTGAAGATGCCTATAAAAATGCCAGAGTGGGCAGGGTGGGGGCACTCGTGGAGCCCTGATTCCCCACAAACATAGATAACCTTTGTAGAGAGGTAGGAGATGACAGTTCTAGGCACAAGACAGTGCCTAGAATGAAGAGGTCAGCCAAGGGCTCCTCTGTGGCAGGGGTGCCAGCCTGGAGGGGCTGCCCAAAGTGCAGAGGAACCAAGGATGACAAGGTTGGGTCATCACTTATTTCCACTCCCTCCTCATCTCCTGGGTCAGGAGAGACTGTTAGATCTGGAGCCATCCACTAGATGTTCACAGAAGAAGGCTTATAAGGCTGTTTCCAGCATAAAATAACTGTGATGAATAGAATGTGTCCTATGTGGTCAGCTCTTTAGAGTTCTTAAACCACTTTCACATCCAGGCTCTCAATATCCCTTCATGGCAACGCTGAATAGTGGGGAGAGCAGCTACTATAATTCCCATTTTACAGAAGGGGAAGCGACTTACCCAAAGTCACAGAGCTACTCTGGGTCAAGGCCCAACACTGGATGTCTGTGAGCCTTGGTGTTTCTGCTCCCATCTCTACCTGACATGTGCAAATATGGTCATATACGTGGCATGAGCCCTCATGAACTGCTATGTATGTGTGAATAACTTGACATGTTCAGACATTAGCTTTAAATTTGCCCCAACTCAAGGCCCTGGCTAGGATCTATGGTATGCACATTGTCCCATGCATGACTGGCAGGATATAAATAGCTGTCTCCTCCCTGAGGTGATGTGGCAGAAGTCCTGGCTCTGAGGCTAGCTCAGCTTAAGACATGTGTTCGGTACACATGCTTACTCCCCTCGGCTTGAGATATGGCAGGAGGCTCCCAGCTGTGTTCCTTGACATCTTTCCAACCCTCTTGACCTGCTTTCTAGGTCTGTCAGAATAATTTCTCTTTGGGCTTTTCTCAAGCTTGAGAACAGGGTAGGAGAGGAGTCTGTAATCTTCCTGATTTACCTGCCCACTCAGGATGGGCCCATGAGACAACTGACCAAGTGTCCTCTCCAGAAAAGTTTTCCTTTCCATAATGAGCATGAAGCTCCTAAACCCCAGACCTTACTCCTCACCTGTTCTCTCCTGCCTGTTCTGATCCTACCCCTACCCCCACCCAGCATCCATACTCTGCAGCCCTCTGCCATCTCTGTCACTTTCAGTTGGCTACACCATGAAAGACCTCGTGTTTGAGTGGCTGGAAGATGCTCCTGCTGTCCAAGTGGCTGAGGGGCTGACTCTGCCCCAGTTTATCTTGCGGGATGAGAAGGATCTAGGCTGTTGTACCAAGCACTACAACACAGGTAAAAACCAGGATCTTTATTGGCTGTGAGCCACAGGAGAACCTTCAGATGTGAGGCAAGGGGACAAGGCAGCTGGCCTCTATCGAAGGTTCAATCTATGTCAGATATGGGGCCAGGTGCTTCATATAACTTATTTATTTGTGACAGCAACTATAAATACCATTTTTCAGAAAGGGAAAACTGAGGTTCTAAGAAGTTAGTTAAATCAAGTGTCCAAGTCGCACAGCTAGTAAATGGCAGATTTAGAATTTAAATCCAAGCCTTCTAACTCCAAAGTCTGTGTTCTTGTTCCTGTCGCATGCTGCAGAGCAAATGACAGTGGGTGGACAGTTTCCCACTTTTCCTGGGGTCAACTTTGTGTGGAAGCGGGGAATCCACATCTGGTAATAGGGAGTGACTATGCTGAACCCAGAGGGAACAAGCCTGAGGGCAGTGGCCAGCTTACAGTCCACACCTCCCACTGTCGCTACCACTGCCAGCTCTCAGGAACTTCCCAGGTGTGAAATGTCAGCTAAGAAGTGGAGAAGGGCTGCTTTCCCAGGCTGAGCATCTGCCCCCCTGCAGCTTCTGTAAGAGTTGCTGGCTCCACATTTTCCCTGACAATTTGTCTGCGCGGAGCTCTGACCCTGAAATAGAGGCAGCAGCCTGAAGAGGGGAGATCCCGGGTCCCTTCCATGGTGGGCTGATATGTTTTGGGTGCTGCCCCATGAATATGTGTGTGCATGTATGTGGGGGTGTGGGGAGTGGGAAGAGGAAAAGGCCATTGAATTTAGAAAATGCAAGGGGGAATGAAAATTGATATAAACTTTTTGGAGTAAAAAAGTTGGCAATTTGTATATAGATCAGTGGTTTTCAAACTTTGGTGTGCACTATATTCCCCTGGGGAGTCTATTAAAATGTTGCCTCCTGGGCTCTACCTCTCAGAGATTCTGATTATGGTTACCTGTACTTGGAGTGATGCCTAGAAATCTGCATTTTAACAAGCATCCTGAGGATTGTGGTGCAGGTGGTCCAGCAAACATGCTTTGAGAAACTTTAGTCTAGAAGCTAAAATTGTGTTTCTACTTATTTATCCAGGAATCCTACTCCTTGAAATGTATTATATGGAAATATTCCAAAATACTGCATTGGCCTTAGACCCCAAGGGGGCTCCTGGGTGGCTGTTTATATTAGCAAAAACTTGGAACTGTTTTAAATATCCACCAATAGGGCAGAGGTTAAGAAAATTACATGTGCGTCTGCTTGGTGGACTAGTATGCAGACATTAAAAGGAATGGTTACAAGGTGCTTATATCAATGTGGGAAAGTAGGAGTGAAAAAAGGTAAGATTCGGAGGTATAAATACAGAATGATTATATTATGGTAAAAGAAACAAACCAAAAGCATGCATTTAAAAACCTTAGGTGGAAATAGCACTAAATGTCTCTAAAGTAATGTGATACAACAGATAAGAGCAAGAACTTTGGAGGCAGATAGAGCTGAGTTTGGATTCTGGCTCCATCATTTACTAGTTGAGCGCCCTTGAGAAATATAATTTAATCTCTTCATGCCTCCGTATTCCTATCTGTAATATGAGAGATAATAATTTTACTTGCCCCAAAGAGTTGCTATAGGATTAAATGAGGTAAAGTCAGGTCCCTTAGTAAGGGTTTGATAAATGTAAGCTTATGAATATTATTATTCCTTCTCTACTTCTTATTTTTTCTATACTAAACAAGTTTTAATTTTGGAATTAAAAACAAAACTGCTATTGCAAAAAAAAGAAGAAGAAGAAGGAAAGAAAGGAAAGAAAGTATAGGTACCTAATAAAGGCATGTCACGGCAAGAATCCCAGGGTGGGATGAAGTGAGGTGGATTCAGGGAACAGTAAGAGGTCACAGCATCATACAATGTGTCAAAGCCATAATCAGTCATTGACAACATCACTGACTTTGAAGAAACAAGTAGGCCTGATAAGACTAGACCTAGGCCAGAATAAAATAACAATATATGCATCTTCTCCTTCTTGCTTGGATTATCCTGAGCCTCTGCTTCCAAGAGAAGCTCTGCGTTAGTATTTTCTTAGCCCTAGGGCCCTGGAAAGCAGAGTAAAGTGAAGTCTGGCAAAGGAGGTGGAGCATTGGTCGGTGTGCCTGGGCCAATGCACTTTTTGTTGGTAGAATAGAATGTTGCAGCCTGATGCTCTATGGGAACCTGCTCCCCGCTGTCTGGAGCTGGTCTCTGTTGGGCACTGTTTTCAGATGTTTGCTATCCGGCTCTTCTCACTTGCTTAAGACACAAGCAGTGTTTATCCCAGTGAATTGTTGTTGCTAGAGAGCTTCTGGGGCACTAGCAAGCACAAGCATGGCCCCTGAGATCTAAGTGGAGTCTAAGCTAATTGTTTTGTTAATAATGATAACAATAGTAACAGCTACCTATGTGTCAAACACCTCAAATACATTATCTTGTTTAATTTTTCCAATAGCCCAGTGATGCAGTTGGTATCACTACTCTGTTTTACAGGCAAGGAAACTGAAGCTCAAAACGCTTGGGTGTTTTGCCCAAAGTCACACAGTGGAAGGTTCAGGATTCAAACCCAGGCAGTCTGACTCTGGAGCCCTCCTGCTCCTTATCCTCTTGCTGTGCAGTCACGTGAAAGGCCTTCCGCTGGAAATGAAAGTGCTGGGAGCCAAAGGCCAAGTCTTTGATGGTCGCTCTGAGAGCTTCCTTAGTACGTACATCTGGCATTACCTGGGGCCATTATGAAAGGCTCATTCATGGGCCCAGCTGAGGTGCCCAGAGGCTGGTCAGTAGAGGGCTGCCCTAATCCTGTCCTAATCCCCTCAGGCTCAGCTACAGGCTGGGTACCTGGGGCCTGACACCTCACCTCTCTCCTTGCAGGGAAATTCACCTGCATCGAGGTAAAGTTTCACCTGGAACGGCAGATGGGCTACTATCTGATTCAGATGTACATCCCCAGCCTACTCATCGTCATCCTGTCCTGGGTCTCCTTCTGGATCAACATGGATGCTGCCCCTGCCCGTGTGGGCCTGGGCATCACCACCGTGCTCACCATGACCACCCAGAGCTCTGGCTCCCGGGCCTCTTTGCCTAAGGTGAAGAGACATGCAAGGGAACTTGCTTGCCATAGAGTACCCCATTTCCCATTCATCCCAATGTGCCCTCCTGCTCACCATTTACCTTGGATTTAAGGTTGAGAAGACCCACTGGGCAAAAGCTGGTGTCCTGCATTCTCTCTCCCTGTAATATACTGCTAATAACATTGTTGACAATGTGGAGGCTGGGGTTAGGGATACTATCTGGCTAGGGAATGAGGAGAGACAGTGCCTTACTTTGACTCTCTTCAGGAAATACTAGCATGTCCAAGGTCAAAAGATCCTCAGCAAGTAGAAAGTCCTACTGCCTCATAATACAAATGAGGAGAATACAGCCCAGAGTGGTAAAATAACCTTCTTAAGATCATGCCTTATAAGAAACAACCAAAACAATATCAGAGTTTTGAACCAATTTCTGTCATCTTACTGTATCAGAAATTAGAAACTATCACAAAGCGCTCTAGAGATATTATCCTTTCTTTTGGGATGAGAAAATTGAGGTAGAAAATAGCAATTAAAGTCAGTGAACTCCAGTTGTCTGGGCCCAGTGATGTTTTGATTACGCAGGAAGATTTGTGCTGATGGGACTGGGCACAGATTCTCCCTGCCTCATGTCTTCATGTAGGGAATTTAGAGGTCACCTCAAAGTCCTTACAGTCAGCAAGGCTCTGAACGAATCAGGGAACAAGGCCATTTATTCATTCAATAAATATTTATTGAGCATGTACTATGTACCAGCCACTGAACTTTGTCATGGAAAAATAACAGGAAGCAAAAGCAACACAGTTCCTTGTGGATCTTACAATGAACATATTCCCTCTTGCACTGATTTGTTGGGAACCAGGCCCTGTGATCTCCCATCTCTCAGTGCTTGTTCCTAAGAAGACTTTTTACTGCGGGCTTACACGGCAGGTAATTTCAGACATCCATGGTGAATTTATGAATTTGCTACATGGCGGGGGTTGGGGAGCTAGTGATTAGGAGTAGGAGATTGGGGTCAGACAGATTTGGGTTTGTCTCCCAGGCTCATCATCTACTAATAATTTACCTTAGGTAAATTCCTTAACCTCTCAATCATCTTGCCTATAACATGGGAATAAGAATATTACCAGTTCCTGCTGGGAGCAGTGGCTCAGGCCTGTGATCCCAGCACTTTGGGAGGCTAAGGCAGGCGGATCACGAGGCCAAGAGTTCGAGACCAGCCTGGCCAACATGGTGAAACCCCATCTCTACTAAGAATACAAAAAAATTAGCTGGGTATGGTGGCGTGTGCCTATAATCCCAGCTCTCGGGAGGCTGAGACAGAAGAACCACTTGAACCTGGGAGGCAGAGGTTGCAGTGAGCTGAGATCGCACCACTGCACTCCAGCCTGGGCAACAGAGCAAGACTCTGTCTCGAGAGAGAAAAAAAAAAAGAATATTACCAGTTCCATAGGGTTATTGCAAAATATAATGTATTAACACACAGGACAGTGTTTGGCACATAATAACCGCTCAATAAATGTTAACTATTGTTATAATTATCAGGTGTCAACGTTGAAAAAACTGAGTGATGAATCTGGGGCTAAAGCAGCTGGTGTTGTCCCTAATTATTTTTGAGTTGTCAGAAACCCTTTGAGGTGATCCAAAACCCTATAGGGATAAATGGTGACAAAACTCAGATCAGAATCACATGTCCCGGGAAACGTTGTTAGAGATCATTTTCTGTAAATGTGTTTCCTAGATGGACAGGGATATTGGCAAGGCTCTGAGAGGCAGGCTGGACTTAGGCAAGGGCTACACGGCCAGACCAGGCTGTGATGGTCGTGTTTTGATAATGATGTTGTAAGGAGACCAGAAGCAGAAAAGTAGTTCAGACCTAAGAACCCTGCCCTAGTTTATTGCCTCTGCCATGCAAGGTGATTCATCTCTAAAGCAGGGAGGTACTGCAATTTATGCCTTATTCTTGCCAAGAGAACTTCCTTTTCTGGTTCCCTCCTGTGAGTGAACATAATCCATCTGCTCCCAGGAATCACTTAGTTTCCTTATTTGGAAAAAAAAAAAAGTCTTTGTTTGAGGGTTGTTTGCAGCATTTGGTACCTTCTTGTCAGATTTTAATGAGTTCTTCATGGCCTCATTGGCCAGTAAGCAAAATATCCAGGCCTGCACCCTGAACTAAATAGCCTCATTAACCAGCCCCTCAGAGCAAGGGACTCAGTAAGCCAGGGACTGTCTGCTCACTCTTGAGTTTGTGCAACATTAAGTTTGGTGGGTGCCCATGAGGTCAGGCCAGGGGCTTCCAAAAGTCACACCAGTCTCACACCCCTAATACAACTCTAGTGTCCAGAATGAGAGTGGTAGGGGCTTACTTTGTAAGGGAACTAGATTGGAGTGGCCATTCCTCATGTTCCCAAGAAACAACTGTTACTTTGCCTTTATGGTGCCACCAAAGGCACTGATTACCATCTCTTTGCCAGGACTTTGATCCCCTCAACTGCAGGGAGCTCAAAGCAGAATGGAAGGACTAAATGGAAATTTATTCCAGAGGCTAGGAGATTAGACCTAAAGTTGCAGCAGGGAAGGAGCCACTTCTATCTAGATCCTATCATCTAAATGGCCTACAGCTATTGGGGCAGGTAGTGGTAAGGAGGGTAGAGAGCAAGCAGAAGCCAGCAGATATACACATCACATGTTGCTAAACCATCTATCTGTTCATTCATTCAAAAAAATATTTACTATAGTCCAGAAACTCAGCTAGGCATTGGAAGCAGAACAGTGATCGAGATAGAAACAGTCCATGCCATCGAAGAGCTCACAGTCTAGTGGAGGGAATGGCCAGGTATGTGATGGATGCTAAGAAGTTGTAGGTAACCTGAGCACATACAGCAGGACAACCGACACAGACTGGGATGATTAGGGAAGGCTTCCCAGGGGATGTGGTATCTAAAATGAGAGCTGAAGGATGAGTAAAAGTTATCCAGGTAAATGAGAGAAAGGTTAGAGGAGATTGGCTCTTTGGGAAACTACTGAAATAGTTCACCACAGCAGATTACAAGGGGTGTGATGAAACTGAACAGGTAGGCAAAGGCTAGATATCATGATAAGGGGAGCAAAGACTGTATCGTAAGGGTAATGGAGAACCACTGAAGGATCATAAAGGGGAGTGATATAATCAGATTTACATTTTGAAAACAACTCTGGCTACTGTTTGGAGAACAGATTGGAGGTGGCAAGAGTAGATGCAAGGAGACCATTCAGAAAACTTGCAACCCTTCAGATGTGCTAGGATAGCGAGTGGACAGATTCCTGAGTTTTTGTTTTTGTTTTTTTGTTTGTTTGTTTGGTTTTGTTTTTTAGACAGAGTCTTGCTCTGTCACCCAGGCTGGAGTGCAGTGACACGATCTCAGCTCATTGCAACCTCTGCCTCCCGGGTTCAAGCAATTCTCCCACCTCAGCCTCCCTAGTAGCTGGGATTACAAGCATGCGCCACCACACCCAGCTAATTTTTTGTGTTTTTAGTAGAGACAGGGTTTGGCTATGTTGGCCAGGCTGATCTTGAACCCCTGGGCTCAAGTGATCTGCCTCTTGGACTCCCAAAGTGCTGGGATTACAGGCATGAGCCACAGCGCCCGGCCGAGATTTCTAAGATGTATTATTGACACACTTATCATTAACAGGACTTTCTTCCTAGTGCTTAAAGTGTCTTTTTCTTTGATGGTCTAAGGACCTTCATGGCCATCTCTTTATAATAATGAGTAATTACCTCATTATTGATCTTAATAGCAGGTATTTGATATCCTTGGGAGCACTGTGGGACTGAGGGATGGTGAATGAAATAGGATGCCCTCTTAGTAAGTGGCAAAGTAGAGACACCAAAGGATGCTTCATCAGGGTTGTCTAGTAACCCACTGCCACCATCTCAGTGACATTGCCCTAAAAGAGTTAGAGCAGGGTTTTTCACCCTTAGCACTCTTGCCATTCGGGGCCAGATAATTCTTTGTTGTGTGTGTGCATGTGTGTGTGTGCATGTCTGTATGTGTGTCTGTGTGTGTCTGTATGTGTCTGTATGTGTGCTTGTGTGTGTGCGTGTCTGTGTGTTGAAGGCCAGGCAGGGAGCTGTGAACTGTAGGATGTTTAGCAGCATCCCTGGCCTGTACCCATTAGATGTCTGTAGCCACCTCCTCCCTCAAAATTGTGCCACCAAAAATGTCTCCAAATATTACCCAATGTACCTGGTGGGGGACGGAGTTGTCCCCAGTTAAGAATCATTGAAGCAGAGGATTTATTTATCCAGTGAAACTTGCTCCTTACCTGGGGTCTGCAGCACCCTCACTTCCCATCATAGCAGTGGCTGATGAAAGAAGTGGCCTGTCCGAAATTCTGTTCTTGCTGGGGTGCGCTATGTGGTAAGCTCAGCAGCTCAAAACTAAGTAGCAGGTAATTTGGTTGAGAAGATGAAAAGGTCTAAACCTGAGCTCTGTCCCCCACTCCTGGCCCCATCCAGCTGCAATGCCTGGAAGAGGCCAGAAAGTGGGAGACAAAAGTACTTAGAGGCTGCCAAGGAAAGCAGTGAGAGGAGAGTACAAAGGACTGGATAGGTGGATGCCAACCACATCTTGCAACTAGCGAAGCATCCTTAAAGGGGTGGGTGGTGTTCCCTCAGTATCCCTGCCCTGTTCTCTCCAGGGTGAGAGATGAGGCCCCAGCTTACTACTGAGCTAAATTCATCAGCAGAGCCTTTCCAAAAGAGCAACAAGGAAAACCACAGGACCAAGGGAAGAACAGGGGTGGAGGAGGGAAAGGAAGGAACTCCTAGTTTGTCAGTGAGACCACAGCCTAAGTAAATGGCAATGCCACTGAATTGAAAGCCCAGAACCCTCAGGTCCTAGTGCCACCTTCTCACTGGGTAATCTTGGCTAAGACCATCTGCTCTGGGCCTTAAGTGTCCTCATGTGTCTCACATCGGAATTGTGAACGCTGCCTGACCAATTACCACTGAGGCTGTGAGGACCCTAGGAGATAACAGAGGGAAGACAAATGCAGTGTTCATGCTCATTGCTGTTTATTGAAACAAAAGAATCAGAAGAAGATCAGAATGAAGACAATAATAAAAAGCAGAAGCAGAAGTACAAGAAGAATAAAGAAAGAAAGGGAAAGAATTGTAGGAAGGAAAAACTTGTAGAAGTAGAGGGTGGAGAGTGCGAAGAGGTGGAGTATGATGGGCAGTCCGATCTTTTCCATCTGGGCTTTCAGACAATGGGATATGTCATGGAAGGCTTCTTTAAACACCAGAAGAAATTCAGGATAAAGCTCAAAAAGAGCAGGCAATCGATAGGGGTTGAAAATCCACTCAGTAGGCCACGGAAGGACTTCAAGAAGGTTGATCGTTCTGTCGCTGGATGTTGTAGGTGTCCTACGTGAAGGCAATCGACATCTGGATGGCTGTGTGTCTGCTCTTTGTGTTCGCTGCCTTGCTGGAGTATGCTGCCATAAATTTTGTTTCTCGTCAGCATAAAGAATTCATACGACTTCGAAGAAGGCAGAGGCGCCAACGCTTGGTGAGTACAACTAGGGAGCGGCCCACTGCCTTTCTCCTTTGGACTCCTTCCTCCCTACTCCGCCTCCCCACAAACCAAGACCCACCCCAGGGCTGCAAGGACTAGATAGGCAATCAGAAACCCTGGATTCATAAGGGCGCAGTGGCTCACGCCTGTAATCCCAGCACTTTGGGAGGCCGAGGTGGGCGGATCACCTGTGGTCGGGAGTTCGAGACCTGCCTGATCAACATGGAGAAGCCCTGTCTCTACTAAAAATACAAAATTAGCCGGGCGTGGTAGCGCATGCCTGTAATCCCAGCTACTTGTGAGGCTGAGGCAGGAGAATCGCTTGAACCCAGGAGGCGGAGTTTGCGGTGAGCCGAGATTGAGCCATTGCACTCCAGCCTGGTCAACAAGAGCAAAACTCCTTCTCAAAAAAAAAAAAGAAAGAAAGAAAGAAAGAAACCTGGATTCTAGTACTAAGCTGGTCACTGTTAAGCTAAGTACTTTAATCTCTTTGATTACTTTAATCTCTTTGATTACTTTAATCTCTTTGATTTTAATCTCTTTGATTACTTTAATCTCTTTGATTCTGTAAGTCAGTATAGTAGATTGATTAAGGGCATGGGCACACTGCTTGACATAGAATAAGCACTGAAGATATGTTAGCTAGTAGTAGAACCTTACCAAGTTAGCTAATAAGAGATTGCTTTGCCAGGCACGGGGGCTCACGCCTGTAATCCCAGCACTTTGGGAGGCCAAGGCGGGTGGATCACAAGGTTAGGAGTTCGAGACCAGCCTGACCAACATGGTGAAACCCTGTCTCTACTAAAAATACAAAAATTAGCCGGTGTGGTGGTGGGCACCTGTAATCCCAGCTACTCAGGAGGCTGAGGCAGGAGAATCACTTGAAGCTGGCAGTGAGCTGAGATCACACCACTGCACTCCAGCCTGGGCAACAGAGTGAGACTCCATCTCAAAAAATAAGTAAATAAATA